>NC_000006.12:56516836-57162520 GCF_000001405.40 Homo sapiens | reverse complement strand
TGAAAGACCATGCTGGGAAAACAAGTTGGTCAAAACACTTGCTTCCTTCCAATTAGGTATAGATTTATGGCCAGTTTTGTTTAACCAATGAAATTTGGCTATAAGGCAGAAAGATTACAGCTATCTACTTAATCTAATGGATGAATCGATTCCACTGCCAGACTCCATTTCCCAAACTCCTAATAGCATAAAGTTCTAGTATGCTCTTAGTCAAACTAGTTGTATTATCTGAGATCAAGGAAATGCAAAGAAAACATACCAGTTGGGCCATTCTGTTTGTGTGTGTTTAGTCACATTTCCATCCCTACTTTCCAGCCTCCACATTCCTACCCTATAATCTCCAACAATAAACATTATACTGGAATGTACATGAAGACTCCTACTGTTTTTCTTTAATGTCAAAGATGCCGATATAACACTTTCAACTTCTCCAGTGAAGCTCAAAGTATTTTCTAAGATTCATTATCTCATTTCCCCCAGGTTATTAAAAAGTGCAGTCTGTTATAGAAAAACCAAAGTAAAGAATGGTTACAAGACACAACCAAATAATGGTACAGCCAGCAAATGATTTGATGCCAAGTGACATAAAAAGTTCTCTTTAACCTATGGAAGGAAATAGCTTTTCCTTTAAGAAGAGTAAAAGAGAATTTTAATTTTTAGCTGGGCGTGTTAGTGGCACACGCCTGTAATACCAGCTACTGTGGAGGCTGGGGCACAAGAATCACTTGAACCCAGGAGGCAGAGGTTGCAGTGAGCTGAGATTGTACCACTGCATTCCAGTCTGGGTGACAGAGTAAGACTCCGTCTCAAAAAAACAAAAAACAAACAAAAAAAACCCTTTTAAAATTTATTTTTAAAAGCCCATTTATATTTAGATATAAGTGCTTGCTTTTAGAGTTCTACTGCCTGTCTTTTAATACTCTTAATACTACTCAAGATAAGTAACAATTAGGAAATCAAAATCATCTCCTAGCCCAGGGGTTAGCAAACTTTTTAAAGGGTTAGAAAATAATTATTTGAGGGGGGCGGGGGTGGAGGGGCTCTACTGTCTGTGCCATACCTATTCAACCTTGCAGTTGTGGTACAAAAGCAATAGCATAGACAATACTTAAATGTATGGCTGTGTTCCTAAAGATAGTGGACTGGATTTGACCCAAGGGCCATAATTGGCTGACCCATTCTAGCTTTCTAAATTAGTATTACCCCTAAGTCATCTTACATGAAAAATGCAAAGCTATCCAAACTGAGAAAATGTTTTAACTTGGGGGTAGAAGGGAATAAGAGGGGTGAATGGGTGAGAGACAGAGAAATTTAAAAAAAAAATACAGATACAGTCAAGTAGAAAAGAGATTAACTCTATTAGGTTACCTTCTGTGGATATAAATTCTTCTCCTATTGAAGTATTTTTGGCACCCATGTTATCATCACTGTCACATTCTGTAAAGAAGAATCAATACATGCAGTTATTGTGCCATAAATTTATGTATTCTCAATATTATTTTCAATAACTGCTCATACCCAAGCTTACTCATTATAATACAGTTCATTAGTGTTACACTACTTTCCCACACTAGGTTTTTTCCAGTGCTTGCCAAATAATATTAAAAATGGTGACATTAAATTCTCCTGTTTTGAAAATCATATGCATTCATCTCTATGGAGATAACACCATAGGTTTTCATTAACAATGCCTCTTGCATAGCACAAACTTACTTACCTGATGTCTTACGTGCTTTCATAATAAGAGACCGAAGGCTTTATAATACGGTATGACTGAAAAGGCACTGCAAAACTCACTTAAAATTTGAACCATGGAGCCTAAGGAGATTAATGTCTAAATGTCATGTGGGATCCCAAGAGGTCCTGGGGTAGAAAAAGGATATTGAGGCCAGGCGTGGTTGTTCACACCTGTAATTCCAGCACTTTGGGAGGCCGAAGTGGGTGGATCACCTGAGCTCAGGAGTTCGAGACCAGCCTGGGCAACACAGCAAAACCCTGTCTCTACCAAAAATACAAAAAATTAGCCAGGTATGGTGGTGCGCACCTATAGTCCCAGCTACTTGGGAGGCTGAGGTAGGAAGATCGCTTGAACCTGGGAGGTGGAGGTTGCAGTGAGCTGAGATCACGCCACTGCATTCCAACCTGAGTGACAAGAGTGGGACCCTGTCTCAAATGAAATGAGACGAGACGAGACGAGAAAAGAAAAGAAAAGACAGGGGAGGGGAGGGGAGGGGAGAAAACAAAAGAAAAAGGACATTGGGGAAAACTAAAGGCTGGAATTAGTAATAATGTCCTAATATTGTTCCGTGAATTATGACAAATGTATCACTCTAACATAAGATGTTACTAATAAGGGAAACTAAGTATGGGTACATGGAAACACTCTGTACTATCTTCACAACTTTTTTGTAAATCTAAAACCATACTGAAAAATAAAGTTCACCTTTAAAAAATTTGAAACATTGTACTATCAATGACCTAATATTGTGCTTATCACTTTAACTACATTTAAATCAATATATATTTATATCAAGACATAATTATACAAATATAAACAGATATGCATCTATATATGATATATATGTCAGTGACTTGAATCAGCACCTAACTAAATACAAATCATATAGACATATTTGTTTCTGTGCAAACTTAAAAACTTAAAATATACATTAAAAAGCCCTTTAGGGGTCTATAAATAAAAATTAAATCACTATATTTCACTATATTCTTTTGCTGCAGAAATTTGTTTTTACAAGTCATCTTTGCTATTAATTCCAGCAAAATACTTCAAATATTTCAAGCAGTGTTTTAGGTAAATAAAACATTACATTTACAAATTAAAGAACAAAATTAAACCTCTAAACCAGGGGTGTCCAATCTTTGGCTCGCCTGGGCCACATTGGAAGAAGACTGTCTTGGGCCACACATAAAATACACTAACGCTAATGATAGCCCATGAGCAAAATAAGAAAACGCAAAAAAAAAAAAAAAAAAACTCTTATAATGTTTTAAGAAAGTTTACAAATTTGTGTTGGGCTACATTCAAAGCTGAACTGGGCCACATGTGGCCCGTGGGCCACAGGTTAGACAAGCTTGCTCTAAACATTAAGAACAAAAGGAAAATACCCACAGCTTTCTGTTATTACAATTTAAAGTCAAGATCAGTCAAAAGCAGCATGTTATAACTCATCCAAACAATTCATCATTGCATGCAAGGCCTAAGGCTACACTACAGGTTTGAATAATGACAAATCCTTGATTTGTCAAGGATTAACTTGACATGGGGTTGCAAATATTAATATCATAAAAGGTTTCTTTTGCCTCCATCAACCCCATCAGAAGAACAGAGAAAATCGTAAATATTCTTTCTTATTTTCAGTACCTTTGCATGGAATTAATTTTATCAACATATTTTTATAATGGTGCCCAAAGAAACAACCTATAGTTTTCATTAACAGGCTGAGGAAACAACAGGCAGACAGACTTTAAGAAATAAGTTCAACAATTATTTTAGGTAATGCCTAGTCCACAGGCCATGATGCTGCTTCAATCATCTACACTTCCATAGCACCTAGGTGAATGTTTATGCTCTATATGTAAGATGGATTTAAAAATCTGTGTAATTGGTATGACTCATAGATGCCAACCCTACTTACTGCTTCTAACCCACTCATCCACAATGAAGCCACAACTAAATGGATATGACAGTCTCAGGCTTATAAACAAGACCATCTAAGGAGCATACAGATTCAACAAAAATTATCTTGTAGTAACATCTTTTTCATTACATGTAATTCTCAAGGGAGCAGATACTGGCCCAAATAAGAAAACACTGAAAATACTAACTTCTGTGTGCCCTGGAACATTTATATCGATTAAGTGAAAGGTAGAGGAAGCAATGGGAGGCAGGTTTCTAGTGAATTTCTTTGAAACCACATGTTGCAGTACTCCAATAAGCTCACTGCAGTGCTTGTAGTTCTAGTGCCAACATCTCGAGGAGCCTGTAAAGATGGTGTTTATTCATTTAATTATGAGACAAAAGATCCTAAAGAAATTAGAATGCTAATTGCTTTCCTTGGCTATATTCAGCATATAATCACTTTACTTTTTAAAGCACCAGAACTCACAACCAAATCATTTCTTCTGACAAAAAAAAAAAAGCGCATTCTTCCTGAATGTTATTTAAAAATAAAAAACTTGTTTGATATCTTTATATAAACTCTGCAATGTCCCTATACTGTGGCAGAATATTTCCCATTATCTTCATTCTTCAAGGACATGGTTAAAGCCAGTAATTCACACTGGGTGGCTAGCTCTACATCATGGAATCAGGTATTTGTGTCAGTGAAAGTCTCAACCACAGTCGTTGATACTAATGAAAAGCAAAGCACTTGCTCTGTGACTGCAGGTAGATTATTTAACCTTTCTGAACCTGTGCTTCCTTCCACACTTATAAAATGGGGTAATCCAACACCTACTTCGTAGCTTGCAAAGGGGATTAAAAAGCATATGGAAGAAGTTCTTTCAACATATTTAAACATCTGTAAACACTACAAACATAAAAAGCAGTTAACATGGTGGCTGGCACATAGTAGTCTTCAATAAACTACAATAAACTTCAATAAACTTTTTTCAATTAAAAAGTTCACCTTTTTTTTCTTTCAACATTTAAGTGACAAGTTATATCTGCATCTCTGAAACATGAGGCTTGAGTTAGAATAATGAAGTATTTGGGAATAAAATATAAATGGTCTAAGAAAGTCTACCTGGCTTCTCTGATTGGGATTACCAGAAAGGATCCATGTATCTTAAGTGTTAAGAAAGTGAGGATAAGTACAATATAAAATAGAAATGATGAAGGATAAGAAGACCAAGGTGGGGGCAGAAATTAAAGTTAATAGACTTTTTAAATGTCTCTACAAGAATTTATACATATATCATAGCGTAATTAAAATGCTCATGTTGAAACCCTGATGCTTACAAGTAGAGAAAAGAACTTTTACCCTAACTAACCAAGTCAGAGACCTAAAAATGTACCAGTAATAAAGCTACTTAACCTTTCCCCTCCCCACCATGCTAAAACAATGCCTTAGGAACAAATGACTGGACACCGATATACAGAACCAGGAACTCCAAATATCTGTATTTTTACTGAAATAAGTACCTCTGGAAAGACTTTCAATTAACAGAGAAATTAGCAAAGACTAATTTCTCCTAGTATGATACCATATGATCGATTCTGATAACAATATTCAAAAGATCCTTCCTATTTATACAGCAATCTTTAGTCTAATAAAAACCACTTTTTAGTCCTGCTGATGGTAAATTTCTGAAAACTTATAAAGAATAAGAGACTCAAACTTGTATCAACTTCTCTATGCTCTGGTGAAAAATTCAAAAATCTGAAAAATCACTAGCCTGGCTATATAATAACAAATATGAAAGAACTTATCACTGTATGTTACTTATAGCAGGAGTCCCCAACCCCAGGGCCATGGACCAGTACCAGTCTGTGGCCTGTTAAGAACTGGGCCGCACAGCAGGAGGTGAGCAGCAGGTGAGCCAGCATTACCACCTAAGCTCCTCCTCCTGTCAGATCAGCAGCGGCATTAGATTCTCATAGGAGCACAAACCCTATTGTGAACTGCACGTACAAGGGATCTAGGTTGTACGCTCCTTATGAGAATCTAATGCCCCACCTCCTGCCCCCAATCCATGGAAAAATTGTCTTCCATGAAACCAGTCCCTGGTGCCAAAATGGTTGGGGACTGTTGACTTATAGTATAAACTTAGGTTACATCCCAAAGGACAATTTTGTTTGTTGATTGGCATCTAGAAGCGTTGAGACCACAAATCCCTTGAAATTGTATGCAATGTAGTACATACATGTTTATTTTGGGGGATGGAGGGTATAGAAAGTTTTCATCAGATTCTCAAAAAGGTCCAGTGACCCCTTCACCCCAAAAACCACATTGCCTTAAGAAACTGACTGGCTGTCAAATCTGAAAACAAGAAGGAACACCATGTTTAGCTATGTGCAAGGAGTTATCTGGCATTCTTTAGTAACAAAAATTATATTATTAATGGACATTGAGAGATTTATTGAGTCCCATTATACATTAAATACCATTCCTTAATAGAAACTATTACTCAACTATTCACAAAGCTATTTGTTAGGAAAGGAAATGGAATAAAAGTTATCCAAGAAAATGATTTTTCTTTGATTCCTTATAAAGTTCACTACAGGAAATTTGATGGTTTTAAGTCTTCCATGAAGAAAAAATTTGGTCTTAAATCAGATAACTAAGCCTGAACATACTATGATTCAGTGTAACATTAAAAATGTAGTGGCTAGGAATCACATTTTCTTTTTATGGTAGTAATAATAAAAAATAGCTATTATTTGTTAAATAGCTAAAGTGCTTTATATACTGTGCTAGACACTTTACATACATCACTAACTATTACAACCATATAAATACAAAAAAATGAGGCTCCAAAAAAGTTAAGTAACATGCCTGAAATCGCGCTGCTAGGAAACAGCAAAGTTAGCATTTGAACCAAAGCCCATATCCTTCTTCATGCAGTGCACAATCTCTGTATGTCACAAAAACTAAGAATAAAGTACACATGTGCCTCCAGAGAGTAGTTAGTTCAAATGAGTACTGAGTATGAGTGATTAAAAAAAAAAAAAAAAAAAAAGAATACCTAGAACATAAGAGTCATTTGGAAGGGCATAATCAGCAGATATTAATAACCTGTATCTTACCTCCAACTGTAATATACCCATGCAAGTCTACTCGTATTCACCTCTCATTCCAAACAGAATATGGTTTTGCCTCTGCAAAACCATAACAGGTTTCACATTTGGAGTTATAAAAGAAATGTTCCCAAAAGCAGAAGCATAAGAGAAGGAAAGGGAGGTTGGCCTTGTGCGGCAAAGGTAAAACTTTATCTTATAGGATATTAAGTAGATGTTGAGAACTGGGAAAGCGATGGCAAAAGAGTAGAAGAGGTGTTTTGCTTTTTGTTTGAGACGAAGTTTTTGGTCTTATTGCCCAGGCTGGAGCGCAATGGTGCAATCTCAGCTCACTGCAACCTCCGCCTCCTGGGTTCAAGCGATTCTCCTGCCTCAGCCTCCCGAGTAGCTGGGATTACAGGCAACCGCCACCATGCCCAGCTAATTTTTGTATATTTAGTAGAGATGGGTTTTCACCATGTTGACCAGGCTGGTCTTGAACTTCTGACCTCAGGTGATCCACCCACCTCAGCCTCCCAAAGTGCTGGGATTACAGGTGTGAGCCACTGCACCCAGCCTGTTTTTTTTGTTTTTTTGTTTTTTGTTTTAAGAAAAAAGAAAGCCACAGATAGAAAAACAAGTGAAAACAAAAATTACAGAATAGGAAGATAATACTCAGAACTAAGGCATGACATAAAGACACAAGAGTTCATTTTCTTTTATAATCTTCCATCATTACTCCACTTTAAAGAGTATAAAGAGCACAGATTACTGATTCCTAACTTTGCAGAAGTGAATTGATCCACTGTAATCAGTGATTACAGCAAAATTCTCCAGAATGAGTTTTCAATCAAAATGTGCTTCCAAATATATTGAAAGAAAAAAAAAATCTAGGAGGCAAGCAGACTTGAAAGCTTTAAAGGCACACAATAAAAATGCCAAAAAGCCACTATTTTTCATTAAGGTAATTCATTAATATCTTCAAACCTTATTCATGAATTTAAATTATTAGGATATTTAAACATTAATTATTCTATCCATATTTCTTTACTTCAGAGATTATGAAAAAGGGGGTTATAACTCAGTGGTAGAGCATTTGACTGCAGAAATTATGAAAAACGAAAAACAAAACTTCTGAATCCTTAGAATTACATCTTTTCTTATATACTAGGAAGTGAAATTGGGTATCAGCACTCCTTTCATTGAACAATCTCACAAAGGTACAGAAGAAAGTGCAAGTCCCAGCAATAAGATAGGATGTACCCACTTCTCTAAGGACCTAAAAGCCTATCAGCGTTTTATTTTGTCACTGTCAACCTCTTAAATGATCACCTTTGTTATTGCTTTCTGGTTTTCACCTCTAAGCGCACTGCTTTCTAAAAAACTGAAGGTCAACTTGGAATTTCAGAAACAAAGTGAAGATCTGAATTCTGAGCTTTTAAAATTGTAGTAACATACTGTAACACATGAATATATGTTTTATATACATCAATATAGATTTTATCTACTAGATCAAAAAAAGCTCCAGAAAATTATTATGAATTCATCCTCCTTCTAAAACACTAAAGAATGAAAGTGAGATTTTTTTAAAAAAGATAAGTAAGATAGAAGTAAGAGAACATGATGGTTTAGCAAGCAGGCAACAGTTCACTAGCGGACAGCAGTTTATTGGTTTCTCTCAGCAGTGAAGTCTCCTCCTCTTGGGTGGTTTGCACTGTGACTGCAGCTGCGTACCTTTGGTGGTATCAGATATGCTATTTAACAAGGCACACATCATATCTCCCTCTAAGTGGTGAGGGTTTAGTATATGAGCTGGCCTCTGAGTCTTCTTAAATTGATTCTCTAGCTCCAGAAAACCTTGATCTCCTGAGAGGATGGTGAAAGGAATTTGCTTGGGTAGTTGTTCATCTAGACGGCCAGCCTAAGTTAGAACAAATGGCACAGGTTGATAAAAAATCAGCATGAGTTTCAAAACAAGTTACATCTATTTCAGAATGAACACATGCCTAGGAAGGTATATTAAGCTTGTTCCCTAGTCCCTACCAAAGTATGACATAAAGATCTCCTTCAGCTGGGTGCAGTGGCTCACGCCTGTAATCCCAACACTTTGGGAGGCTAAAGCAGGTGGATCGCTTGAGGTCAGGAGTTCGAGACCAGCCCGGCCAACATGGTGAAACGCGGTCTCTATTAAAAAATGCAAAAATTAGCTGGGTGTGGTGGCATGCGCTTGTAATCCCAACTACTCGGGATTCTCCAGGCTGAGGCTGGAGAATCACTTGAACTCGGGAGGCAGAAGTTGCAGCCAAGATCGCGCCACTGCACTCCAGCCTGGGCGACAGAGTGACACTCCGTCTCAAAAAGGAAAAAAAAAAAAAGAGAGAAAGAAAGAACTCGTTCATAAATGAAATACCCCACATTTAATCAAATATAAGATGCCATTAAATTATATAAGCTATTTAATGTGCCATGAAAAGAAAAAGCCAAAATGGAAGTCCAACAGACCTCACATAAGGTTGAAATGCCAAAGGGCTATACGCTCAATATAAGGGTAAATAAGAAATAAATCTGCCATAGAGAAAAGGTAAGCAAGGCAATTTGCATGATTCAATCTTGGCATTAGATAGACTGAAAAAGAAATCTTTTGTTGTTTAAACCATAAGCTGCAGTCAACAAGTTTGCAGAGTAAATTCACATTATCAGTGTGACATGTAAGTCCCCAAGCAGAAAATTTAAAGTGGGTCTCAGTTTGGCAGTTTCTCTAGGTACCCAGCAGAGACAGAAGCAAATGCAAATTCTGTCTAGGCCAACAGTGATTGTTAAGGTACCTCTTAATTTTAGAGATATTAAAATATGAAAGTGTCTTAATATATATCAAATACAGTATCATCAGCAGGGCGCAGTGGCTCACACCTGTAATCCCAGCACTTTGGGAGGCCTAGGCGGGCAGATCACTTGAGGCCAGGAGTTTGAGACCAGCCTGGCTAACATGGAGAAACCCCGTCTCTACTAAAAATACAAGTATTAGCTGGGCATGGTGGTATGCTCCTGTAGTCCCAGCTACTTGGGAGGCTGAGGCACAAGAACCATTTCAGCCCAGGGGGCTGAGGTTGCAGTGAGCCGAGACTGCGCCACTGCACTCCAGCCTGGGTGACAGAGCGAGACTGTCTCAAAAACAAACCCAAAAAACAGTATCAGCTCTTGATCATTTATCCCACAAATAGTTGAGGGTCTACTATGGATAGCTGAAGGTTTGCTAGAAGTTGAGGATAAAGCAATAAAAATATGCTATGGGGTCCTGCCTTCATAATAGTCATAGGTAGAACCTGAAGTACTGAAGAATGATCTATAAGTCTCATTACAATTCAAGTGGGGAAAAAAATGCAAGTGGGTCTGAGATTCACATTAGATTTTGAATAAAACAATGACTCACATGCATACATATGGCAAAATCAGCAGCATCTTTTCTTTTACTACAGCGAGGATGAAGGAAGAAGCATCCAATCCTGTTCAGGTAGTTATAAATCTTACAGTTGAGCGGAGGCTTCCAATTGGTGTTTCCTCCTATTAATTTTAGAAAAGGCAAAAATGATAATCAAACAGGAGAGGAAAGGCCAAAAATTTTATCAAGAAAAAACACATACTAGAAAAAAATTTTTCTAGAGGCAAAGTACTAGATCAGAATGTGGAAGAACTCCATCCTAGCATAAGCATCAACATCTTGTTGCTTTAAAGTCTTGAGAAAGTGGACCAACTTCCCTGAATCTGTCAACTCATCTTAAAACTCACATGGATATTAGGCAAAATCAAAAGCAATGTGTGTAAAAATTCTTTGAATGGCATTATTCTATAAGTGTAAGCATAAGTGGTTTTTACAGATGTCACCACCGTTCAATGCAGAAATGATGGGCAATCACCAAAGCTCAACTTACTAAAGCAATTATACTGGCTAACTTATCCAGGTCAGTATGTTTCTATCTTTAATCCCAATCTTTCTCTTTACATGCTATTTCCTATCAAACACAAACAATAGCAGATTCTCTGTAAACCAAAGAAGCCTCTCCCCCAAGTTTGGTCAACAATTTGTAAAGAGGTTTAGATGAAGCTGAACACTTAAGAACAGCAAGGATGAACCGAAGAGGCAGTTATGGCATGTTGAAAATAACATTAGTCCTATAGCTGAGAGGCCAAATAATTCTGCTATTTATTAGTTTTAAAACTTTGAGGGAAAAAAAACAAAAACAAAAACAAAACATCTGCTTCTTTGTATTTTAAAAGGGATAAAACCATAATAATCAGTAACCATGTTAGTACAAAGCCAAAGCACCTGACACATTTTAGGTGTTGAATAAAGGCTTTTTCAATCTGTATCAAAAGATCCATAAACTTTTTTTTTTTTTTTTTTTTTTTTTTAAGACAGAGTCTCACTCTGTTGCCCAGGCTGGAGAGCAGTGGTGCGATCTCAGCTCACTGCAAGCTTCGCCTCCTGGGTTCACACCATTCTCCTGCCTCAGCCTCCCAAGGAGCTGGGACTACAGGGGCCCGCCACCACGCCCAGCTAATTTTTTGTATTTTTTTTTTCTTTTTAGTAGAGACGGGGTTTCACCATGTTAGCCAGGATGGTCTCGATCTTCTGACCTCGTGATCCGTCCGCCTCAGCCTTCCAAAGTTCTGGGATTACAGACGTGAGCCACCGCGCCCGGCCAAAAGATCCATAAACTTTGAGTCACCAGATAGAGCTAACATTTACCACAGAGGCATGTAAAGAAAACGATTCTAGCAGAGTAACTATAATACAAAAGAACAATATTCCAATTATGTTCCTATGTTCTATCCAGGAAGGTTTAAGAGGAGCCTTTTAAACTGAACTATATTCTAAGAGGTGGGAAAAAGTTTTCTTTTGTTTTTCTTATTAACCGTACCTTGAAAGCCCCAAATAAATGTTCCTTGGTTTAGATGCCCTGGTAGATGACCAAAAAAGTTTGACCAGTTATCAAAATCTACAAAGACTATATGAGTCATGGTTCGCAGGTAATCCAAATCTGGAAGCTCAACAATTTCTTCCTCTGAGAAGAGAGAAATATCAACATGAGTTCAGTAAGAATTTGCTAAAATCATTCTGATTTCAAGTCCAAAAAGTATTAGAAGCCTAATATGCAAAAATACTAACCTTGAATGTTACTCATTTCTATCTAAACCTTTTTGTGAAATCCAAATCTGTACATGACACCATTTACACTTAAATCAGATAAAAATAATCTGAACATTTCACCAATTTTGGTTATATATCCTTCTTGCAAACATTTTCTTCCAACAACTCTAAAGCTTGTTAAAAAGTCACTTATACAAGGAATTTTTTTAAAAAATTAATGTACTAGAAGAACTAGAAAACCAAGTTTTAAGGTTAAATAAGCAAAAACTAATACCACCCATATAAAATTCCAAGGTTACCTATTAAGAACATTTTCACCACCAGAATTTGGTTCTTTTCCCAGTCTGGACTGATTTATTAGTAGCCCTCTAGTTCTAGGATTAAACACCCTAGAGAGCAGAAATAAGATAACCTAGAATCCTGCTGCCATAAAGCAGTGCTAGAAATATGTGCCAGTGGTACAGAGACACCTCCCCCTATAAACACATCTTCTTGGTTCTCTCAGATTCTTCTTTCACCTTCCCCCATGCCCCAACTCTCATTCTCCCTCCCCTTTATCTTGTTTCATACTTTTCCACTTTGACAAGGCCTTAAAGTTTCCTGTGGTAACAATGCAAACTTTAAAATGTTATATTATTTAAAAAATGAATAGTTTCTATTCTAATAGTTCCTTCAAATATACTACTGCCATTCCCTTCCATTTCCAAGCCACCTTACGTCTTTTCTCTAACTTCTCGGTAATTCTAGATTTAGGTATTGCATTTTCTATCAAACACAGACTAACACAAATTCCAAAAAAAAAGTAAACAGAAGCGCAAAAGAAAGGCCTAACATAAAATGGTGTAACCAGTGTTTCACTGTTTAGAGTTGACTAGGTAGCTCATGATTTAATTCTTTACCACTGAAAACATGCCATGACTAAAGGTGATGTTGAAATCTACATATGGTATAGAGCAAGACTCTAAAAATTCAATAGTTCATAAAAATACATTACTGGCCAAAATTTTCACATATTCTCACTGTACCCAAATATGCTACATTGTATAACTCACCAAGAATTAGTATTTATTTAAAAGAATATAGACTTAAGTCAGGTGTGGTGGCTCACACCTGTAATCCCAACACTTGGGGAGGCTAAAACAGGAGGATTGCTTAAGGCCAGGAGTTCAAAACCAGCCTGGGCAACATAGTAAAATCCCATCTCAAAAAAATTTTACAAATAAAAGAAGATACACTTAAAATTATACTCTAAACAAAAACAAATTATACTTCTAAACAAAACAAATTATACTTCTAAACAAAATAAAAACATAACACCTGCCTAGACTTACTTAATCCTATCATATGGAAGAAAGAAAGTCTGGAGTAAGTACAAACAAGGAATTCATATTTCAATTTTCCCCCTGGTTTCCTGCTACCACTTTAACTCTACTTCTAATTGCTATTTTAATTGTATGTTAAAGCTTTTCTTCCAAGTTAATCATAACAAAAATATACAAATGCTGAAATGACCTTTAAAATGTCTCACACTAAAGAATATGGCCAAATAGAAACAAAAAGAATTCACGTGATTTATCTTTTTAGTTAACCCAAATATTACAAGAAAAATCTAAATGATATTAATACTAGGATAACTTTGAAATCTAACTTTCAGAAAAACTATCAACTTCCTTCATCTTCAAAATCTCCACACCTTTTGTAAAATAAAATGATATCTAAAATATATATTATTTAAAGCCAACATATACTCTGTCCTCGTAAGTTTAGAAAGTGGATAAATGTAGTAGTAGGAATACAAACCCCTAAAATGTATATACCATAATAATTAACATACCATCAAGAAGTTACCCTGTTTCTTGCTTCAAAATTGAATCGAGGTGGGTACATTGTAAGTTTCAATATCAGTATATGAAATTTGCATAGAGCTATAAAGCCATACCTATATTCTGATAGCTTAGGTCATTCTCAACTCCTTTCTCCATGTCTAAACTTTTTGAATAGTTTATTGCCTGTTTCAGTTTTCTCTCTGTATGTGAGGCACTAGCAGTAAACTTGTACAGGTTTGATTTTTCAGATCCAAAATGAGCCACACTGGGTTTCTGTAAGAAGCAATGTTTTCTATGGAAATGCTGCTGTGCACTCTCAGGATCATGAAATGCTTTGGTGCAGGTGCCACACTTGATTACATACTGCTGCTCCTCCTCATCACTCTTTTCTTTGTGCACTTGATGGATATGAGTGTTCATGTCGGTTAAATTCTGTGCTGTTGCCGAACATAAACTGCAGCGAAACCACAGTTTTCCTTTATCCAGCATGATTTGGAGACATCTGCTATAATCTTCTTTTCTGTTGACTTTACAGATGTAACTCTCACGGCAACCACAAGTTAACTGGTTACTGGTCTCTATTACTGGAAAATCATCTTCGGTTTTAATTGAAGTTTCAGTTTTTTCTGACACAAATACATAATCTATGCTGTGGTGCTCCTCATAATGACTCAGAAATGCTTCTTCCACATTAAAGATAAGATCACAAAGCCCACAGAAGTATTTAATCTTTATCTCATTGTCATGCTCATCTTGGCAATGTCGGTACAATGTTTCTATCTTATGAAAAGGCTTTCTGCAGTGAGCACAGCTGTATCTATGAAACTTGTGGCTTGCCAAAGACATGCAGTGCTGTTTTACATATTCCTGGGAATCAAACATATCTTCACAAATCCGGCATTGCCATTTACCCCTCGGAGAACTATTTGCCGGGGAATGATCAATAACAGTAATAGCTGATGAAGGCTTGTTAGCAGTCAAATTATCCAATGTTGTAGAGGATGATGGCAAAGTTTCACCTTCTACCTCATCCATCTCATAAAAATATCTGTGTCCATTATGAAATTCAGTCACATGTGCCATGATAGTATCTTTCCTTGTTAACTCCTTTTTGCATGTCCGACACCAGAAAAGAAAGTTATTTAAATGTGCCCCTCCGTGAATCCGGCTCATGTGTAAACGAATGACCCCTGAATCATCACATACCTTTCCACAGACCACACATTTATAACCCATTGTGTTTGCTGAGAAAACATGCTTTTCTACTGCATCTTCACTTGGGAATCGCTGATTGCATTCACAGAACCAGGTTTTAACTACTGATTTTTCTTTCTGGACACAAGCAACACCTTCATGGCTTTTATCTTTTAAATTCATCTTCTTTTTTGGAATGGCAATGCACTCCAGTGAGCTAGATTCTTTAATAGACATGGTTCTTTTAAGTGATGAAAATTTTGATTGATCCAACAATAAATGCAAGTCAGAAGAAGGATCCTTGTTCCCTTCGCTGCTGTGGCAATAGAGTAAGACTGATTCTTCCACTGAGTTAATGACTCGGACTTTGTGTCCTGAATTCTGCTTATGATTTTGGGTGCTGGTTTCATCCACAAAGACTTGATTGCAATCTGGACAATAACCTCTTAATATGAATTTCTCTGCAACCTGGGTAATGCTCTTCTCAGCTACAGCTACAGGTCCAGCATTTCGACAATGAACTCTAAATTAGATAAAAAGAAATAGAAAGTCTTTCAGAAGTATTTTCTAAATATACCATTGCTGCATTTTATTGCAGGAATTATAAAATAACCAACGTATAAATAAGCACTAAAAGATACTTTTCAATAAAGATGCAAATGACATAATGATGTTCTATCATCTCAAAATACTTGAGTATTATCTGCACTTTATCTATTTCTAGTTAAAATACAAAAGGCTAAAACTAGATTCAAAATTTTTTAAATTCAGGCAAATTTTAGAAAACTAAAATCTGTATCAAAAGCACTGACAGAGGACCTTATTGAACAGGCAAATTATTAGACTCTCCATGGTAATTAAACTGTATGTAAGAACACTATGGTTAAGATTCTAGACAACCCAGTTCCTATTCTTTAATAACTGATTAATGTTGATACTATAAGGCTATGGTAACCAAAACAACATGTACTGGTATAAAAACAGACACACAGATCAATGGAACAGAATAGAGAACCCAGCAATAAAGCCACATACCTACAAACTACTGATCTTTGATGAAATTGACAAAAATAGACACTGGGGAAAGGACACCCTATTTAATAAATGGTGCTGATAAAACTTGACAGCCATATGCAGAAGAATAAAACTGAACCCATATCTTTCATCATATACAAAAAATAACTCAAGATGGATTAAAGGCTAAGACCTGAAACTATAAAAATTCTAGAAGAAAACCTAGGAAAACCCCTTCCGGACAATGGCCTAGGCAAAAAATTTATGACTAAGTCCTCAAAAGCAAATGCAACAAAGCCCTAAAATAGACAAATGGGACTTAAAAGCTTAAGCATAGCAAAAGAAATAATCAAGAGAATAAACAGACAACTTACAGAATGGGAGAAAATATCTGCAAACTATGCATCTGACAAAGGACTAATATTCAGAATCTACTAGGAACTTAACAAGAAAAAAATCCACAAATAATCCCATTAAGAAGTGGGCAAAGGACATGAACAGACATTTTTCAAAAGAAGACATACAACTGGCCCATAAATACTCAACATTACTAATCATCAGAGAACTTCAAATTAAAACAATGCGATACCATCTTACACCAGTCAAAATGGCTGTTATTAAAAAGTCAAAAAACAACTGATGTTGGCAAGGATACAGAGAAAAGGGAACACTTATACACTGTTGATGGAAATGTAAATTAGTACAACCTCTATGGAAAACAATATGGAGCTTTCTTAAAAAACTAAAAATAGAACCGCCCTTTGATCCAGCAGTCCCACTACTGGTATCTACCTTAAGAAAAAGTAAGCATTATATCAAAAAGACACCTACACTTGTACATTTACCGCAGCACTATTGACAATAGCGATAATGAATGGAATCAACCTAAGTGTCCATCAATGGATTATTGAATAAAGAAAATATGGTATATATACCATGGAATACTACTGAGTCATAAAAAAGAATGAAATCATGCCTTTTGAAGCAACATGTATGGAACTGGAGGCCATTATCCTAAGTGAAATAACTCAGAATGTCAAATACTGCAAATTTTCATTTCTAAGTGGGAGTTAAACAATGGGTACACGTGGACATATAGAGTGGAATAATAAACAGATATTGAAAACTCCAAAAGGTGGGAGGTTGGGAAATGGGTGAGGGTTGGAAAATAACCTATTGGGTACAATGTTCACTATTTGGATGATAGTGACATTAAAAGCCCAGATATCTGAGCTTCACAATATACCCATGTAACAAAACTGCACTCGTACCCCCTGAATCTATAAGAAATAAAAATAAAGAACTGATTAATTTTATGTCAGACAAATGTCATGCCCCTAGTTGCTTTTGCACTGAAGAACTAGGCTCAATAAAACCACATACTATTCCACAAATTAACTCAAAATAAATCAACTTCCCTAGGAAAATAAAAAAATAGAACAACTGTGTCTTCACTACTAAACTCCAGAGAGAACAGACCTGCTACCATTTTATACATTTAATATATTTCAAAAGAAAAAAACTGTACAAAATATGTTCTCTAATTATTGTGGAATTAAATTGGAAACAAAAAATAATACAAATCCCTAAATGTTTATAAATTAAATACCTAAATGTAACATCTATAAACCTTTAGAAGTTAAGCCACACATATCTTTTTTGTGTGTTTGGAGACAGAAAATCCTTCTGTCACCCAGGCTGGAGTGCAGTGGCACAATCTTGGATCACTGCAACCTCTGCCTCCCAGGTTCAAGCGATTCTCTTGCCTCAGCCACCAAGTAGCTGGGATTACAGGCGCTCACCACCACACCCGGTTAATTTTTTGTATTTTTAGTAGAGATGGGGTTTCGCCATGTTAGCCAGGCTGGTCTCGAACTCCTGAGCTCAGGCAATCCACCTGCCTAAGCCTCCCAAAGTGTTAGGATTACAGGTGTGAGCCACCACGCCCAGCCAAGCAACACATTTCTAATAAACCTATAGGTCAAACAATAAATCAAAAGGGCAAAGATAACATTTTTCCAAAACATTTTTAAACAGCTTTATTGAGATATAATTCACGGCTAGGCGCGGTGGCACATGCCTGTAATCCCAGCACTTTGGGAGGCTGAGGCGGACAGATCACTTGAGGTCAGGAGTTCAAGACCATCCTGGCCAACATGGTGAAACCCCGTCTCTACAAAAAATACAAAACTCAGCCAGGTATGGTGGCACACACCTATAGTCCCAGGTACTTGGGAGGCTGAGGCACGAGAATCACTTGAACTTGGGAGGTGGAGGTTGCAGTGAGCCGAGATTGCACCATTGCACTCCAGCCTAGGTGACAGACAGAGACCCTATCTTTAAAAAAAAAAAAAAAAAAAAAAAGGATATAATTCATAATTCATATACCATATAATTCATCCATTTAGGGTATATAATTTCAACTATTTTTCACATAAAGATATGTGCAACCATCAATAGTTAATTTTAGAACATTGTGTTATGTCAAAAAGAAAACCCATGCCCTTTAGCTATCACCTCCCCACCTCCCTTTTCGCCATGCTCCCCAACTCCAAGCAACCACTGAACCCTAAGCAACTACTTTCTGTGTCTACAGATTTCCCTATTCTGGAATTTCATGTGAATGGAATCATATAAATGGACTTTTTGTGACTAGCTTATTTCATTTAGCATAATGTTTTCAAAGTTCATTGAGGTTGTAACATGTAATCAGGATTTCAATCCTTTTCATGGCCAAATAATATTCCCTTGTATGGATATGTCCAGTTAAAAAAATCCATTTGTCAGCTGATAGACATTTGGGATGTTCCCATTTTTTTACTATTATGAATAATGCTGCTATAAACAAACATACAAGTATTTGTGAACAAGAGCAAGTTCACTTTGCTCTTGGCTGTCAACAAGCAGAAATTGCTGGATCATATGGTAACTCTATGGTTAAATGAGGAAAAAAGAGATACGTATTTTTAACTGAATAAAAATGAAAACACAACTTATCAACATCTGTGGCATGCAGGTAAAGCAGTGCTTAGTGGGAAATTTATATTTTTAAATGTTTATATTGAAAACAAAGATCCAAAGTCAATCTAAACTTCTACCTTTAAGAGCTAGACAAAGATAAGCAAATTAAACTCAAAGTTTAAAGAGCAGAAATCAATGAACTAGAAAATGGGCAAACAACAGAGAATTGCCAGGGAAACCAGACAATGGTTGTTGTAAAAATCAACAAAAATTTGAAATAGATTATAGAAATAAACATAAATATTTAAAAATATCAAAGCTGAATTTAGGGAAATAAAATACATTCTTTAAGCAAGAAGAGGCAAGGGTTTCTCAGGACACAGAAAGCATAACCATAAAAGAAGAAAATAATCAACAAATTATACACCTAATGCAAAGAAAAGCTTCTGTTCATCAAAAGGTATAATTAAAAATATGAATATGCAAAATCACAGGAAAATATACTCATAAATATTTGTATATTCTAGAAATTCCTGTATTCTAGATACGAATCTGACAAAAGATTTGTATCTAGAATATATAAAGAACCCCAACTCACTATTAAGAAGGCAAACAATCCAATTTTGAAGACTGGCAAAAGACTTGAACAGAGATTTCACAAAGATAAACAAATAGCCCATAAACACAAGAAAGTGCCCAACATCATTGTTTATCAAGAAAATGCACATAATAAACTAAAATGAGACACAAGAATAGCTAAAATGAAAAAGAGTGGCAATATCAAATGTTAGCAAGGGTGAAGAGTAACTAGAACTTTCATACCTTACCTGTAGGAATGAAACTAATACGACCAACTTTGGATATTTAGTAGGTTCTCATAAAGTTAAATATAAACCTACTTCTGAACCAACAATTCCACTTTTCAATGTCCATCCAAGAGAAATGAAAACATATGACCATGAAAAGACCTGTGCAAAGTATTCAAAGCAGCTTTATTCATAAAAGCTATAAATTGTAAACAACCCAACTATCTATCAACAAGGGAATGGATCAACAAATTGTGCTATATTCACACAATACTACTTACCAATAAGAAGGAACAATGTACTAAACAATATAGATAAATCTCACAGATACTATGGCAATCACAAATCATACTGGACTCTTTCTTGGTTACTTGATAAATTTGGCCTTTCATTGAGATTTAATCTTTCAAATGTATATGATACTTTCCATTCTGGTTGACTTAAAGCCAAGGTTCTACTTTAACCCTTTCCTCTCCTACTCATACTTACAGAACACACACAGAAGAACATACACAAAACTTAGAACTGTTAGCTTGCTTTACACTTGCAGAATATCAATATATCCACGTTTTCCACAACTCTAACTTCTCTCACTATGTTAAATTTGGCTAATTTCCAGGCAACTGTATATTCTCATTTTAAAAGGAGAGAAACATGGAAAGAAAATGTATTTGTTGAATCTTCTCACTGGCAAACACTCATCCGTATTCCTTTACAGCTCCAGACCAATACAAACCTGAAATGGGCAGTGAGCTCCATGTGGGAACGCAGTGTCTTGTGGCAGGCCACACACTTAACTTGAAAGGGAACATCTTTGCACAGAGAGATCAAAAGTTTCTTTGCAAAAGATGGGAAAGATATTGGATGTGCAATTCCTTTGTTATCTGAAAGACAAAATAAACTATAATTTGCAAAGTTATTTGAGTACAGAGTAACCCAACCTTCCTCCCCTCAGCCCTTCTCAACATTAGTTGGAGTAAGTAAAAGAAGACAGTTATTTTGGCAATAAAAATCTAAGGGAAGCCACTTTCTAGCCTTAAATACAAAGAATGCCTTACTTATACTCAAATTAAAATTTGAGTCTTAAATGCCGAGAAACAGAAAACTTCCAAGATATCATGATATAACATAACATTATCCTGAATAAATATTTGCTTCCCAGGATTTCTTCAGTCTTCAAAGTTAGTAAGCCTTACTCATACGTACAAATAAATATTAAGAATCTTTGTTTTTAAGTAGGAATTGAGATAATCTTTTACTTTCATAGTTCTAAAACTAAGATGAGGATATGTAATCTCAAGAATGATCTGAGAAGTATGATAAATCAGCAAAGATTCAAGTAGTTTAATTTTCAGCAGAAGAGAGTATTAACATACCACCCAGTTTGAAACTCTGATGGAAATGATTCTTTCCAGACATATGCTTTGAACACTCCTCCTTTCTGCTAAAAAGAAGGAAGCAATTTGGACATGCAAAACACTGAATAATCTGAGGAAGAAGGTTGTTGTTATGTCCATCATCTGTGGCTTCCTAAAATATAAGACAAAGCTGTATTATGGAAAACTAAAATAAACACTCAAGTTCTTGAAAAAAACTTTCAAAATTTCCTATTTGTTGTTTATTCGCAATATCCTGTATCAATTTTTAACATGAAAGATGTTCTTCCCTGAGTGTGAATTATGGAACTTTTATCATAACCGAGGTCCCAAATGTCAAATTTTTAGTTTTTTTTCCTCAAAACCAAATTATGGCCATCTGTTGTAGTAACAAATATAGAAGAACATTTGCTTTCTATATAGTTTTCATTTTTACATACACATTCACATGTAATATATAAATGCATAAATGTGATCACACCACATACACTTTTCCTAATGTTTTGCTTTATTCACTCTACCCTGCATTATTATTCTTCCACAAATTTATCCATGCTTACTCAGTTACAAAGACACATAGAAATAAGGGGGAATGTCATTGTTTTATCAAATATTATTTTATAGGCTCTTCTGCCTATTAGTTTTCTCATTCCATAGTACCTAAAGGAAATCCCTAAAAATCAGCTGGTATATCTCTAATTAATGCTTCTTAATGGTTGCAAACTACGCCATGGTGTCAATCTATTCAACTCAGTCAACATTTATTTTCAGTTTTTTTCTTTTTTTAAGTTTTGGGTTTTTTTTTCCCACTAGAAATAATGATCTTGTAAACATCCTTGAATATATATCCTTACTGGTAGGTGCTTTTTTCTTATTCTCAAGAGTGGCCCTACAGGGCTAATGGGTATATATATTTGAATATTAAAAGACACTGTATGACTGGTTTTCAAAAAGGCTCTACCAATTCACATATCCCCTAGTACTGAATGAGCCTGGCAGTAATATATATTACAGATTTTTTTCATTTTTGTCAGGCAAATTTTTGTATTTTTGGTAGAGACAGGGTTTCCCCACGTTGCCCAGGCTGGTCTCGAACTTCTGGGTTCAAGTGATCCACCCGCCTTGGCCTTCCAAAGTGCTAGGATTACAGGCATGAGCCACCGTGCCTGGCCTTCATTGCTACTTTAATTTGCATTTCCTATCTATAAGTGAGTTTGAGCATTTATTCATACATTTTTTGGCTACCCAGATGTGTTCTTATGTGAATTTTTTATTCATATTATTTAGCTTTATTTCTCAATTGTTTTGTTTTTTCTCCTTCTGGTCAGTTTGTATCAGTCCTTTGTTACTGAAATTAATTCTCTGCCTCATTTTCCATTTTGCAATATTTTTTCAAATATCTATTTTGTTTATAGTCTTCTTTATTTATTTTTGAGACACGAGCTCACTCTGTCACCCAGGCTGGCCCACTAGTACCCTTGACATCCTGGGCTCAAGCAATCCTCCTATCCCAGCCTCCCAAGTAGCTGGGACCACAGGCATACACCAATACACCCGGCTAATTTTTTTATTTTTTGTAAAGGCAAGGTCTTTCCATGTTGCCCAAGCTCGTCTCTAACTCCTGGACTCTAGCAATTCTCTTGCCTTGGCCTCCCAAAGTGCTGAGATTACAGGCATAAGCCACTGTGCTCGGCCTATGGTCACTTTTTAAATTTGACACAGTCAAATAAGTATGTCTTTTCTAGCATCTAAGTTTCTAAACCTTGTTAAGAGCCTCCTCTACCTTAAAATAGGAAATTTTAAAAAGTGTGTATTTATAAGTGTATGTATATTTGTGTGTGCTTGTTATAAATATAATTTAACTTCTTGTTAATGGTCTTTAGAGTAATAGCCTCAAACATTGTATTGTGCCTCATATTTACTATCATTAACACTAGAACCATCAGTATAGTTTGTGTAGTGCTTATGAGATGCAACCAGAAGAGAGATAAAAAATTTTTATTTATACCGAGCACATGTCAGGAACCACACTGAGGTTCTAAATATGTTTACCTACTTAATCCTCATAATAATCCCATGAGGTACCATTTTCATTGTTTAGAAATGAGAAAATTGAAGTTCTGATAAGTCAACCAACTTACCCCTCCTCCCAAGTTGTACCCCTCCATAGAAAAGACAAACTTCCATTTAAACCCAGCTTTCCAATCTTGGTTATGAATTATATGCTGCTTTCACTACTCCCTCCCCACCACACTCCCCTCCTGTTTTAATTTGATGAGTGCCACACAGAAGAAATAACACCGAGGAGGACATTTTCATTCCAATTTGAAGATTCTAAATGATAAGAGCAATAAAGGCATTTAGTAACCACCAATTTATACATATTTCTCCTACTTGAAGAACCCTAAACTCATTAAATCATTTTTAGTTTAATTGTGAGTTATAAATGAACTCACATAAAGTTGTTTAAATGATTTGCTCAACAGAACCAAAATGTGATTCTACATAAAATTTTATTAGAATATACTTATTACAAAAATATGGCATACTTGGCCAGGAGCAGTGGCTCACACCTGTAATCCCAGCACTTAAGGAGGCTGAGGTGGGAGGACTGCTTTGCCCAGGAATTTGAGACCACCTCTCTCTCAAAAAAAAAAAAAAAATTTTATATATATATATACACACACACACACACACACACACACACACACACATATATATATATATATATATATATATATATATATATATGGCATAGCTGCAAATACATTCTACAAACTGGGAAAAGGAATGGGAAATAAGATATCTGATAAGTTAAAGTGCTCAATTCCTTTTTACCATATTTCTGGTTACATTAAAAGACACCATACAAATTTGTACAATAAAAAAAGTAGGGCTGGGCATGATGGCTCATGCCTGTAATCCCAGCACTTTGGGAGGCTGAAGCGGACAGATCACAAGGTCAGGAGCTCGAGACCAGCCTGGCCAACGTGGTGAAACGCCGTCTCTACTAAAAATACAAAAAATTAGCCGGGTGTGGTGGCAGGCGCCTGTAATCCCAGCTACCCAGGAGGCTGAGGCAGAAGAATCGTTTGAACCCGGGAGGCAGAGGTTGCAGTGAGCCGAAACTGCACCACTGCACTCCAGCCTGCACAAGACAGCGAGGCTCCGTCTTAAAAAAAAAAAAAAGGCAGAACCAAAATACCATTTCACACCCACTAGACTGGCTAAAAACTGAAACCCACAAACATTGCTGGCGGGAAAGTAAAATGGTGCAGTGCACTAGACAGCAGTTTGGCACTTCTTCAAAAAAATTAAAAAGGTACCATATGACCTAGCAATTTAACTCGTTAGAGGAATTAAAACGTATTTTTACACAAAACTTAGATGTTGGTTTATAGAAGCATTGTTCGTAACAGCCAAAAAGTAGAAACAACCCAAATGTCCATCAACTGATGAACTGTTAAATACAATGCGGCATATGTCCTTACAATGAAATATTATTTGGCAATGAAAAGAAATGAAGTACTGATACATGCTACCATATGAATAAGCCTTGAAACACATTATGGGAAGTGAAACAATCTAGTCACAAAGGCTGTATATTGTGTGATTCCTTTTATATAAAATATCCACAATAGATAAATCCATGGAGACACAAAGTAGCTTAGTGGTTGCCTAGGGATGAGGAAGATGGGTTAGGCAAGGAGAAAAGTCACCTTAGATGATACAGTAGCCCTAGAAACAGAATAACCAGTGGTAGCTTCAACAGACTCACAAATGACACTGAGGTACAAAGGAGCTCACAGTATATCGACCACCACTATCACACAACAGGGAGAAAAGCAGGGTGCTATCTGGTGATGTAATAGCCATTGGATGGGTTTAGGTGTCAAAAGCCACTAGAAACTTGCTACTCAAAGTATGACTCAAGGAACGACAGCAATGGCATCACCTAAAAGCTTGTTAGAAATATGAATCTAAGGCTCCACCTGAGACATCTTGAGTCAGAATCTGCATTTTAACAAAATTTCCAAGTGATATGTGTGTACATTTAAGTTTGAGAAGGCCTAGTCTAGAGTGAAGAAATTGAAGATGAAAGAAAATGGGGGAGGGGAGCAAGGAAAACAATGCAAATTGTGAATAATTTGACTTTTTTCCATTGGGGACTGCCTCTTTACAAAACAGAATTCATACCTATAAAAAACAGCGAGGCTTATACAATCTTCTAGTGACCTCTTCTTGTTGATTTAAAAGAGGCAATTACAACCCCCCATGCATACTAGTTTTCTTTAGAGTCCTTGTGGTGACACAAATGTCAAGGAATAAGCAATCATTGAAGGTTACAGGTCAGGCCTGAAATAGAGTATTACATTTTCTCTTAACAATCTCGTACATAAGCATAACGATACCATTTTAGGGATGAAGAAACTAAACTCACAGATTCAGTAACCTGTTAAGAATATGAAGCAAATAATAGTAACAGTGGAACCCAGGTCTGTCTGATACCAAAGCCTTTGCCCTTTCTATGTTACCATACTGCTTTTCAGAACGCTGAAGGTCATAAATCTACTTCCTAGAGAGACGGCAAAAAGGAGTGCAAAACAGCATGGAATGTGTGATTCCGAGAAAAAAGAAAAAACAAATTAATGAAATTTGGGGAAAAAAATAAGTGAAAAAATTCATTTTAAACTACCTACTCAAATTTACTAAAGAAAACAGACATATATACTCATTATAGTAGAGAAAACACTCAGTATATGAATAGGGAAACATGTCCTGAAAGAACTCTAATTCTGGAAAATGCAGAACATCAGTAACCTACTGCAAACCCTAAAGTACGGAATGCAGTTCTCTTTCACCCTTTTTCCCTTCCTTCCCCAAATCTTCCATTTGTCATGGAAATGGATAACCCTATCATTTCTTTCTTCAATATGTCTTTTGGTTTCACTTTAAGGTCTTCATTCTGAATGCCATTACCTAAGTCAAACAATTCTCTCATCTCAGAGCTAAATTACTGTAAAAGTCATCTAAACTGGTCTCTTTGTCCACATCTTTGAATCCATTCTGAACAATACTGCCATTCTAATGCCACTCAGTCTCTTCAGGGTCTCTAAAAAAAAGGAAGGAATTGGGCTATAGAATTAGAAGTCCTTCTAACTTTAAAAGAATAATGTGTTATTTTCATCATGTCACTGTTCTATAATAGTTTCTTCTTGCCAATATCAAGCTTAAAATCCTGTGTCTTTATGATCATGTTACTATTTATTTTTGTTAGGAATCCCCAAGACTACCCTACTACAGTGCCTAGTCAATGTTGAACAAGACGCAGGCTCTCCAAAAACTAATGAGTCAGTGTAAAATAAAATCTGCTTCAAGATGCACATCTGTTCTGGGAATGTTCTCTAGTGCCAGGACAGAGATGGGGAGGACTGCAGAATTCAATTAGATATACTTAGAATGCAAGCTTTAATTCTCTGCTGTGAACCTACACAGAATCCAAGCTATTCTCCATGTTACTTTCCAGGTATAGCTCTAGATAGAAGCAAATTCTGAAAACATTAACTAAATAAATGTTTTACTATTTCAAAATCTAATATTTATTCGGTAAATCCAATTTGATATTTACTCAAATATCCAAATATGGATATTCTCAAAGGTTTTTAGTTAACAGAATATTTAATATGGCATAGTTTTTAATAATAGAAAACAAACAATACATCCAATGGGAAATTTATTAAATTAATACTATATTCATACAGAAGAAAACAATTCAATGATTTAAAATGTAGAAATGTATGCATTGATTCGATGAATATTTAAGCTTTTATGTTTGCAACACACTGCTTTAAATCACAGAACAATTTAGATATCTTATCTTATGTAAAAACATTTATCTATATATGGAGTAATACTAAAAACACATATATCAAAATCTTAATCCCAGTCCTTATCTCTGTGAGATTAAGGATGACTTCTTGTCTTTTTGTTAATATTTTAAAAATTTTTCATAATGAACATACATTACTTCTGCAATGTTAGTAAGTCATTAAAGTTATCTACTATCAAATATGGTAAAAACCCATTAGAGTTCTGTATTACATGGATGTGCATATCCATGAATCAACTCATGTCTCTTAAGATTTAACACTTACTTAGAATTATATGACATAGCTTTTTAAATACTAGTTATATTCCTCAAAAACTAGCATTAATAACTTGTCATTTACTATATGGCGCCAACATTTCAACAAGCAGTGTAAGACAGTGGACTTAAGAACAGGGTTCTGGTTCTCATCAAGTGACTCACTCAGAGCATCTTGAACAAGGTAATTTAATTTCATAGAGCAACTCCATGAAAGGATTTTGATGATAATCTCTAGGACTGCTGACTGTAAGGTATCAAGTTTACCTGCCTATAATAACTAAATGGCCCAAATCATTTTATTTTCAATTGACAATTACAGTTTTGATACTTATGTGTATCACTGGTAATTGCAAGCTTAAGAACAGCAGGAAAAAACCTCCACTTAACTCCATGGCTATCTAGAAAAATAATACTTTTAATTTAGGACATGCTCTTACCTTATCAAAAAGGTGATCTCTATATTGTTGTTGAGTAACAAATTTTTTATAACATACTACACAAGCAAAGGAGCTGAAGAAAGGTCCATGTAGTGTAATTGTTGGATCACATGGAGAGTGATCGAACCTACTCAGCAAAAGAGGTAAGAGGTAATATTAGATAAATCTACATTCTAGGGAAACAACTATGTCGCTTCATTTGTGAAGCTAAACACATACACACACATTCAGAACTTTGCACTTTTCTACTGAAATATTAAGTAATGTTCTTCATATACAGTAAATATCAAGTGGTTCCCATATGCTCAGCAATTCCCTCAGATAGTGACCAACAGTTAGTGCAAGATTTCATATGTACTAAATATCCGGTAAAATAGATTTAGACATTTCTTACCAAACTGGTAAACTTCTCGTTTGAAAATTGTAAGTCCAGCATCTTTTACTTCTTGCCTTGGTTACCATAAGACTCACAACTAACTTTAAATACATCACTGCAATAATAATCTCATGCTAAGATTTCTAGTACACTTGTTTCCCATAATGGCTTTTAATGTTCATTTTTACCATTTAATAAATCTGCATTATTTTAAACTGCCTGGAGCACTTTAGCTAAGGTATAGTATGCTATCAAATTTTGTTCCCTCCCCGACCCCAGGTCCAGCTTTGACTTTACCTGGTTTTTTATAGAATGCTACAACTCCCTCTAGAAGCTTCTCTTGATAAGGTAAGGCATAAGTAGGGTGAGACATATGGAAAAGACAATGGCTTAGAGCCCCAAACTCTCAATTTCCCATTCTTCAGCTATTAGAAAGGGAGGCTATGGGGAGTCGAATGTTTAATACAACCTTCCCTTGATACCTTTCTCAAGCTCCACTATTCAAAAATTCAGTAAACTGGCCGAGCGCGGTGGCTCACGCCTGTAATCCCAGCACTTTGGTAGGCTGAGGTGGGCAGAATGCTTGAGCTCAGGAGTTCAAGACCAGCTTGGGCAACATGGCAGAGCCACGTCTCTGCAAAAAATACAAAAATTAGCTGGGTGTGGTGGCGCACAACCTGTAGTCCCAGACACTCAGGAGGCTGAGATGGGAGGATGGGAGGATCCCTTGAGCCCAGGAGGTGGAAGCTGCACTGCACTCCATCCTGGGCGACAGAGTGAGATCCTGTCTCAAAAAAACAAACAAACAAACAAACAAACAAAAACCACCAAACTCAGTAAATTGATAAAATGGGTTTCAATAAATAGAATTTTTATTATTAATTTTGCTTACATCAGTTTGCTTTTAACATTTATTTTGTAATGCCTATTACCTTTCTTCAGGCTAGACCAAATGTCTGTACACGCTCCTTGTCTCTTGAAATTTACATTTATGGGCTGGATTTCTCTAAAACTAACCTATCTGGATTTTGATGGAGAAAGTCTGTTTAGAACTTTATAAGCTGTATCAGGGAAAAATAAATATTTAAAAGCTATACCCATAAAGCTGAAAGCTACACCCACTAGAAAAATCTGACTTCATCAATTATGAAAAAATTATATCATAATGGCACAAAATAATTTGAGTTTGGAATATAAAGCTATATAATCATAATGGCAAAGGAGCATTACGCTTTCATTTTATGAAATCACTTGGTAGCTCACTAGATCTTCAGCATTCACTATTATGAATATCCTACTTACCTTTTCAAATGTCCTAAGAGAAGGTGCCCATTGTCAAACTCCTTGTTACAGTGCATTATAGGACATAAAATTGGTTTCCCAGACACCCACGTGTGGCCTCCTCTTCGGAATGAACTTTTTGTTCCACAATTAATTGTGCCTGTTTTGAGTCCTGCATCATCAGAATATGAATTCTTAGGTTATTATTTCAGATACTTATCCTTTGGGCTAGTGATCAAAATTAGGACAAAACAATGAAAATTATGA
Source organism: Homo sapiens (assembly GCF_000001405.40). Lineage (NCBI taxonomy): Eukaryota > Metazoa > Chordata > Mammalia > Primates > Hominidae > Homo > Homo sapiens. Next base: position 57,132,946 of record NC_000006.12, on the reverse strand, counting down.
CATAGCATCAACTGGATGATGCTAATTATAATTGTTTAAAACCTCTCTTATAAAAGATATAATAACCTAAAAGTAAATAAGTTATGACCAAAAAAAAGCCCTTAATATCACCAAGTAGCATTCTCTTTTTTTTTTGAGATGGGCATCTTGCTGTATTTCCCAGGCTCAATCAATTCTCCTGCTGTCGCTCAAACTACAGGAGCACGCCACCATGCCCAGCTCCAAGTAGCTTTTTTCCCTTTAGGGAAAAAAAATCCTTTTCTTTAAGCTCAACAGCTAAAAAATGTTAAAGACCAAATGCATTAGAAGGTTACGCCCCTACTCCCTTCATTTTGAGCAGGTGGGCCTATAGGCACATGCCACCATGCCCAGCTAATATTTTTATTTTTTGTAGAGACAGGGTCTCTCAATGTTGCCCAGGCTGGTCTCAAACTCCTGGCCTGAAGTGATCCTCCCACCTTGGCCTCCCAAAGTGCTGGGATTACAGGCATGAGACACTGTGCCCAGCCAGATCTTTTCCTCTAATTCTTATTTTCTCTTTTAACTATTTCAACTGTGTTATAAATTTAGCTATATTATAGAGGGTCTGAGCTCTATGAAAATTATATTACACAATGTAACTGGGGTAGAGAGGATGGAATGAAGAAAGCAGGGAAGCAAGGAGGATAAGTGTGTTATTTTCTGAGGAATCAAGCCACTGATCAATCAGTTCCAGTCTAGACACATCAAGTAATACAAGTGTAAGGGATAACACATTTATAGAACACAAAGCAGAGATTTACTTATTGTTGATACCTCTCCCCTTTCTACTTATCCTATTTTGTCCCTTCTCTTTTTCCCTTTAAAAAGCCAATTAGGAAACAGTTTGTCCACAATTTTTTTCTCTTAATTAATCCTCCTTTATCCTGGTCCATTCTTCATCCCTTTCTTTCTTTATAATTTTGATCTTAAGGTCACACAACTTGTAGATGAATCCCCCAGCCAAATGTCCTCGGGGCAACTCCCAACGCATGATATATGAAGAAAAATTTAAACAGTTAAGTTGTATAAAAAACAATTGCAAAACAACCACAAGTATTCTGATTCACAGACAGTTTGATTACTCTCTGTTTTATTACTATCTCTTGTGGACTAATTTCACTCAAATGCTTTGAATATTTCATACAACAAAAAGCTAAATATTTATCTTTATTGAATTTTCTACAAAGCCCCTAAGCATTTAAATAGAATTATTCCCTTAAGACAATATGATTTTTAAATCCCAAAATGGTTATATATGATTAAGGTTTTAATTGCTTTTCCTCTCTTTTAGTCTTTATTGGGGGAATACCTCTATCAAACTGTCAAAATGTTTATAAATATGTTCTGACAACAAATAATGGACAGCATGGAATTAATCATATTTTAGTCTTAACAAGGCATTAAAATGGCAATATACTTTAACATTCTTAATGTAGTAAGAATTATGAAAACTGTTATAATTGTCCACCCACATTCCAGATGTTTCCTATTAGGACCTTTATTTAGCTATAAATAGTGGCTCTGGATAAAAATAAAGTTGGAGAAGCCAATTTCTGGGTGGAGGGGTGGGGAGGCTTCCCCATGGAAAGGCAAAATACAGAGATTTAAACAGCTTTTGTCTTAAATAATACAGACAGCATTTTTAAAAATTATAATACTAAGTATTCAAATTTATGCAAACTGGCCAACTCTAAAAACCCATAAAGAATGGATTGTCCAACATTAGAATAATTATAAATAAGGTACTTAAAATACTTCTAATGAAAGAACTGAATTATAACAGCTGAGTACTGTATTTTGAAATAGATTGAATGAGTCCTTTAATGCTACTGAGAAGTAGAATCTCACTCTCTATAATTAAAGAGAACTGTGATTCCTCTCTATTCCCCAGCTATATGCTCTTAAAGGATCTCAGCACTCTCTAAAGCCCATTTATGGAATAGCACCATACCAAATATAGCCCAATACTACACAGCTGTTCAAGCAATAGATTCCAAACTTTATTTTTACATTGCCTCAGAGACCAAGCAAAAAGCTGAGCCCATCACACAAAAAAGATCATAACTACAGACCTTAACTCCAGGCTTAAGCTTATCAGCCATCAAAAAGCCAGTACTGAAAGGCAGAGAAAACACTAATCTTGAAAGTACCATAAAGACACAGCTAAATAACTCATTTGATCCCACTTGACCTGCTCAGGGAAATACATAAACAGATGCTCAAGATTCATTTTACAATGCATTATAATATTCTGACAACCTGGAGGCCAGATATTAAGCTTGAAGGGCATATTACTGGCCCGACTACCATTCTGTATAGGACTTGAAAGTGTCAGACTCATGAGATAATTTTTAGAAGAGATCTAGAGATGATAAAGTCTTCTAGTTCTAGTCCATTTTCCTATCCACCTAGGGATCTTTCCCAAAAGTACAGATGCCCTAGAAGAATCTCTGGAGATAATAAGGTGTAGGCATCTGTTTAAAAGGTCCCAGAATATTCTGACGCAGCAAAGATGACACCACTGAGCTAGTCATTAACTTCTTCCACTGAGAAGAATGTACATGAAGAGGGATTTTTAAAACTAAAAGCTTTCAAAAAACACCCCAAGAGGCAAAACCATTTACCATATTTTCTATGTGTCTTTTGCCAAAGTAGATCTGGAGTGCCATATAATTTTTTTGTTTAATAACAGTCAGATTTGGAGCCCAAGTTCTAGGCTTCCTTTCTGTGTTCATTATGCAAATATTTATAGCCTACCTCTATAAAAATTCAACCAACATTTATTGAGTATCTCTATGTTGAGCATTCTTTTAAGGAACTGACGCTAAAAAGTATTAGTAAGATTTGGTCTTTGTGCCCAAGAAGCACATAGCTGGGTGGAAGAGACAGACATATAAACGGATCAATCGAACATAATAAATACTGTATTAGTGAAATGAATAAAGTATTGAGATCACAGATGGCTGAGCAACCAAACTTATATAGAATAAATCTAGATAAGCTTCTCACATAATTGGACATGATATACAATAACCATATTCACTCAGCAATCCCTAATACTGTATTATTTGTTGGCCACGTATAAACCCCACAGGCAAGTAAGAAGAAAACAAAGAAAAAAGGTTTTTGGGGGCAGGAGGGGAGTTTGCGAGGCACAGGCAGGTTGATAAGGAGAAAATATAGTTTCAGGGGGTGCCAAGTGTCTAAAACATCGATTATGTCAGGTATCAAATGGAATGAACTGCTAAATACCAATACATGTAAATTATTAGAATTCTTTTATAAGTGGCAATTTGATTCCATTCAAAGCAAAGCCCTTGAAAACTAACTTTAGAATCCAAGATACCTAGGTTCAACAAAGTTAAGCATTGCATGCATAGATATTTCCATGAACTTTTGTAATTAAACTTTGTTGGATTAAATCCACAGCTACAGTTTCTGTGGATATCCTAACTCTTTAAAGGCTCAGTAGATATTCTTCAAGACAAGACAGGAAAGTTGTCATGGTGGGACTCTCCTACTGGCTCTTAAAAATTCCACCAAATTATCCGGTGGAGTAAGACATGTTCCACAGCAACTCTTCAAGGAATCTCAGATCTGCAAAGAGTTAGTAACGAAGAAGCTACCCAATGTTTTGACAAGTCTATGAGGATGCTTCCTTATTAAATATCTACATAGGCTGCACTGATGAATAAATAAATAAACATGAATCCTCTAGATCTCAGTTTAAATTCCATTTCCTTAGAGAAGCTTTTTCTGACCTCAAATAATCTGTTACACACCTCCCATGGACATATGTGCTACTTCATGCAATAACTATTAAATATATAAATGAATAAATGAGTAATATCTAATGAGCTCAGGTACGACCTATATTGCTTATACTCAAATATACTTGTGCCAAAGAAGAAAGACAATGGGCAAAGCAGGCCATTATAAAGTAGGCCATTATGAGGTGATATTAGTATCACTGAAACAAAATTTAATATCTTATATGCTTATTAGCAATAGCATAAAACAGACGTACTTTCTGCCTTAAGGCTTTGGGGAAGCTAGGTAACCTTAGTGTAATTTCTAAAGAATACCTGGCATTTTTAGCCACTGGTCCACACACAGTCTTGCTGCTTCTGTATCAGAATGTCCTCGAATAAATTCCAATTCTTGTAACCCATGAGCATGCTGAAAATCAATTTTTTCCTGAAGACATTAAGAAAAAACTCAATTAAGATTACTACCCTGTTTTCCTTGAGAAAAGGATTTTGACACATTAGTGATCAGAAAATACTGATTACTTTTTATCCCCAGAACTCCACATCTAGAAATGTATGACAAAGAAATACATCAAAATAAAAATGCACGCTCTAAGATGTGTATACCAGTGTTATTGCACAAAATTTACTACAACCTACACCCCTAACAACAGGGTATGGTTTAAGTAAATTATGGTATGTACATTTGATGGACGTCATTAAAAACATTAACCAAATTTTTCAAAGGTGTGGAAATATACTTTGGATATCAAGTAGGTCGCCAAACTGTATTAAACAAATGAGGCAAAATATAAACAAAGAATAATTTCAAATCCATGTGCAACTGTATCTGCAGAGGAAAAAAAAGCCTGAAAATAGATGTATTAAAAGTTATTAAGGCTACCTCTAGGAATTTCTATGTAAAGGATTATTTTCATTTTTAAAGTTTTATGTATTGTTTCAAATTTTCCATATTTAATCTGAAACATACAGAAGGAGCCTAGTAAGTATTTGTTCACTGAGTAATATTAATAACATAACTCATTAGCACTTAATATGTGCCAGTGTAAAGCATTTGTTGCCATCTAGACCAAGGGGTAACAAACTTTTCCACAAAGGCTAGTTAATATTTCATTATGGCTTTGCAGGCCATAGACTCTTTACTGCCACTACTCAACTGTGCCATTGTAGCAGGAGAGCAGCCACAGACAATATGTAAACAAGTGAGTGTAGCAGTGTTCCAATAAATCTTTGTTTATAGCAGGCAGCAGGCCAATGACAATGCTGAACTAGATGCTCTGTATTGCTAAAAGCCTAAATCTTTCTAGTTATATTATCCATAAAACTATTTGTGTATTTTCCAATCATGTGTATTAAAATTAATACTTTTTGGCCACTAACCATGTGTGAGGCAGTTTTAAAAAGACTTTAGATTTTAGGTATTATTGTTCCCCTTTTATGATGAAAAACCTGAGGTACACAGAGGTCAAATAAATTGCCCAAGGATATATAATAATGTCAGAATTCAAACTCTGGCAATCTGATTCTAGAATTCATGCCCTAACGAGTATAATCATACTGCCTCTCAAAAAGATTTACATGTACTTCAAAAGGGATCAGAGTCAGAAACACTGGATTTGTAAGATATAAACCATAATAATGTATGGCCTAGTTATCAATGTAACAGGGTTTTCTATCAGGAAGGATAAATGAGGCGAAAAAGTGGATCAAGATTTTAATCTGAAGAAAATCTACATAACATTGTTCAAATTACAGCCATAGAATACTACTTCTCATGAATGTTAATATGCATTATATACATTTTTTAAAATTCTCTGTAATCAAATTAAGTATAGAAACACTGGTTTTAACACAAAATTTAAAACGTTACTTTCATGTAGGACTACTAAAGCCCTAAAGTGCTAATGTGCACCCCTATTTTTCATACATAGAGTATGCAGTATCCCAACTTCATAAATCACCAAATACTTTTTCAAAGTGTATCCTACAGGATCACTATACTGAATAACATGCAATAAGAAACAAACAATAGTAAAATCAAAGTTAGCCTATCCAAAGAAAGCAATAGCCCTTGATAGATATATCCTAAGACATCTTATATATTAAATTAGACCATTTATCAAAGTTCCTTGCAAGAATCAATTACAATAAAAACCCTTCAATTAAAGTAATATAATTGAGATTAAATATTACTACATACCAACTACTAGCATACTTATTTTAACAATTTCCAATAATTAAAATTAAACATCTTTTTTTCAAGTTCTCTGGCATTTCTTATAATAGAATTTGAACTCTATGAACATGCATAGTCAATGCTCAAAAAACACTTATTGAAATCATCCTAAAATTAGCCACCCTTTTTCTCTATCACAAAGCAACTTTCAAAAACTTTTTAGTACAGACGGGGTTTCACCATGTTGGCCAAGCTTGTCTCAAACCACTGACCTCAGGTGATCTGTCCACCTTGTCCTCCCAAAGTGCTGGGATTACAGGCATGAGCCACCAGGTCTGGCTCCAGTGAAGATTTTAATGAATATTCCTTTTTTTTTCTTTGAAACCTCTCCAGCACAAAAGTAAGATAACTTACTTTAATAGTGAAGACACCAACAATTCACAAAGGCCTACAATAGTTGAAAGACATTTTCTATAGTGTCTATTTTTAACCAGAATTATCATTCACTAGAATTCTTCAAAAATTATTTCTATTTCAGTTTCAATATCTTCCTTTCTGGGTGGTTTTTTGTTGTTGTTGTTGTTTTGTCATCTACTTTTAAAAAATAAGTAATCCATAAAGGGAATCAAAGTAAGAAAAACAAAATTATGGCTGGATAGCAAGCAATGAGCTTGCTATGTGAGTCATTTTCTTCCTTAAAGAAGAATGAAATCTAGACAAATTTATTCTTTCCAACTGGTTAAACAAAAAATTAAAAATTTCAAAATTTCAAAAAAAATCTTCAATGTAAAGTATTTAATAAAATGAATGACCATTTACATGGGTGGAGGCTGAAACTACCCTTGAGAAAAAACTTAGTTGTCACAGTAACTATACAAGATTCTGGGCTCATCACAAAAACTTTATTATCTATGTAGCCATTAAGACTGCCTGGGAAAAGAAGCTAGCATCACTTAGGAAATCTGAGGGAAAGTAAGACAGTTTGCAAATGATCCCTCTGTCAAAGAGATTTGACACATAAAAAAATCAAACAACATACTTATAGTTCTAGGGGGGTGGGGAACTTCCTTAAAATTGAATAGTGTTTCTGCCAGGATAAAAATAATATTGTCTGTGTTTGCATATGTGTATGTGTGTGTGTATATATGCAATAAGCATTTAAAACATACAATTAGAATACCATAGTCTAATTTAATTGATATTACATCATAAAGTAAAAGCCCCCAAACTAGCTTATTTCTAAATTTAAAGACCATTTTATAACAGATTAGGATGCTACAGAAATACACAAATTACTTTATAATAACCAATGGAATAAGGAGTCAAAAACATGCACGTTAAAATTACAAAATCATGGAGCTTATTCTGACCTGGGAGAATCTCTAAATTGTCCATTCACAGAATGAAACCCAAAGTCTATAAAACTAGTGATCTACTGAAATCTAAACAGCTGCTGGCCAGAGGCATGATTTAAATTTCCATTTTTGTACTTTAGTATGGAGTTTTTTACCCAATATATCAACATTCTGCTCCTAAAGGACATTTGTCACTATTGAGGGAATTCTTTAAGTAATTTCATTTGGGGCCTTCTAAAGCAAGTCAAGGAAAAAAATTATATCATGCAAGATTCTAAAAATGGGCTTCATTTCCACACAGCAGCTCATCTACAAACCTGCTTCAAATTTCTTCCTTTTAGTAATGGATTTAATTTGGAAGGATAAGCTAAAATTTGAGAAAGCAATCTGGTTCTATCCAGTAGAAAATAATCTTTCAACAGCTTATATCTATAAAAGCCCTGATAAACTCTTTTCACTCGTATGATAAAATAACCAGAAACTTGTTAATTGCTCATCTGTTTTGAGAAATCCATGATTTTTAATTCTCAAAAATGAAGTCCACTCAGTTAATTTTATTTTTTCTTTTCCTATATACAGATAAGAATCCAACAAACTAAAAATAGATGTAAAAAGCTATTATGAATTACTACTAAATTCATGAGCTATCTAGGGTACATACTGAGCTTTGATTAAATCATATCTTTTTTTGATTAAAGGCTTTTTACCAACTTTATTATAAATAATTTTTTAATTATATAAAATACCAATTAAAATAGCACATACTCTGAATGCTCTATTCTTCTCTTCTTTCTGCTGTTTCTCCACTTCAACATGGCGGGCTAGACGAGCCAGAGTTAAAGCAACTTTATCCTTCTGATAATCAATATGGTCTTTACGTTTAATATTCTCCTATAACATGAAAAAAATTTTCATTCCTTTTAACAAAATTAGCATTTGGATAATATACATCCATTCATAAAACAGCTACTATACTAAAGAACCATTTACTTGAGTTATAAGAACCTATTTTGTGTATTGTAGGTTTTATGTGGTATTTTGTAGGTCTGTCAATTATCCACCAGCATCTTTGGTTTTCAAGAAGTTAGACAAATGAGCTGCTAGGACATTTATCATCTTTATTCACTTAAAAGCTGAAGAGTAAACTCTTCTCAGATCTGTCAGAGAGGTAGGGTCATCAGGCAAAGCGCCGACCCCTAAAATTGGAGAGAGAGAGAGAGGTAAATAAAGAACATCGACTTACTAAAGCAGAAACCTTCTAGCAGGAACCTCCATAGGAAACTAAACTCTAATGGATGCTTAGCGTGGACGAGCCTGAGAGTTAAAAACTCCAGGGGGAGCCAGCCATAGAGGGGCCCTCACACATGATCCTATATTAATAGATGCAGAAAAAGCATTTAACAAAATCCAGCACCCACTCATGATAAAAACTCTCAGCAAAGTAAGAATAGAAGGGAACTTTCTTCACTTTATAAAGATCATCTACAAAAAACCTACAGCTAACAACACATTTAATGATGAGAAACAGAAAGTCTTCACACTAAGATAAGGAACAAGGCAAGGATATCCCCTCTTGCCACTCACAACATTGTACTAGAAGTCCTAGCTAATGAAGTAAGATGAGAAAAAGAAATAAAAGATACACAGATTGCGAAGGAAGAAATAAAACTCTTTGTTTGCATCCACATAGAAAATCCAAAATAATTAACAAAATCATTCCTGGAACTAATAAGCAATTATAGCAAGGTTGCAGGATACAAGGTTAATACACAAGTCAACTGATTTCATATATATCAGCAATGAACAAGTGGAATTTGAAGTTAAAAAATCACTATGTACATTAGTACTCCCTCCAGATGAAATACTTAGGTATAAATATAACAAAATGTGTACATCTTTATGAAGAAAACTACAAAACTATAATGAAATAACACATAAAACTTTTTTTTTTTCATTTTTATTTCACATTCAAGGGTACATGTGAGGGTTTGTTACAAGGGTATACTGCATGGTGCCGAAGTTTGGCCTTCTACTGATCCCATCACCCAGAGAGTGAACATAGTATCCAATAGGAAGTTTTTCAGCCCTTGTCCCCCTACCCTCTCTCTCTCTCCTTTTGGAGTCCCCAGTGTTTATTGTTCCCAACTTATTCTCCATGTGAACCCAAGATTTAGCTCCCACTTATAAATGAGAACATATGGTACTCGTTTTTCTGTTTCTGCATTAGTTTGCTTAGGGTAGCAGCTTCCAGCTGCATCCATGTTGCTGCACCTTTGCATAATGATTTCATTCTTTATTATGGCTGTGTAGTATTCCACAGTGTACATATACCACATTTTCTTTATCCAATCCACTGATGATGGGCACATAGGTAGATTCCATGTCTTTGCTGTTCTGAATAGTGCTGCTATGAACATACATGTGTCTTTTTGGTGAAATGATTTATTATTTATTTTTGAAACAGGGTCTCATTTCACCACTCAGCCTGGAGTGCTGTGACACAATCATGACTCACCGCAGCCCTGACCTGCCAGGCTCAAGCAATCCTCCTGTCTCAGCCTCCTGAGTAGCTGGGACTACAGGTGCACACCACCACACCTGGGTAACTTACTTGTAGAGATGGAGGCTTGCTGTGTTGCTCAAGCTGGTCTCAAACTCCTAGGATCAAGTGATCCTCCCGCCTCAGCCTCCCAAAATGCTGGGATTACAGGTGTGAGCCACTATGTCCAGCATTTTCCTTTGGATAATATACCCAGTAATGGGATTGCTGGGTAGAATCACGGTTCTATTTTTAGTTTTTTGAGAAATCTCTGAACTGCTTTCCACAGGAGATGAACTAATTTGCATTTCCACCAACAGTGTATAAATGTTCCCTTTTCTCTAGAACCTTGCCAATATCTGTTACTTTTTGACTTTTTAGAAATAACCATTTTGACTGCTGTGAGATGGTATCTGATTGTGATTTTGATTTGCATCTCTCTGACGATTAGTGATGTTGAGCATTTTTTCATGTTTATTGGCTGCTTGTATGTTGTCTTTTGAGAAGTGTCTGTTCATGGCCTTTGCCCACTTTTCAATGGAATTGGTTTTTTTCCTTGTTGATTCATTTAAGTCCTTATAAATTCTGGATATTAGTCCTTTGTCAGGTGCATACTTTGCAAATATTTTCTCCCATTCTGTGGGTTGTCTGTTAGCTCTGTTGATAGTTTATTTTGCTGTGCAGAAGCTCTTTCGTTTAATTAAGTCCCATTTTTCTATTTTTGATTTTGTTCTATTTGCTTTTAGGGTCTTCATCATAAATTCTTTGCCTAAGTCAATGTCTAGAAGAGTATTTCCTAGGTTTGCCTCTAGAATTTTTATAGTTTCAGGTCTTACATTTAAGTCTTTAATCCATTGAGTTAATTTTTATATATGGTGAGAGGTCTAATTTTACACTTCTGAATATGGTCAGCCAGTTTTCCCAGCATCATTTATTGAATAGAGTATCCTTTCTCGATTGTTTATTTTTGTCGACTTTGTTGAACATGAGTTGGTGAGTTGGTTGTGCCTGTGCTGCTTTATTCCTGGGTTCCCTAACTTATTCCATTGGTCTGCGTGTCTATTTTTATAACAGTACCATACTGGTTTGGTTACTGTAGCCTTGTAGTATAATTCGACATTAGGTAATGTGATGTCTCTGGCTTTGTTCTTTTTGCTTAAGAATGCCTTGACTATTCAGGCTTTTTGGTTACATATACATTTTAGAATAGTTTTTTCTACTTCTGTGAAAAATGACATTGGTAGTTTGATAAGAACAGTGTTAAATCTATAGAATGCTTTGGGCAGAATGGCCATTTTAATGATATTGAGTCTTCCCATCCATGAGCATGGAATGTTTTTCCATTTGCTTGTCATTTATGATTTCTTTCAGCAGTGTTTTATAGTTTTCCTCGTAGAGATCTTTCACACCTTGGTTAGGTGTATTCCTAGGTATTCAATTTTTTTGTGTGGCTATTGTAAATGGGGTTGTATTCTACATTTGGTTTTCAGCTTAACTGTTATTGGTATATAGAGATGATACTGACTTTTGTAGTTAATTTTGTATCAAAGAACCTCTCAAGAAGTGGAGAGGTATTTCATGTTCACAGATAGAAGACTCACTATTGTCAAGATGTCAGTTCTCCTAACTTGATCTATATATTCAATGCAATCACAATCAAAATCCTAACATTATTTTTTGTATAACAACAACCTCAATTTGAAGTGTATATGGAGAGGCAAAAAAACTATTAGCCAACTCAGTACTGAAGGAGAACAAAGTCATAGGACTGACACTAACTGACTTCAAAACTTACTATAAAACTACAGTAATCAAGACTGTGTGGTACTGTCAAAAGAAGGGACAAACAGATCAATGAAACAACAGAGTCCAGAAATAGACCCACATAAATAAAGTCAACTGATCTATGACAGAGGAGCAAAAACAATACAATGGAGAAAAGACAGTCTTTCCAACAAATGGTGTTTGAACAAGTAGACATCCACACGCAAAAAACAATGAATCTAGACCCTGACCTTACACCCTTCACAAAAATTAACATAAAATGAATCACAGAACAAAATACAAGATACAAAACTATAAAACTCCTAAAAGATAACATAGGAGAAAATCTAAATGACCTTGTGCATGACAATGACTTTTTAGATACAGGAGCAAAGCACGGTCCTTGAAAAAAATAATTTATAAGCTGCACTTCATTAAACTTAAAACTTCTCTGCAAAAGACAATGTCAAACAAATAAGAACACAAGCCACAGACTGGGAGAATATGTGCAAAAGACACATCTGATAAAGGACTGTAATCCAATATGTACAAAGAACTCAACACTGAACAATAAGAAAATGAACAGCCTGCCTTAAAAATGGGGAAATAGCTAAACAGACACCTCACCAAAGAAGATATACAGATTACAAATTAAGCATATGAAAAGATCAGCATATGCCATTAGGGAAGTATATGTTAAAACAACGAGATACCAATATACATCTATTAGAACGGCCACATCTAAAACACTGACAACATCAAATGTTAGCAAGGATGTGCAGCAAGAGCCAACTCTCATTTCATTGCTGGTTGGAATGCAAAATGGTATAGCCACTTTGAAAAACAGTTTGGCAGTTTCTTACAAAACTAAACATATTGGACTTCTTGGTTGTTACTCAAATGAATTGAAAACTTATGTCCACACAAGAACCTGCACACAGCTGTTTACAGCAACTGTATCATAAGTGCCAAAACTTGGAAGCAACCAAGATGTCCTTCAATCGGTGAATGGATAAACTTTGGTATATTCAGACAATAGAACATTATTCAATGCTAAAAAGAATTGAGCTATCAAGCTGTGAAAAGACATGGAGGAACCTTAAAAGCACCTGATTACTAAGTGAAAGAAGCCAATCTGAAAAGGCTGCATACTGTATGGCCACATATCACATTCTGGAAAAGGCAAAACTACGGTAACTGTAGTAAGATCAGTGACTGACAGGATAGTCAAGGAGGAGGGATAAACTGGCAGGGCACACAAGATTTTTAGGGCAGTCAAACTATTTTCAGTAATACTACAATGACAGATACATGTCATTACACATTTGTCAAAGCCTAGAGAATGTATAACACCAAGTGTGAACCCTAATGTAAACTATGAACCCTAATGTAAACCAAGCTCACATTAACATACAGGCAAAGTGGACAACTTATAAATCACTGTTTACCTACCAAAAAAAAAAAAAGTAATGACAATTCTCCTGCTACAAGGTTGAAAGAAGGGCTGACATTCCTAAATAGAAAGAAATAGAAAGTATATCTTATGCCTACATTTTTCTAGAGACTAGAAGCACAAAATATGTTAATGGAGGTTCACAGATTGAAACAAATGTACCCTGTAGTTTCCAATGAGGATAGTGGAGGTTTTGCATGGAGGGGTGGGAGGGGAGGAGGTAAGTGGACACTGTCTGACTGTACTTTCTGCTCAATTTTATGGTGTACCTAAAACTGCTCTTTTTAAAAAGTCTATTTTAAGAAAAGAAAAATAATAGATCTTCCCTGGCTTCTTTTTTCTTTTGAGACGGAGTCTTGCTCTGTCACCCAGGCTGGAGTGCAGTGGCGCGATCTCGGCTCACTGCAACCTCTGCCTCCCAGGTTCAAATGATTCTCCTGCCTCAGCCCCCGAGTAGCTGAGATTGCAGGCGCGTGCCACCACCCACCTAATTTTTGTATTTTTAGTAAAGATGGGGTTTCTCCATGTTGGCCAGGCTGGTCTCGAACTCCTGACCTAAGGTGATCTGCCCGCCTTGGCCTCCCAAAGTGCTGGGATTACAGGCGTGCACCACCACGCCCCGGCCTTCCCTGGCTTTTTCTACCAGAATGATTGGTTACAAATAAAATATCACTCTTTGGGCAAATCAGTCACATATGTACAACCCAATTTTTATCTAAAGTGGGATAGTGGTGCACTGGCCAAGTCAAACAGCAGGTATGACTTCTTTCTAGAGGTAGAAAGAAGTTATACTGAAGTAAGCATATATAAAAAGGCCAAATTGGTATTTTCAGTATGAGGCTACACCTTTGCAGTAGGGACTGTTTATAGGACCACTTTAGATAGAAGTAACCCCAGCTCACTTTCTGACTACTTGGACAGCATACAGCCTTGCACCCAGGTAGTAGGTGACATTCTACTAACTTCAAAATATCCTTTTACAAGTTACAGGGCAATGCAGGTCCTCAGAAATGGCAGTCACAGGAAGTTATTTTTCTAAACTTTGATCCCTTAGTACAGGCAAATCTGCCTTAAAAGCAAATTAGTGGTCGAGCGTAGTAGCTTACACTTGTAATCCCAGCACTTTGGGAGCTGAGGCAGGAGGTTCACTTGAGCCCAGGAGTTGGAGACCAGCCCAGCTAACAGTGCAAGGCCTCGTCTCTACAAAAAAATTAAAAATTTAGCTGGGTGTGGTGGCATGTGCCTATAGTCTTAGCTACTCAGGAGGCTGAGGCAGGAGGATTGCTTGAGCCCAGGAGATCGAGGCTCCAAAGAGCTATGATCCAGCCTGGGGGACAACAAAGCAAGACTCTCTTCTAAAAAAAGGGGGAGAAAGGTCAAATTAAATTTATTCCTTGCAAAAACTACAAAATGTAGATACTACCTCGAGAAGGAAATTTAGCATAGATCACAAATATAAACTTTAATTTAAAGATGCTGGTAAAATTTAAACACAGGTATAGAGTGTGTTAACTTTCTCAACAGAGATAATACTTTCTAGGTTTTAAACTTTAACAAAAGTCATGCTTGAAAGTCCTGGTAAACCAAGGTCACATTAACATACAGGCAAAGTGGACAAGGTATAAATTACTGTTTACCTACCAAAAAAAAAAAGACAGTAATGACAATTCTCCTAAAGGTTGAGAGAAGGACTGACATTCCTAAACAGAAAGTATATCTTATGCCTAAATTTGTCTGGAGACTAGAAGCTGCAGAAAATTTATCAAGATATTTCAAGTTGCTACCCTTACACCAAACAAAATATTTCCTAATCAAACATTAAGTCACTTATGCAGCCATGTGGGTGTAAGGATAGGAAATCAAGGGATTTTTTTCATCTCTCCGAAATTCCTGTGTCACAACAACAATGTGAATATTCTAGGGACAGGAAGAAGGCCATGTTTTGGATAAATTTAGGTAATCCTAACTCGGGAAGAACTATCCTTGAATTGATGTTTCCACTATCATTTTACTTTGTTCTAGGCCATAATAAAACCATTTTAAGTTACTTTTGAAGTTATAGTCATTCAGGAAAGCTTTACATAATATTTATTCTTCTTAATGTTTACTTTAAAGCATACTAAATGAATCTGATGCAATACTTTTCACTGACCTTTGCATATACTCTTGATGCAAAGGTCAATGAAAATTAAATTCAGAAACACAGCAATTATATATTCAGTAGGAAAAAATTTCAGTAATTCACTAGTCACATAAGTATATTCTTAAAACTTCACTCCCTTCAAATTATACTCACGTGCTATCAAAACATACTCACGACACTAGGAAGATAAGTTGTTTAGCCATTTAAACATTAATTTAGATCTCTTCAACTTCACTCTAAAATTAATCACTAGCCTACCATCTTGGAGGCCTTAAAACCTGTTGGGATTGTCATTATTTACTACAATTGTTTTTCTTATATTTAGCTATTAGTAGCCTACATATTTTATTTAACTACAAGTTGAGCTTCCCTAATCCAAAAATCTGGAAAAAAAAAAAATGCTCTAAAATCCAAAACTTTTTGAGTGCCCGTATGAAGCTCAAAGGAAACATTCCTTGGAGCATTTCAGATTTCAGATTTTCACATCAGGGATGCTCAACCAACAGCTGTAACACAAATATTCCAAAATCCAAAAATATCTAAAACCCAAACACTTCTGATTCCAAGCATTTCAGATAAAGGACACTCAACTTGTATATGGTTATGTCTCAATAAATTGCCTCTGTTATTCTCTACTAATTCTGCTGATCTGTTTATTCTCTTTCACAACACTGAAGGGCTGAAAAGACCCACAAGCCCTAATGCTGAAAACAAAAGGCATCTTAGAATTGACTTTGGGCTTACTTCTTCCCTGTGAGGAGAAAGTTTCTTCATTTTTTTTTTTTTTGTTTTGTTTTCCTTTAGAGATAAGGTCCTCTGGCTGGACTCAAACTCCGGGGCTCAAGCAATCCTCCCACCTCATCCTACAGAGTAGCTGGGCCTATAGGTACATGCAACCATGCCTGGTTCTATTTTCTTCTTAAAAAGGAAGAAAAAAAGGAACTCTGGCTACCAATACTGAAAACAGATTTGGGAGAAATCTGCTAGGAGTAGAGGAAAAGGAATGGTAGTAGAGAAAGCAAGGGCTTCAACTCTGAAATCTTTGCCAATTTTGAACTGAGAAACTTTAAAACTGAGAAAACGGGTATATTAAAGAAAGATGTTTTAAACTGGGAAAAGATTAGGTATATGAGGCAGACTATTAGTCATATGATATTTTTCTTTTTCTTTTTTTCTAGACAGAGTCTTGCTCTGTCACCCAGGCTGGAGTACAGTGGTGTGATCTCGGCTCACTGCAACCTTTGCCTCCTGGATTCAAGCGATTCTCCTGCCTCAGTCTCCCGAGTAGCTGGGGCTACAAGTGTGTGTCACCATCCCGGCTAATTTTTGTATTTTTAGTAGAGATGGGGTTTCGCCATGTTGGCCAGGCTGGTCTCAAACTCCTGACCTCGAGTGATCCGCCAGCCTCAGCCTTCCAAAGTGCTGTGGCGTAAGCCACAGCACCCTGCCCATACAATATTTTTCCATTACAAATCTTGGCTTTGGGGGTCAAGGTAGCTGGTTAAAGGGGCCACTCAATTCTTAGCACTGAGAATTTCTACCATTCCCCTAATGCCACATACTGACGTGTAATTTAATGTGAAATTGTAAAATTCCAGAACTCCTTTCCTTAGGCTGGATTTGCCATCTCCCACAAAGCCCATAACTTGAATTATCACTTAGGTCTTTGGACCTAATTTCTAACAAAGGTAAGGCTTTCAGATATGACCTGAATTCACTTCTCAAGCTAGAATTGAATTGGCTCTGATCCATGGCAAAAATCATTATTTTTTTTAAGTTTCATTTTGAGTATTAGCAGCTATAGGATCTTCAGGGTTATCCTCCTTGAAGTATTTCCTATGGTCACCCTGGACTAATGTCTTTAAATAAAACACATAATATTAAAGGGTCCATACCGACAGTGAATAAGCTATCAATGCTAGCCAATCAGTGTTGGGGAGAAGCACAGGAAAGCCTTAGGAAAAATATTGGGAAAATTGGAGGTCTTCTGTTTGCCAATACTTCAGATCAATTTCTGCATTAGTTTTCTTCCATACCCAGAATTGCATAGAATTAAGGAGGATGTAAAGCCAGAAGAAGCCTAAAGGCAGATTCTGGTTCAGTCACTATGAAATTCTTACATTCTCAAATATACTTCTTTACATTTTTATCTAAAATTTTAGGTAAAACATGCACAGAGCAAATTTCGGTTGTATCCTAGAAATGATAGCCATATTGAGGATACTGGTTACACCTGACGAAACATCTCCATGAAAGTTAAGCATACACAGGTAAAGCAACACTTCTAAACAACGTTTATCTTTTAATGTATCCTGGTAGAGTTACAGCAAAAAGTCCAAGTCTAGAAATGACAACCTGACACAAAATCCCATAATCAACGAAATGATAATGTTAAACTTACATTTCAACATCTCTTCCCTATTAGTACTAATAGATCAATCAATTAGATACTTTTTTTTTCTGACAGGATCTCACTTTGTTACCCAGGCTAGAGTGCAATGGTGTGACCACAGCTCACTGAAGCCTCAACCTCCTGAGCTCACTTTTAAGCAATCCTCTCACTTCGGCCTCCTGAGTAGCTGGGCCTACAGGCATGTACCAACACTCCCAGCAAGTTTTTCTTATTTTTGTGAAGACAGAGTCTTGCAGTATTGCCCAAGCTGGACTTGAACTCCTGGCCTCAAGCAATCCTCCCATCTAGGCCTCCCAAAGTGCTAGGATTACAGGCATGAGCCACTGTGCCAAGCAACACTTGCAGTTTTTAAGTGAAAATGATCCTGTAAATATATATATGAATAAAATCTAGAAAGCTATATAAATCAAAATGTTAAATAGTGGTTATTTCTGTCTGGAGGGTTTTTTCTTTTTTACATTTATTTTCTAATTTTTCTACAATCAGCATATGTAATAAAATTGTTAACTAATTTTAATTATTAATGAAGAAGACTATACAAAGACAAAAATGTTAAGGATCTCAGTCTTTTGTTTGGGAACATAATGGACTTGGTTTAAATCACTAATTTTGCCTTATAAAAATATGTTTAATATATATCCTACAAAAATATAGACAGAAATGCTGCATCTAGAAGGAACATAATCTATTAGTAAATTGTATGTAACTTTTCTCAGATTTTTGTCCCTATATGTATAATGATTGGGTTACATTATTTTCCAAACTCAACAGAAACATATTAATCAAGAATTAAGGAAAGTCACTTTCAGGTCAACAAGCTTAATGGCTATTGGGAAAATATTTTTACACAAATTTCAAGCCAAACACCGTTATCACTTAAAGCAAAAAACATTTAGCTAAAACACAAATTTGTATATATTTTTTTACATATATGGTTTTCCTAAAAGCATGTCTGATTTTGTATTTTAAAGTGTATTTAAAATACTGATGAAAGTACACTTAGTCAAATTAAAAGTTGAAACTTAAAAATATATGCTTATTCAGCTCACTTAGACCTGACCTTTCTCTATTCTTCTTTGGAATGTAAATATAGAAAGCAGGATTCTTAGTTTTTCCAATCACAAAGATAAGTTCTCTTAGGTAAGTTTAACAAATGTGCTCAAAAGGAAGCTAATTAAAAACCAAAATAAATTTTTAGTAGAAGCTAAATTTCTACTTAAGTAACTTCAGATGAATGTATATGACTTCATACATGAACTTTCTGTTAAAATTCATCTACAAATGCCTATTTCTTGAACAATTCACTCTCGATCCTGAAAATGTAGTATGGTTTAGGAAGCTAAATGCCAGACAGAACTGGCTCTAAACTGTTTTATAAAAAATTTTTCGGCTGGGCGCGGTGGCGTGATCACGCCTGTAATCCCAGCACTTTGGGAGGCCGAGGTGGGCAGATCACGAGGTCAGGAGATCGAGAGCATCCTGGCTAACATGGTGAAACCCCATCTCTACTAAAAATACAAAAAATCAGCCGGGTGTGGTGATGGGTGCCTGTAGTCCCAGCTACTCGGGAGGCTGTGGCAGGAGAATGGCGTGAACCCGGGAGGTGGAGCTTGCAGTGAGCCGAGATTGCACCACTGCACTCCAGCCTGGGTGACAGAGCGAGACTCCATCTCAAAAAAAAAAAAAAAAAAATTTTTTTTTCTCAGAAGACCCATGAGTATATTTTTTACAAATATTAAATTCAGGCAGATCTTTCACTTTATTCTTCATACATCACTCATCGAAAAGTTGAACCTCTGAGTAACTTATTGTGATAACTAGCTAAATCAGTTACTTTAAATGTTTGCAAATATTAACTCAAAGGGAATGCGGAATTAATGGAGTGATTTTACTTTTGCAAAGCAATTTCTAGAAAACAATATTAAAAAGCAGGACTAGGTAAAGAAAATGTAGTACATATACACGACGGACTACTATACGGCCAAAAAAAAAAAAAGAATGACATCATGTCCTCTGCAGGAACATGGATGGAGCTGGAGGGCTTAGTGAACTAACACAGGAACAGAAAACCAAATACTGCATGTTCTCACTTATAAGTGGGAGCTAAATAATGAGAACCAATGGGCACAAATAGGGGAACAGCAGACATTGGGCCTGAATGAGGGAGGAGGGAGAGCACCAGAAAAATAACAATCGGTTACCACGCTTAGTACCTGGGTGACAAAATAATCTGTACCCCAAACCCCCGTGATACAAGTTTACCTATAAAACAAACCTGTAAATGTACCCCTGAACCTAAAATAAAGGCTTTAAAAAAAGAAAAAGGAACAAAAAGCTGGGCTTCATAGAAGAAATTATTTTATAATAGCTCATAGCATTGTACTACTTTGTGGCTTTTTAATGATAAAGAAATGACTTATATTTGTAAATCATTATTACTAATTTCAGAAAGCACTTTAGTTCTTGATGAACCAAAAAGCTTCCATTTTATATTTTCTACAAAATTACTTTAATAGAAATATGAATATATTATGAACATGAAGTCACTAGACCTCTCTGTGAAATGGAACAATTTTGCTCCATATACCACACACGGTGATATAACCTAGGAAGAAAGCACTCTGCAAGAACAGTTACTACCCAGAGAAGTGATCACAACAACCCAGTTTCCTATCTCACTCATCATAGGCACTTTCTGCCTACTGAAAAAGCCAGTAATAGAAAAAGATGCAATTTGTAGGAGGGAAGAAGGTAAAGAATAAGGTGAGGGGATATACACAAAACAATCCAAGGCAGGTTTATTTACAGTCATAATATCTCCCTGAACATCAGCTGGCACTGATGATCCAGAGGAGTACCAACTGGAGACTATTTCTTTCATCACCTCTATCTTATATGTAAGGGACTCCAAGTTCAAAGAAAGCTCAAAGGAACAACCAACTGCAAAAGAATTAACTTTGCACATCATCACGGTATCTGACTAGCGCATTTGGTTTGAACAGAATTCCTGCAACAAATGGATTACTTCATAAAAACCCAATTTCAAAGTCCGCTTATTATTGCCCATCCTAAAGCTTCAATTCATAGTTTGGTCTGAAGTTTGCACCACCCCCCAAAGTTCTGTTTACCAGAAGCCCCTTCTACTCAACTTATATAACTCAAACCCGTATCCCAAATAACACTTTGAAAAGCAATGGTTTTTCTCAAGAATTTTATATGCAAATACAGATAAAGCAGAAGAGATAAACGCAGCATAACAGTACAATATTTATTTACCATCTTACCATCTCCAGCAGCAAAGCTTTAGAACAAGGAAACCCTCTTTTTACAAAGCAATCTCCTTCCCACCCCCAATTAGTTGTTTACAAATACAAAGTACACAGAACATCTGCTTTGTATGAACAAATCTTAAAACACACATATAGATATACTCCATTCTGTAAAGTACTTTATTCAGTGAATAAGGCTAGTCCCACCAAACCTGTTAAAAAAGATTTTCCTATATTCTCTTTTGAGTAAACTGCCAACATCTATCTCTATAAAAATCATTTTAGGAAAATGACTTACATCCTCCTTCAGTACAGGACCAAAATATAACAGTAACTGGACCTTAAGAGATTTTTAAAATATACGGCCAGGCGTGGTGGCTCACAACCACAATCCCAGCACTTTGGGAGGCCGAGGCAGGTGGATCACCTGAGGTCAGGAGTTCAAGACCAACCTAGCCAACATGGTGAAATCTTGTATCTACTAAAAATACAAAAATTAGTTGAGCATGGTGGCAGGTGCCTGCGATTCCAGCTACTCGGGAGGCTGAGGCAAGAGAATCGCTTGAACCCGGGAGGCAGAGGTTGCAGTGAGCCAAGATCGCACCACTGCACTCTAGCCTCAGCGACAGAGTGAGACTCCGTCTCAAGAAACAAAAAACAAAAAAAAAAAAACAAAAAAACCCCACAGTAACTCTGAATATGAAGTGTGACAAAGCAAAAGGGAGTTTTTTAACCCTGAGTGCCACTGTTCCACCTCTGGCACAGAAGGAAAAAAAAAAAAAAGGATGAACTGTAGAGAAAATAAAAGTAAAAGTGGGAATGGGGCCTGGTACGGTGGCTCACGCCTGCAATCCCAGCACTTCGGGAGGCCAAAGTGGGCAGATCACTTGAGGTCAGGAGTTCGAGACCAGCCTGGCCAACATGGCAAAACCCCATCTCTACTAAAAATACAAAAAATTAGCCAGGAATGGTGGCATGCGCCTGTAATCCTAGCTACTTGGGAGGCTGAGGCAGGAGAATCGCTTGAACCTGGGAGGTGGAGGTTGCAGTTAGCCGATATGACCCCACTGTACTCCAGCTTGGGCGCCAGAGTGAGACTGTCTCAAAAAATAAGGGAAAAAGAAGGAAAAAAAAAAAAAAGAAGGTAAAGGTGGCCAACAGCAAGGAAAAAAACTTAAAAAACGAATACGAAGTTGACAAAATGTGTTGGAGCTGCTGGAGATATTACTGGGACAAGGTCTACAACCCAGTTTCCTATCTGAAACACCTAGAGAGGGTTCTGGTGATAGGAACCCACTTCCTCCTTCAATACAACACCTCCAAATGCCAATGAAGCAATATTTTTATAAGTAACTTTATTTTCCCCAAGTCCACCTAGAAATGATCTGTAAGTCAAAACACAAGGAAATTAACCACTTTTAGCTACCCTGAGGACACCTTTCCATAGGTGACCCTGAAGTATGCAACCATTTAACCATGAAGGGATACCACATTCCACTTCAGGAACATTATCCTGTTCATCCTCAGAGTTGTTTTCTACCAGTGCCTCAGTTCTTTCTGATTGCTTGAGCTGCCCCAGAGCCAGAGGTGCACTGTAGAAAGCCCACCTTGGGCTCAGTTCCGGGAAAGAAAGAATTGTTCTAGATGTACATAATGGACTATGGTACAAACCAACCCCTAGAGAGACAACTCCTAGAACCTTACAAGTAATGGCTGTACAAACTTAGCACACTTTGAATATGTAGGAACCAGTACATATTCACAGATAATTTATCATCATCTATTTAGTCTCCTTCATTTCTGTTCCCCCTAAAGACTATTTCTTATAATTCTGAAACCAGACACACCCCATTGTGTTACCCACACTGTTCCACACTCCTGTTCCTCCAGCTGAATGTCTGGCTCCTGTTTCTCCACCAGGCCAACTAACTCTTGCCTAATCATCCTCCAAAACTCAGCTCACACACTTGGTAAGAAAAGCTTTTCCTCACCCCTCTATATGGCTTTTCTTATTCCATCACCACAGGCATTCTTCCAAAAAGGACATCTGCTCTTATACTTTAGTGGTATTTATTTCTCTGGAGAATATACCATCTCTTATTAACCCTCAGTATTCTCAGACCTTTCTCAATACCTGCCTGCACATAGCAGGTACTGAAAAAGATGTCTGACAAACTAAAAGACTGTTTTCAACACAGATATGAAATAACAAAATACCATCTATCAAAAATTGTATACACATACATATACACTCTAACTCCTCATTCTACATTCTCTTATTTTATTATTATGAGCATTTCTTAGCTTGTACTTGAGAAAAGAGACTATTTTACTTTAAATATATCTTTTAATGACTTAGTACACTGTTAGGCTTGTAAGACAGCCTTAAAAAATCATAAAGGGGAACATGATCACATGGCATGAAATGAACATTTACATGCTGTTAAATAACATTTTAAAATGTATGTATCTATAGCCAATACCATAGAATACCATATCCAATATGAATAGAAACAGCACAATTACTTCAAAAAGGAAATCTGCATCAGGCTTTAGTGTGTTGTCAAAGTACTTTCGGATATTACCTCATTTGAGAGTAAGAAAACTGAGGCTCAGAAAACAAGTGACTTGCTAATGCTGAGGGTCAAGGTCTTTGGAATTCAAATACCATGTGCTTTGCACCATTCCTTTTTCCTTCCATTAAACCAATATCCTCAAAATGCCAGTTAAAAAAAAAAAATGTGTGTATATGAAACAAAATGAATGTAATAAACAACATTGAACAAAGAAAAAACTCAAGCAATACGATTAACATAATCAGTGCTGAAAATGAATGGAAACAGAAACCAATGACTACGAATCAAGAATAATCTTAGTCCAGCAGTGAAATCTCAATGGGAGAACTAAGAGGATAGGGTTCCTGATGTGACAAGTGAAATAATCAGGAATTAGTTAATAGCTAAGACATCAAATACTAGTGGGGTGACAGTAAAGCCATAAAGGAAGTTCAGAAAATGAAAAGATTTGTGTATGTAAAATTAGTTTACCATAGAAGTAAAACTTGAATGGGGCTTTGAAAAACACATGGAGGCAGCCTAGTATAATGCTGAATTGAGACTGGAAAAAGTCCATATTTAAAGCTCAGTTCCACCACCTGAGCAAGTTGCTTAATGACTTAATGAAGTTTCAGTTCTTCTTCTGCAAAATAAGAATGAATTTCTCTCAAGAGTGCCTTGCAATCAGCACAGAGCCTGTACTACAGACTATACAAATGTAGATTCTTTCTTCTACTGCCTTCCCAGGCAGGAAGATGACAATTAAACACACGGATATTAACATGCTTCCAAGACCTGTCAGAATATATAGAAGCTGTTCCAAGCCATTAAAGAAAGATCAATACACAGGCCGTTCTGTCCCAAGAATCTAAATGAGACTACTTATATAACTATATTCTACTGAAGGCAAAAAGGAACGGGCTGCATACCTAACAGTAGTTAGATGTAAATTAAATATGTAAAAAAAAATGAATTGAAAACTGTGTTTAGTGACTTGGGGAAACGTTTTTATTTCATCATCCACATCACTGTTACCTCACCAATCAAAAGAGGTATTAAGGGACCACAACATATAGTTATTTAACACATTACTACATTTATAAATCAAGGTAGTGTGAAACACAGCCATCACAAATAAAAGTAGAGTTAACAAGAGGTCTAACTGTAGCCCTTAACAGTAAATGCTGTGATAGAGCCACTCTTACGGGTAATGAAAGAAAACAGTACTATGATAGCTCATGGAGCAAAGATAGCATATGAAAGTTAGTCTTACAAAAGGACTACTAACTGAACACAATTCTTGAAGCACTTAAGGTCAAAGTAGAATTTTTTAAAATATCACCAAATACAGGCCGGGCACTGTGGCTCACGCCTGTAATCCCAGCACTTTGGGAGGCCAAGGTAGGTGGATCACAAGGTTCAGGAGATTGAGACCACCTGGACTAACACGGTGAAACCCCATCTCTACTAAAAATACAAAAAATTCGCCGGGTGTGGTGGCGGGCGCCTGTAGTCCCAGCTACTCAGGAGGCTTAGGCAGGAGAATGGCGTGAACCCGGGAGGCAGAGCTTGCAGTGAGCCGTGATCTCACCACTGTACTCCAGCCTGGGTGACAGAGCAAGACTCCGTCTCAAAAAAAAAAAAAAAAAATCATCAAATATAAACTATTTACTTTCACGTTACCAAAGGAATATACTCAGGAATACTAGAAAACAGTACAACTTGAGAGATCTCCAAAGTCCTAAAAGAAAATACAGACAGCCTGAGAATTCTTATTGAATTCTTGACAAGGTACCACAAAACCCAACAGACCATTTGAAATAGGTTACCTCAACCAGTAAAGCCCTTAACATCTACGGAAAACGGGTTAACTTTAAGATATATCAGAGCTGTATTATAATAAATCCATGGGGATGGGCTTCAAAATTTTTATAAGATACATATGACCATAAACTATATATAATAAACTTGTGTGAACATGTAGAAATGAGAAAATACTACTACCATTAAACAAGGTAGCACTAAAAGTTGATTTAAGTTCAAAAATCAAAGTAGTTTGAGATATTGGACTGGCTATATTTTTTTTAAAAGGGACATTAGAAGAAACTAGAATATCTCTTCTAATAATGCTTTAAAGACATGGTATTTAAATATACAAATACAAAGCCACATCAAAATCCTGTCTAGTATACACTGATAGAATAAAAATATCATCTACATCAAAGCGATTATGGGAAGATCAGACATCCTTTCAGAAAGAGGTGTTGAATACAGGAGAAGAAAAGATCAATACATAGAATAACTGATATGCTAACAACATCAAAAGGACATGGTTGGACTATGACCACTTCCAGATATATCCCACAGGAAGCAAACAAAATTTCCAGTAATAAGTTATCTCAATGGTACCAAACACTAGTAAAGTTTTCATTATAACAAAAAACAAGTAAATGAAAAGACAAAGAAGTAAAAAATATTCCACTAATAAGAGAAGATTTAATAAAACAATATTCTGTTCATCCAGGAAGGGAAATTTCATAAAATAATATTTTAATGGTTTATAAAACTCAATATATCTGGAAAAATAATAAAAAGATTTGCATTCAATACAATAATCACCAGTTTACTGATAACTTCCACTTATATATTTTCTTAAGTAAAAAATAAAGACTGGTTTGTGTATCTACTATGATAAACCACACAGAATCGATCTAGTCTATTGAATCACATGCATAAGATGCATACAGATGAGACAATCAATTATTGGACTAGCCACTAACATTAAATACAGAATGATAGATTCCAAAAGACAAGAGAACCTAAACAGTGCGAGACTGTGGCAAAATATGCCTCACATAAAAAAAAAAAAAAAAAAAATTTCACAGCCAGGCGCGGTGGCTCACGCCTATAATCCCAGCACTTTGGGAGGCCAAGGCGGGCGGATCACTTGAGGTCAGGAGTTTGAGACCAGCCTGACCAACATGGAGAGACCCCGTCTCTACTAAAAATACAAAATTAGCAGGTCATGGTGACACATGCCTGTAATCCCAGCTACTCGGGAGGCTGAGACAGAATTGCTTGAACCCGGGAGGTGGCGGTTGCAGTCAGCCAAGATCGTGCCATTGCACTCCAGCCTGGGCAACAAGAGCGAAACTGTCTCAAAAAAAAAAAAAAAAAAAAGATTTCACTTATTGCAATCTTTAAACTACTTCTACAAAGATCTAATCCATAATTTCAAACCTTCATCAGAATCCCAGTCAACTAGTTATATCTTCAAGAATAATGAATGTCATGTCCATCCACATCAGTATCCAATTTTACCAGACAAAGGGATTCCGGAATGTGTCTTTTTCAACCTCCTTGTTTACAGTACCTGAGAGGTTATCCTGGATGTATCAGGTCCTTAAGGACATTATCAATCAGGTCACTTAGGTAGCACTCAGTAAATTATTAGTGTAGTACTAATATAGAATACTAAATACTGTCCAAGTAGCCTGAAAGAGTTTATGCTCCCTTCAAAATGTCATTTTGAGGGCTAAGTAAATAAATGGAATTATACTGATTGATAAAGAAGCTGCCACACGGTTTAAAAAAAAAAGTTTAAATGTAATTATACTGATAAGGAAGCTGTCATTCATTCTTTTAAAAAAAGATAAAAGTGTCAGCAAATTTACTGCTTTTTAAAAATGTCCTTGCTTATTCTAACCAAGTAAACACATCCACTTATCAAATATAAGTTGTGTTATCATGGCTAAGAACAAGGTTAGATACGAGACAATCAGAAAACCTAGAGCATATCTATAGAAAACAAAGCTGCCTTAAGGCCCCCCAAAATTAGCCACTCACTAATAACAAAAAGGAACTACTGTCTAGTTAGTTAAATAAGGGGGAGGGAGGTATACTCTACAACCTTCTGAAATGAATCAACAGTGCTATAAAGAAAACAAATTAACATTCAGAAGGGAGTACATTTAGATAGTGCAATTGTACAAATGATAAACTACAAGATTAAATCACTGTACAAAATTCACATAAATACCACCAGCAATATATGCAAGACATCAAAGTTTAAGTTTTAAAGAAAAGTGTAGAATTAAAAAGGCACTTCATATAAAAATGGAAACAGTACTTCTCTATACACAGTAACTACAAGAAACCATATTGTCTCTATATACATTGTATATCTAATCAAGAAATAACATTTTGAAGAATCAAGATCATTAGATACATCCTTTTTGAGAATACCAGATCATTAAACTTGCAACTATTCCAAGGCCTCCTAGAAAACCTAGAGGTATTTAAACGTTAGAGGTTGGCCTAGTAGGGAATTTTGTTGCAGGTTCTGAACATGGCAGGCATAATATGAGGATTTATTATCTGACTAAGAGTTTCTGATTCTATTGGGGTAATCTCCCTAGACCAAATCCTCACTTTAAGTTTTATAACATTATCATTCAAGTATGCCAGAGATTTTAAAATAATAAAAAATTAACACATTAAAGATATTTCTTTTGCAATCAAGAAACTAATCTATTACTAAAAACTCTTCCTGATCTGCATTCTGTCCCCATCCCTATTAAACGGTCAAATCCTTTCAGAACTACTTGGTCACCAATTTGATAATTTCCCAATACCTTTACACTTCCAGGAAAACAGAGTATCTGGAGACACTTGGGCATATCAGTTAGAGTAACTAAGAAAGGATACTTTTACTTATTACTGGGCAACATAAATATCACAGGAGGAAAAGAGAACAGCAACATCATCTTACAAATATTTAAGAATGGAGGAGCTGCGCAACAATGCAAATATAGTCAACACTACCATACGCTTAAAAAATGGTTAAGGTGCTCAGCTTTATGTGCCTTTTTTTTTCTTTTTTTTTAACCACAATTTAAAAGGCAAAGGGAAGGGGAAGCATATTAAAGGGAAGTGCCAAAATCGTTTCAGACAAACGCATTCTCAGGCATAACTTATTTCGGTTTAGTTTAAGGTTTGAAATAAGAGTATTTCAAAAACCACCAAGTTTATGACATAGCATCTAATTCAGGGAAGGAAAAGGGGACAAATGGAAAGTGAAAAGTCTGAAGTAGCCTTAGCTAGTCAGAAACACTTATGTGCAGCCACATAAAACATTTCCAAGGTCTCTCACCACTGAGTTCTCCAGTGGCAAGTCCTCTAAGATAAAACTACAGTGCCAATATCAAGAGCACATGGGATTGCTTGATTGGTGCAATACACATAAGCTACAAAAATGTATGATTTCTTAGGCCTTTGTTTCTGTTCAGGTAATCGATATTCTTCTAGAGTTTAGTTTGAAAGACACTTTGTAGAGAACACTGGCATGGACCTATTTCTACAGAAGTGGAAATAAAATTTTGAGTAAAATACAGAAAAATAAGATAAATATTAACTCTTGATATGACTGGGCTAAATTTGCAAAACAATATCCCCTTTATTAAGACTAGTTCAAGTTTAATCTACAAATAGGACAAACAAGATCAATACAGTACCCTGAAATTAACTGATAAAGTAATTTCTTCCAAGTAGGAAAATTTACGCCATCAACCTCTGTAGCACAAATAAGGAAGAAAAGTAGATTTAAAAATGGGTGCTGAATATGGTTATGATGGGGGAGGAGGAATGAGCTTCCAATAGATTATTAAAAAGTGTGGCACCAGAGAAAACATCAATTACCACTGTGCAACAACTGTGGCAAGAACAGAAGCCACATAAACCGTAAAACAGTGCCATATTCCATTAGCAGTACATCCAAAATGCCTTGATCAAGCAGATGAAAAAACGCAGAAGTTACAGAATTAAGTCTGTCAATAAAAACAACTGTTTTTGGCTGCCAAGCAAATAATACTAGGTGATGTATTCAGACCCCTCAAATTTGACATATTCTCCATTCCTGATGTCATGCTGTGAAGACATGGATCTAAGGGCTGATATACCATACATCCACTACCTTGAGTCTAAAGAGAAGATACTGTGGGACATATAATTGAGGTATCTGCTGCCAGTTCCAGTATGGTGAAAAACTATTAATGGGACCAATTGGGAGCAAAAAGATAAGCTGTCTCTTACACTAAGAATCTGACTAAATTAAGTAACCAATTAACCAAGAGCGTATCACTTAAATCTTGATTTCAGCCTTTCAAATCATTAATGGATATCATCACTTAGATATCCAGAAACAGAGCTGTGTGGCTTGTTCTCTTCACCACATCCACAGCTATGCTTTAAATCTTAAGGATTCTCAATAAAATCTAGACTGATGGTATCCCTCTTTATTACAATAAGGGGACAAGATTGTCAGGCATGTTTGGAATTCTTGGTCTTAGGAGTTCAGATTTGCATGCCTGGATCGTGTAACATCCTTTATTTCCAGGGCACTGATGTGCGTATCTTTTTTGTATTTAGAGTGTGATGCACTATCAAGCTCAAAAGAATTAAATGTTTAGAAGGTAGGTTGTTTAAGAAGGCCATCTTGGTGAAAGGCCCAGCTTACAGTGAGAGACTACCATGACTCAGTCTTACAGCTTGATACGAGAGCTTGATAGGTCAAAGACTATTAGGATTGATAACAACAAACAATTCTCTCACATGTAGCTTTATGAGTAGTGATGGTATGGTGGCCATCAAAGTCTTGATGAAGATAGTTACTGTGCAATTTCTACAGAGATGTTACAGGTAGAAGTCTTTTTCCAGTTGGTGTCCATAATAGACCTGCGACATCTAGCCATTCCAAGGGGAAGCAAACTGGATTTGGCAAAATTTGATTTGAATTCCAGTTGACACAAAGCTTCATGGCTGATTCTGAAGTCTCACAGAGCTTGATAGTAGTACGGACTCTTGGTGAGTTGACCATCTTGACATAAAGACATTTTAACAGATGTGTCATTTTGTGAAGATCTGTCAAACTGAAGCCTGAACAAGGAAGCACTGATAACCTAAAAGTTAAGGATTTACCTCTGGTCTTAGTAAACAGACATCTAGTATTATTTCTAGATTCAAAATCTGCTAGTCCTCAGTTTACAAATAAGATTTTCCTGAGGAACACATCTTTATATTTTTCTTTAATCACAAGAGGATTCAGATTCCTGAGTGGTCCTCCTCCACACTTATTTTTGGACCAGAAATAAAGGATAAACATTTGTCCAACCCTTTCAAGAAAGTCTCCACTGCTCACTTGGCCAATAAGTCATGAGTTTCTTTATTATATACTTCATTTCAAAAGTCTAGAATTCAAATGTCAGCTGTGATCATTCCAGACATGCATCCAGTTTTTGAGATGATCTCCTACCTGTAGATCCTATTTGTACAAGGAGGAACAAGTAAAATAGTTAGGATCTTGAATGACTACTCTGCTGAACATTAAACAGGTTATTAATTCTTGTACCCATGGCGTTCTGGAGAGTCTCCCTTCTTTCTATATCTATAGGGGTGGTTTCGAGGTTTGTACCAATCCCCTTTGGAGTATCCTCTATTGTGATAATGTGCTTTCTGATCATGACTATAAAAGTATCGATGCTGATTATAGTATTTGTGATCTTTATAGTCATTTTCTTTTATATTGTTGTCTTCTGCAACAACAGCTTTCACATCTTGTCCAAAAAGGGAAGTACCATCAAAGGGCAAGTGGGAGATCTTCTCCTGGGTTTTCTTAGTGAGAGATGTAAGTCGAAGCCAGGCCTGCCGTCTATAGTCTATGGCCATGGCCATAACTCTGACTACAGAGTCCATTATGTCCCTAGTAGTACAAAGTTGCCAAAGGCCTGCATCCATACCATCAGATATTATGCATCTTGCTTTTCCACGATCAAATTCTGGGTCATGAACCAGATCTTCCATGTCTTCCCAGAGTTTACGCTGATATTGAGTCATATAGGCCATGTAGCTAGCAGCTCGGGCTGCAATGGAGGCAGCGTGGTAAAACCTACAACCCATGACCTCCATTTCTTTTGAGGTAGAATCTAGAGGGGATGTTGTGTTTCCTCTTTTGCTGTGTTCTAATGCTTCTACAATGGGGCCTTCAGCTGGTGGGTTTGGTTGGAAAGGAGAGGTGTCCTTGGCCACAGGATATACCCTGTGTCCCATGAAGGAAGAAGGATGGCAATCAGCAGGGTCTTTAAAAACCTCAGTGGTGGCAATTCTCAGAAGAGGATGCAATGGAGGAACCAAACGTTTTTTAGAAGTCACACAATCAGGTTTCCCTTCACATGACTCCGCTTCAGATTGTAATGTCACCCTTTTTATAACACCTCTTTGTTCCATTCTCTTCAAAAGACCTGTGAAACTAGATTGGCTGGGGTCAGATGGCTGCCCTTTGTCATCAGCTGATGGTGATTTGTAATCAGTTTCTTCTTCAACTGTGGATAAATTTTCCTCTTTAGAGGTGGAGATGTCCCAAGGAACTGAGGAGTTCTCACTTGGCCTAGAATGATGAAATCTAAAACAGCTCCTGGACTGCAGATCACGTATCACTCGGGACATTTCAGCTACTTGTGTCTGGAGATAGAGGATGGCATCCCGTCCATGCTGTGAAGCTGAAGAAGAATCTATACGTAAATTCTCTTTGACCTCAGAAGAGGCCAAAGATTCTTGGGGGACCAGAAGTGGAGATGAAGGCAGAGTCTGAAAATTCTGTGATGATTTAAGGGTCTCTGTCTCAGAGATCTTAGTATCTGAATTATTTTGATCATTTTTCTGGTTCTCCAATGGGTTCTCAACAGAGGAAGTTTGAGAAACTATCCTTTCTGGACTGCTGGAACAACTCCCAGAGAAGGAGCTGCTATCTCCAATGGGAAGAGGAACATTGCAGCTAGAGCACATTTCTGGGCGATGATTCTCAGAGGATGGCACCTTAGATTCAGGCATTCTCTGGGTTATCCACATGAACAAGAAAACCAAGGAAGAAAAAAAATATGCTTTTAATATGTTAACTTTCAAGTGCAGAGATTCATGTCCAGTAAGTAGAACTCAATTTTTAAATTATTATAATTAACAGTGAAAGATACAATCCACTCAAGGTCAGCAAAAGGAATCAGAGAAGTCAAATCCACAAGCTTCACTACCCCAAAGACCCAAAATCAACTACTGGCATTAATCTGGGACTCTGTTTATGAAAAAGGAGAGAGTAAAAACAAGCTCAGATCACGTGGTGCTATGCTGGCCTGCTGTTTGGTCCTGTGTGAGACCACTCATAAGAATAAAAGAAAAAAATATCCCATTCAAGATATGTTAAGTTCTACTCAAGATATGCAAGAAGCTAATGATGGCAAAGAGAACTTAAGGAAAGTTCCACTGAGAAGAAAAAAAATCTAAAACTCCCCCATTAGAGTCATTTTAGGCACCTCTGAAAATTCTGTCATTCACTGTCCACGAATAACAAAACTTCCCAGTTGTATAGTCCTACTTTATGGTTTGTAGTTATAAGAAGTTATAATTTGTTACCTCATTTCATCCTCACAACAACCCTGTGAGGTAGGTATTATTTGATTAAAAAACGGAGGCTAAAAGGTTACTTAATTTATCCAAAGTCACAGAATTTGTAAAGAGTAAAGCTGGGACTCAAACCCAGGTATTCTGATTCCAAGTCCAAGTCTCAATCCCCTATATCACAGAGCAAGAAGTTTGTGGCCACTCTGAACAATAACTAAGAGTTTTCTAATCCAAGATGAAAACAGCTCATTAACAGAAGTTTGGGCTAAAGCAAGGACAAATGAAAGGCAAGACTGTTACAAAGGGCTCAACTAGTTCAATTCTCAGAGCAAGGGAAGTATTGGTCCAAGGGTCAAACCTACAACCAGTACATCACAGGTAAGATAAATAACTCCAAATATGTGGGGCACAGACAAGGTTAAAGGGATGATGACTGAAGTAATATATCCCCTATAAACCCTTCCCCCACTTTCCATTCCTAAAAGGATCTCTACATATCCTTTTTTCTAAGAGAAAACAAATTTTCTGTGGTCATGTGGTTCTGGAACAAAAGAATCCTGTTGTATAGGGCACCTGAGGAGAGTAAAGGAAAAGAGAAGGGAAAGAGGAATCAATAAGCTTGCAGTTTTTATTCCATTTCCATTTTATCAGATATCACCTCTAAGGCTCTGAATTTCCCAGAGTCATATTATCATTTTTTTCATAATCTCATTCAAAGTAGAGGAAAAAAACTGGAAGTAGGAGATCTGGGCAAAGGACTCCTTGGACTACCTATTTTAGCCCATTCTAATAGAACTGGCTATTTCTAAACACAGCCTTCCCTGATTTGGTAACTCTCTTTAGAGAATACCTCTTAAAAGACACAAGTGAAGAAACACAAATCAAATATAATGTACTTACATCAGTATAAGAGGTGCTAGGCTCTTCATCATCACTGCTGACCAGATCAATGTATTCAAGAACAGGTCGTAATGGTCCTTCCTATAAACAATCAAGCAAATTTAGAAGTCATTAACAGTTATTCAAACCAAATTAGCATTTAAACCTACAGTGTTTTTTTTGGTTGGGACTGGCAAGAATTACTCTGAAGAGGGAGCTTTGTGGGTAGCAGAAAATAACCAGAACAAAAGCAGCAGAGGAAAATATTCAAAATATATAAATGTAAAATGATGACAAGACCTAAAAGGAAGCACCTACACCCCTGTAGAATATTAGGGCCATGTCAATTACTTGGGAAAGGAAAATTAATATAAGAACAGTGCTACAAAGACACAAATATTATAATCCAGTGCTTTACACCTAGAATTGGTATCAAAAGTCTGTTAATATATCCAAGTTCAAAAATGAATTGACTTATAGCTCAGCTTCATCATCCACCACTGCAGAGTCAAGCATCAAACCTGAATTCTTTTCCATTCTTTCTTTCCATCCATGCCAATTTCTTCATCAACCAGGCCTTGAATGTCAGGCTTAAAAGCCTAGATTTTATTCAATAGGCAAAAGAAAATAAAAAATAATAATAAGACAATAACATGAGAACTGTGCTTCAAGATCAATCACATAGAGGAGTATGGAGAGCAGGGAAAGCAAGATAATCAGTATAGGCACATGACAATGCAGAACTAATGGTGGTGATGGCAAGAAGAGTATGGTAGTGGATATACAAGAGAATACAAGTAAAATGGAAAACTAAAAGAGATTGATTATTAGGCCAGGTGTGGTGGCTCATGTCTGTAATCCCACCACTTTGGGAGGCCAAGGTGGGGGATCACCTGAGGTTAGAACCATGCCTGGCTAATTTGTGTACTTTTAGTACAGATGGGGTTTTACCATGTTGGCCAGGCTGGAGTTCGAGACCAGCCTGACCAACATGGTAAAACTCCATCTCTACTAAAAATGTACAAATTAGCCAGGCATGGTGGTGCGTGCCTGTAGTCCCAGCTACTCAGGAGGCTGAGGCTGGAGAATTGCTTGAACCTGGGAGGCAGCAGTTGCAGTGAGCCAAGATCACGCCACTGCACTCCAGCCCGGGCAACAGAGCAAGACTATCCCAATAATAATAATAATAATAATAATAAATATATAAATAAAAATAAATTTAAAAGATTATTTAAAAAACAAAACAAGGAGTCAGTGATCTCTAAGTTTTTAACCTCAGGTGACTATAAGAATAGTAATGCCAATAGTATAACTTTGGAAAGCAGAAACAGAAAGCTGACATTCCTATGGGCTGAAGTAACAGTGGTACACAGGGTGTATCTAGCAGACAGCTGGAAATGCAGGCCTGTAATCTGGGAAGTATGAACATACCTGGAAATAAAGACTTGAGAGTTGCTCCCCTAGAAGACTATTAAACTCTAGAACTAAACTGAACTATCATATTGCCTCAATAAAAAGCTGTCAGTGTTAAATGTGGCCAGAAACACGGCAACAATAAAATGCCACTGAATGTGGCAACCAGACATTTTTAAATGTCTTTGAGAGAGCAACTTTCAAGAAAGTAGTGAGCACAGAAGCCAGGCTCTAAAACACTAGAGAATGCAGTAGAAAAGGCCATATTCTTTTGAGAAATCCAGTATGTTGGAAACAAAAGAAAGGAACACAGAAGAAATAATAGCTGAGGAAAGGATTTTGTAGGATGTAGAAAGTTGACTGCTGGAGACAGAAGCTGAGATCTAGGTAATGATCTTCCCTAGAATAGGCATCCAGTCTCAAAGATAGCTTCTTTCTCCCCTAGGCTATGACTTCTGCTCAACCAAGAAACTGCCATCTTTTGGGTACTAATTCAGATACCAAGATAAAACAAGAGGGCAAAACTGGGCAGGGATCTGTAGCAAAGGAATTGAGATTTTTGCTCAAACTATAAACACGGAAGTAAAAATTAAAGAAACAGAGGAAGCAATACTCTCCAATATATGGTAAACAGAGCTGAATCACCTACTTTAAAATCTACATCTGGTATGAAGAATGTAGGCCATGCACGGTGGCTCACACCTGTAATTCCAGCACCTTGGGAGGCAGAGGTGGGTAGATGACTTGAGGTCAGGAGTTCAAGACCAGCCTGGCCAACATGGTGAAACCCTGTCTCCACTAAAAATAGGAATAGGGTGTAGTGGCGGGCACCTGTAGTCCCAGCTACCCAGGAGGCTGAGGCAGATGAATTGCTTGAACCCAGGAGGCAGAGGCTGCAGTGAGCTGAGATGGTGCCACTGCACTCCAGCCTGGGCAACAGAGCAAGACTCTGTCACAAAAAAAAAAAAAAAAAAAAAAAAAAGACTGAAAATTGTATGTTCGATCCAAGAAGAAAAATTAAAATGATAGCTTTTCCCATTGATATAATCATCTTACTTTGCTCTCTACAAGAAATATGCATTAGGAACCTTCATTATAGGTCCACAGAAATAGCAGAACACAAAAGCGCCCCCCTACCCCCCCGCCCCGGTAACCAGAAATACACAGAGGCAGAGTTCCCATGCACAGAAAGTAAAGAAGAAGATGAAAGATGACAGGATGCAAGGTAAAAAGTAAAATGGGCTGGAAAAAAATAAGATAAACAGGCTGGGCACGGTGGCTCATGCCTGTAATCCCAGCACTTTGGGAGACCAAGGTGGGCGAATTGCCTGAGGTCAGGAATTTGAGACCAGCCTGGCCAACATGGTAAAACCCTGTCTCCACTAAAAATACAAAAAATTAGCCAGGCATGGTGGTGGGCGCCTCTAATTCCAGCTACTCAGGAGACTGAGGCAGGAGAATTGCTTGAACCCGGGAGGCAGAGGTTGCAGTGAGCCAAGACTGTCCCACTGCACTCCAGCCTGGGTGACAAGAGCGAAACTCCATCTCAAAAAAAAAAAAAAAAAAAAAAAAACAGAAAGAAAGAAAGGAAGAAAGAAAATGATCAAAAACATAATTTAAAAATAGCTGCAGGCAGGATGGCTCATGCCTGTAATCTCAGCACTTTGGGAGGCCAAGGCAGGTGGACCACATGAGGCCATGAGTTCGAGACCATCTGGGCCAACATGGCAAAACTCTGTCTCTATTAAAAATACAAAAATTAGCTGGGCGTGGTGGTGTACATCTGTAATCCCAGCTACTCAGGAGGCCGAAGAACAAGAATCGCTTTAGCCCAGGAGGCAGAAGTTGCAGAGAGCTGAGATCACGCCAGTGCACTCCAGCCTGGGCAACAGAGAGGGACTCTTGTCTCAACAACAACAACAACAACAACAACAAAAAAAAAAAGCTGCAGTAATATTTAAAGGGAAGGAGTAAGGACAAATAAGGTTATCAGAAATTTATTCTTGCAGTGAACCATTAAACCAATATGCAAACATTTTTCAACTACTGAAGAACAATAATTTTATATGATTCACACTAAGAGAAAAGAAAAAAAGGAAAATATGGATAGAAAATCCAGACGAGCGTGGTAGATCACGCCTATAATCCCAGCACTTTGGGAGGCCGATGACGGAGGATCACTTGAGTCCAGGAGTTTGACACCATCCTGGACAGAACAGTGAGACCTCATCTCTACAAAAATAAAATAAATTAGCTGGGTACAGTAGTGCGTGCCTGTAGTCCCAGCTATTTGGGAGGCTGAGGCAGCAGAATTGCTTGAGCCTAGGAGTTCAAGGCTGCAGTGAGCTATGATTACGCCACTGCACTCCAGCCTAAGCAAGACTGAGACCCTATCTCTTTAAAAAAAAAAAAAAAAAAAAAAAGTATCACAGAAAATCCAAAATTGAGAAAAAACAGAAGTCATTTAGAATATTTATACATTCAACAAATAATTACTGAGCTTTAAGTGACAGAGTAGAATGAGAAGGGGAATCATGTTGAAAATCACTAAAATGGCAAAGAGATTGAGTGGAAAAATAAGGACAGACATGTACCCCAAAGGAAAAGATTACTTATACACAAATAGTGTACACTAGCTAATTTTCAGTGAATATGGAAAAACTTCCATGATAATGAGCTTACGGAAGTAAAACATTTAGTACTCCATTTATTTGACTAAGAATCAATAACATTTATTGAGCCCTGTACCATGCCTTGTGCAAAGCTTTTAATGTACATTTCACTTAATCCCCCAAATTACTTTACAAGGTGAGATATTGAATTATCAGTATTATCCCATTTAACAGATGGGAAAACTGAGTGGGGTATACTTGGTTCTCTAAACACAACTGGCTGTACAGGCACTATAATTGTGAGGTAGTTCAAAACATAAATACTATTTTTAAATCAATGTTTATTACCTGAGTTCCTGAAATAACACATTTTTTCTTCCTTAAGAGAAAATGGACTACCTCTATTACCCCATCTGTGAATACTTTGTAACACTGACCAAAAATAAATTACCAATTTCTCAAAAGAAGTTATGTTTATAATAAAAATATCAAGAAAAAATAATTTGGTATAATATTTATAATTACTACTTATATCTTTAACAACTATAACTGCGTATGGTCCTGTAATTACAAGGTATTTTTATTTGCATTTGTTCTATCCATCAACTAGTAAACCATCATTCTCATGCCCTATTGCACCACTAACAAAAAATAAAGGATTCTAAGCAGGGCATGGTGGAGTGCACCTGTAGTCCCAGCTACTCGGAAGGCTGGGGAGGGAGGGTTGCTTGAACCCACAAGTTTAAAACTGCAGTAAGCTATGATCATACCACTGCACTCCAGCCTGGGCAAGAGTGAGACCCTGTCTCTGAAATAGAAATAAAAAATTAAATAAAAATAAAATTTAAAAATTAAAGAATTCTATTCCCAATACCACACAATTTAGGGGCAGAAGCACATGTAGAAGCATGGCAAAACAGTTTAGGAAAACAGTTAAACCAATATTCTAAGTTTTAAAATATGTTTCATGAAATAAAAAGCTTTCATTCCTGTTATGAGAAAACTGATTCTCTAAGCCAAAACACCAATTTCCTACTAATTGGAAAGAGATATCAATACACCAAAATATGGTCTACTAAAAAGGTAGTTTACTACAACCAAAGTTTTCTCTAAAACAAAGAATATGGATTTGAGCATAAATCTGAAACCCTAAATAATTCATTTTTCCCCCCATATAGAGAAGTCAGGGACACAGGTTACTTGTGCAGTCCTGACAGGCAACATTTCAAATAGTTTCCAATTGTGCCTGTTTTATAGTTCAAATTTAATCCAACATTCAAGATCTATACTACCTGGCCCATGCCGCCTCCTCCCACCTTAAAAAACAACAAAAAATCTTTCACGACTACACATAATCCTCTCTGCTTTCCCATTCTGATGCCTTTCCTTGTTTCTTCTACTCAAAATGCCCTTTTAAACACATATAAATCCTAACTACTACTTATTACTACTACTAACTACTACTATGATAAACTGCAAGTCTTATGTCCTTTTTTAACAGCACTATGTACTTTCTGTAAGAGAACTTTCTACTACCTCTAAGGACTATTTACATACTTCTCACCTCCTATCTCATCATTCACACTAAAATACTGACCCTTAAGGGTAGGATGTATTTCAAATTAATCCTTGTAGCTCTAAGGAACTTAACTCACGGCTTTGCATATTATGAGCTTCAACACTTTTTATTTATTAAACCAATCACAGCCCCAAGACACCCAGCCAAATAATACTATTTTCTGCCTGACTCCCTTCTGCAGCTAAAGTATTAATACTTGATCTATGTGGTACTGAAGCTATTTAGGAAATTATATCCTGATTTCACTGACTTCCAATGATGCTACACTATATCAATAATCTTGGCTGAAACCTGAATCTCTTGTATTGTTTTGTTAGCAAAATTACGATAGGTTCCCTCAGCAGTTTGTATACCTTCATATCTAGAACAGCACTGTGAACTATCACATCATCAGCTATTAGTTTTTTAGAAGTAAATCACATAAAAAATCTGCAATTTCAAAGAAAGATATAAAAACAGTAGTTGAATAAAGGATCATATTACTAAACAGAAATAAGAACAACAGACCTAAATAAGAAGTTTTTGTTATGGCAGCATTCTGTTTCTTGATTTAGGCGCTGTTTACATAGATGTATGAGGCTTTGCAAAACTTTATCCAACAAGTATACTTATGAATTGTGCACTTTTATGTATATTTCAATAAAATTTAAATGAGAGGGCCCATTTTTGCACCCCCCTCCATATCTATATCACTCCTTTCCTTCAGCATGCTGTGTTTAGTTTCAGATTCTGTATTCTACAAATCACAGAATAACTCCTGGGCCACCAAGTGGACTAAAAGTGGGAAAATTAGGTTAGTAAGAGCTATGAAATCCAAACCGTAAAAACGAAGAAGTAACATCA
The DNA here is from genome assembly GCF_000001405.40 of Homo sapiens. NCBI lineage: Eukaryota > Metazoa > Chordata > Mammalia > Primates > Hominidae > Homo > Homo sapiens. Next base: position 57,092,715 of record NC_000006.12, on the reverse strand, counting down.
CAATACTCATTTTTTATCTGAAAAAATCAAACTTTTTCATCTTTACTGAATAAGCATTACTGACTGGAGGAGCCACATATAGGATTGGATTCCAGAGAAAAGTAAAGATTCTGTCTCTGAATATATTTTGAAATATAATTAAGCTATTATTGTCATGTAAGTGGTGCCACTTAAATGTAAAGGGAAAATTTTTAATAGGCTTCTTCTAGTATTGTAATTACACTTACAACATATAATTCACTTCTCCATGTGGAACTGTCAAACCTCTGAACCTTTATTTGGGAACAAGAGTAAGAAGTTGTATCATGTCAGATATTCAATGATTGTACATTCTTTACTCTTGATGCAAAGACGGAAGTGATCCTCTACATTCAACATAAAATTTAAAGACTCCTTTAAACCAAAGGTGAACTCAAGCCTACATTAACTAGTCACAAGCTACACTGTAATTCATTACACAAAACATTTTTCAAATATTAAGAGATGCTACTCGTGTTTCTCAAAAAGGGCCATAGTTCATAAAGAAGTATGTCATTCCTAGTATTATTTCTACTAAACACCATAAGAAAAAAATTCTCTTCACAAATATACCAAGATTCAGGAAGAACCTGAAATATCTGTCCTCAAGAGCCATGGAAACCTGTTATTAAACATACTTCAGCGCATGGTGAAGGAAAGGACAGGATACAATTCACCCCCATCCTCTACTCCAAATCCGTAGAAGATCAAAATGAAAAGGAGAGAGTACAACATACACTGGTAAAGGGAAAGAAATTCAATAAAACAATCTTGTGAAGGACTCCTAAACAAATCTATTAAAATACCATACAAAAATGAATTACCAAAATGGCCCTAATGCTGGGAAAGAAACTGTTTAATAACCAATTTTACAAGGTTTCCCAGCATCCACCATAAATGCACATCTGACACTCAACGAAAAATTCTACAGCTTGAATACCAAACTGCAACTAACTACGGCATTCCAAAAGACGAGTTGGGGACAGAACCGTTTTCTGCCTGGCGAGCTGAGATACCACTTTACGCAAAGCCTTTCTAAAACTCCAATAATTATGGAAGAAAATCACCCCAAAATACATCATAAAACACTCTCTTCTGCTTTGGAAACCCATGCTGTACAAAGTGTGCTCAGAAATCCTTATGTCCCTGCACTTGTCTGAAAATGAAGATTCCTAGGCCCCCGCCTGGAAATTCTGATTCGGTAGGTCTGCAGTGGGGCCCAGGAATCTGCCTGTTTATACTTACTAAGGCTTGAAAACTACTGTCTCAAAGGGAACAAACTCAGAAAAATAGAGCATGTTCCCAGTGATGTAGGATTCTTCATTATGAGCATCAACTGTACTATGCCGTAACATGATGATCTCAGAGGTTAGAGAAATCTTCAAGCTATTTGCCTTCATGTTAGAAGCACCATAACGCTAAGATTCTGGGCTCTCACAACCCTTCCTGTTTTCTACGTCCTTGCTCATCATTAGCAGCTCCTTCCTCCGTGTCGCCTTTAGAAGTTACTCTTGCTCCATTTCAAAACAGCGTTTTAGACACCAGCGTTTTTATCTTAAGTTTAAATGAAAGGCAGGGGGCGAGATTAAGTGTACAGCACGTTCTTTAGGACGTGCTCTTTGTGATGGCTACGGGGGTGGCTCAGATAGCTCTTTTGGTAAATTTCCCAATCCTGCGCCATGCTCCAGTGTCTAGTATGTATTAGACACTCATGAACATTAAATGACCAGGTGAGGTAACATTACATAATGGCCCACCATAGTCTTTTACTCTGGGAAAACCCCAATCATCATTGCTACTTACACTGACAAACTGAATGTCGTCTTCATTTTCATCCGTTGTTGACTCAGATGCCTCAGGGCCAGCTGGAGGGACAGATTCTATTATCTATAAAAACAAGCCAAAACATGCTTATCTGTTCAGCCACATTCGTGTAGGAAGAGAGCGTTTCCGAAAGGAACAATTAAAGACAGAGAGCTCTTGAGGAAAACGAACTGAGCACAATTTCACGGAAACCCGACTAGGAACGGAACTCGAGCTCTGGCTCTTGCCACAGAGTGTGCGGAGCTGCAGGGACCCAACGCTGAAAACGCGTTAGTTACCAGCCTCTCACAATTCCCCTTATCTACTCCAGGAGGAACGCAAGCTCAACACCGAAGGGCAATCCTGCCTTAAAACGTCGCTCCCACTGGCCCAGCCGCGGCCACAACGAACGCCAGGGCCCGTGCGGGGGGCCGGGCGGCCATTGTTGCTGCGGGTTCCTCGCTCAGACACGCACCAGGCCCCAGAGCTGGGCTCGGCCCAAGACACTGAAGAGGTATCGCCCCGAGGCTGCGACGGAGCACCAGGCCTCAGACCGCAGAAAACACAAACCCTTCGCGGTTCGCCTCTGAGAACGCCAGGACCCTCACTCGACTACTCACCTCCGACCCCGGGTCTCCCATGTCTCCGACGGCCGCGCTGACAGCACCACTGCTCCTGCTGTCCCTGCCGCCGCCGTCGCCACGAATCCCCTTCCCGCCCTGCACCGCCTGGCGCTACCGGGACCCGCCCCTGCGTGAGCGCCGACGCCACCGGCGGAAAGAGACGCAAAACCTCTTCAAAGGAGGAGCGGCCCTTACTGGCCCGCTATGCCCCCGGAGCCGCTTTCTCTCACTCCCGGGCTTCCTTCCCCGCGCCGCGCAGGATGCTGGGAATTGTAGTTCGGGTCCGCCCCGAGACCGCCCCTCGCCGGAGAGGAAAAGAACCATGCGCCTAAAAGACGCCAGCTGCAGTGGGTGGGGCGAAGCCAGGGGCCAGCTGGGTCCTGTGAGATAGCGAAGCACTGGGAAGATGTGGGAGGATGTGAAGGAGGGTTTGAGTTGGTATTTGTTTGGTTTTGGTATGGTTGTGAAGCGCAGCTCATTGATTTTTCTGTTTTAGCCCTGAAGGTGGGTGGTGGGAACGGATTTCTCTTTTTTTCCTTTCATTTTTAAATTTATGTATTTACTCATTTTTGAGGACAGGGGCTATGTGGAGGTTTAGCTGAATCCTAGGATCAGGAAAGAATCTGAAGTATCCTTACATTACACACCTCTTCCCTAGCGTCAGTCTCCCAGGCCCTGCCAGTATTAATACACCTGAGGAAGAAAATAGGGATGGGAAATCCAGGGCCCAATAGGAAAGGGAACCGAGGTCTACCTAACTATCACTAAACCCTAGCCAGTGATTTTGAAATGCACTTTTTCAATATTCTCAGATATACTGAGAGAATATGAGAGATCTATTTATAGACTGCTGTAAGGTTGACCTTTTAACCTTTTGTGTGTTCACACTCATAAACCAGTCTATAAAATAGATCTTTTATATTCAACTATGCATTTAATCTGTTCTCAGGTAATACCTTACCAAAAATTTAAAAAGGTTTTTTAAAAAAACACACCAATCGTTGTCAATAAAGTTTATGAAAAGAATTAAGTGATAACATTATTTTAGGCCAGGCGGGTCCTCACACTCTGGGAGGCCGAGGCGGGCGGTTCACTTAAACCCAGGAATTCGAGACCAGCCTGAGCAATAAGAGGGAACCTCGTCTCTACAAAAAATACAAAAATTAGCTAGGCGTAGTGGTCCTTGCCTGTAGTCCCAGCTACTCAGGAGGTTTAGGTAGGAGAATCGCTTGAGGCCGAGAGATTGAGATCCAGGCTGCAGGGAGCCAAATTCATGCCACTGCACTGCAGCCTGGGTGACAGAGCAAGACACTGTCTCAAAAAAAAAAAAAAAAAAACACAAATTATTTAACATCTCAGATTCCTGTTTTTGTTTGTATGCAAAACTACCATCTGATTGCCTAAGCCTGTAGTAATTATTGTTTAATATTTGACATTTCCTGCATTTCCACCAAGTGCTTTATGACTTTAGTTACTTTCTACCTAGTAAGTTTGAGACTTGTGGAAGCCAATTGAGAATGACAGACGTGCATGGGGAGTTCTTCAAAAGCTGTGTGTAAATTAAATATTTTTAAAACGTTAATGTGTAGGCAAAACTTGTATTTAAAAGCTCTTCCTAGTGGGCTGGTGAAAGTGTCCTCTAATATTTAATCAGTTGAGGCAGGAGTTAATGGGTAAAATTCTTGGAAAACAAGCAGTATGTGGCTAGACCCAAAAACTTCTCACACCATACAACTCAGTAACTGTAGTTGCAGGGATTTTCCTGAAGATACATCACAGGTTTTTTTATAACAGCAAAAACTGGAAAATATCTAAATGTCTAATAATTGGGGAATGTAATGTTTAAATTTTGGTATGTATGCTATAAAGATAACATTACAGTGTTTTATCTCCACTGAAAATGTTTACCTAACATTTCTCAAAGCATATTTTTCAAAAATTCAAGAAATATATAGGATAATTAGAACCATGTTGTATTCGTTCTTGCACTGCTATAAAGAACTACCTGAAACTGCGTAATTTATAAAAGAAAGAGGTTTAATTGGCTCACAGTTCCACAGGCTGTACAGGAAGCATGGCTGGGGAGGCCTTGGGAAACTTAAAATTGTGGCAGAAGGTGAAGAGGAAGGAGGAACCTCTTTACATGGGCAGAGGAGGAAGAAAGCAAAGCAGGGAGGTGCTACACACTTTTTAACAACTAGATCTCGTGAGAACTCACTCATTATTAGAGAACAGCAAGGGGGAAATCCGCCCCCATGATCCAATCACCTCCCACCAGGCCCCTCCCCCAATATTGGGGATTACAATTCCACATGGAATTTGGGTGAGGACACAAATCCAAACCATATCACATGTCAAGCCATCAAGAAAAGCATCCCTGAAAGAGAAAACCTACTTAAACAGGAATAGTAATTTATTTTTTTTCTGGGCAGCTGGACTATGTGTTTACAAGAAAATCCAGGCTGGGGGTGGTGGTTCACACTTATAATCCCAGCACTTTGGGAGGCAGGAGGAATGCTTGAGCCCAGGGGTTCAAGACCAGCCTAGGTAACATAGTGAGACCCTGTCTCTGCAAAAAAATTTAAAATTAGCCAGGTGTGGTGGTACATGTGTGTGGTCCCAACTGCTCAGGAGGCTGGAGTGGGAGGATCACTTGAGCCCAAGAGGTCAAGGCTTCAGTGAACCTAATCTCACCACCGCACTACAACCTGGGTAACAAAGCAAGACCCTGTCTCAAAAAAAGAAAATAAAAAGAAAATCCTGGGCCGGGCGTGGTGGCTCATGCCTGTAATTGCAGCACTCTGGGAGGCCAAGGTGGGCGGATCACCATGTCAGGAGACTGAGACCATCCTGGCTAACACGGTGAAACCCCGTCTCTACTAAAAATACAAAGAATTAGCCGGGCGTGGTGGCGGGTGCCTGTAGTCCCAGCTACTTGGGAGGCTGAGGCAGGAGAATGGCATGAACCTGGGAGGCAGTTGAAGTGAGCTGAGACTGCGCCACTGCACTCCAACCTAGGCAACAGAGCGAGACTCTGTCTCAAAAAAAAAGAAAAAAAGAAAATCCTTTGAAGCCCACCAAGAGATTTGAGACATGCTTGTAGTCCCCAAAAGACAGGTTTATTTAGCTTGGTGTAGCCAAAGAGAAGAAAAGCCATAGGCAAAATTTAGGAATCTCCCAGTCTTAGAAAGTTAAGAAGGAATTGGGTTGGGTGATTTTCAGCCAATCTTGGGAAGTGAGGAACTGGTTAGAATTGGAAGAAGCAGCATTGTTTACTGACTGGTTCAAGGTTCAAAATGGAGAATTTAAACTATGGGGAAATGTTCTTTGTGTGATTGAGGAATTTTTTTGCTGTTGTTTTACCTGAGCTGTGAATCCATTATTTTGCCTTATAAGTTAAGATCTTGAAGAGGGCCCATCATTGCGTTGACAACCCCCCTAAATTTAATACTTTTAGACTTTTTCCCAAATGACATCATAATAGATTTCTAGATCTGTATCAGTGACATTATGTTGATATTCTTCCTTCAACTCATTATCATTATGTATCAAAGAAGTCTAGTTTTGTTTTCAAAACTAAAATTTTTCATCAGATCTCCATCGACTGTCTTACTGCTTGTATTGAATGGTAATTTATAGAACCATCTATCTGAACATTGGCTGCTAACAGCATTTAAGACTCTAGAGACTGTGTTCTTGGCCAAGGGTGTGCCACCAAGAGGCAAATTAAATGCATCAGTTTGGAAGCCCTGTTTAGAAACATTATCTGATACTCATAAATTTCAAAAAAGGGAAAGTATCAGTGTTGATATTTTCATCCTGACTACCGTGAGCCTCTAATTTATTTAAGGAACATTCAACATGGACAGAAGAGTTCATGTATACACAGCACAAAATTTTATTAAGGTTTAGTAAAGCACAGATACTTCCAATGCAATTCTATTATTAAGAACTATATTTAGTTTGGATTAAATGCTCTGGTTTTAAGATGTGGAACTGGGCCGGGTGCAGTGGTTCATGCCTGTAATCCCAGCACTTAGGGAGGCCACCGTGGGCAGATCACAAGGTCAGGAGATTGAGACCATCCTGGCTAACACGGTGAAACCCCGTCTCTACTAAAAATACAAAAACAAGGAATTAGCCGGGCGTGATGGCAGGTGCCTGTACTGAGAGGCTGAGGCCTGTAGTGAGGCTGAGGCCTGTAGAGAGAGGCTGAGGCGGGAGAATGGCATGAACCTGGGAGGCGAAGCTTGCAGTGAGCCGAGATCGTGCCGCTGCACTCCAGCCTGAGCGACAGAGCGAGACTCCCTCTCAAAAAAAAAAGATGTGGAACTGGAATATTCTCATTAACAATTTCTGATGAAGTAGGAAATAGATTTGTAGGCATTTTAAAATAGAATATTCTTCAGGGAAGAAAATGGCTCTTAGCAACCTGGTGTCATAGTCATTGCCTGGAGTTATGGGAGCAAAATAAAGAGCATTTGATTCTGAAAAAGTATAAAGGACTAGCCCATAAGAAAAAGCAGCCTGTTGCAGCACAGGACAAAAGACGGTGGCTCATTTCTGTCACTGGCTCATAAGCACAAGCTGCTTGACTCATTTAGAGGAAGCTATCATAATTTATTTAGAATATGGACATTCTCCCTTTCAAGCAAAATGCATTTGCCTTATGAGTACACTGATGACAGTAGTTTTTGGTGTTATTACTAAACATTGTGAGTAATTTCCTACACATCCTATTTTCTTTCTAGAAAGATTTGGAGAATCACCGTTCAGTTCAGTGTATTTGGATCATATTAATAGTATTATTCCATGTCAGGCCACTGAACAAAACTACTGATGGTTCAATCACTTGTGGTGATTAAAAAGGGGTTTGAAAACACCACAGACAACCAAAAATATTAGAACCAGATTGTATTCATTAAAGGAATTGGTCTGTAGTGCGGTAGGTAGGTATAATTGTAACAATCTTATTAGAAGGTTATATCGTCTAACCTCTTTTACAATAATCTACATGTTAAAATCATTGTCAAAATTGATTTATTTAAGAGCAACTGAGGAGGAATTTAAGACAGGTATAACTAACATTTGTTACTTCCTACAAGCTAAAGGAGAGTGAAAAATCCTAAGCAGAAGCAAGACATCTCGGTATGATTTCACACCTATAGAAAAATTGAAAGAATAATATTTGTTTTACCATATTCTCTGTCTGAGACATATGTTTACATATTATTTTTTCTGAATCATTGGCAAGTAGGTTGCATGTATCATGCCTCCTTATCCCTTAATATTTCAGTATATATTTCCTAAGAACCAGAATTTTCTTTGACATTAATAGTACCATTATCAAAATCTGGAAGTTAATGTTGATAAAATACTTTTTTTTTTTTTTGAGACGGAGTCTCGCACTGTTGCCCAGGCTAGAGTGCAATGGCATGATCTTGGCTCACTGCAACCTCTGCCTCCCAGGTTCAAGCGGTTCTCCTGCCTCAGCCCCGAGTAGCTGGGATTACCGGCGTCCGCCACCACGCCCACCTAATTTTTTGTATTTTTAGCAGAGATGGGGTTTCACTATTTTGGCCAGGCTGGTCTCAAACTCCTGACCTCATGATCCGCCCGCCTCGGACTCCCAAAGTGCTGGGATTACAGGCGTGAGCCACCGCGCCCGGCCACGATAAAATACTTTTTTAAAAATCTACAGTCCTTATCACATTTTGTCAATTGTCCAAATTCAATATCCAGTCTAGGATCACATAATGCATTCAGATGTTATGTCCCTTTATTCTTTAATTTAGAATTGTTTTTCAGCCATTGTCTTTATGATATTGATGTTTTTGAAGAACCGAGGCCACTTATTTTATAATATGTTCCTTAATTTTGGTTTGTCAGATGTTTCTTCATGATTAGACGCAGGTTAGACCAGACAAAATACTATCAGTGACATTATAAGTGTTTTTGATTATTACATGTAGAGACACATGATGGCTCTCTGCCCCTCATTGAGGATATTAATTATAGCCAACTGGTCAAGGTGTCATCTAGTATGACCACTATGTAGTTGCTATTTTTCCCCTTACAACTAGTAAGCAATCTGTGAGGATATACTTTCAGGCCATGCAAACATCATGTTCCTCATGAAACTTTTCCCTTCAATATATCATGTGATGATTTTTGCCTGTTATCAGTTTTTACTATGATGGCTGCAAGTGGTAATTGTCCGATACTAGTTTTCTCAATGATTTCAACTGGCATTTTTCTGTAAGAAAGTCTTACCTTCTCCATTTTTAAAATTTATTAAATATGAATTCATTAATTTCCTTTTTAATTTTTTATTACATCATTTAACAGCATTTGTACACAGTGTGCAGATATACAGGGTAACATCAATAGCCTTCATTGCACATACCTAGTAATCATTTTGCAGATATCAATGGTTCAGAATATCAGAGATAATTAACAACTTTTCTTGTGGGTCCAATTTTTCCACCATGAGACCTATAATACTTGTTTTAGATGTAGTTTTGCCATGCTGTATATTTATGTTCTGATTCTTTTCTTTTTCTTAAAAGAAGTTTCCTTTTGTGATAATTTTAGATTCATATGTAGTTATAAGAAATAATAGTACTTCTGGCTGGGCATGGTGGCTCACGCCTGTAATCCCAGCTACTCGGGAGGCTGAGACAGGAGAAATGCTTGAACCCGGGAGGTGGAGGTTGCAGTGAGCCGAGATCGTGCCACTGCACTCCAGCCTGGGCAACAGAGCATGACTGTGTCTCCAAAAAGAAAGAATAGTACTTCTGGCTTGACAGTATGAGGAGCTCCACTGGCCTGCTCTCATATGAAACTGATAAAAAATATTTTTAAAAATCACTTAAAGCCTATGGAGACAGTCCTAAGGGCCAACAGCAAATGAAGAAACATATATCAAAGGAAATCTGAAAATTCTGTAAGAAAGGAAAGCATCTGTGGTATATAAACCAAGACCACTTGCTCCCACCCCCTTCCCAGCTCAGCAAGACAGACTTCACTCCAGACTGCTATAATCAAGAACACAGGCTCCCTCTCCAACTTATCCCCCTTCCTCAACTTCCACTTGGAGGGCCCCCTTCCTGTAAAGAGCAAGACATCACTGTTTCTCATCCTGTCCTCAGCTACCTATTGTTGAAGCTAAGCACTGGGCTAGTGCAGTTGAGAGGCAGGGGCTCTCCTCTTCCATTGGGACAGAGGCTCTACCTTGAACTCATCACATTGAGAATACTGGGCCCCTTAGCACCCTTGCTCAATCTGGAAAGGTGATGGTTCCATGCCTTACCAGGAGAGGCAAGACAAGAGGACCTCAGTCTGCTGCTCTCAATCCTCTATCAAGCACTTAGCTTCTACAGCTCACTAAAAGAGAAGTTTGCCATTTTTCCCACTTGCAACTCCAGAGCTTTGGCTTAGAGATTTTGCCTGATGTGAGAAGCAAGCTGTAAAACAGGAAACTCTTAATCCTTTCACAAAGGAGCTGACTTCATCTCCAACAGATAGTGGAGACATTCAACCTTAAGGGTGCTCTCAAGAACATTGGAGATTGTGACAGAAGTCAACTGGGAGGACAGTCCAACTGGGATTTGGAATGCAGGACAAACTGAAGGCTGCCTAGTTTCCAGGAAAACCATGGAATAAAACAGCTTAGAGGAGCCCTCTGGGGATTAGAACAAATATCAAACACTAACGTCAGAAACTATTCCTTCAAAAGAGCCAGAATTTGATTGAATTACAGTGTAGAGCTATTTATAAACCAGATAACTGTTGAAAACAATAGAGCAATCAGCAAGAATTAGTGAAGTTTAATTCCTGGGAGTGGTCAAGGAAGAAGAGGAAGAGAACCTTACCAAAACCAGTGTTACCCCATGGTGACTATAGGATGCTGCATCTCCCCGAGGAGCAACACAGAGGCTTTACGCTGGAGGGAGGATGCAGGAATACATTTCATTAAAATAACCCAGCCAGTCACTAAACAAATAAATGAGCAGATAACAATAAGTCCTGGAGGGAGGGGAGTACCTATACACAAAGTTGCTACAATATATTACCTATTATGTCCAGATTGCAACAAAAAATTACAAGGCATGCAAAGAAACAGCATGACCCATACACTAGGAAAAAAAGCAGACAACAGAAACTGCCTGTGAGAACAGATTTATAACAAAAAAAAAAGAGACTTCAAATTAGCCATTATCCACAGATTCACAGAACTAAAGGAAAACATGATTGAGAAGTAAAGAAAGGTACGACAATGTTGCATCAACTAGAGAATATCAATAAAGAAAAAGAAATTATAGAAAAGAATCAAATGGAAATTTTGGACTTAGAAGTTATAATAAATATAATTTTTAAAAACTCAGAGGCTTAATGGTAGATTTGAATTGTCAGAAGAAAGAATAAGCAAACTTGTAGATTCATAGAGACTATGTAAGCCAAAGAACAAAGAGAAAAAAGAAGAAAAATGGAAAGCCCAGAGAAATGTGGGACACCATCATTTACACTGATGCAGACATAATGGGAGTACCAAAGGAGAAAAAGGAGCAGAGAAAATATTCAAAGAAATAATGGCTGAAAACTTCTCAAGTTTATTGAAAAGCAAAAATCTACATATATATGAAGCTCAATGAATTCCAAGTAGGTTAAATATGAAAAGAGCCACAACAGATACATCAGAGAAAAAATGCTAAAAGTTGAAGACAAGGACAAAATCATGAAAGCAGCAACATAAAAATGACATTATTTTATAAGGGAACCCCAATAAGATTAATAGTTGGCTTCTCAGAAACCATAGAGGTAAGAAAACAGTGGGATAATGTATTCAAAGTGCTCAAAGAAAAAAAAACCAACAACTGTGAGTCAAGACTCCTATATCCAACAATAATCCTATATCCAACAAAGCTTCTTTCACAAATAAAATGATCCAAAGTATAGGCTGTCTAGAGGAAACTCACTTAGATTCAAAGATATAAATAGATTGAAAGTAAAAGAATGGAAAAAGATAATATCATGAGAACAGTAACAACAAGAAAGCTGGAGTGACTATACTAATGTGAGATAAAACAGACTTTAAAACAAAAAAGTTACTAGAAATGAGAATTTTTATTTTATTTTATTTTTTTATTATTATACTTTAAGTTTTAGGGTACATGTGCACAATGTGCAGGTTAGTTACATATGTATACATGTGCCATGCTGGTGTGCCGCACCCATTAACTCGTCATTTAGCATTAGGTATATCTCCTAATGCTATCCCTCCCTATTTTATTTTATTTTGAAACACGGTCTCTCACTCTGCTGCAGTGCAGTGGCACAATGTTGGCTCACTGCAATCGCTGCCTCCTGGGCTCAAGCAATCCTCCCACCTCAGTCTCTGGAGTCACTAGGACTACAGGCAAATGCCACCATGCCCAGCTAATAATTGAATATTTTTTGGTAGTTATGGGGTTTTGCCATGTTGCCCAGGTTAGTTTCAAATTCCTGAGCTCAAGCAATCTGCCCACCTTAGCCTCCCAAAATGTAGGAATTACAAGTGTGAGCCACCACACCTAGTTGAGAGTCATTTTGTAATAATAAAACAATTAACTCATTAGGAAGATACACCAATTTGCACTTAATAACAGAGCACTAAAATACATGACACAAAGACTGACAGAAATTAAGGGAGAAATAGATAATTCAACAATCATAGTTGAAGACTTTAATAACTCACTCTCAACATAGATAGCAGATCAACTAGGAAATAGAAAACAACACAATAAACTAACTAGAATCAAGAGACATCTATGGAACACTCCACCCAACAACACAATATACATTGTCCTCAAATGCACATGGAACATTCTCTAGGATAGATCATATGCTAGGCCATAAAATAATACATTTTAAAAAATAAAATCCATACGGAATAGATTATTTGACCAAAATGGAATGAACTTAAAAATCAATAACAGGAAAGAGTTTGGGAAACTCACAAATATGTGGAAATTAAGTAACATACTTCTAAATAACAAATGATTCAAAGAAGAAAGCAAAAGAATAAAAAATATTCTGAGATGAATGAAAATAAAGACACAACATACCAAAACTGATGGGATGCAGCTAAAGCAGCACTTAGAGGAAAATTTATAACTATAAATGCCTATATTAAGAATGACAAATGTATGTGAAGTAATACCCATATTAATTAGCTTCATTTAGCCATTCTACAACATACATATATTTCAAATGTAATATTGTACACCATAAATATATGCAATCTTTGTCAATTTAAACAATAAATCATTTTTTTAAAAGACAAAAGATCTCATGGCCAGGCAGTCATCCCAGCACTTTGGGAGGCCGAGGCGGGCGGGTCACCTGAGGTCCAGAGTTTGAGACTAGCCTGACCAACAACCAACATGGAGAAACCCTGTCTCTACTAAAAATAAAAAATTAGCCAGGTGTGGTGGCACATGCCTGTAATCCCAGCTACTCAGGAGGCTGAGGCAGGAGAATTGCTTGAACCCGGGAGGCGGAGGTTGCGGTGAGCCAAGATCGCGCCATCACACTCCGGCCTGGGCAACAAGAGTGAAACTCTGTCTCAAAAAAAAAAAAAAAAACATCCCGACACTGGGTGCGGTGGCTTACACCAACCTGTAATCCCAGCACTTTGGGAGGTCAAGGTAGGTGGATGCTTGAGCTCAGGAGTTCGAAACCAGTTTGGGCAACATGGTGAAGCCCTGTCTCTACCAAAAAAATACAAAAATTAGCCAGGCATGATGGTGCACGCCTGTAGTCCCAGCTACTCAGGAGGCTGGGGTGGGAGGATCACATGAGTGCAAGAGGTTGAGGTTGTATTGAGCCAAGACTGCGCCACTGCATTCCAGCCTGGGCGACAGAGTGAGACCCTGTCTCAATAAATAAATAAATATCTAAACAAAAGACAGAAGATCTTCAATTGATAACCTAACATTCCACCCTTAACCCCTGGGGGGAATAGCAAACAAAATCTAAAGCAAACAGAAGGAAGGAAATAGTAGAGAACAGAGTAAAAATTAATAAAATAAAGAATAGGAAAGTAATAGAGAAAATCAATGATACCAAAAGCTGGTTCTTTAAAAAGATCAACAAATAGACAAACCTTTATCTTAGACTAGCCAAGAAGAATAGAAGACTGAAATTACTAGATAAAACATGAAAGAGGGTTCATTTCTACCGACCTTGCAGAAATAAAAAAAGATTACAAAATACACAATGAACAACTGTACACCAATATATTAGATAACTTAGACAAGATGGACAAATTCCTAGAAAGACACAAGCTACCAAAACTGACTCAAGAAGAAACAGAAACTTTCATAGAGCTATCACAAGTAGAGATTCCATCAGTAATCAAAAACTTTCCCATGAAGGAAAGCTGAGGCCCAAGTGCAATGAATTCTTCACCAATGAATTCTACCAGACATGTAACAAAAAATTAATACAAATTCTTCACAAGCTCTTCCAAAAAGCAGAAGAACAGGAATATTTCCCAATTTTCTTTTCTTGTGATATCCTTTTCTAGTTTTGGGATTAGTAATATTGACCTCATTTTAATGAAGTCAATATATTTCAAAACATCATACTGTACACCATAAATATATGCAATTTATGAATTTATGTATAAAATAAAGTCAGTATTACACTAATGACAAAACTAGAGAAGGATACCACAAAAAAAGAAAATTACAGACCAATATCTCTTCTAAATATAGACATGAAAATCCTCAGCAAAATACTACAAAACCAAATTCAGCAATATATACAAAGCATTATACACCATGACCAAGTGAAACTTCTCCCAGGAATGCAAGGCTGGTTTAGCATACAAAAATCTATTAATGTAATACATTCTATTCTATCAATAACAAATTAAAATTGCATGATCATCTTAATAGATGCAGATAAAGTATTTGACAAACTCCAACACCATTTTGTGATAAAAACAGTCAATAAACTAAGAAGAGAAGGAAACTTCCTCAACCTGATAAAGGACATCTATGAAAAACCCAAAGCTACCATCATATTTAAAGACTAAATGCTTTCCCCCTAGGATCAGGAACAAGGCAAGGATGTCCTCTTTGAGGCTTCTATTCAACAATGAATTGGAGGTTCTAGCCAGGGCAATTAGGCAATAAAAAGATATGAAAGGCAGCCAGGCGTGGTGGCTCATGCCTGTAATCCCAGCATTTTGGGAGGTCAAGGTGGACAGATCATCTGAGGTCAGGAATTTGAGAGCAGCCTGACCAACATGGTAAAACCCCGTCTCTACTAAAAATACAAAAAAATTAGCCGGACATGGTGGTGGGCGCCTGTAATCCCAGCTACTTGGGAGGCTAAGGCAGGAGAATCGCTTGAACCTGGGAGACGCGGAGGTTGCAGTGAGCTGAGATCATGCCATTGCACTCCAGCCTGGCAACAAGAGTGAGACTCCATCTCAAAAACAAACAAACAAACAAAAAGATACAAAAGGCATCCATATTGAAAAGGAAAAAGTAAAACTATTCATACATGACATAATATTGTATATAGAAAATCCCAGGGAATTAACTAAAAAAAAAAAAAAAAAAAAAAAACTAAGACCCAAAAACAAGCTTCACAAGGCTGCAGGATGCAAGACTAATATATGAAAATTGGCCTGGCGTAGTGGCTCATGCCTGTAATACCAGCACTTTGGGAGGCCAAGGCAGGCAGATCACTTGAGATCAAGAGTTCAAGACCAGCCTGGCCAACATGGCGAAACCCCATCTCTACTAAAAATACAAAAATTAGCCAGGCCTGGTGGCACGTGCCTGTAACCCCAGCTACTCGGGTGGCTGAGGCAAGAGAATTGCTTGAACCCTGGAGGCAGAGGTTGCAGTGAACCAAGATCATGCCACTGCACTCCAGCCTGGGCGACAGTGTGAGACAATGTGTCAAACAAACAAAAAAACTAATATATGAAAATCAAATGTATTTCTATACAGTCACAATGAATAATCCAGAAATGAAATTAAGAATTCCATTTATAATAGCATCAAAATAAATTTAAGAAAAGAATTACTAAATTTATACTCTGAAAAACTACAAAATATTGTTGAAAGAAATTAAAGATCTAAATAACTGGAAAAATATCCCATGTTCATGTGTCAGAGGATTTAACATCATTATATGACAAAATTCTCCACCTTGATCTACAAATTCAATGTCATCCCTATCCAAATCCCTATCAGAATAACTTCTTTGTAGATATTGACAAACGGGTTCTAAAATTCATATGGAACTGAAGGGGACCCAGAATAGCCAAGACAATCTTGTAAAAGATCAAGTAGGAGGACTCACCAGTTTTAAAACTTACTACAAAGCAATGGCAATCAAAACAGTGTCGTACTGGCACAAGGACAGACATACACATCAATGTAATACAACTGAGAGTCCAGATATAAATCCATACATCCACGGTCAACTCATTTTTAGCAAGGGTGCCAAGACTGTCCAATGGGAAAGAATAGTCTTTTCAACAAATGGTGCTGGGAAAACTGGACAGCCACATACAAATGAATGAAGCTGGAACTTAGCTCACACCATATACAAAACTGTCTCATCCCAGCACTTTGGGAGGCCAAGGCAGATGGATCACAAGGTCAGGAGATCGAGACCATCCTGGCCAACATAGTGAAACCCCATCTCTACTAAAAATACAAAAATTAGCTGGGCATGGTGGTGCATGCCTGTAATCCCAGCTACTTGGGAGGCTGAGGCAGGAGAATCACTTGAACCAAGGAGTCGGAGGTTGCAGTGAGCCGAGATCGCGCCACTGCCCTCCAGCCTGGCAACAGAGCAAGATGCCATCGCAAAAAAAAAAAAAAAAAAAAAAAAATTATCTCAAAATGGCTCAAGGACCTAAATGTAAGAGGTGAAAACTATAAAACTCTTTGGAGAAAACATAGAGGTATATCTTCATGACACTGAATTTGGGAAATAATTTTTAGATAGGACACCAAAAGCACAAGCAACAAAATAAAAAATAAATTGCACTTCATCAAGATGTAAAACTTCTGTGCTAACCAGGCACAGTGGCTCATGCCTGTAATCCCACAACTTTGGGAGGCCAACACAGGCAGATTGCTTGAGCCCAGGATTTGAGACCAGCCTGGGCAACATGGTGAAATCCTGTCTCTACAAAAAATACAAAAATTAGCCAGGCATGGTGGTGCACACCTGTAGTCCCACCTACTCAGGAAGCTGAGGTGGGAGGATCACCTGAGCCTGGGGAGGTCAAAGCTGGAGTGAGCTATGATCATGCCACCGCACTCCAGCCTGGGTGACAGAGTGAGACCCTGTCTCAAAAACAAAACAAAACAAAAAATAAAGAAAAAAAAACTTCTTTGCTTCAAAGGATACCATTGATAAAGAGAAGACAATGGAGAAAATATTTACAAATTATATATGTGGTAAAAGACTTGTATCCAGAATATAAAGAACCCTTACAACTCAATAATAAAAAGACAACCCAATTTAAAAATGGGCAAATGATCTGAATAGATATTTCTGCACGAAAGATATATAAACAGCCAATAAGCACATGGAAATATGTTAAATATCATTCATCATCAGGTAAATGCAAATCAAAACCATGATGAAATACCACTTCACAAGCACAAGGATAGCTAGAATTTAAAAATCAGGTAATAACTGGAGTTCACAAGAATGTGGAGAAATACTAAACCTAAAACACTGATGGTGGTAATATAAAAGGATGCAGCCATTGTGGAATGCCATTTGGCAGTTCCTCAAATGATTAAACATAGAGTTACCATATGACCCAGCAATTCCACTCCTAGATACATACTCAAGAGAAGTGCAAACATGTTCACTCAAAAATTTGTCTGTGAATGTTTATCACAGCATTATTCATAATAGCCAGTAGGTGGAAACAACTCAAATGTTCATTAACTGATGAATAGGTAAATAAAATGTGGTATGTTCATACATAATAGAGTATTATTCAGCCATAAAAAGGAATAAAATGCTTGATGCATACTACAACATGGATGAACCATCAAAACATGGTAAGTGAAATAAACCAGTCACAAATACCACATATTATATGATTCCATTCATATTAAGCATCCAGAAGAGGGAAATCTACATAGACAGAAAAGAGATTAGTGGTTGCTTACAGTTGTGGAGGGTTACATGAGGATAGGAGGATGATAGCTAAAGTGTACAAGGTTTCATTTTGTGGTGATAAAAAAATTCCAAAATTGATTGTGGTGATAATTGTACATATCTGTGAACATACTAAAAATCATGGCAGTGTACACTTTAAATGAGTGAATTACATGGTGTGTGAATTATATTATACAATAAATGTTTCAAAACAAGAATTAGAGATTCCATGTATCACTTTCCCAGTGGTGACACCTTACAAAACTATAGTACCACATCCTAGCCAGGACATTGATAGTGCTACAGTCAAGATATGCCGGGTTTGACCCACAGACCCTGGCCAAGTGACAAATGAAAAAAATGTACGTAGACACAGGTTTTTTGATTGGGCCTGCGGCTAGGGGACCGGGCTGCTCATAGACACCGAGGAAGGTGCTGTATATAGTCGTAGTCCCAACAAGCCTGCGCTGCGGGCATTTATTTAGTACAGATTTAATAACAAAGGCTTTGAGTCAACACAACTTGTGGGTAATTAACATGGTCACCCCCTCCCCACTGAGAGAGCAGTCCTGCCTGCAGATGATTAAAGGCCAGGTTCCAAGACCTAAGTAAACTAATTATCTAGATCAATTCTCTTATACTTTCTTGTTATCTACCCTGAGAGAATTAAGCTGCCTTCAGCCAAATTTTCTTTAGAAGCTTTTGCAAAACCTCCCAGCCTTCCAAGAAAGTTTGTGGTTCTCCTGTAATTTTTATAACTTTTCCCACCACCCTGACCAATCTCCTACGTCTGCCCCTTTTCCTGTTTTTTGCATCATGTTTTGTTGAATGAAGAGTACAGATGTGTGCAGCAACAGGCTTATTAGGCATAGTGGTCACTGCTTGTCTTCTGGCTTTGCATCCTAGAATTAGTAAACAAGACATACATGAGTATAATCAGCAACATTCTTTTCCAATGAAGGAGTAACATGTAGTGTTACTTGGCACCTCAGTTCAATGTGTGTCGTTACTAAGGAACCCCACTGGGGGTATGTTAACCCCTTCCAGCCAAGCAGTTACATTACTAGAGGCTGGGAAGTGGGTGTCTGCCCAGGTAACAGGGTGGAAGAAAGGCAGATTTAGAAGATGGACCCAATAGAGTGTAGCAGGTACTGGTTGCAGGCAGAGTGAGAGAATTAAAAAAGGTTAATAAAGCATAGCAAGGAACAAATTATCTGGAGTGAATGGTGTCTGTGTCCGGGGCAGGATTCGCTCAGTCTTCTGACTTGTCTTCTTCAGCATTACGTCTGGGGCCTGTGTCGGCCTGTGTCATCTGAGGAAGCCACATTGTCCAGGGCTGTGGGTCCTGCAGGGCCATTTTCTTTATTTCTGGTACCGGGTTGGGTCCTAGCCATGCTATGGTAAGGTTTGATGCATCTTGCTGGAAACCAAAGAGAACCTGAGGGGGTGTGAACACAAGCATATCCTCTTCCACGTTAGCAATTCATTTGGACCACACCATACATTACTATTTACATCTTTCCATAAAACTGCAGGTTTTATGTCTTGAGAGGTTTTAGAAAAGTGCTTTTCTATAGTTGATTGAAATTTATCATTTAAATTTAAGAAATTAAGGGTAAATAAGGCTTGTGCTAGTAGTGTTGCAGGGTCCTTACTCATATTCCCTCTTTTTTGTTTTCTGAGCATATTTTTAAGGGTGGAGTGGACGTATTCTACTATGGCCTGTCCTTGGGGGTTATACGGATGCCTGTGGAAGGTTGGATAGTCCACATGTGATAAAATTGTTGAAATTGTGAGCTGGCATAAACCGGACCATTGTGAGCTGGCATAAACCGGACCATTACCAGTTTTAATTTTTGGGGGCTGCCCCATAAATGCAAAAGTTAAGAGAAGATGTTTAATAACATTGGGTGGACTCTCCAGGAAAAACATGCATGCTAACTGAGAAATGGTATCCACGGATACATGTACCTATCTTAGTTTTCCAAATTCAGGGATGTGAGTAACATCTGTTTGCCATAACTGATTAGGTTCTAGTCCTCTAGGGTTAACACCTGTTGAAGGAGGGGACATGCCTGTGAATTGGCAATCTGGGCATTGCAGGATAATTTGTTTAGCTAGTCTTTGGGTAAGTTTAAATTGTTTAGTTAAGTTTCTCCAATTTTGGTGGAAAAATTGATGCGATTGGGTGTCTTGGTCAAGCAGTGACATCATAACTTGCAGGTCTGCTTGTTCACTGCCATGAGCCAATGGTCCAGGCAGTGAGCTGTGGGCTCGAATACGTATGATAAAAATAGGATGTGTACTTGACCTAGCGATTGTTAAAGTTGAAGAAAAAGTGCACACAGGGTGGGCTCAAGAGTGGACTTAATGAGAGCTGTTTCAAGGTTCTACAGTAAATAAACAGAGTAAGCAGAGTCACTAACAGTATTGATGGGCTGAGTGGAAAAAGTTTCCAGGGCCAATATTAAGGCTCCAACCTTAGCTGAGTGCTAGTAAATCCAGAACAAGTGAGGGAATTATGTGGTTTCCACCAAATTGCCGCTTTTCCATTTTTACCAGAGCTGCCAGTAAAAAGTGTTAAAAGCATTGGGTATGGGGGAGTGAACTACTTTTGTAGGCACAACTACCGTAGTATGAGATAAGAACTGAATTAGTTTGTCAGCAGGAAGGGCATGCTCTATATGGCCTGTGTAATCAGAGAGTGCTATTTGAAGATCTAGAGATAGGGGCAATACTGCTTTGAATTGTTTTTTACTCAAAGGAATTCTGATGACATCACGGTCATAACCTAGCAACTGACTGCATCATCTGTGGCCAGAATAGATGACTTTACTAACTAGCTGGATATAGGGAGATAGAGTTTTAGTTCCGGTATGTGAGCAAAAAACCCATTCTAGGAAGCACAGCCCTGGGGCCATCTGTCCTATTAATACTGTTAGGGAATGTTTAGTAGGAAAAACAAACAATTGAACTGAATATTTTGGGTCTATGTGATCTATGTGCCTCTGAGAAATAGCTTGCTCTATTTCCTTAATTTCCCTTTTTGCTGCAGGAGTTAAATACCTGACAGATCCTAGGGCTATGTTGTCCTTTAGGATAGAAAACAGGTTTTGTAACTTATCAGTAGTTATGCCCAAGGTGGGGTGAAGCCAATTAATATCACCTAGTAATTTTTGATAATCATTTAAGGTGTGTAAGTTGCTAGTATTTAATTTAACCTTTTCAGGTCTTACTGACTGGGAAGTTAGTATGTATCTAAGATATTTCCAAGGAGAGGACATTTGTACTTTTTCAGGTGCTATGACTAAACCTCTTAGCTGTGTATTCTTTACGACAGAGGCATATAAAGTTAAAAGTACCTGTTCCGTTGGGGCTGCTAGTAAAATATCATCCATAAAAGAATACTCTTGCAACTAGGAAATTCTTTTCTAATGGGGAGCAAAGCCTGATTCACATGATACTGACACATGGTAGAACTGTTCAGCATTCTTTGAGGAAGTACTTTCCAATGAAATTGGCAAGCTGGCCTTTCATTATTGATAGCTGGTATTGTAAATGCAAATTTGTCTCTGTCCTGTTCTGCAAGGGTAATAGTATAAAAGCAGTCTTTTAAGTCAATAACGACTATAGGCTAATCTTGAGGAATCGCTGCAGGGGAAGGGAGGCCCTGTTGAAGGGGCTCCATAGGTTGCAAATTAGCATGATAGCCTGTAAGTCATGCAAAAAGTCTCCATTTACCAGACCTTTTGGGAATGATGAAAATGGGCGATTTCCAAGGGCTATTTGATGGTTCTATATGGCCGGCTTTTAATTGCTCCTCAACTAATTAATGAGCTCTTTGTAATTTCTCTCCCTTTAAAGGCTACTGTTCTACCCAAATAGGATTTTGAGAGAGCCACATTAGGGGTAGGGGAGGAATAACAGTGGCCATTATTAGAAAGAGGTCTGCAGAGTGACCTCAATTAACCCTTTCGTAAATGGGCTAGTGGCTCCGTTTTTTCTAATGCTTTTTCTTATCTCTTTATAAGCGTCAAAAGTAATGGGTTCATACACCTGATTGCCTTGTTGATCTTGCATTACCGGGTAGGCTAAGAGCTCCCCTTCTAATGCCGCTTGCCTAAGACAGGGTCCCATAGCTGTAGCGTATCCCTTGTCTTTTTTTCCTATTTATTGGAGGAGGGGGCTCAGGAAAAAACTGTCTCCTCTTTGGTATTTCTGCCCATTAATGGCGGGGCTGAGGGAGAAGGAGGCGGTAAGGTAGGTGATGGTTCCTCCTTCCTTCCCTTTTTAGGCTCTTCTGTGTAGAGTGGGACCAAAGTAGCCATAACTAAAGCCCATAATGTTAGAGATGTTACTGGGACCCACTGCCCTTGTGCATGATGTTTAAGATTTCTCCCCTCTCATTCCCAGAGCTCTACATCTAGCGTAACTTCTTCCGGGAACCATGGGTTATGGGAAACAACAGTTTGCATTAGGTCCCTTAATTGAGCCTGCAAAACTGAGGCTCCACTAGCTTTAAGCAGCTGTTTCAATACTTTGATATAGTGTTGCTGTTGAACTGATGACTATTGTCCCCTGATGAAACCCTGGCCTGAACAATTCCCTCAAACTTCGAAATCCTGAGAGGGCATCAATGACTTTGTGACTTTCTGACCGCGCTGTCTCTTCACCTTCATTTTCGAGGGTTCCATTGCAATCTGTGGCAGTGTTCCTCACAAGGGGCACCACCTGCTGGGTCTGACCCTGGCCGAACTACAGATGAAAAAATGTACGCAGACACAGGTTTTTTGCCTGGGCCCGCAGCTAGCGGACTAGGCTGCTCATAGACACCAAGGAGGGTGCCATAAACAGTCACAGCAGCCCCAACAAGCCTGCGCTGTGGGCATTTAGTACAGATTTAATGACAAAGGCTTTGAGTCAACACAACTTGGGGTAATTAACATGGTCACCCCGCCCCTCCCCCCCCATGGAGAGAGCAGTCCTGCATGCCGATGATTAAACGCCAGGTTCCAGGCCTAAGTAAACTAACTTATCTAGATAAACTCTCTTACACTTTCTTGTTGTCTACCCTGAGAGAATTCAGCTGCCTTCAGCCAAATTTTCTTTCGAAGCTTTTGCAAAAACTCCTGGCCTTCCAAGAAGTTTTGCATTTTTCCTATAATTTTTGTAACTTTTCCCACCACCCTGACCGATCTCCTACAAAGATACAGAATGTTTCTATCACCAGAAGGATCTCTTCTGTTGTCCTTTTATAGCCATAACTTCTCTCCCAGCCCTGCTTCCTCCTTATTACCTAGCACTAATGAGTTTTCCATTACTATTATTTTTGTCATTTCAATAATGTTATACGTGAGAAAACATCTTAAATGGTCCATTTTCAAGGCATGATAAATCTACGCACTGGCAGCCAGCCTGAGGATGTAACAAACTGCACGGCTCATGCTCCTAGAAAGTCATGATAAGTGAACAGAATGTAGAGGAAGGGTCAGCCCATCAAAGGGAAGAAAGTTTCGTTACCGTGAAATCGAAACTTAAGCAGGGAAGGGGACAAGGGTATAAACTTATAAGGTGGATAATGAAACTTAGGTGACTGGGCAGATTGTAACCCCATAGTACTTGATCAATGAGGAACTAGGGGAGGGACTTGCAGGCTAGGAGATAAATTACATGCTGAAGCTGCCCCGAGTATGCCTGCCTACCAGACATCCAATCTTGCAAGACCACTTTTAAAAGTCTCACTTTCACTGTTCTCTGTGCCTCTGAGTCCATTCTTTGGGTTTGGATGGGTGAGCCTGTTTCTCACATTAGATAACTGAAATAATACAGTATGTAACCTTTTGGGGATGGCTTTTTTCACTCAGAATAATTTTCTGGAGATTCTTCCAGGTTATTTCATGTAACAATAGTTTTTTTTTTTTTAATTGCTGAGCATCATTCCATGGTATGGATGTACCACAGTTTAACTATTTACATGTTGAAGGACATCTAGGTTGTTTCCCGATTTTAACTATTACAAAGCTGCTATGAACTTTCATGTACAGGTTTTTCTGTGAGCATAAGATTTCATTTCTCTGGGAGAAATACCCAAGACTGCAATTCCTGGGTCATAGGGTTTAACATGTTTACTTTTTAAAGAAACTGCCAAACTGTTTTCCAAAGTTGCTGCACCATTTTACATTCCTGCCAGCAATGTATGAATGATCAAATCTCTCCACATCCTTGCCGGCATTTGGTGTTACCAGAATGTAGAGGAAGGGGAGAAAACATTATTTAAAACATAGATTAAAGAACCTAAGAAGTAATACAGTCAGGACTGTTTGGTATAGGAGAAAACAGTCCCACCTATTCAGTAACTTTTGAACTTATGATACAGCAATCACTGTTCACGAGTTCAGCTTGATTCGTACTAATAGAATAAAATAATGCCAAGTAGATTTTTTTTAAATCATGGCTTACAGTCTTCACTGTGATCATAAAATGGAATCATGTAGAAAGCAAATGAACCTGGAAGTGGTACCAGGAATGTGTGTCACATAATTCCAAAGATCCAGAATCTCTTTCTTTTCCTTTCCTCTTCTTTTTGCCTCTGGATCCTGCCACTTTCAAATCAAAATGTTCAATTTTTTTTCCTCTGAGGATAGAGCCTGATTATCTACCACAAAGGTCCCAGATATTAGAATCTCAAAGAACTCTTTTCTTTTCATGAGTGTATTATGAGAGTTGCGTGTGTGTGAGAGAGATTGTGTGTGTACTACCTGGGACATTCTAGCTTAAAGCAGCAAAAGCAAAACACAAGTCAGTGGGACACTTGTTTAAAGAATGTCTATGTGCAGCCAACAAATATCAGTCATAACAATCCTAAAGACATTCCTATTCAAGTGAAGGATAAAATAAACATATTTGTAACCACTACTATTATTTCTGAAGTCATAAGCAATGCTATCAGATAAGAAAAAGAATACTAGTCATAAATGTTAGAGGAGGTAAAATGATCATTATTTGAAAGAGAAACTTTTTCCTCTACCCAGAAAACCCACTTGAATCAAAAAAAGTAATTTGGACACTTAAAAAGGAATACATAAATATATGTTTTCTATATAGCAATAGTCAACTATAAAAATAAAATAATGTCCCATTTATAATAGCAACATGTAAAATAAGAACATATAAAATACACAGAAATTAAATTAGTAAGTGTGTAGGGCCTACCTGAAAAATGCAAATATTTACTAAGGAGAAAGAAAAAGTATATGTTAAGCTGACCTTGTTATTGGATTGAAAAAATAAGTTTTGTAAAGATATAACTTCTCCCCAGATTTGAAAATTACTTAAGTATAATTCCAATCAAAATCTTCAGTTTGTTTTTTTTTTGTTTTGTTTTGTTTTTGTGAGACAGAGATTTACTCTTGTTGCCCAGTCTGCAGTGCAATGGCGTGATCACGGCTCATCGCATCCTCCGCCTCCCAGGTTCAAGCAATTCTCCTGCCTCAGCCTCCCAAGTAGCTGGGATTACGGGCATGTACCACCATGCCCGGCTAATTTTGTACTTTTAGTAGAGACGGGGTTTCACTGTGTTGCCCAGGCTGATCTCGAACTCCTGACCTCAGGTGATCCACCCGCTTCGGCCTCCCAAAGTGTTGGGATTACAGGCGTGAGCCACTGCACCCGGCCAATCTTAAAGAGTATTTTAAGGGTGAAGGAAATTAGGGGAGACCAGTCAAAATGACTGTAAAACTTTTCTGGACTAAGGTATGAAAACAGTCAAAATATTCTTCAAAAAGAATATTGAATAATGATTAACTATCAGATGTTATAATTTATCACATATTTCTGGTAATTAAGCAGTGTAATGGTAGGATTAAAGCGATAATTTATTTCATTTCTCTCAATTTTTTATTTTGCTAAAATGAATAAAAATAAATTAGTAAGTCCCAAAGGCAGCAGTAGAGATTTTTCTTGGGTCACTATCCAGGTAATTAATATGACCAGGACTGTCTGGGATAGTGAGAAGTTGTATAATACTAATAACTACCATTTATGGAATGATTACTCCATGCCAGGTGCTGTGCCATGCATATTACATATATAAGTTCGTTTACTCTACATAACAGCTTTGTAAGATATTATCTAGTATTATATCCACTAGACATCTGAGAAAGCTTTGGAAGACAAAAGTAGGTGGAGAAGTAGTAATTTATTTCAGAGGGCAAAGGCAGCTAACCAGTCTGCCCCAGGGAACCTAGGAAGGACTCAGAACTATGACACCGCATACAATGAATGATGGAGGTAAGGTGCCACTTAACAGAAAGGCTGAAAGACTCCATACGCACATCTCCACATATCTACTCACAAGACATTCTCTGCATTAAGTTCAAAGGATTCACCCATGGCCCAGGACATCACATGCAGTTGCGAGCATCAGTGACAGCTGAAAACAGAATTCATTTTACGTCTATTTTTAACAAGTCAGTTCCAGCCCCCTTTTGTCTGTCCTCTATGCAAACATTATCAGCCAGGAAAACCAAGGAAACTTGTGAAGAACCACTTAGCATAAACCATAAGACTCAGTATCAGACTGTTATGTAGCTATCCCAACAAAACAAATGCCCTTCTACCCAATGACTCCCAGTGAAGCTTCCCAGGGAACAGGTTAAATAAAAAGTAGTTTTTAATAAAACTATTATTTTCAGAGGATAAATCAAAGGCATCCAGAGATAAGCATAGTATTAAATGAAAAAGGAAACAATCAGAAAACAAGAAACAGCTCTTGGAAATTTGAATTTTTTTCCTTTTTTTTTAGATGGAGTCTCACTGTTGCCCAGACTGGAGTGCAGAGTTGAGATCTTGGCTCACTGCAACTTCCATCTCCTGGGTTCAAGCAATTCTCCCACTTCAGCCTCCTGAGTGGCTGGGATTACAGGTATGCACCACCATGCCTGGCTATTTTTTTTTTTTTTTCAGTAGAGACAGGTTTTCACCATGTTGGCCAGGCTGGTATTGAACTCCTGACCTCAAGTGATGCACCCACCTCAGCCTCCCAAAGTGCTGAGATTACAGGCATGAGCCACCACACCCAACCAGAAATTAGAATAGCTGCAATTTTAAAAGGCTGGAAGTTATACATTTAAGGAAATTTCCCAGACACTGAAAAAAGAAATATGCATGGATTTTAATTGTAGTGAAAAGATAGGCCATGTATTCAGTCCACAACTGAATTCCCAGAATAACTGAAATTCAAAGATAAAAACTACAGAGGAGAAAATCATATAGAAACTACATAAAAATAAAATTTCTCTGAATTGAAGAATACAGGTATTCAGTTCGAAAGGGTCCATTGTGTACTTAGCACAATGAATGAAAAAGATGCACAACCAGCCTGGGCAATGTAGTGAGACTCCGTCTCTAGCAAAAAATAAAATGTTAGCCAGGTGTGGTGGTGTGAGCCTATAGTCCCAGCTACTTGGGAGGTAGAGGTGGGAGGATTGCTTGAGCCCAGAAGGTCGAGGCTGCAGTGAGGTGTGATCACACCACTGCACTCCAGCATGGGTGACAGAACAAGACTGACTCAAAAAAAAAAAAAACAAAAAAGGCAACACAACAGCCATTTTCATCAAATTCTAGTCTATCAGATTAAAACATTAAAACAGCCTCGAGGAGTATGGCATGACAGCTTCTGAATAAAATGAGAATCAGAGTTGCATTAGGCTTCTGATTAGCAACACCGGATATACCTCTTTGGTATGAGCACATTGGTAGGTAGCCTTACCCTCTTTCTCCTCCTCCTCTGAGACAGCAAACAATGCAACAAGGAAAAATTAGGAACAAAATATAGAAGATTAAAAAAAATTGCCCCATTTTTTTTCAACAAGTAGGTCACATAAATCTGCTGCAGAGTCAAAAGGAAAAGCAATTAAAATTAAGAAAATGCAAAGAGAATATCAAAGTCCCTTATGAACAGCAAATCTGAGAGTATCAGCAAAACGATACTTCCTGAAAAGGAGGAACTCACCAGGAAATGCAAAATCTTCAACCCAAAAATCTAACAACTGAGTGAGCACAGAGCT
This sequence comes from Homo sapiens, assembly GCF_000001405.40. Lineage (NCBI taxonomy): Eukaryota > Metazoa > Chordata > Mammalia > Primates > Hominidae > Homo > Homo sapiens. The sequence goes on along the minus strand of NC_000006.12, from coordinate 57,065,009 downwards.
GTGGAAGCTGAGCTTCAGCAGAAGTCATGAGGATGGAATGCAGAGAGAAAAAGCACAGAGAATATCTACAGGGCTCTTAGCAGCACATCTCAGAAAGGTCCAGCAAAAACATACTGAGGTGAAAGGCTCACATGAAGATGCAGGTGCTGAAGGGCCTGGGGAGTGCAGGGCTGGTGACAGAAGCTCTTCCAGATTCATCTTGGATCAGAGAACCAGAGAGAACAGGGATATACACACAAAAATTTCCCAGAAAAGCCACATCTGCCAGAATCAGTGGTCTCTATGACAATAAATAGAAGGCTTTTGGAACATTTAAAGCCTGGAAGAAAACCCCCGGGCCTCCCACCATCCACGAATCCACCTGCAAACTGCTGGTCCAGGAAACTCCAAGTCACTAAAATATGTGTTCAAGAAATTCTGTGGCACAGCATCAATACAAAGATTTTGTAAGAAAAAATGTGAGAAAGCTGCAAAACTGGATGAATGCATGAAAAACATTCACAAGAAAAATGTTGTCATTGAAGAGATGAAAATGCTGACCATACATCTACCACAGAGTAAAATTCTTAATGAAATGTTCACCTCTATATAGGAGAACACACAGGCAGAACTCATGCATTAGTTAAGGTTTGTTGCAGCACTCTGGCTGCACTACCTTTGGACTGAAAATATCCTTCCTATTCAGAAAACACAAAAATATTCATGAGTTTATTTTTATTTTATGACTTCAACTTTTATTCTTTATTCCATCTTTAATTTTTTCTAGAATTTTGTTTGAGGTAGGAATACAACTTAAATTTTTCTCATACACCAACTATATATTTTGGAATGGGGAAATATGTATCTTCAAAGAAACCATTATGCATGCTTATTTGACTGGTAGAAATTCTCGGGTTTGATGCAGCACTGTTACACAGGGTGGAATCTGCATCAGCTTCTTCAGCAAGCCTGTTGCTCCCTTAGGGGAGCCCAGCAGTGTTACTGATGTCTTACACGGCACATGTCTCTGTGTGCTCACCACCAGGGAGGCTGCAGATTCTCCAACAAAATCCAATGCTGTATTTAGAACCTAAGGTGCTTTGTTTCAGGTACATATAATATCTTAAAAAGCAATTTTTTTTAAAAAAAGGGCCAATTCATAGTATTGTTTTATAGTACTCGAAATATTTGTAAGTTGTTTTTGTATCTACTAGGTGTTTTCGCTTAAAAATAAAAATTGTTAATAATAACTATTTTTATTTAGAAATAACATAATCTGCCAGGCACAGTGGCTCACGCCTGTAATCCCAGCACTTTGGGAGGCTGAGGCGGGCAGATCGCTTGAGGTCGGAAGTTTGAGACCAGCCTGGCCAACATGGTGAAACCCCGTCTCAACTAAAAATACAAAAATTAGACAACTGTGGTGGCGTGCACCTGTAATCCAAGTTACTCAGGAGGCTGAGACAGGAGAGTTGCTTGAGCATGGGAGGAGGAGGTTGCATTGAGCCGAGATTGTGCCACTGCACTCCAGCCTGGGGAACAGAGCAAGATGCCGTCTCAAAAAAAAAAAAAAAAAAAAAGAAATAACATAATCTATTAAGAGGATTCCAGCATAGAAAAAAGTTAAATTATTTTACATTTATCTCATGTGATTTTAAAAATACTTTTACTGGGAAAATTTTAAATACAAAGTAAAACAAACCCCTCCCTTCCACACACAAATACTCAACAACCAGCTTAAAAAATTATCCACGATTCTATCATTTTTCTGGTAATATTTGTTGATTACTTATTAAGTGTCTAACAACTTCCCAAGTCTGCTTTACCTCATTCAAGAATCCAAAAAATCAAGAAAGCTAGGTCAGAGGCAGAATAACTATGAAACTTAATTGAAGGGGTACCTTCCAAAAAAGGAACCACAGAAATATCTCTTCACATTTATATATTTTTGTTAAATTTCCAATTTTTTTTTTTTGGAGACAGAGTCTTGCTCTGTCGCCCAGGCTGGAGGGCAGTGGCGCAATCTCGGCTCACTGCAACTTCCACCTCCCAGGTTCAAGTGATTCTCCTGCTTCAGCCTCCTAAGTAGATGGATGGGACTACAGGCACATGCCGCCACGCCCGGCTAATTTTTTGTATTTTAGTAGAGATGGGATTTCACCATGTTGCCCAGGCTGGTCTCAAACTCCTGAGCTCAGGCAATCCGCCCACCTCGGCCTCCCAAAGTGCTAAGATTACAGGTGTGAGCCACCATGCTCGGCCACAAAAATATTTTTACCATAGTCAGTTAAGACTACCATCTGTTTCCATTTCAGCTGCACCTTCTGTGTACTTTCCCTTCCTGTTGTAACCATATAGTGGCAGTAGACATTTCTGAGCTCTTGTTAAGGAGTGACTGGGATATATTTGTGTACTTTGAAATTTCTTCCATGTATAGTTAAACTATTGCTGGCCATCTCAGTTGGGAAGTCTTCTAGGAATACTTTGAATGGTCAATTCAAACAATATTTAAGAGCAGTCACTCCACAGAAAATTGAAATGCTCTGAAATCTTGTAGTTCAGATGTGACTCTTAATAGGAGTTTCCCCACGTGATAATAATCCTAAAAATTATATTGATTAGTCACAGTTGAGAATTGGAAAGAAACCTATGTAAACTGTCAAAAATAAAAAAGCAAATTTCCATCAACTATGCTAGAGGATACTGTCAATTACCCTTCTATACCTCTACAGAAAAGGATATTACAGAATTGTCAAATGGAGACAATCAATGCATATAAAACCAAAAGAAAACTAGGGACCAGGCAGTAATCTGGCTCATGCCTGTTATCCTGGAACTTTTGGAGGCCAAGGTCAGTGTATTGCTTGAGCTCAGGAGTTTGAGACCAGCCTGGGCAACATGGTGAAAACCTGTCTCTATAAAAACACAAAAATTAGCCCAACGTGGTGGCACGTGCCTATGGTTCTAGCTACTCAGGAGACTGAGGTGGAAGGATCTCTTGAGCCCAGGTGGTGGAGGTTGCAGTAAGCCAAGATCGCACCATTGCACTTTAGCCTGGGCAACGGAGTGAGACCCTGTCTAAAAAAAAAAAAAAGAAAACCTAGGAAAAAATAATTAAAAATAATTATAGAGCTATAATTAATAAAAAGATCATGTCTTTTTCACCTCTATGTTTTGTGATATTGTTAACTTTTAAATATTGCGAAGATTGTAATTATTTATTTTCTTAATCTAAATAAATATTTCAAATAATTTCTAATGGTATATTCACAATTTTATGGGATTATTTTTCTTAGTGTGCCAAATTCAATAATCAACAGGCCCCATAAAACCTGAAACTAGGCTGAATGTGGGGGCTCACACCTGTAATCCCGGCATTTTGGGAGGCTGAGGCAGGATGAGCACTTGAGCCTAGGAGTTTGAGAGCAGCCTGGGCAACAGAAGACCCCGTCTCTACAAATAATTTAAAAATTAGCTGAGCATGATGGCATGTGCCTGTAGTCCCAGCTACTTGGGAGACTGAGGCAGGAGGACTGCCCAAGTCTGGAAGTTCAATGCTGCAGTGAGCCATGACTGTGCCACTGCACTCCCACCTGGGCAACAGAGTAAGACCCTGTCTCAATAGATAAATAAATAAATAAATAACTAGAACCGTTCAAGATGCAATTATTATCCTTGTTGAAAGATAGGTAAATTAATACTCAGAGATATCAATCAACTCTCCCAGGCCATCTTGATATTAAAAGGTGGAACATGGCCGGGCGCGGTGGCTCATGCCTGTAATCCCAGCACTTTGGGAGGCCGAGGTGGGCAGATCACGAGGTCAGGAGATTGAGACCAGCCTGGCCAACATGGTGAAACTCCATCTCTACTAAAAATAAAAAAATTAGCTGGGCATGGTGGCACGTGCCTGTAATCCCAGCTACTCAGGAGGCTGAGGCAGGAGAATCGCTTGAACCAGGAAGTTGGAGGTTGCAGTGAGCCAAGATCGCGCCATTGTACTACAGCCTGGTGACAGAGCGAAGACTCTGTTTCAAAAAAAAAAAAAAGGCGGAACATAATTTAAAATCACATATTTCAGGCCAGATGCAGTGGTTCATGCCTGTAATCCCAGCACTTTGGGAGGCCAAAGCAGGAGGATCACTTGAGGCCAGGGGTTCAAGACCAGCCTGGGCAACGTGGCAAGAGCCAGTTTCTATAATAAAAATAAATAAATAAATAAATAAATCACATTTTCAGTTCCCATTCAATAACAATTTTGGTTATCTGTTCATAATTTTGGTTAATTGTGACCCTGGCAATTGACTAAACCTCTTGAAATGTCAGTTTTATTACCTACAAAACAAAGAGACCCTATTAGATCATCTTTAAATTGCCCTTTCATAACCAGGCCAGTGGCAGCTACCTTGACCTCAGCAACAGACGGAGGGCACAGACTCATTATAACCTTAAACTATCCTGAACAAAGTGGGGAGCCAGTAAAAGCTTTTCAGTAGAGAAGAAATATGTTAGACTTCATAGACCAGCTAACCAACCACCCATTCCCAATTCTTTCTCCCTTGCCTACTTCTAATACAGAAGCTATGAAAGGTAAAAGCTCACATCCCAACATTCCCTTGCAGTGAGTATGGCCATGCTGACACAGTTCTGGCCAGTGAAATATAAGTCTGCTTGGAAAAGCTTCTGGCAAAGCTTTTGACTTTCTGACGAATACACAGGGCTTGATCCAGGTCTTGCCATGTTGTCTTAAATCGAGCATCCCTAAAACTGTGCCAGGCATCCGGCAATTATGAGGGAAAGACCAAAACCACCCCAGATAACACAACAATGACACTATTGAGCTACTCAAGCAAAGACTGTAGCCATCTCTAGATTTGCTATACAAGATTATAAATCTGTTTAAGTGATTTGACTTTCTTGTTGTCTGAATGTCTTCCTAATAAAAGTTATCTAAAAATAAATGTAAACTTTAGAATAGTCAATCCTTAGTATGAAGGATATATTAGTATTAACAAGGGGCAAGAATGAAGGCAGAGAGACTTGTTAGAAAGTTATTATATTACTCTAAGCAAGAAAAATAATGACTTGAACCAAAATAACTACAGTAGGAGAGGTGAAAGAGACAGGGCAAGGTGGATGAAGAAAAGGTTTCAAATATCTTCTACCTTTCTAGTTTGAGCATCAAGGGAAATGGTTGGGCCATTTTTCAAAACAGATATGATGAGAGATGAATAAATTCAGCTTTGGACCTATTCAGTTTAAAATGCCTACGGAACAACAATGTGAAACTGATGAAAAAGACAGTTGACTATGGATCCTGAAGTCAACAGTAAGGTCTAGATTGATGAAACTTGGTTTTGAGAGTAACTATCATATAGGGTAGTGCCGTCTAATACAACTATACTGCAAGCCACATATGTAATTCTATTTTTTTTTTTTTTTCAGACAGAGTCTCGCTCTCGCCCAGGCTGGAGTGCAGTGGCACGATCTCGGCTCACTGTAAGCTCTGCCTCCCGGGTTCACGCCATTCTCCTGCCTCAGCCTCCCGAGTAGCTGGGACTACAGGCACCCACCACCACACCAGCTAATTTTTCGTATTTTTAGTAGAGACGGGGTTTCACCGTGTTAGCCAGGATGGTCTCAATCTCCTGACCTTGTGATCCGCCCACCTCGGCCTCCCAAAGTGCTGGGATTACAGGCATGAGCCAGTGCGCCTGGCCCACATATGTAATTCTGAAATAGAAATACAATGATTATTTTATTTAACCCAATATATCCAAAATAATATTTATCAATTTATAACATATTATCAATTTATAACATATTATCAATATAGTTATTAAGTGTGATAATTTGCATGTTAAGTCTTTAAAATCTAATGTGTATTTCACACCTAAGGCACATCTCAATTCCTGTTTTCATCATACTTGATTTGTATATACATTTCATAAAATTCACAGATGACAAAGTAGACTCACAAACCCAATTGTTCCAAACATAGCTATCATTTTATTTTATTTTTCATATCCACACTGAAAAAAATCCCATTCATCTTTTTCAAAATAATTGATTTGACTTTGGACCAAAAGCATATAAGTTTGAAAACATTTGCCTAAGTTAGGTAAATTCAATAAATCTTATGTAAGCTCAGTACTGTTAACACTGACTTCGGAGTTACTGAGTATACTGAAAAGCAACCCTAAATTTAATCAATAAAGCATTTTAAAATTTTTTCTTATTTTTTACAGTAAATTTACATGACATCAAATACAATGAAAACTTCAAGCATACTGACTCGTGTTAGAAAAATGAGTAAAATTAATCTTACTGATTTTTATTTTTAGAAGTTTTGATTTCAATATAAACTCTAGTACTTGTCTAGGACAGGCACAAGTAAGCTTTTTCCTATCCTTGGAGCTTCAAATTTGGATCATTCATATGCCATAGGATATTGGGTAGAAAAATTAAACTGCCATTTTTGGTCTTTGATTATTAAATATCTGGCTAGCATCCCTGTTATTGGAAGAAAATCTTGGAGTTAACAGTACAGTAAGTTTTGTAGAGCTCTTCCACAATATGACCAACTGACAGGGTATATAAGATCACTAAATTCATCTCTTAATTCTTTCCACAATCCTATAAGCTGGTGTTGATTTGTACCATGTGCACTTATACAATGAGCACTTAATTGAACCCAACAAGTGACAATTTGTTGTAGAGACCATTTAAAAATCTGAGCATAAATATTTTCAAACCATATCATTTAGTGGAATGAAGAAATAACAGAAACATCAAGTTTGTTTTAAAATTCTAATGAAATCTAATTTTTTTTAACCTAACTTAGCTGGAGTGCCATTTATTGTGACAGAAAATGTTTTTTTTTTCTCATCTAGCTGAAACTGTTATAACACACGCAGAGATTTTAAAAGCTGCATGAGATGGGCGCGGTGGCTCACACCTGTAATATCGGCATTCTGGGAGGCTAAGGCGGGTGGATCACTTGAACCAGGGAGTTCGAGGCCAGCCTGGGCATCATGGGGAAACCCTGTCTCTACCAAAAATACAAAAACTAGCCGATTGTGGTGGCATGTGCCTGTAATCCCTACTACTTGGGAAGCTGAGGTGGGAGGATTGCTTGAGCCTAGAAACAGAGGTTGCAGTAAGCCATGATCATGCCACTGCCTGGGCGACAAAGCAAGACCCTGTCTCAAAAAATAATAATAATTAACATTTAATTATTAAAAAAACAGCTGCATAAATTTGTTTTTTGTTTTTTTTTGACTTGGAGTCTTGCTCCGTCGCTCAGGCAGGAGTGCAGTGGTGCGATTTTAGCTCAGAAACCTCTGCCTCCCAGGTTCAAGCAATTCTCCTGTCTCAGCCTCCTGAGTAGCTGGGACTACAGGCACCTGCCACCATGCCTGGATAATTTTGTATTTTTAGTAGAGGTGGGGTTTCACCTTGTTGGTCAGGCTGGTCTCGAACTCCTGACCTCAGGTGATCCACCTGCCTCGGCCTCCCATAAAGTGCTGGGATTACACGTGTGAACCACTGCACCTGGCCATAAATTTGACTTTTGGGGCCATCAATTGAAATTATTTCTTCATAATTTTTAAGTCCTATGAGACTCAATGTAGTGTGTTACTTGGGTAGTTTCTCAAATTATGAAACTGTTCTAAAACTACAGAAATGTACTTATGATTTTTCAGATTTAGAATCAATTAATCTTTAATATTGCTAGGTCCTATATTCTAATAGCAATTGTTTGGTGCTTAACTAAAGGCCTTGTACTTTTTTTTTTTTTCTGAGACAAAGTCTCGCTCTGTCGCCCAGGCTGGAGTTCAGTGGTGTGATCTCTGCTCACTGCAACCTCCGCCTCCTGTGTTCAAGCGATTCTCCTGCCCTAGCCTCCCGAGTAGCTGGGACTACAGGTGCATGCCACCAGGCCCAGCTAATTTTTTGTATTTTTAGTAGAGATGGGGTTTCACCATATTAGCTAGGATGGTTTCGATCTCCTAACCTCATGATCCACCTGCCTCGGCCTCCCAAAGTGCTGGGATTACAGGCATGAGCCACAGCACCCAGCAAGGCCTTGTAATTTTTAATAAAACATCTTATTTAGGCTTTTATTCATAATTTTCTAACAATTTCTTCAACTGAAATAATTTCACATTTATCCATTTAAAACTAGTTCTCAGCCAGGCATGGTGGTTCATGCCTATAATCCCAGCACTTTGGGAGGCCAAGGCAGGAAGGCTGTTTGAGCCCAGGAGTCCAATACCAACCTGGGCAACATGGCAAAACCCCATCTCTACAAAAAGATATAAAAACTAGCTGGGTGTGGTGGCATGTACCTGTATTCCCAGCTACTTAGGGGGCTGAGGTGGGAGGACTGCTTGGGCCCAGGAGGAAGAGGCTGCAGTGAGCCACTGCAGTCCAGCTTGGGTGACATAGCAGGACCCTCCCCTCTCCCATCCAAAAAAAAAAAAAACCCTAATTCTTTCATGCAAGAATCTCAGCTATTTTGCTGAGCATGGTGGCTCACTCCTGTAATCCTAGTACTTTGGGAGGCTGAGGCAGGCGCATCACCTGAGGTCAGGAGTTTGAGACCAGCCTGGCCAACAAGGTGGAACCCCGTCTCTATAAAAAATACAAAAAAATTAGCTGGGCATGGTGGCAGACACCTGTAATCCCAGCTACTTGGGAGGCTGAGGCAGGAGAACTGCTTGAACCCAGAAGGTGGAAGTTGCAGTGAGCCGAGATTGCACCACTGTACTCCAGCCTGGGTGACACAAGACTCTGTCTCAAAAAAAAAAAATTAGGCAGGCGTCGTGGCACACTCCTGTAATCCTAGCTACTCGGGAGGCTGAGGCAGGAGAATCACTTGAACCCAGGAAGTGGAGGTTGCAGTGAGCCAAGATTGCGCCATTGCACTCCAGCCTGGGTGACACCACAAGACTCTGTCTCGGGAAAAAAAAAAAGAATCTCAGCTATTTCACATCTGGCCAAACTTACAACCTTAGTTCCTTCTAAAATTGTTTTTAAAAACTCTTGTTAATTCTGATTTTAGGTGACTAAATTTCATTGATTCTTTTTGGCATATGAAATATAATTTACCCAATTCATTTTGCATCTGCTGAAGTCTCAATTTTCCTACTTTGTTTCTTAAATAGCAGCTTGTTTTGCTCTGCCACAGCAAACTGCAATTGCCATTCATTGTCAAATCTGCAACATACCTTCTTTGAGTCTGTTTACTGTTCCAGTTGTACTAGGTTCTGCATCGCCACTTGATTCTTTTTCAGTATGCCTTCATTTTAAATTTAAAAATTTGCTCATATTCATGTGTAAACTAGAAAAATAATTTAATCATGATTAAAATAAGTATTTCAATTACCAGTTATAATTTACACAGGAATCACTGTAATTCCTGTTGTCTGCATAAAATATTCAGATAAACATGATGTTACATCAATTTGTAGAAAAAATAACTTGCATTGAATCCATCTGCTGACAGCAGTATCATATCTATCAGCAATATGTTTATATTCAATATTGGAAATGACACACAAGTTTGACAGGCACACTACAACAACCATATCTTATGCAAGGTAACAGAGTAAAATGTATTACTGAAAAACAGTAAAGCTAAGCAGAAAAATATTTCACATTGTTTCAGTTTTCATATTTAAGTAAAAGTAAATAAATAAAAATTTTACTTTTAGCCCTAAGCTGATCAGCCACATGTAGCTAGTGGCTACCATACTAGATAGCACAGATATGGAAATGAGAAAGACAAGAGCCAAAAGGCTTACAGTTTTTATTCCATTTCTCTTTTATTTAATATAACCTCCAGGGCTTAGAACTTAGCTGAGTCCTGCTATTTTTTGCATCCTTACTTAAAGTAAAACAGTACAAAATTATAAACGGTGTTTGTTCTGTACAGAACTTCATGGAATATGTATTATGACCCACTCTAGCAAACATGGGCCAATCTCTAAAAAACTATAGCTTCTAAAACCAATCTTCAAGATTATCTTCTTAAAGAACGCCTTTTAAACAGCAACATGCTGATAAAAGTTTAACTGGCTTTCCAAAAAAAAAAAAGACCTTTATGTATATAAAGGATGTGTAGTACATAATTTACAGATGACAAAAAACGTATACAATATTCTATTTTAAGTTCCATATAGCCAATTGATTCTCATGGAAGACTTTTGTTGACTTTTGCCGAACTCTTGTATCTGTAGCCAACCTGTGGTTGCAATTTGACCAAGATTTTACAAACGGTGTTGCATCCCAATCTGCTAATTCTTTCCCCAGTAAATTTATTGTCATTAAATCTGATACATGATCTATTGTTAAACTATTTCTCACCCTTGTACAAATTATGTTCATTAAATTGAAACCCCTTTCAGCTTCAGCACTATTGATTGCAATGGTGCTAACTATCTTTTTAGCTTTGTATATAGTTGTAGGAATTGAAACATTGTTTGATTTTATATTATTATTTACAAATTCCCGAAAATCATTCAAATCAACTTCATATTTTAAAATTTTACACAAATGAAATAATGTTTTTTCACCAGCTATCCATGGTGAAGTTATTTCTTCATAAGGCCATGTGGAAGGTTCCAGCAAATCAAAGTAATTAAAAATATCTTCATGGTTTCTGTCAGATAAAAGGCGTAGGTTCATGTGCTGAATTATATTGTCTAGTAATATACTCCTAGGAAGAGCATTAAATTTATTGTTTTTATTAAATGGAATATCTTTAAACTTATCTGACTTGATCAAATCTTCAATTTGAGATTCATACTTTCCAGTACCAATTTTTAAATTTTCCAAAGCTCTTATGGTACGTTTGATCAATTTTTGTGCTTTCTTAATATTAGTTGATCTTGACTGTAATGCAGTTGAAAGTACTGAAAATTCTTCAAGAATGTCAATCATTAAAGCAAGGTCTTGTAAGAAATTAATGTTAGCTAATCTCTTCGCCAAACCAGAGTAAGAATGAGAAAAATGCATATATAATATAGGATATGCATGCCATACAGCAGTAGCAGCTTGTAAACTACATGCCGCCCATCTTGGTCCCATTACTCGACCAATTTTAATAATTTCAGTTTCAAGTTCTTTAGCTACAGTTCCTAGAAGCTTGGTTTGATTTTTATTAGGTTGATGATAAATAGAATAAATTTTATCAATAAATATTTTTAAATGATTAATTTGTTTTATTTCGGATATAGAATCATCAAGTGACAATTGTAATCGATGATTTAAACAGTTCCAAATGATGATTTCAGGAAAATTTTCTAACAATTTTGTAGCTACTCCAGACTTTCTTCCCAGGATTGTATTAGCACCATCAGAACAAAATGCAATTAAATTTGCTTTCAAATATTCATTTGTAAAACCACAATCATTTAAAGTAGTCAATAATGTATTGACAATACACTCTGCTATAGTTGACACCAATTCTTTTAAAGCCACAAATAACATAACAGGTGCAGGAGCTGACTGAATTGTGCACTGGAGATAAATCACTAGGGTGGTTTTCTTTGAAACTGTAGATGCCTCATCAATTATGATACAGATTTTGGCATTCTCTTCTATAATATTCTTAAATATCTTCATCTTCATTTCTTTTGCAATATGTTCTGCTATTCTTGTTGCACTGTAACGTGTATTTAAACAATTTACCTCTCCATTTTTTTCCTGTAATTCTCTTGCCCCCTCAATATCAGATAAAGGTCTGTTATGTTTTACTAAACTGTAAACAGTATTGAAAACTTTTACAGTAGCATCAATATTTTTATTATTTTGTTTATGCACTAAATTACAAATTGAATCATTAGTTGATTCCTTTAACAAATCCTGAATTTTACCATGGGCTTTAGAAACATCATGTTCCCTAATTTTTTTTCGTAGAGAAGCTTGCCTAGTAGTTTTATTACTGCCATTAGGGGTTACTAAATATGCAATCCATTCCTTGGACACATGGACATGCTTTTCTGCTTTCGATCCCAAATGCCGAACTGCTGAACAATCCTTACATCCTAATTTACCTTCTTTTATTTCAAGCCATTTGTATTGTTCTGTAAACATAAATGCTTGTTTTTCATTCCAACAATCTGGAAGCACAAGATTATCTATTTCTTTCTTTGATGAAAGTGATGGCTTTTCTTCAATGATTGGTTGTTCAATATACTCGAAATGTGGTTCCTTTGCCTTAGACAATCTGCAGTGATTTTTGCTCACTTCATTATTTTCTGTGTCTGTTTTCACCTTCTTCACATTTAAAAAATGCAAAAAATCACCCTGTCGTTTTGGCATTTTAGGAAACAGAATCTGAAAAATAATTTTACATATGTAAGTAAAATTCATAACACTTTAAGGGTCAATGTAAAAAGTTCTCTTAGTGATTATCTAATTTTGGAAATACATTTTAAACTTAAATATTTAACCTGATTTTCAGTTTATATCTATAATATCAATATGACTTGCTATTTCTTGAAAAACCCACTATTAGTTTTTAAAATTCTACAACCAACAACAGTTTCACAAAATTTGACTATGAATTATCATCCAATTAGCAAAATGGTTGGTCATATGTTTCGCAAATGAGTATGCTATTTGCACCTCCCCATACCAAAATCCTCCCATGCTCAAGTCCCTTGTATAAAATGAAGTATTTGCACTCAACCTTTGCATATCCTCCTCTATACTTGAGGTCATTTCTAGATTATTTTTAATACCTAATATAATATCAATGCCATAAAAGTTTTTATAATGTATTACTTTTTAATGTGTTTATTATTGTATTTTTATTATTTAAAAAAATATTTTCCATCTACAGTTGGGTGAATCCACGGATGTGGAACCCACAGTATATGAAGGGCTGACTGTAGTAGCAACATGAAGGGTGGATAATATTTTCAATTACATTAATGAATAAGATGAAAGTGAAACAATAAAGACATATATTAGAGTTTCGCTCATTCATCAATGACATCAACATCTTTCCGAACTAATGAAGAGTTTAAAAAAAAATTTTTTTTTTGAGACGGAGTCTCGCTCTGTCACCCAAGCTGGAGTGCAGTGGCGCGATCTCAGCTCACCGTAAACTCCACCTCCCGGGTTCAAGCAATTCTCATGTCTCCGCCTCCCAAGTAGCTGAAATTACAGGCACGTGCCACGACACCTGGCTAATTAGTTGGGACTATAGGCATGCACCACCACGCCCGGCTAGTTTTTGTATCTTTGGTAGAGATGAGGTTTCACTATACTGGGCAGGCTGGTCTCGAACTCCTGACCTCAAGTGATCTGCCAGCCTTGGCCTCCCAAAGTGCTGGGATTACAGGTGTGAGCCACCATGCCTGGCCGAGTTTTGGAATATTGCAAAGCAACTTCCTCAATTTTTTTGTATTGCATTTAGTCTAGCAGAGACACATCACACTTTGAAATTTAATCTGCATTAACATTCTATCCTTCACTTTCTTAAGTTTAATCAACAAATAATAAATCAAATTCTAGTTTGTATTTTACTGATTACAATGGGGTAATGTTCTATCAATACTGCAGCAGGACACTATTATGTATTAATAGTATTTCTACCAATAGATGCAAATAACCTCAAGTGCACAGATAGTAGGAAATGATGTATTAAGTAGGAAATGATGTATTAAATATGATCATTTATGTACTTGTGCATTTATATACTTTAATTTGTAATAACTGTTATGTTTACAATCAGCTCACAAAATTCCTGAAAGTTTAACGATTAGATTTTTTTTTTTTTTTTTGAGAAGGAGTCTTGCTCTGTTGCCCAGGGTAGAGCACAATGGCATGATCTCGGCTCACTGCAACCTTCACCTCCCAGGTTCAAGTGATTCTCCTGCCTCAGCCTCCCAAGTAGCTGGGATTACAGGCATGTGCCACCAAGCCCGGCTAATTTTTTGTATTTTTAGTAGAGATGGGGGTTTCACCTTGCTGGCCAGGCTGGTCTCGAACTCCTGGCCTCAAGTGATCCAACCGCCTCGGCCTCCCAAAGTGCTGGGATTACAAGCGAGAGCCACCGTGCCTGGCCAACAATTAGTTCTTATGATCCAGTTCAAGCTACCACCAACACACTATTGCACTTAATAAGAAAACTGAACAAACACAAATATAATGTGCTTACATCACTATAATAGGCGCTAGGGTTTTCATCATCACCACAGACCAGATCGATGTATTCAAGAACAGGTCTCGATGGTCCTTCCTAAAAAGGAAGTGGGCAAATTTACAAGTCATGAACAATCATTCCAATTAAACTTAAATTTAACAATCAGTGGGAGATTTTTTTAGTTGGAATTGGGAAAGATTCTCGAGAAAATCTTGCAAGTGGCACAGAATAATTAGAAACAAAACGGGCAAAGGGGCTGGGAGCAGTGGCTCACACCTGTAATCCTAGCACACTGGGAGGCCAAGACAGGAGGATCACTTGAGCCCAGAAGTTCAAGATCAGCCTGGGCAACATAGTGAGACACCAACTCTACAAAAAAAAAAAATCAGATGGGTACGGTGGCTCACACCTGTAATCCCAGCTACTTGGGAGGCTGAGGTGAGAGGATCACTGGAGCCCAGGAAGTTGGGGCTACAGTGAGCTATAATTATGCCATTACACTCTAGCCTAGATAAAATTTAGAGCAAGACACTGTCTAAAAAAAAAAAAGAGGCATGGGAAAAGAGTCAGAGTACATGAATACGTAATACTGTTCCTGCTAGTAAAAAGGAAAAAAAAAAAAACATAATAATGACAAAACCCAAAGAGCCTAAATCTATATAGAGGAATAAAGCCATGTAGATTCCTTTCAAAATGGGAAATAGCACAGATATTGATTTAAAAAGATACAGATTTCAGTTAGGCACAGTGCCAGTCTCAGCTGCTCAGGAGGCTGAGGCAGGAGGATCACTTGAGCCCAGGAATTCAAGTCCAGCCTGGGCAACATAGTGAAAAACCCACCCCCTGGCCCTACCTCATTAAAAAAAAAAGATAACAGATTTCATAGTACAATTTTTTTTAACTGAAATGATTATCAGTAATCTCGAAGTTCTTTGATAACCCTGCTTTATCCTCCACATCACTGTACAGCCAAACATCAAACTCTGAGTCTTCTTGATCCTTTCTTTACATATACACTACCCTCATCATAGACCAGGCCATAAATGCCCTAGTCAAAATCCTAGATTTTATTCTGTAGGCAAAGGAATCAATAAATAACATCAAGATGGGAACATTATTAGAGCTGTTTCAAGAAGGTTAACCACATAAGAGAGCATGTGGGAAGAATACAAACAAGATAATCAATCTAGACAAATGGTAATGTGGTACAAAAATAGTGATGGCAAGGAGGAAGTAACCTTCCCTGTATAGGTACTATATTTCAATAAAATTTACATTAAGATAAGGACTCTTTTTGTATCCCCAAATCTTTTATCATTCCTTTCTTTCAGCATATTGTTTATTTTGGAGGCTAGGTACATGACAGAACACAAAGAGGATTCTGTGCCACAACGCAGAATGAAGGCTAGATAATCAACATTTATATGAAAAGACTAAGGAATCCAAACCAGAATATATCAAGAAGTAACAAACTTTTTTTTCTTTTAATCTGAAGAACCCACAAGCAGAGAACTATACCCAGCAGCATTGCATCTTTACTGGATGGTACTATAAAAAACACAGAGAAATAAGCATATCCTGGTAGAGCCCAGTATAGGATGGGGTTACAAAGGAAAGTTGTCTCTGAGTGTATTTCAAAGTGGAATTAAGTTATCATTGTCTTTTATGTGGCACCACTGAAATGCAACAGGGATGTTTTACTACATTCTTTCTGGTACTGCAATTACACTGACAGCATGTAATTCACTTCTCCATATAAGAGCTGTCAAACCTTTGATCTTCTATTTTGAACAGGGTTAAATATAAAGGGTTCTATCACGCTGGATATACAAAATATTGTATGAAAAGATGTAGAAGGATCTTTATATTTAAAATAAAATTTAAAGTAAGAGTTTTAAACCTCAGCTAAACACAGCCTATATATTAACTCACAATTTAAAATATAATGATTTATTCCTCAGGATATTACACAAATCTATACCTATTTACTTTTCCAAACTTAATTTTGTACATCCCATCTGTGTTTCTCAACGGCACATGGATCATGAATCAGACGTATGTCACTTCTACATACTTTCTCAATGGCACATGGATCATCAATCAGACGTGTGTCACTTCTACATACAGATGCACAAAAAACTCATCAAGATCATCTGTCCCAATCATTCCTGTTTTTATACCAGTTAAGAGGAAACCAAAATTATTTTTCCTAAAGACCCATGAACTCCTCTTCCCAAATGTTTCTCGTTACAAAAACAGAAACCATTGCTCTTTGATTTCAAGTTACGTTGCTTACTCCATAACAACAGTGAAGGCAGAGTCAGCATACAATCTCCCTTGGTATCATCAATATTTAGAAAGGTTCCAAATGTCAGGAACAAAATATACACACACTATTAATTGGGAAATATGTCCAGAAAGTGACAGGGTAAAGAACTTATACACAAAACACGAAAAACAAACAACGATGTTAACAAAACAATGTTTAGGGAGGAAATTTTAATTTAAAAAACAAGTGACTTACAAAGTCGCCCTAAACCTACAAAAACTAAAAAACACAGAAACATTAGACAGACACTCCATTAAAGAAAAATTCTACAGCCTGAATACCAAACTGCAACTAACTACGGCATTCCAAAAGACGAGTTGGGGACAGAACTGTTTTCTGCCTGGCGAGCTGAGATACCACTTTACGCAAAGCCTTTCTAAAACTCCAACAATTATGGATGAAAATCACCCCAAAATATATCATAAAACACTCCCTTCTGCTTTAGAAACCCATTCTGTCCAAAGTGTGCTCAGAAATCCTTATGTCCCTGCACTTGTCTGAAAATGAAGATTCCTAGGCCCCCGCCTGGAAATTCTGATTCGGTAGGTCTGCAGTGGGGCCCAGGAATCTGCCTGTTTATACTTACTAAGGCTTGAAAACTACTGTCTCAAAGGGAACAAACTCAGAAAAATAGAGCATGTTCCCAGTGATGTAGGATTCTTCATTATGAGCATCAACTGTACTATGCCGTAACATGATGATCTCAGAGGTTAGAGAAATCTTCAAGCTATTTGCCTTCATGTTAGAAGCACCATAACGCTAAGATTCTGGGCTCTCACAACCCTTCCTGTTTTCTACGTCCTTGCTCATCATTAGCAGCTCCTTCCTCCGTGTCGCCTTTAGAAGTTACTCTTGCTCCATTTCAAAACAGCGTTTTAGACACCAGCGTTTTTATCTTAAGTTTAAATGAAAGGCAGGGGGCGAGATTAAGTGTACAGCACGTTCTTTAGGACGTGCTCTTTGTGATGGCTACGGGGGTGGCTCAGATAGCTCTTTTGGTAAATTTCCCAATCCTGCGCCATGCTCCAGTGTCTAGTATGTATTAGACACTCATGAACATTAAATGACCAGGTGAGGTAACATTACATAATGGCCCACCATAGTCTTTTACTCTGGGAAAACCCCAATCATCATTGCTACTTACACTGACAAACTGAATGTCGTCTTCATTTTCATCCGTTGTTGACTCAGATGCCTCAGGGCCAGCTGGAGGGACAGATTCTATTATCTATAAAAACAAGCCAAAACATGCTTATCTGTTCAGCCACATTCGTGTAGGAAGAGAGCGTTTCCGAAAGGAACAATTAAAGACAGAGAGCTCTTGAGGAAAACGAACTGAGCACAATTTCACGGAAACCCGACTAGGAACGGAACTCGAGCTCTGGCTCTTGCCACAGAGTGTGCGGAGCTGCAGGGACCCAACGCTGAAAACGCGTTAGTTACCAGCCTCTCACAATTCCCCTTATCTACTCCAGGAGGAACGCAAGCTCAACACCGAAGGGCAATCCTGCCTTAAAACGTCGCTCCCACTGGCCCAGCCGCGGCCACAACGAACGCCAGGGCCCGTGCGGGGGGCCGGGCGGCCATTGTTGCTGCGGGTTCCTCGCTCAGACACGCACCAGGCCCCAGAGCTGGGCTCGGCCCAAGACACTGAAGAGGTATCGCCCCGAGGCTGCGACGGAGCACCAGGCCTCAGACCGCAGAAAACACAAACCCTTCGCGGTTCGCCTCTGAGAACGCCAGGACCCTCACTCGACTACTCACTTCCGACCCCGGGTCTCCCATGTCTCCGACGGCCGCGCTGACAGCACCACTGCTCCTGCTGTCCCTACTGCCGCAGCCGCCACCACTCCCCTTCCCGCCCTGCACCGCCTCGCGCTACCGGGACCCGCCCCTGCGTGAGCTGGGAGGCCACTGGCGGAAAGAGACGAAAACCGCTTCAAAAGAGGGGCAGCCCTCACTGGTCCGCTATCTCCCCGGAGCCTCTTTCTCTCATTCCCGGGCTTCCTTCCCCGCGCCGCAGAGGATGCTGGGATGGTAGTTCCTACCCGCCGCGCGACCGCGCCGCGCGACTGCCCCGCGCGTGGGTGAAGAATGGAAAAAGACTCTGAGCTACAGCGAAGTCGTCTCCCTTCGGTGTTGCTCTACTATAATAAAATAGCCGAGTTCTTTCTCTCACTTTTTCACAACCAAATATTCGTCTATGTAATAGATCAATGGGAATGAAAAAAAATTGTGTGTGATTTGCTCAGAAATTGCCTTACCAAAATCGTGGCTCACCTTTTTATTTTAACATTTATTCACAAATGATTTTAAACATGAAATTTATGAAAGCAAATTTTAACAGAGAATATTCTTTTAAAGCTTTTATTTGTTTACCTCTATCAGCCTAGGACCACCTGTTATTGACAAGTCTGTAGTCCCAGAAAATCACCTTTATCATTTTGACCCTGATCTACAATGCACAAAATTATACAACAAAGGAGCTATGAGGTATCTGATTAGCCAACTGATCTTCAGCAAAGCAAACAAAAACATAAAGTGGGGAAAGGACACCCTTTTCAACAAATGGTGCTGGGATAATTGGTGACCCACATGTAGAAGAATTAAACTGGATCCTCATCTCTCACCTTATACAAAAATCAACTCAAGATGCATCAAAGACTTAAATCTAAGACCCGAAGTCATAAAAATTGCTCAAGATAACACCGGAAAAATACCTTCTAGACATTGGCTTAGGCAAAGACTTCGCGATGAAGAACCCAAAAGCAAATGCAACAGAAACAAAGATAAATAGACTGAACTTAATTAAACTAAAAAGCTTCTGCACAGCAAAAAAAATAATCAGCAGAGTAAACAGACAACCCACAAAGTGGGAGAAAAGGAGAACATAGGAACAAAGGAAAACATAGACTTACTAGGATTTTAAGGAGTTGGTGAAATTTAAGTGAAGCAGTGTTTTGATAGGTTCAAAACCGTCTAGTGCTGTGTGTAAAGGGTTCAACATCACATACGGACTGCATAGCGAGCCCAGGGTCTTGTTAACTTCAAAACTACAAAGTTAACACACACAGAGTATTGTGCTCAGAAACCCCTTCCTCCGTGTAGCCATGCCCTAAGTGTGTGGATTTATTTCTGGGTACTGTATTCTGTTCCATTTGTCTGTGTGTCTGTTTTTATACCAGTACCATGCTGTTTTGGTTACTATAGCTCTGTAGTAGAATTTGAAGTCATGTAATGTGATTCCTCCAGTTTTGTTCTTTTTGCTCAGGTTAGCTTTTGCTATTATTCTCGGTCTTTTGTGGTTCCACATAAATTTTAGAATTGTTTATTCTGCTTCTGTGAAGAATGTCATTGGTATTTTGATGGGGATTGGATTCAATCTGTAGATTGTTTTGGGTAGTATGGGTAGTATGGACATTTTTTAAAAATAAAAATGTATTTTTTATTTCAATAGGTTTTTAGGAAGCAGGTGGTGTTTGGTTACATGCATAAGTTCTTTAGTGGTGGTTTCTGAGATTTTGGTGCACCCATAACCCAAGCAGTGTATCCTGTACCCGATGTCTTTAATCCCTCACCCCCTCCCACCCTTTCCCGAGTCCCTGAAGTCCTATGTGTCATTCTTATGCCTTTGTGTCCTCATAGCTTAGCTTCCACTTATCAGTGAGAACATACAACATTTGGTTTTCCATTCCTGAGTTACATCACTTAGAATAATAGTCTCCAGTTCCATCCAGATTGCTGTGAATACCAGTATTTGCTCCTTTTTATGGCTGAGTACTATTCCATTGTGTGTGTGTGTGTGTGTGTGTGTGTATGTATGTGTATATACACCATTTTCTTTATCCTCTTGTTGATTGATGGGCATTTAGGCTGGTTCTATATTTTTGCAATTACGAATTATGCTCCTATAAATATGCATGTGCAAGGATCTTTTTTGTATAATGACTTATTTTTCTGTGGTTATTCCTCTTCCTAGTAGTCAGATTGCTGGATCAAATGGTAGATCTACTTTTAGTTCTTTAAGGAATATCCACACTGTTTTCCATAATGGTTGTACTAGTTTACATTTCCACTAACAGTGTAAAAGTGTTCTCTTTTCACCACATCCATGCCAACGTCTATTATTTTTTGATGTTTTGATTATGGCCATTCTTGCAGGAGTAAGGTAGATTTGCAGTGTAGTTTTGATTTACATTTTCCTGATAATTAGCTGTGTTGAGCATTTTTTCCATATGTTTGTTGGCCATTTGCATATCTTCTTTTGAGAGTTGTCTATTCATGTCCTAAGCCCACTTTTTGATGGGGTTGTTTTTTTTTTTCTTGCTGATTTGTTTGAGTTCTTTGTAGATTCTGGATATTAGTCCTTTGTCAGATGTATAGATTGTGAAGATTTTCTCCCAGTCTGTGGGTTGTCTGTTAACTCTGCTGATTTTTTCTTTTGCTGTGCAGAAGCTTTTTAGTTTAATTAAGTCCTGTCTATCTTTGTTTCTGTTGCATTTGCTTTTGGGTTCTTGGTCATGAAATCTTTGCCTAAGCCAATGTCTAGGTTTTTTCCGGTGTTATCTTGTACAATTTTTATGGTTTCAGGTCTTAGATTTAAGTCTTCGATGCATCTTGAGTTGATTTTTGTATAAGGTGAGAGATGAGGATCCAGTTTAATTCTTCTACATGTGGGTCACCAATTATCCCAGCATCATTTGTTGAAAAGGGTGTCCTTTCCCCACTTTATGTTTTTGTTTGCTTTGCTGAAGATCAGTTGGCTACAAGTATTTGGCTTTATTTCTGGGTTTCTATTCTGTTCTGTTGGTCTATGTGCCTATTTTTATACCAGCACTACGCTGTTTTGATGACTATGGCTTTGTATATAGTTTGAAGTTGGGTAATGTGATGCCTCTAGATTTCTTGTTTGTGCTTAGTCTTGCTTTGGCTATATGGGCTCTTCTTTGGTTCCCTATGAATTTTAGGATTGTTTTTCCTAGTTCTGTGAAAAACGATGGTAGTATTTTGATGGGAATTGCATTGAGTTTGTAGATTGCTTTTGGCAGTATGATCATTTTCACAATATTGATTCTATCCATGAGCATGGGATGTGTTTCCATTTGTTTGTGTCATCTATAATTTCTTTCAGCAGTGTTTCGTAGTTTTCCTTGTAGAGGTCCTTCACCTCCTTGGTTAGGTGTATTCTTAAGTACCTTATTTTATTTATTTATTTAATTTTTATAGGTATTGTAAAAGAGGTTGATTTCTTGATTTGATTCTCAGCTTGGTCGCTGTTGGTGTATAGCAGAGCTACTGATTTGTGGACATTAATTTTGTATCCTGAAACTTTACTGAATTCATTTACCAGTTCCAGGAGCTTTTTGGATGGGTCTTTAGGGTTTTCTAGGTATATGATCATATCATCAGCAAAAGCAACAGTTTGACTTCCTCTTTACCAGTTTGGATGCCCTTTATTTCTTTCTCTTGTCTGATTGCTCTGACTAGGACTTCCAGTACTATGTTGAACAGAAGTGGTGAAAGTGGGCATCCTTGTTTCATTCCAGTTCTCGGGGGGAATGCTTTCAACTTTTCCCTGTTCAGTATAATGTTGGCTATGAGTTTGTCATAGATGGCTTTTATTACTTTAAGCTATGTCTCTTAAACATAGAGTTGATTTTAAGTGCCTTGAGGTAATCTTCTTTGGGTTAAATCTGCTTGATGTTATATAATCTTCTTGTACTTGGATAATAGTATGTTTCCCTAGTTTTGGAAAGTTCTCTGTTATTATCCCTTTGGATAAACTTTCTCTCTTTTTTTTTTTTTTTTTTTTTGAGACAAAGTCTCGCTCTGTCACCCAGGCTGGAGTGCAATGGTGCAATCTCGGCTCACTGCAACCTCCACCTCCCAGGTTCAAGTGATTCTCCTGCCTCAGCCTCCTGAGTAACTGGGACTACAGGCACCCGCCACCACGCCTGGCTAATTTTTGTATTTTTAGTTGAGACAGGGTTTTGCCATGTTTGCCAGGCTGGTCTTGAACTCCTGACCTGATCCACCCGCCTCAGCCTCCCAAAGTGCTGGGAATACAGGCTTGAGCCACCATGCCCGGACCCTTTGGATAAACTTTCTACCCCTGTCTCTCTCTCTAGCTTTTCTTTAAGGCCAATACCTCTTAGGTGTGCACTTTTGAGGCTATTTTCTGGGTCTTGTAGGTGTGCTTCATTCTTTTTTATTCTCTTTTGTCCTCTCTGACTGTATATTTTCATGTAACCGTCTCCAAGTTCACTTATTCCTTCTTCTGCTTGGTCAACTCTACTACTGAGAGACTCTGATGAATTCTTCAGTATGTCAATTGCATTTTTCAACTCCCGAATTTCTGCTGGATTCTATTTAATTATTTCAATTTCTTTGTTAAATTTACCTGATAGGATTCTGAATCCCTTCTCTGTGTTAGCTTGAATTTCTTTGAGTTTTCTCAAAATAGCTATTTTGAATTCTCTGTCTGAAAGGTCACATATCTCTGTCTCTCTGGGATTGGCACCTGCTATTTAGTTTATTTAGTGAGGTTGTATTTTCCAAAGTGATCTTGATTCTTATGTACGTTCATCACTGTCTTGGCATCAAAGAGTTGGGTATTTATTGTTGTCTTCACAGTTTGGGCTTGTTTGTACACCTCCACCTTGAAAAGGCTTTCCAGGTATTTGAAGGGACTTGGGTGATATAATCTAAGTTTTTGGTCGCTGCAGCCATATCTACATTAAGGGCACCCCAAGCCCACTAACACTGTAGTTCTTGCAGACTCGTAGAGGTACCACCTTGGTGGTCTTGAATAAGATCCGGAAAAATTATCTGGATTACCAGACAAAGACTCTTGCTCTCTTCCCTTATTTTCTCCCAAACAAACACAGTCTCTCCCTCTGTGCTGAGCTTCCTGAAGCTAGATGAGGGGTGACATAAGCACCGCTGTGGCCACCAATACTGGGACTGGGCTGGGTCAAACCTGAAGTGAGCATAGTACTGAGTCTTACCTACGGCCTGCTGTAACCACTATCTGGCTGCCACCTATATTTGCTGAAGTCTCCAGGGCTCTGCAATCAACAAGTAGTGAAGCCAGCCAGTCTTGTTTCCTTCCCTTCAGGGTGGCAAGTTCCCCTGAGCTCCAGTGGGTCTAGAGATGATGTCCAGGACCCAGGGACTAGATTCAGAAGCCTTAGAAATATACCTGGTGGCTCTATTCTACTGCAGCTACACTGGCACTGAAACCACAAGATTAAGTCTTTTCCACTCTTCCCTCCCTTTTACCCAGGCAGAGGAGCCTCCCCGTGTCCACTACCACCACGTGCCCACAGGGAGTACTGCCAGAGTACGGCCAATGTTCCCTTAATGCACAAGGGCTCTTTAGTCAGCTTATGGTGAATGCTACCAGTCCTGGGACTCACCCTTTAGGGCACTGGACTCCCTCTAGCCCAGGGCAGGTCCATCCTGGGCTAGATATACCATCCACAAGCCGAGGCCTGGAAATTGATACCCCACAAGCCCACTTGGTGCTCTTCCTCACTGTAGTCAAGCTGGTACCTAAGCTGCAAGACAAAGTACCCTGTATACTTCCCTCTCCTTTTCTCAGGCAGAAGAAGTTTCTCGCTGTAGCCATCACAGCTGTGAATAGGCTGGGTCACACCTGAAGCCAGCCCCTCTCAGAGTCTCACCCAAGGCCCACAGCATGTACTAGTTGGTTACCACTACTGATTATTCAGGCCCCAAGAGCTCTTTAGTCAGCAGATGATGAATCTTGCCAGGACTGACTCCTTCCTTTCAAGGCAGTGGGTTCCCTTCTGGACCAGGGTGTGTCTAGAAATGTTTTCCAGGAGCTAGGGCCTGGAAAGGGGGCCTCATGACTGATACCCAGTACCCAGTCCTGCTGTGGCTGAGCTGGTATCCAAGTTGCAAGGCAAGGTCCTCTTTACTTTTCCCTCTTCTTTCCTCAAACAGAAGGAAGGGGTCTCTTTTGGACCAGCAAGCTGTGCTACCTGGGGTTGGGGCAGGGGTGATGCAAGCACTCCCTTAGCTGCACCAACTGCTCTCTGACTTGGTCATGTGTCCCCTAAACCCACTGGCTCCAATCCCAGCATATCTCCACAATTTACCTAGAAGGTGCACTCTTTGTGGCCTAGACAGCCTATCAAGTTTATTTAGGATCACAGAGCACTTTAGCCTGCGATTGCGAGGCTAACCAAGACTCAGTTCCAACTGCTGGGATGGGTGAATACCCTCTTGCTGTGGCTCTTTATAATGTTCCCTCTGTGGGCACAGGCTGAGTTCTGCCACATGTTGGCAGCGCTGAGTTCCAGTGTAAAGTCCTCCAGTTGCTGTGCTTTCCCTCCCCTAAGTGCACGATTCTCTATGCCATGTGGCCACTGCTGGTAGATGGGGAAGGGGTGGTGTCAGCAATTCGGGACTGTCTTTTCTATCCACTTCAGTGCCTCTTTCAGTGTTGTGAAGGTAAAACCAGTTACTGTGATCATCCACCTGATTTTTGGTTCTTATGAAGTGTTTTTTTGTGTAGATAGTTGTAAAATTTGGTATTCCTGCAGGAAGGAAGATCGGTGGAGGCTTCTACTTGCCATCTTGCTCCACCTGCTCACAGATAGTATTTTTGTTTTTTCAGGAGGAGAAGGCTTCCACAGGCAGTTCTTAAAAATAAAAACAAATCATTATTTCTTCCCCCCTCAACCCCCACCCCCACACTTTTTCTGGAGTCTAAAATTTGCTTCTTTGGGTACCAAAGTTTTTGCTCTTCCTTGATTATTACACACTCTGTGTGTCTCATCTCACTAACTATAATCTCATGTTTTTTTCCCAATTATTTCCTACTTTCACTCAGAGCTTTTGTCAAGAGGATTTGGGTGTAAGAGGGAGAAAAATACTTTCATAGAAAAGCATTTTTATACAACTTAACCAGGATTAAGTCTGATATCTGCTAGGCTCCCTTAAGCCAGGCTGTAGGAAAAAGAATAATGGAAGAAGAACAATGCAAGAAGCCAAGTCAAAGCAAAACTCTGAATGTTCAAAATTTTCAAAATAGATTTGTATAACTTCCCACACCTTTTGTTCCAATCATATTCAGTAGCAGCCTAATAAAGATAATCCCATTATGAGGACACCCCATTATAATCACATTGTGGGGACAACAATCAAACTACTGAGGAGTATATAACAGGAAAAAATAAGATTAATAGAGTCATGTGATCAGCTCATTGTTGAGTAACTTCTGCCATTAAAGGTACAAATTGTCAGACTGCAAATAGTCTAGAAAGCCAAACACAAAAATTCAATAGCAATAATGTATCTTCAAGGGGTGATTGAAAGTCTGATGATTTTCAGTCAGTGAAAAATGGGAACAGATGGGAGAGGTAGGGAAGGACTCCAAGCCATGTGTCCTTCCCCACCTGAAGCTTTCAGCAGGAATCATAAATCTGGCAGGCAGTATCCTCTGAAATCTGCGCAGTGTTTGCTCTTGATTGGATATTTTCCTCACATACATGTGCTGATGAGACTCAGTTGCAAGGCAGACCCTCTGCAGATCTCTGGAGTTCTTTGAATGTCTCCTCTCGGGTGGTCTTCTCTGTGTGCTCTAGCTACCTTGACTTCCCTGGACTCTCACGTCCATCTCCTCAACTTAGGGAGACCAACAGGCTATTCCTGGGTTTCTCTTCCTTGCTTCTTGGCCTAGAAACTTCCTACAAGAAAAAGCTGGGCCAATTTTAAGGTTTTCTGTCTTCTGAGGATCACTGTCCTTCAATGTTTGACATGCAATATGTTGAGGGCTGCTGTTTCATATATTTTATATAGTGTTTTAGTTGGGAGAGTAAATCCAGTCCTCAATACTTCCATTTTGATCCAAATCAAAACTCTCAGTTTAATTGTTTTCTGCTTCGAAATGAATACTTCTTTCCTTCTGGTAGTCCTTTAGTGTGTGGAGTTGAACCAGTCTAATTAGGAGGTGGGTGAGGTGTGGAATTTATTGTTGTCATGCTTCTCTCACTGCACATCAGGCTTCAGATTGCTCTGTGCTTAGGCTGGGGGCTGGCTTACTAGAGGATTTATTTCAGTGTCTACTCCAACCTCAAACTTTAGGTCTTCTCTTTTTGGTGTTCCTTAGAAAAGGCCGCACCCCCAAGCTCTTGGCCCTCTCCCAGCAGACCAGGGGTAGATTGCCCTTACCTGTTATTTGATGCTTTTTTTTGTTGCCATTGAGACAGGGTTTTGCTCTGTCACCTAGGATGGAGTGCAGTGGCATCACGGCTAACTGCAGCCACAACCACCCATGCTCAATTAATTCCCCCACCTCAGCCTTTCGAGTAGCTGGGACCACAGACACATGTCATCATGCCTGGCTAATTTTGGTATTTTTTTTCTATAGAGACAGGGTTTTACCACATTGCCCAGACTGGTCTTGAACTCTTGAGCTCAAGGATCTGCCCACCTCCCAAAGTGCTGGGACTACAGGCATGAGCCACCACACATGGCTGACAGGTGGCATTCTCTATTCTAATTAACGCTATCTCAGGCAATGTGCCCCTGAGTCTCAGGGTGGGGACTTTCCAGTGATCCAGTTTTCTCCCAGCTGTTGGTATGAGCCCAATAAATGTTCTATTTCCCTACAGGGTAATTGTTTTTTCTTTTTCTTTCTCTTTCTTGCAATGGGGCTTCACCAGGGCTCTGAAGGGTGACTGAGTTCCATGCCCTTTTTCCAGCAGCTGAAGATGTGTTTCATAGAGATACAGGGAAGAGGGATCCATTGGAGGTCTTCTTTCCTTTTCTACAGCAGCTTCTGTTCTCTCCTTCCCCCAACCTTCTCCACCACTCTCCCGCTCCACCCCATCTGCTCCATAAGAGATGCTTTCTCAGCACTGTCACTGCCTCCAAGAAAAGGAAAAACAGGCTGGGTGTGGTGGCTCAAGCCTGTAATCCCAGCACTTTGGGAGGCAGATCACGAGGTCAAGAGATTGAGATCATCCTGGCCAACATGGTGAAACCCTGTCTCTACTAAAAATACAAAAATTAGCTGGGCGTGGTGGCACACGCCTGTAGTCCCAGCTACTCAGGAGGCTGAGGCAAGAGAATCACTTGAACCCCAGAGATGGAGGTTGCAGTGAGCCAAGATCACGCCACTGCACTCCAGTCTGGGCGACAATAGCAAAATACTCAGTCTCAGGAAAAAAAAAAAAAAGGAAAGGAAAAACAACACAGCCTGGATGACAGTACATTTGTTTACAGAAGCATTTACTAAATATTTTAAGTCCACTATTGAGACATATTGCTCAGATACAAAGATTTCTTACAAAATATTACTGCTCATTGACAATGTAGCTGGTAATCTAAGAGCTCTTATAAAGATATACAAAGAGATTAATGTTGTTTTCATGCCTGCTAAAACAGCATCCATTCTTTAGCTCATGGATCAAGTAGTTTTGACTTTCGAGTCTTATTATTTAAGAAACACATTTCAGGCTGGGCGCAGTGGCTCATGCCTGTAATCCCAGCACTTTGGGAGGCCTAGGCAGGTGGATCACCTGAGGTCAGGAGTTCAAGATCAGCCTGGCAAACATGGTGAAACCCCATCTCTACTAAAAATACAATAATTAGCTGGGCAAGGCGGTGGGGGCCTGTAATCCCAGCTGCTGAGGAGGCTGAGGCAGGATAATCACTTGAACCCGGCAGGTGGAGGTTTCAGTGAGTCGAGATTGTGCCACTGCATTCTAGCCTGGGCAACAAGAGCAAAACTCAGTCTCAGAAAGAAAAAAAATACATTTCATAAGACTATAGCTGCCATCGAGAGTGATTCCTCTGATGGATCTGGGCAAAGTAAATTGAAAACCTTCTGGAAAGGATTAACTGTTCTAGATACCATTAATATGTGTGATTTATAGGAGGAGGTCAAAATATCAACATCAACAAGAGTTTGGAAAAAGTTGACTCCAACCCTCATGGGTGAGTTTTAGGGTTTGGGACTTCAGCGAAGGAAGTCATTGAAGATGTGGAGGAAATAGCAAGAGTTAGATTAATTCTAGAGTTAATTCTAATTCTAATTTGAATCTTAGTTAGAATTAGATATGGAGCCTGAAGATGGGACTGAATTGCTACAATCTCATGATAAAACTTGAACAGATGAGGAGTTGCTTCTTATGGATAAGCAAAGAAAGTAGTTTTTGAGATGGCATCTACTCCTGGTGAAGATGCTGTGCACATTGTTGAAATGACAACAAAGGATTTAGAATATTACATAAACTTAGCTAATAAAGCCATGTCAGAGTTGAAGAGGATTGACTGATTTCAAAATAAGTCCCACTGTGGTTAAAATACTATCAAACAACATCACATGCCATAGGGAAATCTTTCACGAAATGATCAATAGAGCAAACTTCATTGCTGTCTTATTTTGAAAAATTGCCACAGATACCTTAACCTTCACTAACCAACATTTTGATCAGTCAGCAGCCATCGACATGGAGACAAGACCACCCACCAGCAAGAAGATTACAACTCATTGAAAGCTCTGATAATTGTTATCACTTTTAAGCAATAAACTTTTTTGTTTCTTTGCTTTGTTTTTTTGTAGAAACAAGGTCGGGGTCTTGCTTTGTTGTCCAGGTTGGTCTCGAACTCCTGGCTTCAAGTGATCCTACTACCTTGGCCTCCCAAAGTGTTGAGATTATAGATATAAGCCACTGCACCCAGCTGCAGTAAAGTATTTTTAAGTTAAGATATGTACTTTTAAAAGACATAATTCATTGCACTACAGTACAGTGTAAACATAAATTTTATTTGCACTGGGAAGCCAAAACATTCATGTGACTTGCTTGTTGTGGTATTTACCGTATTGCAGAGGTCTGGAACCAAACCTGCAATATCTCTAAGGTATGCCTGTGTTCTTCAGATGTATCTTTCTCTAGAGAACTTACATCATTTTCTGGCCTTCTCTAGTTCATTTTTTATAATCAAGTGCTTGTTTCTGAGGGACATACTAATAAATGCACGAATTGGCTTAAATCAGGGAAACTGAGACTTTTAGTACTGAGGACTATTCAAAATTCCTTCTTAAATGTATCTCATTCTCCTGAAGGTTTAGAAATTCTTTAAATATGACTCTCAAATCTGCATTTGGCCTGGTTCAAAATCTACTCTCCCTAGATTTAAGTGGAGATTATACCTTTATTGTCACCAACACAAGTTCAGGTGGAAAGGGAGAAGACGTAATGGAAGGCATCTACTCACAGGACATTCCCTATATGAATGTCATAGGAGATGCCCAAGGCCCATGACTCCAGGTATGTTTCTGGAAATGGGGGAGCTGCAGACACTTAAGTCTGGTTTTGGAATATTGTCACTTCTAGCCCCCTTTCTTGGTCCTGTATGAAAAATATGAGCAAGCAGAAAACCCATGGAATCATTTTGGAGAAATATTCAGTCCCAATAAATAATTGTCAGTATAAGCTTATATGTATGAATATCTCAACAAAACAGCTGGGTTCCTATCTAATGACCCATCAGACAAAAGAAAAAAGCAAAAATTATAGATATTATAGTAAGAATGTCATAAGGAAAAAGACACCAAAATGATAATAAGAAGAAGAAATTTTGGGTGAAACAGAGATTTTGTATGGAAAAATATTTCAAAAAGAAGGACAGCAGTAATAAAAATTGTCAGAGAGATACAGGTAGTTTTCTTGGTCTGCTTGAGCTACTATAACACAATATCATAGACTGGATGGCGTATAAACAACAGAAATTTATCTTTCATTGTCCTGGAGGCTAAGAAGTCCAAGGTCAAGGTGCCAGCAGATTCAGTGTCTGGTGAGGGCGTGCTTCCTGGTTCATAGACTGCTGTTTTTTTGCTGTGTTCTCCACGGCAGAAAAGGTGAGGGACCTCTCTGGGTCCTCTTTTGTAAGAGCACTAATTCCATTCATGAGGGCAGAGCCTCCCAAAGATCCCACCTCCAAATACCCTCAATTTAGGGATTAGATTTTAAAATATAAATTTGCAGAGGGATGGGGAGAGGAACACAAACATCCAGTCTATAGCATTACAGCATGCACATATAAGCCTATAATTTTATGAAAAAGGAATAATCTCTGAACAAGAAAAAACTCTTGGAAATTAGAATTTTGAT
Organism: Homo sapiens; assembly: GCF_000001405.40. Lineage (NCBI taxonomy): Eukaryota > Metazoa > Chordata > Mammalia > Primates > Hominidae > Homo > Homo sapiens. The sequence goes on along the minus strand of NC_000006.12, from coordinate 57,034,390 downwards.
GGAAAAATAAATAATTTAATAGATTGGTTTAAAATATGTAATAAAATCTCCCAGAAAGCAGGAAAAAGAAAGAAGCAAGGAGATTAAAAAATTATAAAGATAAGAAGTCAACAGAATCAATATATTATTATCAAATTGACAAATTAATTGGAATACTGGAAATATCTATCTATGTCTATGTCTCTGTATGTCCCCAGAATTAAAGGACGTAAGTATCCAGTTTGAAAGGGTCCATCATGTGCCCAGTGCAATTAATAAAAAAGGATATGCAACAAAGCAAATTTCCATCAAATTCTACTATATTGGGGAAAGAGAAAAATTAAAGGAGCCTCGGAGAGAATGGAGAAACATTTTCTGAATAAAATAATGAGAATTAGAATGATGGTAGTCTTCATTGTAACATAGGGTTTCCAGATTTAGTAAATAAAAATACAGGACACGCAGTTAAATTTGAATTTCATATGATTGAGTAACTATTTAGTGTAAGGTTATGCCAATTTTACATGAGATATACTTATAGTGAGAAATATTCATTTTTCATCTGATTCAAATTTAACTGAGCAGTCATCTTTACCAGCAATCCTGCAGTAGCAGCACTGGATCTAACTCTCCCGTATGATTATGAAAGTGGACTTTCTTACCTTTTTGCTCCTCTAAGAAATAAGAAAAAAACAACACAGAGAAATAAAAACAGGACAACAACAGTAAAAACAAAATACCAGGTCTGGTATCTTTAGCGATGTAAGTGACCGAAAATCTCTACCGAATCCAAAGACTTTTAAAAGTTGCTGTTGGAAGTTAAATTGGGCAAAAATGCAAAGAGAATGTCAAGGTACTTCATGAATGGTAGATCTCAGACAGCATCAATAAAAGTATACTTCCTGAAAATGAAACCACCTTTGCAAAAGTTATAACAGTGAGAAAATTTTGACAGTGGAGGGGATCTGACCTAACCAACTCCATTTTGCTTCTAACCTCCAAGCTGCCCTTGCTCATTCCAGACCAAAGTTCAAGAAAAATATTTCAAGACACATGTCTTCCATCTACCCTGCCAGCTACTTAAGTGTTCTTTTGGTTTATACCAAACTCCCAGAAGGGTATTAACCTTGCAGATATTTGCTTGCCCCTTGTAAAATTACCTGCATTGCGGGTAAACCTAGCGGTATGCCCTTGAGTTTTTATTGAAAATCATTGTAAGAAGAGATATATGTAAATTAAGATATGCTTAAACCCACCATTTGACAGATACCTGATAGAAGTTGCCTCATTCAAATCTAAACTTTGTGAGTAAGTGGTATCATCCCTATTTTATAATTAACTAAACTGAGACAAGTAAAATGGTATTTTGTCCAAAGGTATGGTGTTTGGACATGTCAGAAACAGAAGTAAAACCCAAGTCTATGCTATTTTTAGTCTAGAACAATAGTCAACATCTTCTACATTTGCTGCAAAACAAATATGATTGTCCATTGTAAAATTTTACATGATATTCCTTATTAAAATTTCCTCCAGAATTTAATGCAATAAAACCTTTATTTCACTGAGCAACTGCTTGCATCTTTGTTTCTTTAATAAAATATGTAATTTGCCTGGGTGCGGTGGCTCACGCCTGTAATCCCAGCACTTTGGGAGACCAAGGCGGGTGGATTGCTTGAGGTCAGGAGTTTGAGAACAGCCTGTCCAACATGGTGAAACCCTGTCTCTACTAAAAATACCCAAGTTAGCTGGGCGTGGTGGCAGGCATCTGTAATCCCAGCTACTGGGGAGGCTGAGGCAGGAGAATTGCTTGAACCCGAAAGGCAGAGGTTGCAGTGAGCTGAGATCACACCACTGCACTCCAGCCTGTGTGACAGAGTGAGACTCCGTCTCAAAAAATAAAAATAAAAACAACTATGTAACTTATAACTTTTACCTCAGAAACTCAAATTTAACTCAGTCACAACATCTATGTTAACCAGTATAGTAGTTCCTTTGCAAACTGCTGCCAATATTTCTTCTTTTGGAAATCAATGGTATATAAATAAACAAGTATAAATACACACTCATGCAGACATGAAGACAGTCAGTCAAACTGTATCAGAGGAATTGATATACACATAATACTACTTAATACTAGTGAAAAAGAGGTAAGTGCCAAAAGATAGGTTCAGATACATTGTCGCAATATTAAAGATGGGAAGAGGTGAACTTGGTTTCTCGAGTCGCCCACTTGGCCCTCTTCCAAGTTGTACTTTCCTTCTTTTCTTTCCTTTCCTTCCTGTTCTAAATAAAGCTTTTTAATAAACTTGCACTCCTGCTCTGAAACTTGCCTCGGTCTCTCCTTCTACTTTATGCCCTTCAGTTGAATTCTTTCTCCTGAGGAGGCAAAAATTGAGGTTGCTGCGGACCCCTGTGGATTCGCCGGTAGCAACTCTGAAGACTCCTGTGTATACCTGTTAAATAAATTTGGATGCTTTTTTCTACTATTGATCAATCTGCCTCATGTTAGTGATGTAACTGCCCAAAGAGTTCACCTTGCCTGCTGCTTAGACAGAGCTGATTTATCAAGACAGGGGAACTGCAATGGCCAAAGAGTAGTTCAAGGAGATCCTGCTGTGTGGGAGACCAGAGTTTAATTATTGTTCAAATCAGTCTCCCCGAGCATTCGGGATCAGAGTTTTTTTTGGTTTTTTTTTTTTTTTGCCTTTAAGCTTATTTATTTATGGGATCTGGTTTCACTGTGGGTGGCACTTCCACTTTAATGCAATGATCAAAAACATTAAGATCTATGACAGGATGGATATTGGGACAGTAAGCATGGCAATGTCATTGTTGCCAAGCCAAATTTTACAAGAGGCAAAGGAAAGCAAAGGGTAACTAGAATGCAGAGGTTCTTCATCATCATCTTCAATCAGCTGTCACAGAATTTCCCACTATTGAACCTCCCTTACAATTCTTACTTCTCCCCACCCCACCAGGTATCTGAAATAGAAAAAGAAGGAAATAATTATCCCTGAGAGACTTCTGCCTCCTTCTTTTTTCTTTTCAATAGCAACTTCAACTGTTGACAGAGTTTCCTTAGGATTCAAAGAAAAATTTTGAAGCTGAAAACAGAATAGTCTGTTTTTAAATAAATCTTAAAATATTTTCATTTCACACCCTTGTTCCATGAGGAAAAAATTTACATAGTGACGAATATGTTTTGTTCAGGCAGTGTGCAATAATAAAGTTTAGGCCAAATTAGATTTATAATTAGGAAACAAATGCTGGTTTGGTACTAAATTTAGGGATAAAATGAACCCATACCCACATATGTACTTATAGACACTAAAGCACAGAACAGATAATCTAGCTAGCATCCAGTGTTTCTTGACTTTGGCTGAATCTCTGTTCCCCAGAACAGACTGTAAGCTCCAAAAGGTGGGGATCATATTTTGGTCAGCTTTGGATTTCTTCAACACATTGCAGTGTTCATGCAAAGAGCCACTCACAGAAATTGTTGAATTCACTCAAAAAAGAAAACAATTTTGGCTGGGTAGAGTGGCTCGTGCCTGTAATCCCGGCATTTTGGGAGGCCGAGGCGGGAGGACGGCCTGAACCCAGGAGTTAGAGACCAGCTTGGACAACATAGTGAGTCCCCGTCTTTATGAAAAAACTTTCAAAAATTAGCTGGGTGTGGTGGCACACTGCCTGCACTCCCAGCTACTCTGGAGGCCGAGGCAAGAGGATCACTTGAGCCCAGGAGGTTGAGGCTGCAGTGAACTGAAATCATGCCACTGCACTCCAGCTTGGGCAACAGAGCAAGACCCCATCTCAAAAACAACAACAACAATAACGCAATTTTTATAAAACAGTTAATGAGGCTTGCTAAGGTGGCAGTAGACCCAAACGTAGATGTTCAAACAATGCCATTCTTACCCGTTTTGGAGTGAAACAGTGAAAGGGAAAGGACAGAGAATTAAACCAAATTAAACTAAAATCTCCAAGTCTGTAGTAAAAAAGAACTGCAGCAGGTTTAGTCAGTGAAAATTTTTTTTTCCCCTGAGACGGAGTCTCGTCCTGTTGCCCAGGCTGGAGTGCAGTGGCACCATCTCAGCTCAAGGCAACCTCCGCCTCCCGGGCTCAAGCGATCCTCCTGCCTCAGCCTCCCGAGCAGCCGGGACCACAGGCATGTGCCACCATGCCCGGCCAATTTTGTATTTTCAGTAGAGACAGGGGTTTCTCCATGTTGGTCAGGCTGGTCTCGAACTTCTGACCTCAGGTGATCCCGCCCGCCTTGGCCTCCCAAAGTGCTGGGACCACAGGTGAGCCATCGCACCCAGCCTGAAAATGGTTTTTAAAACATATTTTAATGAAAACACTTTCTCACCATCTTTAAATAAAAACAATTTGCATTTTCCAATCGGAAGCTGCTAGGGCACTAGGACTCATGTGCTTTCTACTCCACAGGTTTCAGATGCCACTGCACTACTAACTCCCCAGTGCTTTTGAGGCATGTGTTAGACATGTTCTCCTCTGTTGGAAGTCCTTGTGGCAACTTCAATTCTTATCAAATGCTTAACCACTTTCAATTTTGCATTCACTGAAGGGAATTCTGGTGAACTTGAGGGATATGTGATTTTTCCAATCCAAGCTTCTTTATTATATCTTTTTCCCAATATGGACGTATTTTGTACTTTTTATTCTGGTAACAATATGCAGTTTATGAGGGTTCTGTGGATCCCCACCATATTTTTCATGATCTTCAGGTGAGGCGTGAAACACTTTATCTGGAATTTTTGATCTGGTGAATTTGTGACGAATCCAATCTGTACAAATGAGACTCTACACCTTTTGTCACGGTCTGTAGTCTGCCTGGGGGCCTCTGAACTACTAAGCGCAAAGTCTCAGCCGTAAGTGTAGTGATTGCTCTCTTTAGAGGCAGCACTCGCTAAACGTTCAGACTGAACTTTTCCACCGAAGGGCGGGATCAGAGTTTTTAAGGATAATTTGGCGGGTATGGGCTCAGAAAGTGGGGAGTGCTGATTGGTCAGATTGCAGATGAAATCATAGGGGGTCAAAGTGAGTTCTTGCTGACTTCTGTTCCTGAGTGGGATTGCAGAACTGGTTGAGCCAGATTGTTGGTCTGGGTGGTGTCATCTGCTGCATCGCAATGCAGGGTCTGCAAAATATCTCAAGTACTGATCTTAGGTTTTGCAACAGTGATGTTATTCCCAGGAGGAATTTGGGGGAGGTTCAGACTCTTGCAGCCAGAGGCTGCATGGCCCCTAAACCATAATTTCTAATCTTGTAGCTAATTTGTTAGTCCTACAAAAGCAGACTGGTGGCCAGGCAAGAAGAGGTTTTTTGGGAAAGGGCTATTATCAATTTTGTTTCAGAGTTTAAACTATAAATTATTTCCCAAGGTTAGTTCGGCCTATGCCCAGGAATGAACAGACAGTTTAGAGGTTAGAAGGAAGATGGGGTCAGTTAGGTCTGATCTCTTTCACTGTCATAATTTCCTCAGTTATGATTTTTGCAAAGGCAGTTTCAGTGATTTTTAGCAAATCTTTATGGGGGTCAAGAGCCCATGACATCCACAATAACTCACTGCAGCCTTGACCTCCTGGGCTCAAGTGATCCTCCCACCTCAGCTTCCCAAGTAGCTGGGACTACAGGCACAGGCCACAATGCCCAGCTAATTTTTCTTTCTTTCTTTCTTTCTTTTTTTTTTTTAGTAAAGACGGTTTTGTGATGTTGCATGCCCGGCCAAGGGCTTTGCTCTTTGTTTACAGGTCCTGAAGGGCCTGGGAAGTGCAGGGCTGGTGACAGAAACCCTTTCAAATTCAGCTTAGATCAGAGAACTAGAGGAAGCAAGGATGCACAAAAAAATTTCCCAGAAAAGCCATACCTGTCAGGATCACTGGTCTCTGTGACAGCAAAGAAAGGGCCTTTGCAAGGTTTAAAGCCCAAAAGAAAACCCTGGCGTCTCCTACCATCCATGAAACTGCCTGTAAATTGCTGGTCCAGGAAAAACTATGTCATTAAACAATAAGTGTTCAAGAAAGACTATAGTGCAGCATCAATACAAAGATTTTATAAGAAACAATTCAATAAAGCTGGAAAAATGGATAAATGCATGAAAACATTCGCAAGAAGGATGATTTCACAGAACTAGCGAGAATGCTGACCATGTCATATATCCACCACAGGGTAAAGTTTTTAGTGAAATGATCACCTCTGTGTAGGAAAATCACAGAACACACATGTAGGAACTCATGTTAGTAAGTGTTTTCTTCGGCATTTTGGCTGAACTACCTTTGTATTGAAAATGTATTTCTTATTCAGAGAACATAAAAATATTCTTGCATTTAAAAGTTTTTTCATCTGAGTCCATTTTTTGCTTTTCATTCATCTGAAAGTTTCTATGTAATATGATTTGAAGTAGGAATATAACAATGTTTTCCATTTATTAGTTGTCTCAGTATCATTGAATAAACCTTCCTTTCCCTACTTATTAAAGATTCTGCTTTAACCATATTCTTAAGTATTATACATGTGAATACATAATATATATATATATAGACACATACATGTATATGAATTGCTTGCTGGGCACTCTCTTCAGTTTTATTAGTTTTCTTATTCTGTAACTCATTTAGAACCAATTTACAAAGATGAATAAAAAATACATTTATTCTATTATCTATAAAGATATCAACATATTTCAAAATACATAAGAAAAGACCATACAAGTTCCAGTTGAATAATACGGTTATGTTTTGCAAAAGTAATTTTATTTACCTTTAGTAGGCAAAACTTACATTATCAAGTAGCATTTTTAATAAAGCAAATAGCATACATCTTAGTAAGATTATCCTTTCTCAATAAAAATATTAAATGTATTTACTTTCCTGGACGTTGTCTATATATCCTACATAGCATGGCTCTTTACAAGAAAAATGAGTCAGAGCTACATAGTCAAATCGTAATGGTAATGCCTTAATGGATGAGTGAAAAAGCTATCAGCCTAGAAAAAAATATTTCCCTAATTTTTATGCATTAATAAAGAAACAAGAAAATAAGTTTTATCTTTTAAATGGGATTTATTTATGTTTACATAAAGGTAGCAAATGTTACATAAGTTGTTTCCTTAAGAACATTTATTTTGTACAATCACATTGTTATCAAGCAAGACTTATGGAAAATTTCCTGGGTCCACAACACTGAACTTTGAAACTACTGTAGCATCCTCTTTTCCAAGTTTAAACATGACTTTGTGCACTGAAGAAGTATGGCTTCGCATTGCACAGTGGTCACATGTGACAACCTGACACCAAGCGAGAAGCCTTTTGATGAAGAATGTTTTATCTTTTGTTGAGTTACAAAATGGTACTTTCATGTGTGTGATTATCAAACCCATATTTTTTTTCAGTTCATTTCTGCTACAATAAAAATAAACCAGTTAAAACTAAGCAGTATAGCAATGTAATCGACCAACTATCTATCATGTTATATCTTATATACGATGTGTTAGGTGATATTGATGCTTTATATTACACATCTGTATTTAATATACTTTGGGCAATACAAAGTTAGAACATGTCTGGTAAATAAACAAACAAAAAGATTTCCCTGAAAATTGATGCATTGTTTTAACAATCACAAAAACTTAGGTTTATTCTTCAGAAGTGTGGTGGAATTGCTTAACATTAAAATAAAACATCTTGCTGTTGTCATTTTTTTCATATTCCCATTTTATACATTTTTAGATAACAGAATAATCCTGTAATTTTATTGCTAAAACATTATTACTTGGTTAGACATGATTATCAGATTTTGGGCTGACTTTGTTGTTCTCATATTTGCCAACATTAATTATTTCACTGTTTACTTTTGCAAGCATGTGCTTATGCTAAAGATCCAAAAACTATAATGGGAAGTCACTGGTAATAATCAATGTACAATGATTGGTTAGGACAATGACTAACCTATGGGCTGAAGTTTTGGCTGCTATGATAAGAGCTCTGACTATCCTGTTAGATTAACTGTACAGAGGGGTATTTGGGGATTGGGAAATGCTTATTTCCAAAGAAACCATATTGCATGCTTATTTGACTGGCAGAAATTCTCTGGTTTGATGCATCACTAGTACTGAGGGTGGAATCTACATGCAGCTTCTTCAGCAAGCTTGTTGGTCCCTTAGGAGAGCTCAGCAATGTTACATATGTCTTACAGCCTGTCACTGCACATGTCTGTCTTTCTCACTGCCAGGAAGGCTGCAGATTCTCCAACAAAATCCAGTGCTAGATTTAGAATTGAAGGTGCTTTGTTTCAGATACCTGTAATACCTACAAAAAGCAAATTTCAAAGAAATACAAATTTATGTTAACATTCTCGTAGTATTTTAACAGTTATATGAGTTATTTGTTTTTGTATCTACTACAAATTTGTATTAAAAATACAAATTGTTGAGGGACTCTGGTTCCAAAATAGCAGTGTAGAAGCAAGCTGGCTTCACTCCCTATCACAGAAAACCAAAAACAAACATACAGTGCCAAGATTTTCACCAGCAATATCCCAGAACTCAAGTAAGAGGATGAAACAGTTTCCCAGGCCACAGAGAAGTTAAAAAATAAAAACGAAAAGCTCCAAGCAGGTGGTAAGAGATTCAGGCTTCCTTATCCACAATAATCCTCTCCCCTAATATCCCCAGCATCAAACACAAGGAAAATTTCTTCCTGACTCAGTTTCTACACTGCAAAAAGTGAGATCAAGGTGGACAGTGAGCTTCCTCATCATCTTGAGGCACCAAATCAGAGTGCCTGTTCAGCAGGACTACACTGTAAGAGGTGTGTTCCACAGGTCCCCTGAGCATGGATCCCTAGCCAGCCTTTTCACATAACCAGGATATCCTCTTTGGGACATCCCCCATTCAGGTCAGGCAGCACTCTGATTGCTGGCTAGAACTGAGGCAAACTTGGGCTTAAGGCACCAGTTAGTGCCAAAAAGGAGGCAGTGACCTAGTTGGGAAAAAAGAGAAAATCAACTGGTATATTACAAATAAGCAAACATATCCAATAAAAACCAAAACAAGTCAGACCAAAAAGACAGAAATAAATAACTAGTCTTTCAATGCAAAGTCATAGATGTAGATCCACAAGAAATAATAGCAAACAGGAAACAATGACCTCTTCATACAGACAAAGCAAGAAATCAGTGACTGACCTTAGTGAGACGGTGATATGTGAACTCTCTGACCAAGAATTCAAAATAGCAGTTTTAGGGAAACTATGTGACCTCCCAGAAAACAGAAAAACAATTCATAAATTTATCAGAGATATTTAACAAAGAGATAGGAATAATTTAAAAAATCAAACAGAAATCTTGGAATTGAGAAATACATTTGCTGAACTGAAAAATTCATTAGAGGCTCTCAACAGCAGAATGGATTAAGTGGAGAAAATAACCTGTGAAATCAAAGACAGGCTTTTTGAAAATATACAGTCAGAGGAGCAAAAAGAAACAAGAATGAGAGGAATGAAGGTCACCTCCAAGATACAGACAATTAACTCAAAAGACCAAATCGAAGACTTATTATTATTCAAGAGGGAATCACACAAGAGCAAGGAGTGGAAAGTGCTTTTTAAAAAATAGTAACAGAAAACTTCCCAAAACTTGAGGAAGAGCTAAATATCCAGGTACAGGAAGGTCAGAGAACACCAAACACATTCAACTCAAATAAGACTACCCAAAAGCATGTAACAAATTCTCAAACATCAGGGACAAAGCAGGATTCTAAGAGGAGCCAGAGAGAAGAAGCAACTAACATATAAAGGAATTCAAATTCACCTGGCAATAGACTTCTCAACAGAAACCACGCAGGCCAGAAAGGAGTGAAACAACATTTTCAAAGGGCTCAAAGGAAAAAAAAAAACTGTCATCCAAAAATACTGTATCCAGCAGAGTTATCTTTCAAATGCGAAGGATATGTAAAATCTTTCCCAGAGAAACAAAAGCTGAGAGAATTCATCACCAACAGTCTCATAAGAAATCTAAAGAGAGCTCTTTAGTCTGAAAGACAAAAATGCTAATGTGCAAGAACAAAACATCTGAAGGTATAAAACCCACTGGTAAAATTAAGTATACAAACAAACCTAAAATTATCTAAAACTGTAATTGTCATTTACAATCCACTCATAACACCACTACAAAGCTCAAAAGACAAATGTATCAAAACAATAACATCTACAGCAACCTATTAAGAGATAGGCAATATAAAAACATGTCAATGAGACAACATAAAGTCAAAATGTGGGGTGAATGCAATTAAACCGTAGACCTAAGAAACCCCTTTATAAAGTTTTTTTAAAACTTCTTTGTAATAAAAATCGTCATCTTTTAAAAACAACTTCTTATGTGTATATTTTTATAAGCTTCATAGTAACCACAATGCAAAAACCTTTAATAGATTCACTAAAAATAAAAAGCAACAAATTACAACATATTACCAGAGAAAATCATTTAACCACAAAGGAAGACAGTACAAAAGGAAGAAAGGAAGAGAGGAGTTAGAAAATATACAAGCTACAAAATAGCAGTAGTAAGTCCTGATCAATAATAACACTGAGCCTAGGCAACATAGTGAGATCCTAGCTTACTAGCTAGGTGTGGTGGCATGTGCCTATAGTCCTAGCTACTCAGAAGGCTGTGGTAGGAAGATCGCTGGAGCCCAAGAAGTTGAGGCTGCAGTGAGTCATGATCACACCACTGCCTGGACAAGAGTAAGACCTTGCCTCAAAGAAAAATAGTAACATTGAATGTAAATGGACTCAGTTTTCCAATTAAAAGGTATAGGATGGCTGAATGCAAAGAAACAAGACCCAACTACCATGTTGCCTATGAGAAAGCCACTTCACCTATAAAGACACACATCGATTGAAAGTGAAGGTGTAGAAATAGATACGTGATGCAACTGGGAACCAAAAAAGAGCAGAAGTAGTTATATCAGGTAAAACAGGTACAAGTCAAAGACTGTAAAAAGAGACACAGGAGGTCACTTATAATAATAAGGAAGTCATTTCAGCAAGAGGCTATAATAGTTTAAAATGTCTATGCACACAACACAAGAGCTCCCAAGTATATAAAGCAAACATTAATAGATCTAAAGGGAGAGACAGATTGCAATATAATAATACTGAGGAACTTCAACACCTCACTCTCAATAATGGACAGATCCTCCAGACAGAAAATTGACAAGGAAACACTGGAGTTAAAGTACACCATAGATCACATAGGCCAAACTGATATTCACAGAATATTTCACCCAACTGTTATAAAATACACATTGTTTTCATTAACACATGGCACGTTCTCCAGAATAGGCTATATCTAGGCCACAAAACAAGTCTCAATAAATTCAAAACAGTAGAAATCATATCAAGTATTTTTTATGACCACCATGGAATGACACTAGAAACTGATAACCTGAGGGTCTCAGAAAATGCACAAACACATGGAAATTAAATAACAAGCTCGTGAATGACCAATGAAGTAATTAAGAAAAAAAGTATAAAATTTCTTGAAACAAATGTAAATGGAGATACAACATTCCCAAATCTATACTATACAGCAGAAGCAGTACTGAGATGGAAGTTTGTAGCAATAAACACCTATATCAAAAAAGTAGAAAGACTTCAAATAAACAACCTAATGGTGTACCTCAAAGAACTAGAAAAGCAGGAACAAACGGAGCCTAAACCTAGTAGAAGGAAAGAGATAATAAAGATCAGAGCCAAAAAACAAAAAACAAACAAACAAAAAAGGAGATTTAAAAAACCAGATCAATGAAAGAAAAAACTGGTGTTTTTAGAAGACAAAGAAAATCAGCAAACCATTAGCCAGACTAAGAAATAACAAAGAGAAGGCCAAATAAATAAAATGAGACATGGAAAAGGATACATAATAACCGAGACCACACAAATACAAAGACTCATTAGAGAGTATTATGAAAAACTCTTTGCCAACAAATTGGAAAACCTAGAAGAAATGGTTAAATTCCTGGACACATACAACCTAGCAAGATTGAACCATGAAGAAATAGAAAACTTCAACAAATCAATAGGGAGTAACAAGATCAAAATTATAATAAAAAGTCTTCCATCAAAGAAAAGCCCAGTACCTGATGGCTTTACCCCTGAATCTACAAACATTTGAAGAGACAGTAATACCAGTTCTGCTCTAATTCTTCAAAAAAAAAAAAAAAAAAGAAAAAGAAAAAAAGAAAAATTGAAGAGGAGGGAATACTTCCAAACTCATTCTACAAAGTAGTATTTCCATGACACCAAAACCAGAGAAGGGCACAACAAAAAAACAAAACTACAGGCCAGCATCACTGATGAGCCAGATACAAAAATCTTCAACAAAATACTAGCAAACCAAATTCAACAACGATGTTTAGCAGCATCCCTGGCCTCTGACCACCGGATGCCAGAAGTACCACCAGTTTTGACAATCAAAAATATCTCCAGGCATTCCTAAATACCCTGCGTTGGAGGAAGGTGGCTAAATCACACCTCCCTCTCCGCCGCCCCCCACCATTTTAGCACCACTGTATTAGATCACCTATAAGTTATAATATATGTTATGTAACATTACGCCAGAGATTATATACCCTGAGGCCGCTTTGGAAATTTCAGGAGAAGGCAGTTTGGTCACTTAGTTGGATGTTATAGAGGTGATAGCCTAATATTCTGTAAATCTTATAAATACATTTTTCTTCAATGCCTGCAAGAAAGAAGTAAAAAATGGAGACAGGCTGGAAAAAAATCAAGCTCTTGCATGTGAGAGCTACAGGCAACTTTAGGGCAGCCACAGGAATAAGAAAGAATATATTAAAAAAAGGGAGGAATTTAGGCCTTACCCTCACAGACCTGAGCCATAGCTGGGAAATTGTTACCCTTTTAAATCTAAGCCACCAGTGACAACCTGAGCTCAGGACTGAGTGGAGGGCACGGTCTACCACAGGGACCATGCTAGAAAAGTAAGTTTTTCAAAGAATATTTTTGGTGGCAGGGCAGGGCCATAGGCTCCTGTGAGTTAAATGACTGAGAACAGAAAAATATAACAGTATTCCACTAGATGGTGCTATATCTGATTAATTTATCAAGCATGTCCAAATTAGGTCTTACCTGACCCTGTCTTTTCCAGCATATTTTCCTCAGTCCTTTTTGCAATAATTTGAATTCAACCATACTTAAAATGAAAGATATTTGCAAATTTAAAAAATTCCATTCTAGCTAATCTCCATTACTGATTCAAAATACATGCATTTCCAGTCTAAACAACTTGGCACTATTAAGTCAGGCTCAGGTTCAAAAGGCACAAAGTTCATAGCAAAATGTCTGTTCCTTGTTTCAATTTTAATTAATGCCATAGCTAGCAGATTTAATAACACTTCTATTGTTAAGTACAAGCAAAACTGATATAAAAATCTCTTAACTTTCACTTCTTTAACATTCTGCTGGCTGATATAGTCAGAGATGAGTTTTGTGCCTATCCTTGGAAGTCAGAAATATTAAAAAAAAAAAAAAAAAAAAACAAGAGTTTAGGATATCAAAATGCTTTACAGACCTCTGAAATATAACAGTGTGCCCCAAAAGATAGCCACTTGACTTGGAGGTCTGGTAACATACCATTTAGAAAAGGAAATTGCCGGTCACGGTGGCTCACGCCTGTAATCCCAGCACTTTGGGAGGCCGAGGTGGGCAGATCACTTGAAGTCAGGAGTTCGAGACCAGCCTGGCCAACATGGTGAAACCCCCGTCTCTACTAAAAATACACAAATTAGCTGTGTGTGGTGGCGCGGGCCTGTAGTCCCAGCTGCTCGGGAGGCTGAGGCGGGAGGATTGCTTGAACCCAGGAGGTGGAGGTTGTAGTGAGCAGAGATCGCGCCACTGAACTACAGCCTGGGCTACAAAGCAAGACTCCGTTTCAAAAATGAAAAATAAAAAAGAAAAGACAAGGAACTTAGTTACTGGGTGGAGTGCTTTCTGACATTTGAGGAGTTCAAGGTGGAAGGATTGCTTGAGCTCATGAGTTCAAAACCAGCCTGGGCAACAAAGTGAGAACACTGTTTCAAAAAAAAAAAAAAAAATAGAGAACTTGGTCATTATACATCAAGGTAACTGGGTGGGTAACCTCATGTCAAAATAGGAAGTACTAAGGGCATATTTAAGCAATTATCTAATAATTGAAAAGTTGTGAGGTCACAATCTACTGAAATTTATAATCACTTGGAGAAAAAAGATACAGGTAACCTTATCTTTTATAACTTCTTTTTTTGGAAACAAGGTCTCACTCTGTCCCCCAGGCTGGAGTGCACTGGCAACATCACAGCTCACTGTAGCCTCCACCTCGCTATCCTCCCACCTCAGGCTCCTGGGTTACTGGGACTACAGGTGTGCACTACCACGCTGGGCTAATTTTTTTTCTTCCGTATTTTATAAAGATGGGGTCTTGCCATGTTGGCCAGGCTGGTCTCGAACTCCTGGGCTCAAGTATCTGTCTGTCTCAGCCTCCCAAACCATTGGGACTACAGGCGTGAGCCACCATGCCCAGCCATGTTCTCTAACTTTTAAAGTCAGTCTAACAGTATGTGTGAGCCAAGGGAAAGAATTTCACTGCAGTTGTTACAAGTAATAGTTTTTTGATTTGTTTATGTTTTTGTTTCAGGAAGACAGACATTGTTGACTCTCGGCAGAGCTGGTCTTAGTTGTGTAGCAAAATAGATAAGGGACTCTTGGGGGAGGATGGGAGTGGTAGTCAGTAACATGTAGGGCGTTTGGGGCAGGGGATTACTGCATTACATTCAGCTCCACATCTCATTTAAAACATGGTCAGAAGAAATGAAGTCAAGTAAAATGGTCTCGAAAGTGGCTGGTATTAGGCAGAAGACAGGCAAAGTACAAGTCAAAGATAGAAGTGGAAGGAAAATGGAAAGAAAAAAGGAATATCTGTGGTGGGCCTTACCCTCATGTGTTACCCACATGCCTCTATTAATCAATGAAAATTTTAACACGTCATACACATGGTTTCACGTATTTTCCATCAAAATAGTTGAGAGAGAGGAGGGGTAAGTAAAAGTGAGCTAGCCAGGATAGTGGGTGGCAAAATTCCACTTCACAGTTTTGCCTGGGTCAAGGCTTGACTAGAAAGTCTATTTACTTTAGAACTCTCACTAAAAAATTATTCTTTTTCTTAGTATAGGACATGCATCTTGGTAAAAATCCTTATTAAACAATAACAACTAATTTAAAAATTTAAAGACCATGCGAAGCAACATGTAGGATGGTGGAGAAGAACGCTGCACACTTCAGCCAATAGTTTGCACAACTGTCAGACCACTGTTAGAGCTAGCTGTAAGTTCAGTCTCATCGATGTACTTCAGATTTCCCAAGGGTCTAAATCTCCTCTGTCCTAGAGAGAAATACTTCTTAAATTGTCATGTGTCCTTCCTTTGGCTCCTTTCTATCCCCACCAAGTTAACAGGATTCTGTGAAAAAATTTCCTCAGTAAAACACATTTGGAAAACACTACATACTATATCCCTTTCTTAGAGATTTCTGGTGCACATGAGCATGTTAAAAGGGCATCAAAATATCTGAGAGGTTCTGAGGAAGAAAAACTGAACCCAGCATTTTCCAATTCAAACCCCACTCCCAGTTCTCCCCTTTTGCCACCAGGAATACCTATTAGCTTTTCATGGGTCACTAGTATTTTCTAGTAGAGTGATTGGAAAATGCTATTCCAATAAAATAAAAGTATTATGACATTTTCTTGCCACATTGAAAGGACTGAAGATTTAAAAGACTTACCAAAAGGATCTATTTAATATCCTGAGAGTTAAGATTTTTGCTTAAATTTGGCTTCTTGGTACAGTTGTTTAGCTTTTGCCCTATCATTCTCCTAATTGAAACATCATCCGTATTGGGAAATAATTGTTTTGTTACTCCTGTAAAAAACCAATAGCGACACATGAGAAACTTCATGAGTGCTTTGCATCTTAGGGTATGAACTGAGGTAAAACATCAAGTATTCTACATTATAATTTTTTTTCCATTTTACAAAAGTAGCCCAAACACCCATGAGCTATTTAAACAGATGAATATATAGGCAGGTTTTTCTAAGTAAAGCAAGAGATATCAGAAGGTCTATATTATCAACTGAGATCCTATGGTAGTGATTAACTTTAATCCTCCTACTTGCTTTAAACTCTAAGTCCTCTTGCTCTAAAATGTTAGGAATGTATTTTTATCCATTTCCAACATTAATTGAAACAACTAAACTCTGACTGATCTTTTTCTGTATCTGTCTGCCTCAGCCTCCCAAACCATTGGGATTACAGGCATGAGCCACCACGCCCAGCCATGTTCTCTAACTTTTAAAGTCAGTCTAACAGCATGTGTGAGCCAAGGGAAAGAATTTCATTGCAGTTGTTAGAAGTAGCAGTTTTTTGTTTCAGGAAGACAGACATTGTTGTATGTTAAGAAATGACATATATAGAGCTAGGATTCAGAGAATCCTTACATTTGTCAGATGTTGCCAAAAAATTAATTGGATAATCTAGATTATATTTAAGGAGATTCATTAATTTAAAAACCATAAATAGGATGGTCAAATTAGCCTTTATCTTTCTGGAATGAAAGATAAGACATATAACAAAAGCAAGGAAGAAATTGTTATTGAAATTTTACTTTAAAAGATTGTGAAAATTTACATTTCCAAAGCTATAAATTGTATGAATTGAAACCTTTTGGTGATATAAAACTTAGTTTCATTTTAATAACCATTGTTAATGTAAAGTTTTTCTATAAAATTTCCCATATTTAATGAGAGCTTTAGACTATCCTAAGATTTTTCTTTCCCAGAAAAATAAACTTTAAAAAATAAAAGGACCATGAAAGACTATCTTGACCTTGAGTGGTAACATGATTTAAAATTCATACGACAATATAACGCAATCATATTATCACCTATGATTTCTTGGACTTCATTCTGATTCATAGCTGGTTTTACAGCTTTGTCCCTTGAAGTAGAGGATTTTGCCCCTGTCAGGCTGTGAGTGGCCATGTATTCATTTGTGTAAAGTACTTGCATTAAATCATTAATAAACTTCTGAGGCTTGCTCTTGTTACAACGGGCAATCTGCCATTTTTCAATCTGGAACTAAAAAGATAAGAAAGAGTTGAAGTTGGAAAAAGAAAGTGCTGTATGGAGAAATATGTTACTAATTGAGTTAAGGCATAAAAGAAAACAATGTCAACATTTTTTAAGGTAAGATATTATATATATATTTTAATATATATTTTACATTTTAATTTAATATATATTTTACATGTCAGGGATTAGATTTAAATGTTATCTTTGTGATACTCTTCAATATTTATGAGGTATTTGTTATAGGGTGTATACAAATTCTTGTCATGTAAACTGGATTTGGTCCTTTCAGGCTTAGTCCCATACTCAGTGCTTCATCGTAAATGTAGTAGGCAGAATAATGGCCCTCTGAAAGGTCACATCCTAATCCCTGAAACCTATAACACGTTGCCTCACAGGGCAAAAACAATTCTGTAGATGTGATTAAAGTTAAGTACCTTGAGATGGGAGATTATCCTGGATTACCTAGGTGGGCCCAATTTAATCACATGAGTTCTTAAAAGCAGAAGAAGGAAGCAGAAGGGCAGATCAGGAAAAAGAGACAGAAGAGGGAGGGAAGATCTGAAGTGTGAGAGGGACTTCACTTGCTGTTGCTGGCTTTGAAGATGGCCGAAGTGGGCTGTGAACCAAGGAATGTGATTGCTTCTAGAAGTAGGAATGGCCTTCAGTTTACAACCAGCAAGAAAATGGGGAATTCAGTTTTACAACCACAAGAAAATGAATTCTACCACAGCCTGGATGAGCAGGAAACAGATTCTGCCCTAGAGCTTTCAGAAAGAAATGCACCTGCTAACACCTTGACTTCAGTCTAGTGAGACCTGTACCAGACTTCTGATCTATAGAACTCTAAGATAATAAATTTGGGTCATTTGAAATCACTAAATTTGTGATAATGTGTTATATAGCAATAGGTAACTGATACACTAAGATTCAAATATTTTGAATGTCAGATTGTTAGTTAATATTTATCATTTTTGATGGTATACTTACTGAGGCTACCTGATTCTAACAAAACTCCTGTCTTTTTAGCATCTGTGTCTTGATTAAGTACAAAAACAGAAAAAGAATTGTGTTCAGCCAGCATGCTGAGGCTGAAATTTACCTCTCAATGATATAAAATTGTATAACCCTGAATGCATAGGTATCCTTCTGTCACTGGTATGAGAATTTTAAAGTTTAATAACTTTATCTTTGTACCCAATTTGCTTTAATTTTCTAAACTGGGTATTTGTTTTACAAATATTAGTTTTTATTATAAAAGGACAACAGTTTTATGCCTTTGGTTCTCAGATTGATCTTGACTTCCTCAGAGAAGACCTTCTTCTCCCTCCTAAGTCAAGCCCTGCCTTCCCTTTCCTCAGGCTAGGTCAAGCGCCTTATGCCTCTTCTTTTTTTTTTTTTTTTTCAGACGGAGTCTCGCTCTGTCGCCCAGGCTGGAGTGCAGTGGCACTATCTCGATCTCGGCTCACTGCAAGCTCCACCTCCTGGGTTCATGCCATTCTCCTGCCTCAGCCTCCCAAGTAGCTGGGACTACAGGTGCCCGTCATCACGTCCGGTTAATTTTTTTTTTTTTTGTATTTTTAGTAGAGAGGGGATTTCACTGTGTTAGCCAGGATGGTCTCGATCTGACCTCATGATCTGCCCGCCTCAGCCTCCCAAAGTGCTGGGATTACAGGGGTGAGCCACCACACCTGGCCACCTTATGCCTCTTCTTTGTGGTACTTAAGAATTGTAATATTCCTATTGAATAAAACTATTTTATCCAATAGTTATCTGATAAAACAATGATCATTTTCCACCCTTATTTAAATTTTTTATTTAAGCATATTCCAAAGAACAATAAGGCGGGTATTACAACTGACCTGTTTCTCATCAGTCTGATGCTCTTCCTCAGGCTTTAAGGAAACTGGTGAACTGGAGTTAGAATTAGAATTACTGCATGTTGAGGCAAATGAATCTGGCGAGGAGTTGTTTGTTGCTCTCCAGAGGGTGGATGCAGATGTAGACATGGTTCCCCCACCCTTAAGCAGAGCCTCGGCCATACCAACCAATTCTTCAAACTGGGTGACTGCTTGTGGTAACACTAAAATGGCAAGAAAAAGTACACTTTACAAATACCATTGATAATAGGTGCATATGTACATATTTTTTTGTTGAGTGTATGTGCATAGAAATATGCAGAACAAACTTAACATTTGCTATCTTTGGAAAATAAACATGGCAGGAAAGGTGTTTGGAACATATTTACTTTTATTATTAAATAATTTAGTAATTGCTTAATAATAATAAAGCAATTAAAAACATTTGGTCATTGCAGTTAAATGTATATGCATTACTTTGTAACTAAAAAGAATGTTTTAAAAGTTGATTCTTTTTTTTCTAGTTGCTAGGGGTTTTATTTGAAGGTGTTGAGTTGAATCTCTTGTTTGGAGCTATTACTGATTCTATTATCAATCACCTTCTAGAAGCTCACATTAGGCCTGTTTATGTGCCAAGATAAAACTAGCCATTTCTCAAAGATGAAAATAAATTTTCTATGACCTTCGTGTATGGTTTACAAGGGAGTCAAATTTCATCAAATTATTAAAAATGCACTGCCACAATTCAAACCTGTGTTGTGATATATTAAAGATGAATTTTGGTAATCAATGGAATATTTTCTTTGTTCCTTTTTTCAAATGGAAACTTACACATTCAAAGTTTTCATGCCTCCATGTAAAATGGTCTTCTCTGTTGTTATATCTAGTTTGTTTCCTAAGGACAAATAACATGTTGTTGGAGTTGGAAGAGATCTTGAACCTTGTCTAATTCAGTTCCTCACTATATGGTTGAGGGCACAGCCTGCTGGAGAGGTGAAAAAACTCTGAAACTTTTTTTGTACTTTTCTTAAGCATATTATTGAGCTACAATTTTAGAATAATTAATGATGTGCAAATCGGTATATCTGGTACTATATTAAAGGAAAATCTACTAAAGAAGAAAATCTTATTTTCTGTTCTTTCAAAAACATTTATTAAGCACCTCTCATGTACCAGACACTTATTCCATCAGTAATTACTTATTGAGCATTTAATAATATTAAACATTTATCTAGTTTATTTTTTCTCTGTGCTAGGCACTATTCTGAGATCTTAACTGATGTTCTTTCATCCAATACTCATTGCAACTCTCTGAGATAGGTATTATCTTTACCTGCCATTTCCAGATGAAGTCAATTAGGCAAGAAGAAGTAAAGTAATTTGTCCAGAGTCAAACATAGTTAGTGAAGAGAAGAGCCAAGATTCAAATTCAGACTGGCTGCCTCCCAAGTCCATGTTACACAGATTCTCAGTATTTGCCAACCACTACGCTAGGTGTGAGGGATAAAACTGGGAGCAAAACCAGATGTGATCCATGTCGTTTTGGAGCTTACAGTCTGAGGGGTGAAGGGGAGACTTATTTACAAACCAGGCTGTGTAGCAAGAATTTTGCCCTGCTCAAAGAATGATCTGGCCTTTGTCCCAGTTCCTGGGAAGTAACTGTTCCTTGGAATTTCTTGACTGACAGGAGTATCTTCGCCACTCATCATGAGCTCCTGGGACCATGCCTGATAGTTTATGCTAATGAGCTGACTCACGGTGGGGCCAAGTCATGCAATAGCCTTAGGGTGGCAGCTGGCCACAGCTTGAAATCCAGAAAGACCAACCATATGATTTAGAGACTGAGTTCAACCACATGTGCAGTCAATCAACCGATCAATCATGCCTACATTATGAAGCTCCAATAAAAAGTTTGGACAGTAGAGCTCTGGTGAGCTTCCTGGATAGACAATACTTTATGTGTATTGTCACATATAGATGCTATGGGCATAAGGCATCCTGAGACAACCAAAGCCTCACGTATGTGGAAACCTCCCAGACTCTGCCCTCTTTCTTAGGCTGATTCTAATTTGTATCCTTTCCTTGTAACAAATGTTCTGTGAGTTTTTCTATTATAGCAAATTATTGAATATGAGGGTGGTTTTGGGAAACTCCTGAACGTGTAGTTGGTGTCAGAAGTATTAGGCACTCTTGGCAGTGGGGAGGACACTGCCCTTAACTTTGCAGTTTGGTTTACTTGAGGTATATGCAAAAAATAAAAAATCACAATTCTTAAACGCCACAAAGAAGAAGCATCAGGTGCTTGACCCAGGATGGGGAATGGGAGGGCTTGACTTGGGTGGGGCAAGCAGGGCTTCTCTGAGGAAGTCAAGATTCATCTGACAACTTAAGGCTGAGCAGGGATTAAATTGCCGTAGAGAATGAGGGGGTCGTTAGAGGCACAGGAATAGCACCTTCTTCATATGAGGAACTGAATGAAGGCCAAATCTAGAATGTAAGAAGAAAAAGGGAATTTGGTATGAAGTGGGACTACAAGAATATTTACTATTTTTTTCAAATTATGTTTGTACATGTTCATTGGCATACATCATTCTTGTCATTTCTGCCTGTGTATCTCTATTTTTATTAATGTATTTTCTTTTACATAATTAGAACCATGCTGTATACATTGCATTGTATCAAGGCTCTTTTTTTCCCAATTAAAATGGTAAGGTGAATATTTTGCCTGTTTTATTAAATCTTCTTGGAAAATATGAGTTTGTAAGGCCTAATTTACATACAATTAAAGGCAAAACCTTACATGAAGTCTGAGCAGAAATTACATAGGTAAAGGGGATGCGTTTGACAAATGGGTGCGCCCATTTAAAACACACCTAATCAAGATATAGAACATTTCCATCCTCCCAGAATGTTCCTTTACATCCTGTCTAAATCAATCCTTGGACTTACCACAGAGGCAACCACTAATCTGACTTCTTTAGCTGTAGATAAATTTTACTTGTTCTAGAATTCCATATAAATTAACTCAAACAGTATATTCTCCTTTTTTTGTCTCTTTTTCTCTGCATAATATTTTAAGACATTCATGTTGTGTGTACCATAATTCATTCCTTTTTATTGCTAACATTTCATTACTTTATAATTAATGTATCCATTCACCTGTCGATGGGCTATTTTCCCTAATATCCAATATATTCATGCTCTGTAACTTATTTATTTATTTACTTATTTTGAGACAGAGTCTCATTCTGCCACCCAGGCTGGAGTGCAGTGGCATGATCTCGGTTCACTGCAACCTCCGCCTCCCAGGTTCAAGCGATCCTTTGGCCTCAGCCTCCCAAGTAGCTGGGACTACAGGTGTGCACTACCATGCCAGCTAATTTTTGTATTTTTAGTAGAAATGGGCTTTCACCATGTTGGCCAGGCTGGTCTTGAACTCCTCACCTCACGTGATCTGCCCACCTCGGCCTCCCAAATTGCTGGGATTACAGGCGTGAGCCACCATGCCCGGTCCTGTAACTTCTTTAAATGCTCCTTTTCTCACTTGGAAATTAGGTTGCTTCCAATGTTTCTTTTTCTTTTCTTTCTTTCTTTCTTTTTCTTTTCTTTTCTTTTTTTTTCTTTTTTTTTTTTTTTTTTTTGAGACAGGGCCCTGCTGTTACCCAGGCTGGAGTAGAGTGGCATGATCACAGCTTACTACAGCCTTGACTTCCCGGGCTCAAACAATCCTCCCACCGCAGTCTCCCAAGTAGCTGGGTCTACGGGTGTGCACCACTGTGCCCGGCTAATATTTTTATTTTTTGTAGAAATGGAGTCTCCCTATGTTGCCCAGGCTGGTCTTGAACTCCTGGGCTCAAGTGATCCTCCCAAAGCGCTGGGATTACAGTGGGGAGCCACTTTGCTAGGCCCAATTTTTCTTTATTACAAACAAAGCTTTGATAAACCTTCTTGCATCTACATTTTCATATGCACCTCTGATCATGTCAATGCTATAAATTCCTGAGAGCATAATAGCATTAAGAGGTATAAATGCTTTTGAGATTCAATTCATATTGCTGAATTGCTCTCTAGAAAGATTTTTCCAATTTACACTCCCACTAGCAATACAAGAAACTGGCCATTTCACTGTGCCACCAACAACTGGTGTTAATCAGTAACAACAATCTCCATTTTTTTTGATAGGTTATAATCTTAGTACATTTTAAATTACAATTATTTAAGTACTGTGAAGTTAAATATAATTTGTTTATTGATTATTAGAATTTCTTCTATCAATTATCTATTGGAGCATGGGATATTGGTACTTTTTCTATTTTATAAGAACTTAAATGGTTTTTGTAAAGTGGTTACAAGAGTGCCTAGCACATTATAAGCAGAATGTATTAGCTTTATTATTAACTCCCTTATATATTAAGCATTTTAATCTTTTATTTTTCTTGAGTTGCAAATATTTTTCTCAAAGTGTTTATCTTTTAATTTTATAACATTTTAAACACACATAATTTAAATTTTCATTTTAGTTGAAAGTAGCAGTCTTTTCTTAGTATATTATCCATTTATTTTATACTTACTCATTCATCACTCAGATCAGTTAAATATTCACCAACAATTTTGTAGAATTTAAATATCTTTTCATAAGTAGGCTGTTTTCCTGGATATATTTTTTAAACTTTTAATGGAAAATTTTAAACAGAAACAAAAATAGCAAATTCTCCCATTTCAATTCATGGCAAGTCTCAATCCACTTATACCCTGATCCCCTTTATCCCCCAAATTATTTGATGCAAAGCACAGGCATCATCTCATTTTTATCTGTAAATATTTCTGTAGGCATCTCTAAAAGGTGTATTTAAAATTATAACTGTTAACACCACTACTGCAGCCAGAAATAGTTAACAATAGTTTTTTAATATCGTTTAAAAAAACCTTAGTCAATGTTCAAATTTCTCTGATGGTCTTATTTTTTAAGTTTGTTCGAATCAAGATCCAGTAAGGACTATACATTACAACTGGTTGCTGTCTCTTCCATATAAACTATAGGTTTCCTCTCCCTTCCTAGTTTTTTCCCTTGCAATTTATTAATTGTAGAAACTGGGTCATTTGTCCTGGAGAATTTCCTACAGTCGGATTTTGCTGTGATTGCACCTTTAGGTGGTATT
The DNA here is from genome assembly GCF_000001405.40 of Homo sapiens. Lineage (NCBI taxonomy): Eukaryota > Metazoa > Chordata > Mammalia > Primates > Hominidae > Homo > Homo sapiens. Next base: position 57,010,197 of record NC_000006.12, on the reverse strand, counting down.
TGACATATTCTCCTGTTCCCTGTATTTGATGTAGATTGGTAGTTAGATCTGAAGGGTTGATCGGATTCAGGTACTGTTTTAACTTCCATCAGGTGGTATTTAATGCCTGGTTAGCTTTTTTGTGATCTTACCAGCTACAGATGGTCACTGCATAGATTCATTATGTCACAATGGCTTGCAAAATAGTGATATTCTAATTATTTTCTTCATTTATTAGCTGGAGTTCTACAAAGGGAAAGTTCCTCTTATCAACTGTTTGGTTACCCAGAAGTTCATTTCATATAGTAATGGCAGGATACACGCTTGATTTTGGTTTGTATCTGCCAATTTTCAAAATTATGAGTTGGTTGTTTTCAGATGACCATAACGTTTTCTTCTTTTTTGAATACCACTGTGAACTCATGCATTAAACATATATCAATACAATATGTGTCTATCTATTGTGGTTGTCATTCTTATTCATGCTCAAACTGTCCCATCTTTGGCTTGTGGGAAGCTCTTCTAGTTGACACATCTGCATGGTCTAACTTCCTTGCTTTCTGATATGACAAGATGTTCCTGTATATTTCCTGCTCAAGCTTCTTCACAAGTCTCATTTTGTATATTTTGTATGCAAGACATGGAATCAGCCATTTATCCAAGGAGTCATCGTTCCCTTTAATGGTTAATGATATTACAAGGGCACATCTAATTGCTAGGAGTGCTCTTGGCTATTGAGTTCCTGTTTCTAGGACTACTCAGGGAACCATATTAGAAAATCCTTTTTTAAAATTTGATTTTATTTAATATTTTAATTATACATTTTCATAGGGCAAATAATGATGTTTTGATACATATAATGTATAAAGGTCAGATCAGGGTAATTAGCATATCTATTACTGCAAACATTTATCATTTTTTTATGTTGGGAACATTCAAAATCCTCCTTCTAGCTACTTGAAAATATATACTATTGTTAACTATAGTAATCCCACAGGGGTATTGAACATTAGAACTTATTCTTCCCATCTAGCTGTAATTTTGTATCCTTTAATAAATCTCTCCCTACCTTTCCCTTCCCCCTGCCCTTTCCAGCCTCTTGTATCCTCTGTTCTACTTTTTACTTCTATGAGATTAACCTTTTTCTTTTTAGCTTCCGTATACAAATGAGAACATGCAGTGTTTAACTTTCTATTCCTCGCTTATTTCACTTAACATAATGATCATCCCTGTTGCCAAAAATGACAGGATTTCATTCTGTTTTATGGATGAATAATATTCCATTGTGTATATATGCCACATTTTCTTTATCTATTCATCTGTTGTTGGACACTTAAGTTGATTCCCTATGTTATCTATTGTGAACGATGCTGTCTCCATAGTGGCTGCACTGGTTTACATTCATACCCACAGTGTATTAGAGTTCGCTTTTCTCCACATCTTCACTAGAATTTGTTTTGTTTTTGTCTTTTTGATAATAGCCATACTTCCTGGGGTGAGATGTTACCTCACTGTGGTTTTGATACGCATTTCCCTGGTGATCAGTGATGTTGAGCATTTTTTTCATATACCTGTTGGCCATTTGTATGTCTTACTGAGAAATATCTGTTCAGATCATTTGCCTATTTTTTTTTCTTTTTTCTTTTTTTAAGAGATGGTGTCTGTGTCTGTCACCCAGGCTGCAGTGAAGTTGTGGCAGGCCAATTCTCCCTGACAATCACACAGACAGGCCTGCATGACAGTCACACAGACAGGTCTGCATAGCACTCCAGTTACACAGACAGATTTCCACAGCACTGCCTTGACATTGAGCAAATAGTTAAACCTAGGGAAATCAGTGCCCAGACATCAAAGCTAGAAATGAAACATGATCAGTAGTAGCCTTGCATGGGCTTCTGCCCAACCTGGAGCAAGCCAAAATAATAGAGACAGTCTTTGATTCCTAGCACCAGGACCCGTATCTGAGATGAGTCAAGGTAACAGAGGCAGCTGTTTGAACACATTCATTGGAGAGTCTAAGGCAGCTCTCTGGACCAAGCTGTAAAGGAGATAAGATAGAAATAATCACTCCGGTACCACAGTAGACAGGCCTTGAAGGTACTGGGGCCCTTTTAATCAGACTTAGCAAGCATTTTTGTCTCTGACCTTCTAGTTGAAACAAAATTAGTTACCAGTAGACTTAGGCCAATGCTATACTGCATGAAGGCACATAACCCCAACCTATATAAGCACTAAGAAAATTGCAACACTTTGAGTTGGTCTGGTGGAATTATCTCTGGCCTTCTCCTTGTATCTGGTTATAGCAATAAATTCCCTTCTTTCCTAGTTTGTCTGCTTCCTGTTATTGGGCCTCCAGAAAACACAGCTGGACCCAGCTTGGTTCCGGGAACAAAGTGGCATGATCACAGCACACTGTAAACTTCCCAAACTCCTGGACCCAGCTTGGTTCCGGGAACAAAGTGGCATGATCACAGCGCACTGTAAACTTCCCAAACTCCTGGACCCAAGCTATCTTCCCGCCTCAGCCTCCCGAGTAGCTGGGATTACAGGCATAAGACACCATACCCAGCTCATTAAAAAAAAAAATTTGTTTTTTGTAGAGATAGGGTCTTGCTATGTTGCCCATGCTGGTCTCATACTCCTTGCCTCAAGTGATCCTCTAGTCTTGGCCATTTTTAAATCAGATTGTTTGTTTATTTTTGCTTTTGTTGCCTGTGCTTTTAAGGTCCTATTCACAAAATCTTTTCCAGACCAATGTCCTGGAGTGTTTCCCCTATGTTTTCTTCTAGTAGTTTCATTGTTTGGGGTCTTAAATTTAGGTCTTTGATTCATTTCAAATTGATTTTTGCATAGGACGAGAGGTGGGGGTCTAGTTTCATTCTGCAAATAATTATCCAATTTTCCCAGCATGATTTTTTTTTTTTTTAATTTGAGACATGGTCTCACTCCATCTTCTAGGCTGGAGTGCAGTGGTGTGATCACAGTTCACTGGAGCCTCAACTTCCTGGACTCAAGGAATCCTCCCACCCAGCCTCCTGAGTAGTTGAGACCACAGGTGCGTGCCACCACACCAGGCTCATTTTAACAGTTTTTGTAGAGATGGGTCTCCCTGTGTTGCCCAGGGTGGTCTCGAACTCCTAGGCTCAAGTGATTTTCCCACCTCGGCCCCCCAAAGTGTTAGGATTACAGGTGTAAGTCACCGTGCCTGGCTCCAGCACCATTTATTAAAGAGACTATTATTTCCCCAGTGAATGTTCTTGGTGTTTTGTCAAAAATCAATTGATTATCGGTATGTGGATTAGTTTCTGAGTTCTCTATTCTGTCCTATTGGTCTAATGTGTCTGTTTTTAAGCCAATACCATGCAGCTTTGGCTATTACAGCTTGGTAGTATATTTGAGTGATACATCCAGCATTGTTCTTTTTGCTCAGAATTGCTTTGGCTATTCAGGGTCTTTCATGAATCCATACAAATTATAAAAAATGTTTTTTCTATTTCTGTGAAAAATGTCATTGGTATTTTGATAGGAATTGCATTCAATCTGTACATTGCTTTGGGTAAACTATAACTTTTTAAAGACAAAATTTATTATGTGTTCAAACCAGTACTTCCCATTCAAAATCAGAACATGGAGTTTTAATTTAGACTGTATAGTTATGTTCTTAGTGAGCCACCTAGTGTGAAGTGAGAAGGTAGCTTGGAATATCAATTTTCCCAACACGTTGTTGAGTAATTCATCCTTTTCCTGATTGACTTGCAGGACTCACTACATGACTACATAGTTTGCAGGGTCCAATACAAACTAAAAATTCAGGGCTCATTGTTCAAAACATCTAAAGAATTTTAAGATGGTGACAGCAGAGCCTTTAATCAGTATGTGGGCCCTTCTAAGAGCAGGGTCTTGTGTAACTGCACGTCACACATCTACGAAGCTGGCCATGTTGACTTGTGATAGCAAACATTTGTAACAGCAAATACTTGCTATGTGCCAGGCTCTGTTCTGAATGCTTTACCTGTCACTCAGGTGAGTACATTTATTATTTCCATTTTAGAGATGAAAAAATGGACTCACAGAGTGGTTAAACAACTTGCACAAGGTTACACAGATACTAGGTGGCAGAGCAGGGCTTGAACTCAGGTGGTTTGCTTCTTCATATTTTTACCTCTTCGCTCCTACGCCACACTGCTTTTAGGATAGTTTCTTAATCATACATTAGGTTCTGTTTGGAGGATATGCATTCTGTTCCACTGATCTGTTGATTCTTGCATTAGCCAGGCACTTTAAATTATTGGAACTTGATATGACTAAATATTGACAGGTTTGGCACTCATATTCTTCTTTTTCAGAATGTTCTTAATTATCTTGCCGGTTTATTCTTTCAGGTTAATTTTAGAATATTTTTCGTCAACTTATTAAAAAAGCAAAAACAAAAGGACCATTGGTATTTTAATTGGGATTACATTCAAATTATTGATTATTTTGGGGATGAATTGGCCTCTTCTCTTCCCATTTGTAACAAGTCTTTGTTTTTTTTTTTTTTTAATGGAGTCTCGCTCTGTCGCCCAGGGTGGAGTGCAGTGGGGCGATCTCGGCTCACTGCAACCTCCGTCTCCCGGGTTCAAGCGATTCTCCCGCCTCAGCCTCCCAAGCAGCTGGGATTACAGACACCTGCCACCATGTCTGGCTAATTTTTTTTTGTATTTTTAGTAGAGATGGAGTTTCACCATGTTGGCCAGCCTGGTCTCCAACTCTTGACCTCAGGTGGTCCACCCGCCTTGGCCTCCCAAAGTGCTGGGATTACAGCCATGGACCACTGCGCGTGGCCCACAAGTCTTTCTATTCATTTAGGTTTGTAAATTTCTCAGTTGAGTTTTATATTTTCTTCACAGAGAGTACACATTTTTTGTTAGGGGAATTAGTAGATATTTTATAATTGTAATTAATGTGAATGAATTTTTTTCTTTCAGGAATATAGCAGTGATTTCTGATGCATAAAGAAATTACTGACTTTTTAAAACTGGTAGCTACTAGATATTGGACACCTATTATGAGCCAGTGATTTATTATTTTATGAAAAAAAATAAGGCTTATAATGAAAAACAGCAGTCCTCTGTCCTAGTTCTTGCCACCCCTGATTACCTATCCTACAGGCCTCCACTTCCAATTCACTTACCTGTTTCTTCTGGTATTTATCTTACTGTTTTAAGCAATAATGTGCAATATACAATTACTTCTTAATTCTTTTCATATTCAGATAATTATTGACTTTCAACTATATAATCTGACAATGTAGCTCTCTTGCCTCATCCTCCTGAGTAGCTGGGACTACTGGCACATGCCACCATGTCTGGCTAATTTCTTTGTATTTCCTTGTTGCCCAGGCTGGTCTCAAGTCCTGAGCTCAGGCAATCCTAATTGGTCACCCAATTCTTTGATGGATTTCACCTGCTCATTCAGGTGATGTGTCTCAGTGAAGTCACACAAATGGGGGTCATTTTTGTCAGTGGCCAGTTTGTGCAGTTCCAGTAGTGACTGATTCACATTTTTTTTTTCCAAATGTAATGCCCACTCCATTGCATTCAGCCCACGTAGGAGGGGTAGAGCTCCAGGTTGATCTGGAGGTTGATGTTGGCCTCTGAGTCCTGGTGGTAGTTCTGGCGCACCTGTGAGGGGCATGTGGTAGTCATGGCGGTGGCGGTGGCTACACGGAGCTGGAGCGGCAGAGGCCTTGGGACGGTCCCAGGGCGCGGTGAGGAGGCAGCGGAGGGCTGGCTATGGGCAGCCAGCTGGGGTGGGGGGATGAGGGCTGGGTTCTGTCCAAGCACTGTTGAAGCAGGAAACCTTGGGGACCCACGGTGAAGAAAGTCTGGCCTACATTTATTTTGTATCCTGAAACTTCACTAGAGTCGTTATCGTTTCGAGGAGATGTTTGGCAGAATCTTCAAGGTTTTCTAGTATAGACTCATATTGTCAGCAAAGAGAGATAGCTTGACTTCTTTTCCTATTTGGATGCCTTTTATTTCTTTCTCTTGCTTCATTGTTCTGGCTACCAATTCTAGTACTAGGTTGAATAGGAGTGATGACAGTGGTCATCCTTGTCTTGTCCCAGTTCTCGAGAGCAATGCTTCTGGTTTTACCTGCTCAGTATTATGTTGGCTGTGGGTTTGTCATAGGTGGCTCATTATTTTTAGGTGTGTTCCTTTGATGCCTATTTTCTTGAGGGTTTTTATCAAGAAAGGATGTTGGATTTTATTTAAAGCTTTTTCCACATCTATTGAGATGATCATGAAGTTTTTGTCTTTAATTTTGTTTATGTGGTAAATCACATTTATTGATTTGTGTATGTTGAACCAACCTTATATTCAGGAATGATGCCTACTTGATAGTGGTGAATTAACTTTTTGATGTGCTGTTTGATTTGAATTGCTAGTATTTTGTTGAGGATTTTTGCATCTATGTTCATCAGGGATATTGGCCTGTAGTTTTCTTTTTTCATTGTGTCTTTGCAAAGTTTTGGTATCAGAGTGATGCTGGCTTTGTGGAATGAGCTGGAGAGGAGTCCTTCCCTCCTCAATTTTTTGGAATAGTTTCAGTAGAATTGGTAGCAGCTCTTTGCATGTCTGGTAGAATTTGTCTATGAATCCATCTGGTCTGGGTTTTTTTTGATTGGTAGTTTTTGTTGTTGTTGTTGTTGTTGTTGTTGTTGCTGTTTGTTTTTGAGACAGGGTCTCACTCTGTCACCCAGGCTATAGTGCAGTGGTGCAATCACAGCACATTGCAGCCTCCATCTCTCGGGCTCAAGCAATCCTCCTGCTTCAGACTCCTGAGTAGCTGGGACCACTGGCATGTGTCACAACACTTGGCTAATTCTTTTTATTTTTAATAGAGATAAGGTCTTGTGTTGTTGCCCCAGCTGATCTCGAACTCTGAGATCAAGCAATCCTCCTGCCTTGGCCTTTCAAAGTGGTGAGATTACAGGCATGAGCCACTGTGCCCAGCAGATTTTTTATTATTGGTCCAATTTTAGAACTCGATATTAGTCTGTTTAGGGTTTCAATTTCTTTCTGGTTCAACCTTAGGAGAGTGTGTGTTTCTAAGAATGCATGCATTTCCTCTAGATTTTCTAGTTTGTATGTGTAGAGGTGTTCATAATAGTCTCTGAGGATCTTTTGTATTTCTGTGGCGTCAGTTGTAATGTAACATTTGTTGTTTCTGATTGTGCTTGTTTGGATTTTCTCTGTTTTTTTCTTTGTTAATTTTGCTAGCAGTCTGTCAATCTTGTTTATCCTTTCAAAGAACAAACTTTTAGTTTCATTGATTCTTTGTATGGATTCTTGGGTCTCAATTTTGTTTAGTTCTTTGATTTTAGTGATTTCTTTTCTTCTGCTAGCTTTGGGGTTTGTTTTTCTTGATTTTCTAGTTTCTCTAGGTGTAATGTTAGATCATTGAGGTATTTCTAACTTTTTGAGGTAAATGTTTAGTACTATAAACTTTTCTCTTAACACTAGTTTTGCTGTATCCCAGAAATTTTGGTATGTTATATTTCTATATTCATTAATTTCAAAGAAGTTTTAAAACTTCTGCCTTAATCTCATTGTTTACTCAGTCATTCAGGAGCAAGTTGTTTAATTTTCATGTAATTGTGTGGTTTTGAGAGATCTTCTTGATATTGATTACTAGTTTTATTTCACTGTGGTCTGAGAGTATGGTTCATATAATTTCAATTTTTTTGAATTTATTGAGATTTGCTCTGTGGCCAGGCATGTGTTCAATCTTGCAATATTTTCCATGAGCAGATGAGAAGAATGTATATTCTGTGGTTGATGGGTGGAATATTCTGTAGATGTCTCTTAGGTCCATTTTGTCAAATGTCCAATTTAATTCCAGAATTCCTGTGTTAGTTTTCTGCATGGATGATCTGCCTAATGTTGTCAGTGGGGTGTTCTCAAGTCCCCCACTATTATTGTATGGCTGTCTAAGTCTTCTTATAGGTCTAGAAGTACTTGTTTTATTTATCTGTGTGCTCCAATGCTGGGTGCATATATATTTAGGATAGTTAAGTCTTCTTATTTAATTGAACCTTTTATCATTATGTAATGCTCCACTTTGCCCTTTCTTTTTCTATTGTTGGCTTAAAGTCTGTTTTATCTGATATAAGAATCACGACCCCTGCTCTTCTTTATTTTTGATTTGTGATACTTCTCTAGCCCTTTACTTTGAGCCTATGGGTGTCATTACATATGAGGTCTACTTGCTTTTTTAAATCCAACATGCCACTCTGTGCCTTTTAAGTGGGGCATTTAGACCATTAACATTCAAAGTTAATACTGATATATGAAGTTTTGATCCTATTGTAAAGTTGTTAACTGCCTGCTTTGTAGTTTCTATCATGTGGTTATTTTACAGTATCTGTGGGCAACGTACTTAAGTGTGTTTTTGTGGTAGTAGGTTTCATTATTTTGTTTACATGTTTAGAACTCCCTTAAGAATCTCTTGTAAGGCTGGTCTAGTATTAACTCATTCTCTTAGCACTTGCTTATCTGGAAAATATTTTGTTTCTCCTTCACCGATGAAGCTTAGTTTCTCAGGATATGTACCTCTTGGTTGGAACTTCTTGTTTTAAGAATGCTGAAAATAGGCCCCTAACCTCTCCTGCCTTGCAAGTTTTCTGTTGAGAAGTCCACCATTCACCTGATGGGGTTCCCTGTGAATGTGATCTGACATTTTTCTCTAGTGGCTTTTAAGATTTTTTTTCTTGCCAGGTTCAGTGGCTCATGCCTGTAATCCCAGCACTTTGAGAACCCAAGGTAGTGGATCACTTGAGCCCAGGAGTTCAAGATCAGCCTGGACAACATGGCAAAACCCCATCTTTTCAAAAAATAGAAAAATTGGCCAGGCATTGTGGTGCATGCTTGTAGTCTCGGTTACTTGGGAGAGTGAGGTGGAAGGATCACCTAAGCTTGGGAGGTAGGGGTTGCAGTGAGCAGTGATGGCATCACTACACTCCAACCTGGGCAACAGAGCAAGACCCTGAGACCCTGTCTCCAAAAAAAAAAAAAAAAAGACTTTTTCTTTAGCATTGACCCTGGAGGGTCTGGTGACTCTATGTCTTGGTGATGTTCATTTTGTATAGGATGTAGCAGGTGTTCTCTGGATTTCTTTTTCTTTTTCATGTGGGTATGATTTTTTTCTTTTTTTTTCCTTTCCCTAAAATGTTTTTTCTTTTTCTTTCCTTTTTCTCCCTCCCTAGGGAGTGTGGCTATAGTGAATACTGGGTAGGGTCTTTTGGCTTCATTTCTATAGGTCTATGCACTTCTTTTTTTTTTTTTTTTTTCAGAGGAAGTGTTTAATATTGGTTGAATGCCCAAGAATCCAGCTTACATGGGAGGAACAAAGGGAGTGTGGGTTAATCATCATAATCCCAAAACTAGCACAGAAAGTGGGTATGGCCTCAGACATCACCCAAGGTGCTGAAAGGAATCGCCTCCCAGCCACAACACACCTGCTCTTTCCTCTCCAAACCACTAATGCCCATCCCAACTCCAGATTTTGGAAAGGGTCAACTCCTACTTTTTTTTTTTTTTTCATTATCTCATATTTTGGATTCTTGTTATTTATGGTTTTTTTTTTTTGTTTGTTTTTTTAGTATTTATTGATCATTCTTGGGTGTTTCTCGGAGAGGGGGATGTGGCAGGGTCATAGGATAATAGTGGAGAGAAGGTCAGCAGATAAACACGAGAACAAAGGTCTCTGGTTTTCCTAGGCCTTCCGCAGTGTTTGTGTCCCTGGGTACTTGAGATTAGGGAGTGGTGATGACTCTTAATGAGCATGCTGCCTTCAAGCATCTGTTTAACAAAGCACATCTTGCACCACCCTTAACCCATTTAACCCTGAGTTAACACAGCACATGTTTCAGAGAGCACGGGGTTGGGGGTAAGGTTATAGATTAACAGCATCCCAAGGCAGAATTTTTCTTAGTACAGAACAAAATGGAGTCTCTTATGTCTACTTCTTTCTACACAGACACAGTAACAATCTGATCTCTCTTTGTTTTCCCCACATTTCCCCCTTTTCTTTTCGACAAAACCGCCATCATCATCATGGCCCGTTCTCGATGGTCGCTGTCTCTTTGGAGCTGTTGGGTACACCTCCCAGACGGGGCGGCCGGGCAGAGGCACTCCTCACTTCCCAGATGGGGCAGCAGGGCAGAGGCGCTCCTCACATCCCAGACGATGGGTGGCCAGGCAGAGGCGCTCCTCACCTCCCAGACGGGGCAGCCAGGCAGAGGGGCTCGCTTCCTAGACGGGGCGGCTGGGCAGAGGCGCTCCTCACATCCCAGACAATGGGCGGCCAGGTCTATGCACTTCTGTTGGCAGGTTTTATATCGGGCCATGCAGTTTGACCTACAGACTAGTACATGGCACTTATAGGTAAGAGCTGGCTGCAACCAAAGTGGCTGGGTATAGACTTGATCCTTGTTTTACTGAGAGAAGTTCTCTGTGGTCTCAGTCAATGGGCTGATTGGTGGAGTACACAGTGGTCTGTGCTCTCTGCTTAGCTGCAGGGGAAGGAGGGACCAAAATGGGCAGGGCTGGATGGACAGGTCCACCTTCAGGTCTCCTGATAGCAGGCACAAGCATCAGCACTGATGGGGAATCCAGTGGGTGGCCACCAAGCGCCCAGAGGTGTGCCTAGTTGTGGAGCTGGGAAATCTCCTTGGCCCCAAGCTCTTTGCACAGGCATGAGGAACGTGGCCTAAACTAATCCAGGAAAGTGAGTGCAATAGATGCTTGGAGATCTGCTTGAATGTGGAGCAGTGAGGATCCCCCTGCACCTGGTTCTCTGCACAAGAAGGGTGGGGCAGCTCAGGCTGCTGAACCAGCTGAGCAAGTGCTCCAAATGCCTGGAGATCTGCCTGGGCATGAAGCAGAGATGGCCTCCATGCCATCACTGTACAGAATCTCCATGAATCTCTGTACAGAAAGGGTGGGGTGAATCAAGCTCCTGATCCACATGAGCAAGTGCTCTGAATACCTGGAGATCTGCCTGGGCATGGAGTGGAGAGAGTCCCACTGCACCAAGATTTATGCCCAAGAAGGGTGGGGAGCAACTCAGGCTGCTGAACCAGGTGAGTGGGTGCTCCTAATGCCTGGACACCTGCCTGGGTCCTGTGAGTGAAGCAGAGAGGAAACTGCTGCACCATGGCTTCAGCAGAGTGGGCTGATGAACCCAGCAATTTTCTCGCCCATTTTTAAACAGAATTATTTGATTTTTTGCTATTGGGTTGTTTGAGTTCCCTATATTTTCTGGATATTAACCCCATGTCAGATGCAGAGTTTGCAAACATTTTCTCCATTTCAGAGGTTGTCTCTTCACTCTGTTGATTGTTTCCTTTGTTGTGTAGAAGCTTTTTGGTTTGATGTGATTCTATTTGCCTTTTTCTTTCTTTCCTTCTTTTTTTTTTTTGCTTTTGTTGCCTATGCTCTTGGGGTCTTATTAAAAAAAAATCCTTTCCCAGACCAATGTCATGAAGCATTTCCCAATGTTTTCTTCTAGAAGTTCCATAGTTTCTGGTCTTAATCCATTTTCAGTTGATTTTTTTGGAGTCTAAAAACATTGATTTTTCATTCTTTACTAAAATCTCATTACTTACAAGAGTCAAGTTTTTGGCTGATGCTTTGTTTTTCCTAGGTGTACACATGATAAATACTGACAATTTAATACCTTTCTATACAACAGATATATCACTTATTTTCTTTCACATCCTATTGTGCTGGTCAGTTGTAGTGCACAAGATATGTATTAAATACTTAACACACACACACATAGCACACACACGTTTGCCATCCTGAATTTCTAGAATAGCATATTCATTCTGCCATTTTTCTTAGTTAGCAGGCTTTACAAACACAGAAACAGCCCTGATTCTTAAAGAGTTAGGAACATTATTGCAAACAAAGTAAATAATCAGCATATAGTCTTCCCTTAGACCCCTTTCTTAATAGTATTATACAAGAGATTTCAACTTTCTGTTATCTTCCTAGTTCCCAACTGCAGCTTTACAAGAAGGCCTGCTATAAACATGCCGTTAACATTGTAAACCACTCCCTCTCCCTCAAAACGTAATCTTTTTTTGCAGCCTCTATTTTTTCCATAGCACCTTTCACCATTCAACATATTATATAATTTAGTGAATTATCTTTTGTATGTTTTTTAACTATCCAGATGCCTCTTGCCGCCCCCCACCCCCACACACACGCTCCGTGAAAGCAGGAATCTTTGTTTTGTTCATTGAGTTTTCTCGGTATTTAGAATAGTCCCTTTCACATAGTAGGGACTTTATAAATATTTACTAAATGAATAAATGGGCCAGGCGCGGTAGCTCATGCCTGTAATCCCAGCACTTTTGGAGGCCGAGGTGGGTGGATCACGAGGTCAGGAGATCAAGACCATCCTGGCTAATGCGTGAAACCTCGTCTCTACTAAAAATACAAAAAATTAGCCAGGCGTGGTGGCAGGCACCTGTAGTCCCAGCTACTCAGGAGGCTGAGGCAGGAGAATGGCGTGAACCTGGGAGGCGGAGCTTGCAGTGAGCCGAGATTGCGCCACTGCACTGCAGTCTGGGCGACAGAGTGAGATTCCGTCTCAAAAAATAAATAAATAAAATGAATAAATGCAGAAATGAACACTGCAGTGGCAGTAGGCAGTTCCTGACTTCTGTTGCCAGAAGTCTAGTCAATTGCCAACTTTACTACTTCGTTTCTAGGGTTAAATTCTAGTGTGTGTGTATGTGGTGGGGAGATGGGGAGATGGACAATATTAAATACATAATAGATTACACAGAGTTGCAAGTGCCAAAAAGGAAACAAAACAGGGGAGGAGAATAAAAACTGGGAGAAGAAAGGTTGAAATTTTAGATGGGAGGAAGGTCACGGAAAAGATGAATTAGCAGTGAAGATCTGAAAGAAATGGGGGTTCAAGGCATATGGATAACTGGAAGAAGAACATTCTAGGCAGAGGTGATGGAAAGCACAAAGACACTAAAGACAAGATCATGCCTGATGTCTTCGGAGGGAAAGTAAGTGGTCCAGTGTGTCTGGATCACAGAGAAGGAGAGGATGAAGAGTAGAAAAGAAGGCAAGAGAAGTAAGTGGAGGGGAGGTGGCCAGATCATGTAAGGAGCCAAAGATCATAAAAAGACTTTAGTTTTTATACTGAGTGAGGTACAAATCCACTGGAGAGTTTTAAGCACAGGAGGACAGGAACTGATTAACATTTAACAGAATCATTCTCACTGCTGGGTTGAGAATAGACCTCATAGGAACAAGAACAGAAGTAGGGATGCAAGTTACAATGCCACCTTAATTATATAGATGAGAGGTAATGGTGGCTAGGACCAGAGTAGCAGCAGTAGGAGTGGTAAAAGGGATTGAGTTTCAGAAATATTTTGAAGGCAAAGCTAGTGGGATTTGCTAATGGACTGAGTGTGGGGTGTAAAATAAATACAGAAATAGAAGATAACATGAAGATAACATCATAGTTTCTGGTTTAAGGAACTTGAACAATGAAGTTAACATTAGCTAAGATGAGGAAGAAAGAAACAGGTTGAAGGAGGTGAGGAATGTGGTTTGAAACATGTTAGCCTATCAGTCATGTTAAGCATGCAGTTAGACAATGAGTTAGAGAGGCCCAGGCAGGAAATAGAACTCTGACAATCATAGCTCATTGATTTTTGTGTGTTTTTTTTTGTTTTTGTTTTTGTTTGTTTGTTTTTGACAGAGTCTCGCTATGTCACTCAGGCTGGAGTGCAGTGGTGTAATCTCAGCTCACTGCCACCTCAACCTCCTGGGTTCAAGCAATTCTCGTGCCTCAGCCTCCCGGGTAGCTGGGACCATAGGCACGCAACACCATGCCTGGCTAATTTTTGTATTTTGAGTAGAGATGGAGTTTTGTCACGTTGCCCAGGTTGGTCTCAAACTCCTGGTCTCAAGTGATCCACCCGCTTTGGCCTCCCAAAGAGCTGGATTACAGGTGTGAGCCACTGTGCCCAGCCTCATTGATGGATATTTACACCATATTATTGGAGACGGTCATCTAGAGAATGAATGCAGATAGAAAAGAAAAAAGTCCTAGTACTGAGCCAGGGGACTCATAAAATATTTAGAGGATGAGACAATGAATCAGCTAAATGGAATAAGATGGAAAGACCAGCAATATAGGAGGAAGGCTGGTGATTTTGGTATCCTGGAAAGCAGCAAAGGACCTTTTTCAAGGATGGAGAGTTGTCCAAATGTGTCAAAATGCTGGTAACAGGGCACTTAAGATGACAAGTGATAAATGACTATTGTGGTTAGCAATGCAGAATATCATGATTGAACTGTGTCCCCCAAAAAGATGTGTCGGAAGACTAACCCCTATTACCTCAGAATGTGACCTTATTTGGACATAGGGTTTTTACAGATGTAATCGAGTTGAAATGAGGTCATTAGGGTGGGCCCTAATATAATGCGACTGGTGTTCTTATAAAAAGGGAGAGGTTTAGACACAGAGAGAGAAGCACACAAGAACATCCTGTGAAGATTGGGGTTATGCTGACTTATCCAAGGAACAATCAGAAGCTAGGAGAGAAACCTGAACAGATTATTCCTAGCACCTGCAGGGGGAGTATGGCCCTGCTGACACCTTGATTTTGTAATTCCAAACTCCAGACAGGTGACAGAATAAATTTCTGTGGTTTAAGCCACCTAGTTTGTGGTACTTTGTCACTGCAGCCCTAGCTAGCTAATACATGGAGATGACTGATGATCATGAGATGAGAAATTACAATGAAATTAAAGGATCTAATTGGAGTGGGATCCAGAAAGAATAACAGGGAGGAAACTGAATAGAGTGTGTATAGTCAAGAGTTTTGAGGAGTTTTTCCATAAGAGGAAGGAGAAAAATAGAAGGTAGAGAAGCAAATGGTCTGAAAGTGAGGTTTTTGTTTTTTTTTTTTTAAATGGGAGAAATAATAGTATGTTTGATACTAATGGGAATGATTCATTAGAGAAGGAAAACTTGATCTTGCAGGAGACAGGGCAGAATCTCTGGAGCAATATACTGATTACAAAAAAGGGGATGGGATCTGGTGCACTGAAGGAGATTGAGACTCACAAGGATAGGTTATTCATAAATAATAGGAAGTAAAGGGGGCACAGAAGCACAGGTGCAGGGAGATGGCAGTGGCTTCCTATCCTTCCACCTCTCAGAGAAGTAAGAAGTAAAGCCATCAACTGAGAATTAAGAAGACTTGGAATTGGCAGAAAGAGAAGAAAATGAAATGGCAATTTGGAGCGTGGGAGAGAGAAGAAACTGGTCATAGTAAGTGATTATTTTTATATGCTATTGAAGCTGATTGGCACTCTTTATTTAAAATTTTCTCTTCTATATTTATAATGAAATTTAGCCTACAGTTTTTTGGGGGATGGATTATGTGTCAGGTGTCAATAAAAATGTATAATAACAATAATAACTACCATTACTGAGTTCTTCTTTTGTGCCAGGTACTAGGTAAAGCATTTCTACTAATTAGCTCATTGAATTCTCATAGCAACAAGGAAATCATATATTGCCTTCCTCTGCTTTTTGGATGAGGAAACCTTAGTGGGGGATAAGGGCACAGTGAAATAATATGGCCAAAGTTTTACAGCAAAGTCGGGCTTCACACCAAGGTCTACAGCTCCAAGATTAATGCCTTTTTTTTTTTTTTTTTTTTTTTTTTTGAGATGGAGTCTCGCTCTGTCGCCCAGGCTGGAGTGCAGGGGCACGATCTCGGCTCACTGCAAGCTCCGCCTCCCAGGTTCATGCCATTCTCCTGCCTCAGCCTTCCAGTAGCTGGGACTACAGGTGCCCGCCACCACGCCTGGCTAATTTTTTCTATTTTTAGTAGAGACGGGGTTTCACAGTGTTAGCCAGGATGGTCTTGATCTCCTGACCTCTTGATCCACCCACCTCGGCCTCCCAAAGTGCTGGAATTACAGGCGTGAGCCACTGCGCCCGGCCAAGATTAATGCTTTTAACTAGCAATTCATGCTAATTTTATAAACTAGCTTTTCATCCTATGCTAAGTTCTGGAAGAGATTATATAAAAATGGGTATTATGTATTCTTTGGAAATCACAAAAAACTAGTCAAAAGAAAACATCAGTTTTAAAAACATAATATGTAAAATGAAGAAATAAGGCCAGGTACGGTGGCTCACACCTGTAATCCCAGCACTTTGGGAGGCCAAAGCAGGAGGATGGCTTGAGGCCAGGAGTTCAAAACCAGCCTGGGTAACACAGTGTGACCCCCATCTCTATGAAAAATTTAAAAAATTAGTCGGGTGTGGTGGTGCATGCCAAAAGTCCTAGCTACTCAGGAGGCTGAGGCAGGAGGGTTGCTTAGGCTTAGGAGTTTGAGGTTGCAGTAAGCTATGATCTCACCACTGCACTCCATCCTGGGCAACAGAGCAAGACCCTGTTTCTACAAAACAAACAAATAAAAAAATGAAGTGAAGAAATAAAGAGGTAATGCCTTGTCAATTGAATAACATCTTTCTACTTACATGTGGCTATTTCTACTTAAAAGTATGAAGCCTTTAATTTAACAAATATTCTTAGGAAAGGATGTGAATCATTACTCTCAACCTCATTCATCACTGTGTTCTATCTGTCTCTTATTACTATTCTGTCTCCAAATGCATTGTGAACCCCTCTATTTTCATAAGCCATTGTTCTAGGGTAGGTTGCTACCATGTGAGACTGGACAATTGTATGGCCTTTCTGGTGGTTCTGCCTCACTTTCTTGTACCACTTGTACTCATTCTGTACACAGCAACTGGAAGGACTTATTTTCAAAATGTTCTGTGTATTTACTGTTTTACAACTGAGTGCTGCCAACATAGTATCCTTATTATAAAATATTCAGCTGTATAAAAAATATATAGTGCTTAACTACAAATGGAAAGCATAATTTTTGAAAAAATAAACACATGAACATCACATAGGATCCTACAAAAAGGCATTAAGCCAAGTAGTTTTTAATTTGCTTATGCTGTCTTTCTCCTTTTTTCATTTTTTTTCCAGCCACTGGAGTATTTTGTGATGATCTTTCTTCTTTATATGTTTCCAGTGGAATGCTATTATTTTTATTATTTTCCCAAGACACTCTTCCCAACAGAAAAAAATGAAAATGTACTATATGGACTCTAATTCCAGTGATTTCATGAAGAATCACAATAAGCTCCATTTTCTAGAGATTTCCCTAGCAGACAGGGGTGACCTAAGTACATCATGAGTAACTTATCATATTTGCTCTGTCTTAATAATCTTTTGTCTCTAGGGCTTAGCACTGTGAGTCGTGTATATTAAATGCTCAATAAATAATCTCTTAAAAACTATTAAATGAATATAATATTTAGTATTTTGTAGGAGAATCTAAAAATTTTCAAGCCATAAGCTAGATCCTTCAATAGAGTGCTTTTGTATTTAAATTATATAATCAGTGATTTTTTCTAAAACTGTGATTTTTTGAGCTCCCAGAGGTGTGGATTTTCTTCTTCATTCTTGACAGCTAATTTGCAATACTTTCCACTGATCATATACTTTCCCTTTTATCTAAAATGTCAATTTTCTCAAAGTTTACCTTGAAGCATGACCAAAGACTGTCGAAGTCGGCTGTTTTCTTTCCGGGTGTTTGTTAGTTTTTCTTTCAGGCTTTTTATTTTGGCGCACAATTCTTCCTTTGACAATTCTGCTAAAGGCTCTTCATCCTCACTGGAGCTTTCACCAGGCAGAAAGGCATTTCCCGAATATGGGTCTCTCTAAAATAGAAGGCAGGCACAATAAAAGAAGCCTCATAGCATCTTTAATGGTTTATCTCTGGTTAACCATTGCATGTTGTTGGGACTACAAATTTCTTGTTCTCACAGGCACTTCCTGCTGCTGATCTAGCCCCAGCTTTGTCCTCCAGCAGGCAGAGGAACTCAAAATAAGGGCAGGACAAAGTTTCATGCACATATGCCTCTTGAGAAACAGAAACCAGGATTCTGAATTTCTGCCTAACTTCAGTGAAAAATACAAAGTAGAAAATTAGCAAAACAGAATAAAATCAACAAGACCACCATTCAAATCTGGTCTTCTCTGATATACAGCCCGGATTTGAGCAGAATGCCTCACCATATGAACCTTATTTCTTTCGCCTGTGAATACACACAGACAAATGATTTAATAAATAGAAAAGCTTAACAAGATGGCAGGGTATACCAGAGTTAGTGCTTCTATGTGCCAGCTACAAACAATTCATAACATAGTGTTCAAAAGGTTACTATTTATTAGAAGGACAAGAAGTACCTGTGGAGGGGAGTGTGGGGTAGTAGCTGACAGGGGACGTGAGGGAATCTTTGGGGTGCTGGTGAGGTTTTATTTTTTATATGGGTGTGTTCATTGTGTGATAATCAAGCTATACATTTTTTATATGTGTATTCTTCTGTATATATATTACACTTCCCTAAAATGTTTCTTAAAAATCTCCAGAAAGTGGCTGGCTGCGGTGGCTCACACCTGTAATCCCAGCACTTTGGGAGACCAAGGAGGGTGGATCACCTGAGCCCAGGGGGTCAAGACAGCCTGGGCAATGTGGTGAAACCCTGTCTCTACAAAAAATATAAAAATTAGCCAGGCGTGGTGGCACATGCCTGTTGTCCAGCTATTCTGGATGATCACCTGATTAAAGGGAGGTAGAGGCTGCAGTAAGCCGAGATGGTACCACTGCGCTCCACCCTGGGTGACAGAGGGATACCCTGTCTCAAAAACAACGTAAAAATTAAAAAAAAAAAACCTCCAGAAAGTAAATTTGTATAGATTCTCTTGACAGTTTTCAATCCCTAGAGCCTAAATATTCTGTATTTATGTTTAAATCCTGAGAACAGATGTCATTGACACACAACAAAAGATTTGCAAGAGCTTTATGAAAGAAGTAAAAAACAAACTTGACTGAAAGCTACCAAAGATAATCTAAATTAATGTAGAGAGACATCATGTTCAGAGATAAGAAGGCTTAATTAATTTATTTTTAAATGTTTGCAATTTTTTCAATTATCAATTTATTGTGTAACCATAATCATGGTTCATTATTTACAAGTAATATTGTTTTCATTAGATTGCAATATTATTGGTGAAAATGATAAAAATTATTTGTTGAGTGTCCACCAGGTATTTAGTGGTGTTGTAGGTACTTTACCTGTACGTTCATATGAAATGCCCACTTTATAAATGAAGAGAATAGATTCAGAGATACTGTCATTTGTTAAAGGTCATGCATCCAGTAAACGCTGGAGCTTGGAAGAGATCTCAAGATTGTCTGACTCCTGTAGGATCCTTAATTTTTTTAAAAAATTGATTATGCCAAAATTGAGCCATGGAATTAATATAAATTCAATAAAAATCTCAGAAGACATTTTGGTAACCTAATAAATTGGTTTTAAAATTTATATGGAAGAACAGAAGGCCAAGAATATCCAAAGCAATGCTAAAGAAGTATAAGCAGCAGGGTGTTTCCTCACAAATACAAAGGCTTATTAAAAATCTAGAAAACCGTAGGGTGCTGGTTCAGGGTTAGACAATATGACCAAGAAATAGAAGAGAGTGGCCTGAGGTCGGGTATGGTGGCTCATGCCTGTAATCCCAGCACTTTGGGAGGCTGAGGCAGGCAGATCTCTTCAGCGCAGAAGTTCAAGACCAGCCTGGGGAATGTGGCAAAACCTTGTTTCTACAAAAAATACAAAAATTATCCAGTCGTGGTGGTGCACACCTGTAGTCCTGGTTACTCGGGGGGCTGAGATGGGAGGATTGCTTGAGCTTGGTAGGTTGAGGCTGTGGTGAGCCATGATCACATCACACACAGCCTGGAAGACAGAGCGAGACCCTGTCCAAAAAAAAAAAAAAAAAAAAGAAGCGAGTGGCCCAAAATAGATGCATGCAGATGAAGAACTTTGACATGGTAGAGAAGGCATGGCAGCTTACTGCAGAAATGGGATCTGTTCAACAAATAAAGCTTGAAAAAACTGGTTAACCATTTGGAAAAAAAAATGAAAGGAAATGGATCTCTTATTACATACACACATACACACATGCACATACACAACTTCAGATGGATTAAGAATTTAAACATCAAAAACAAAAGTTTAAGTTTTGCAAGAAAATGTAAGTGCAGGTATTTTGAACTTGGGGCAGGAAAGAATTTCTTAGGCATAAAATCATTGATCATAATAGGAAAGACTAACAAATTCAGCTAAATTAAAATTAAGAAATTTTCTTCATTAAGGCACATTAAAGAAAGTGAAAAAACACATCACAACTGGTGGATATTTGCAATACTGTTAAGTGACAAATCAGTAAGGAAAAAGAAGCCAGCAATTCAATAGAAAATAGGCAGAAGACATGAACAAACATTTTACAGAACAGAAAACCCATAGGGCTTATAAATATATGAAAGGATGCTCAACCTCATTAACAACTAGGGAAAAGAAGATCAACATGATAAAAAGACATCATTTGGGGCAAAAATATGAATGGGCTTGACAAAAGCATAGAGTAGATGTAGATCAATGGAATTTCCTCATATTTCTGGTGGGAATGTAAATTGGCAGAACTACTCTGGAAAGCATTTGACATTATCTTGTAAAGTTTACCATTTACCTACCCTCTGATCTTGCAATTGATTTCTAGGTCTATACATAAGAGAAACTTTCAGTATTTGTAGTCTAAGACTTTCCATAACACTGTTGTTCATAATGGTGAAAACCTGAAAACAGCCCAAATTCCCATTGATAGGACAATGGGTAAATGAGTTGTGTTAGTTACAAGTTGGGATATTATACAGCATTGATAGTGAATAAATTATAGCCAAAATGAATTAATTTCAGTAAAATGTTGAGTAAGAAATGCAAGTTCCAGAAGTAAACAATATGGTATACTTTATGTAAAGTTTAAGAACAGATAAAACTAATGATACATTATCTAGATAAATATAGATTATATATCACATATGATATATAATCCATAATATATAATATATTTATATAGAAATGTATAATGAGACTACATTATAGTTGTGTATATATTTTTATAAAACTATTATTGTTATTATTTATTTATTTATTTACTTTTTGAGATGGAATCTCACTCTGTCTCCCAGGATGGAGTGCAGTGGCACGATCTCGGCTCACTGCAACCTCCACCTCCCTGGTTCAAGTGATCCTCCTGCCTCAGCCTCTTGAGTAGCTGGGATTTCAGGCACGCGCCAGCATGCCCAGCTAATTTTTTTGTACATTTAGTAGAGAAAAGGTTCTGCCATATTGCCCAGGCTGGTTTCAAACTCCTGACCTCAAGTCATCTGCCCACCTCGGACTCCCAAAGTGCTGGGATTACAGGCATGAGCCACCACGCCCAGCCTATAAAACTATTAAAACACAAGTAAATTAAACAAAATTGAATACGATTACCTCTAGAATGAGGCAGGCAGGGAATGGGGTAGGTGAGGAGTCTATAGGAAGTTATGAGTTTTAGTAATGTTTTAGGTCTTGGGATGGGCAGCAGCTTTATTGGAGATCATTGTATTTTTTAAGTAAAAAATAAAAGTTGACATGAGGCAATATATAGAGAATATCTTTCATATTGCATTGCACATAGTAAACATTCAATAATCATTTTTATCATGTTAGTATACATCATGGTTTCCTTCTTTGTAATTCTTCTCCTTTCTTCATTTCTCTTCGTATTTCCTATTCACAACCTTCTGACTGAGACTATGCTATTAGGTCAATTTTGGGGCTTATTGCATCAGAGAAGGTAGAGAGCAGATTCAGTTGAAAAAAAGCACTCACGGCTGGGCGTGGTGGCTCACGCCTGTAATCTCAGCACTTTGGGAGGCCGTGGCTGGCGGATCACGAGGTCAGGAAATCGAGACCATCCTGGCCAACATGGTGAAACCCCGTCTCAACTAAAAATACAAAAAATTAGCCGGGCCTGATGGCATGCACCTGTAGTCCCAGCTACCTGGGAGGCTGAGGCAGAAGAATCCGTTGAACCCAGGAGGCGGAGGTTGTAATGAGCCGAGATCATGCCACTGCACTCCAGTCTGGGCAACAGAGCAAGACTCTGTCTCAAAAAAAAAAAAAAAGAAAGAAAAAAGGAAAAAAGCATTCACATTTACCTTTTAGTTTAAAAAATAGTTTTAAAGGGCAATAGCAAGACAATTATTTGAAAACATATGCTTATAAGTTGTAACATTCAAGCTGTGTTGAGACAAAAGGATTTTCTGAAACTACCAAACTGGCATATATATATGTATATATATATCCAAATCTGGAAAATTGGAGTACAGAGTGGAATTTATAAGGATACAAACCTAGAAGTTTGTTGTTTAAAATTTTAAAGAATTAACCTGAGAGTAGAAGAAGCAAAGGTATAACATAAAGAAAGCCTCTACTGCCCAGTAAAAGAAAAGACATTCTGGTGCATGGAGGAGGAGCCTGGGCAATAAGAACTTGATTAGCATGAAATCTGATTTAAATGTCTTTGCTCTTCTTGCCCCTGCCCTTTAGGGGGAAAGGGGATGAATCTCCAGGTGGGGGTATATGATAGAGACATACAGATAAATGGGGGCAATCCCAGAACAGCAGGCTGGCTCCTTGCTTAGTGCATTCTTCCCTAAAGAGTCCTCATGTTCAGCATCAGGGCAACATGGTGTCTCTCCGGGCCACAGATTGGAAATGGCCAAATTGGTGTCCAGATAAATGGGTCAGAGACAACATCCAGATTTCCCAGAGCTCATGCAAAACAGCTGGAGAATCCAAATGTGCTTGTATCCTAGTTAGGGAATAGGTAAGTTCTGGAGGAACTAATGAAATATAAACAGCTGGCTGGGCACAGTGGCTCACGACTGTAATCCCAGTACTTTGGGAGGCGGAGGTGGGCAGATCAGTTGAGGTCAGGAGTTCAAGACCAGCCTGGCCAATATGGTGAAACCTCGTCTCTACTAAAAATACAAAAAAATTAGCCAGGCGTGGTGGCTCATGCCTGTAATCCCAGCTACTTGGGAGGCTGAGGCACGAGAATTGTTTGAAAACCCAGGAGGTGGAGGTTGAAGTGAGCAGAGATTGTGCCACTGCACTCCAGCCTGGGTGATACAGCAAGAGTCTGTCTCAAAAAAAAAAAAAAAAAAAAGAAAAGAAACACAAACAGCTTAATATCTAGACAGAGAGGCCACAAGGTGCCAGAACATTATAGAAGATGGCAGTGTGTGCCAGGATGGCAAATTTCAGCAGCAGCTACCAATAGAATCCCCAATGGACCTGTAAGGATTGGCTCAACAGTAACACCAAGGGACACCCTGAAACAAGGCAGGGAAGTTAAAACCTCAGTAAAAGATCAGATATCTTTCCCCAGAGGCTGAGTGCAAGACTTCGAAAAACTTGGTTCACTTCCCAAGAAAAGAAGGTGGAGGAGGGGAAGAATTTAGAATTCATTGAGGCTTAAATCCTGAAGTGACTTAAATAATAATAACTCAAAAAGACTGTTTTACACTAGAAAATGAATAAACAAGTTTAAGCTTTTTATTGTCTTATCAATCAAGCATAGAGACTTGAAAGCCAGATGAGATCAGTTATAGAAAACACAACTACATTTTTATATGATTTGCAGCATTTACATTCAACCTTTATTTTATTTTGTTTATTTATTTATTATTATTATTATTTTCTGGAAACAGGTCTTGCTCTTTTGCCCGGGCTGGAGTGCAGTGACACAATTTTAGCTCACTGCAGCCTCGAACTCCTGGGCTCAAGCAGTCCTCCCGCCTTAGCCTCCCGAGTAGCTGGGTTTATAGGTGCGAGTCACCATACCTGGCCCTCACCTTTATTTTATAAATGTACAGATATATGTATATGTTTGTATATTTCATTGTTATATATGTGTTTGTATATATATACATATGTAATACATCTTCTAGTGATGAAAATTACTAATATCAGAAGTAGGCAGATAGCTATACCCACGTTAAATGTATAAATCTTAAAGAAAAAATTATGTATTGATTAAATAGAAATAAGAAATTTTTAAAAACTGAAGATAGCCTATTGATACCATAATTCTGTTAGTAGTAATTAGTATCTATGGTCTAGTTCTTGTTAGCAAGTTTTAGCAAGTTGCTACAAGAGGGAAAGGACATCAGGCAAAAGAAATCCATTTGTAAGCATCAGTGGAAGGAAATGAAGTTAACAGACACATATTAGATTGGGAGAATATATTTGTAATATCTCAAACCATAAGAGACTAATTTCTACAATAGATAAGGTATTAGTGCAAATCAATAAGAATTGACAGAACAGGAAATCCATCAGAATAACCAAGAAAACGAACAGAAAACAAAAACCTAATAGAAAAATGGACAGTGCAGAGACTGCTAGCTATCTCCAGGTGTCTATTCTACCATTCTTGTATAGTACAATAAAGGTTTTAGCTGGGCTCATAGTTGTCAGCTAAAGGCTTCATTTCCCTGACTCCCACGTGGCTCAGTGTGACTATATGACTAAGTTCCCTCCAATAGGATATGAGCAGGAGTATTTTGGACCACTGACTTGTTGATAACCTTAAAAGAACAAGCATGCCTTCTTCTGCCTGTATTCTCCTTCTTCTATTAGCAGATGGGAAGGCATGATGGGAGAGTGAGGGGAGGGCAGTCATCTTAGACCTAGAGATAGAGGCTGTGTGTTGAGGAAGGTAGATCAACAAGGTAAGAGGGACACTCAACATGTGGAGCTGCCATAGCACCCCTAAACTGCTCTTACTATTAGGTAAGAGGGAAATAAACTTCATCCTGTATAAGCCATTATTGTGTTACTTGAGTCTATTTTACAGCCTTTGCAACTTATATCATAACTAGTCCAAAATTGAGTACCCAGAAGTACGAATACCTAAAACCTGAAATATAATTGAATTACTGAGAGGTCAGGTGGTAGCGCACAGGCATGGCATGCTGGATAGCCATTGATTCTTGTTAGACCTTGGGGCATATTTGGTACAACAGTCACCTGGAATACCTTTGAAGGCAGACCACAAACTTATTGAGCTTGGAAAAACAATGCTGGTATGTATCAGCTACTCCTTGTCAGTGCTGGTCAGTGTGCAAGCAGACATGGAAGGCTCTCTGAGTGCAGCATGCAATTTAAATTAACTGAGAGTCCAGTAATATTCAATCTTCAAGTTTTGAAAAAGCCAATTACTTTTATATCTAAATAGCAGAAGGTAAGACTGTATCCTCAAGGCTTTCTCGAGAGCTTTTCTTTAAGTGTTCTTGACAGATAATGGGATCCAGCCCAGTGGTAAGCTTCAGATGCAGGGTGTTTCCTTCAAGCTTTTTGTTTTGTATATTGTTTAGATAACTGTCATAAATTGGAGAGAAAAGAGGCTGAACACAGATGCCGTAATTGAAGAGAACAGTTTTCATGCTTACAATCCATGATCAAATAAAATCTCTGGCTATAGTGAATTTCAATGGAACAAAAAAGAAATTGTGGTTTAGAAAGCTATTAAGTTCTTGCTAAAGAAGCCACAATACCGGCCTACAAGAGCATGTGACTGTTTTTACCTCTTAAGCAATCCTTGAGTTTCCCTAAACCTGCATCAGCAGATTAAAACAATGAGATATCATTTTCTCCCATCAATTTGCAAAAACTAGAAATTTGGATATTAATGCTAACGGTTGTAGGGAAGTACAAATATGGGAACCTCTTAAACACTGATGCTGGGCACGTACACTGATGTGAACACTCTCGAAAAGTAATTTTATAATATCTAGTCAAATGAACTAGAAATAAACATATAACTTACAAGGTATAAATCACCCTCCTATGTATTTTTCCCAGATAAATTGTCACACAGTTTTTTTTTCTTTTTTCTTTGCTTTTTTTTTTGTTGTTGAGACAAGGTCTGGCTCTGTCACCCAGTCTGAAGTGCAGTGATGGGAACACAGCTCACTGCAGCCTGAAACTCCTAGACTGAAGCGATCCTCCCACCTCAACCTCCCAAGTAGCTAGGACTACAGGTGTAAGCAGTTGCACCCGATTAATTTTAAATTTTTTTTGGTAGAGAGAGGGTCTCCCTGTGTTGCCCAGGCTGGTCACAAACTCCTGGGCTCAAGTGATCCTCCTGCCTCAGCCTTCCAAAGTGCTGGGATTATAGGTGTAAGCCACTGCATCTGGCCTCACAAAGTTTCTTAAAAGGACATGTATAAGGATATTTACTTTGTCATTGTTTGTGGTAGCAAGATGCTGGAGGCAATCTAGGTATTCATCACTGAGGAAAGGATAAATAAAACACGGTGCTATGCAGCAGCTAGAAGCAATGGATCAGATGTATATATAGCAATATAGATAGGTATTAAAAACAGTGCTAATTGTGTGGAAACAAGCAAAGTGTCCATAAATGAATGGATGGATTAAAAAACAGTAGAATTAATATATTTATAAATGGAATATCATTGAGCCCTAAAAAAGAACAAGATCTTGCTATTTGCCACAATGTAGATGAGGCTGGAGGATGTTATGTTAGGTGAAGTAAACCAGACGCAGAAAGAAAATTATTGCATGATCTCACTTACATCTGGAATCTAAAAAAAACTTTCAAATATTCAGAGATACAGAACAAAACAGTGGTTACTAGGGCAGATGGGGCTTAGAGGAGAGAAAATGAGGAGATGTAAGTCAGAGGATATGAAGTAGCAGATACACAGAACAAAGAGGTTTAGAGATCTAACGTAGCACACGAGGACCATAGGTAATAAAATTGTTTTGTGTTTGGGATTCATGCAACATGTGTAGATTTTATCTGCTCTTGCAACAAAAATTTTAAAAATGGGTAACTGTGAGTGATGGATATGTTAATTTGCTTCACTATAGTAACCTTCTTACTATCTATATGTTTCCTATAACGTGATGTTATATACCTGAAATATACACAATAAAATTTATTTTAAAAAAACAGTGCTGATTGAAAATCAGAAACAGATTAAGGTCTATATTTTAATACCACTGTACTATCAAATGATGTACACATAAGGTGGTACAGTGTTGTGTGGTTTGTATTAAATAGTAAGAAAAGGATTAGAAACAACTGATATTTATCATAGGAAACCAGTTAAATAAAGGATGGTGAATACACACAGTGCAATAACATGGAGCTGTAAAAAATACAAAGCTCTCTGTATAATAATGGAAATACCTTCAAAATATATTAAGTAAAAAAGAAAAGTATAAAGCAATATATATGGTTAGTTTTGTGCCAAAGACAGGGATAAGAATGTATATTCATATTTGATTTATTTGAATGAAGAAACACTGGAACAATAAACAAGAAAGCAATAAATGTAATTACTTATATTGGGGGGCTGGTGGCAGGAACAGGGTAGGTGGGAGACAGGGATGTGAGGGAAACTTTTCACCGTTTACCTTTAAAAAATATTTTAAACCTTAAGAATGTAATATTTATTTAAATAATTAAGAATATATGAAATAAAACACTACATTACAGAGACATATGCAATTATATGTATTACAAAAACACACAAATAAAAAGATACAGAAATAAACATATTGATTGGTTGTCCAAAGTATAGGAGGGGAATGGGAGTGGGGAATTCAGATTTAAAAGGAACAAATGAATAAATAAAAATAGGAAAGGCACCCTGACCAAACCAGTGATAAGGATGGGCCACAAACTGGGGTCTAAAAAGAAAAACAAACAGTATGTCTTACAGATGAGGCATTCCAATTTCTTCAGTATTTGGGGAGAGGAAAAAATATTTTCTGACAGTTTGCTGATCTTTAATTTCTCAGACTATTAAGGAAAGTTTGAACAATAGAAGCAGGTCAATTGTTGAGTATGTTTCTAACTCAACTGTTCAACATTAAAAAGAGAACATAAGATGGTGCAGTGGCTTATACCTGTAATCCCAGCACTTTGAGAGGCTGACGTGGGAGGATCACTTAAGCCTAGGAATTTGAGACCAGCCTGGGCAACACAGGGAGACCCTGTCTCTACAAAACATTTTTAAAAAGAAAAAGAACATAAGATTATATTTTCTCCATTGAATAAAGAAATGAAAAGAATTAAATAATAGAAGAGGGAGAAGCACTAATAAATTATGAAAGAAACCATGAAATTATGATTGAGCTAGATAACAAAGTTGAGTCAAGGTAACAAAAAACCAACCTGTCCTTTATCCATGTCACTATTTGCATTTTCTGAGTCCATTGTCTCTGTTCTTTTCCTCTTTCCTTTTCTAAAAGCTTGTGTATTGGTAATTTCATCTGTCTGCACGATCTTCTGCATTTTCTCAATTAGTTATCAAAGGTTTTCTGAAATCCTAGGAGTAGGGAATACCCATGAAGATGATGCTATTCTGGACGTAGCTCAAAAGTTAATGCTTTCCCTTAAAAACAAAAACAAAAACATGACACATAACATATTCACAACTGTATGTTTCATAATGGTACTAGCCACTCAGATAAACCAGTTTTATTAATGTTTCCTATTCTTTCTTCCACTGATTAATTTAGTACACATTTTCATTTGATGCAAAAGTCTTCTAATTTCATCAGCATCATAAATAATTTCATATTTTCATGATGTGATATGCAGTGAGTTGTAATTTACAAAATCAAATATTGTAACACTTTTTCATAAGTTTTTTTCTTGTCAAACAGTTATATTATGAGGAGTCTACGAAACTAGAAACATTACAAATTTATAAAAACAGTATCACAGAGGACTGACCTTATATATCTTTAGGAAAAAGACGTTAATAATAGATTTCATAAGAACCGAAGACTAAAATATTCCAGGGAAATCAGTAAGAATTTCTTAAAAGGTTTTTTTTCCCCTAAAAGTTCTTAAGTCTTGAAATGCAAGATTTTCCTTGGTGCAAACTGAAGAATTGTGCCATAAGAAATGGGGGAAAAATCTCAAGGGCAATAGTATTTTCATAAAGATTTTAAGGAATAATCATTTATCAAAATCTGATAAAGCAGGCTGGGCATGACGGCTCACACCTGTAATCCCAGCACTTTGGCAGGCCGAGGTGGGAGGATTGCTTGATCCCAGGAGTTCAAGACCAGCCTGGGAAATATGGTAAAACCTCATTGCTACAAAAAATACAAAAAAGTTGCTGGGTGTGGTGAGTGATGTTAAATGATGAAATTTAACTTTTGCTATTTACAAATGATGTAGCATGTTAAGTCTTAGCATCCTTACTACTTGCATATATTGGTTTGTTTTCATGAAAAAATATTTAATTATAAATAATAAAACTTTATAGAAAGGACTTAGATGTCTTCAAGAAATATGTGGACTGTTGAACAGAAAGTAACATATGCTCCTTACCAAATTACATTGTCACTATTTTAGAAAATATAATTCTTTGCCTATTTTAAGTGAAAGCCATTATGATCTACTCTAAGCATAAAATAATATTTGGATGGTCCTGTCAAAAATGCTTGTTGCGACTCTTCTTTGAAAACTTACTTTAGCCTTTCAAATACATGAATAGTGCTTGAGCTAACACAGGACTATACTGTCAAATCTGACTCACAAATACCAGACAGCTTGCCTAATATCAATCTTTACTAATAATTTCAAAGATAGAAGCACAATCAAGCCACATGCAGTGGCTCACACCTGTAACCCTAGCACTTTGGGAGTCCCAGGCGGGCAGATTGCCTGAGCTGAGAAATTCAAGACCAGCCTAGGCAACATGGTGAAACCCCATCTCTACTAAAATACCAAAAATTAGCCAGGCATGGTGGCTCACGCTTGTAGTTCCAACTACTCTGGAGGCTGAGGCATGAGAATTGCTTGAACCTGGGAGGTGGAAGTTGTAGTGAACTGAGATCATGCCACTGCACTCCAGCCCAGGCAACAAGAGGGAGCCTCTGTCTCCAAAAAAGAAAAAAATCCACAAAAGCAAAAGAAAAAGCAATCAAGAGGCATAGGCAAAGTAGGAAGAGATCCAGGGAATCCCTGCTGGCTTCCTAGCTCCTTCCTTCTCACATCATGCACTCTGTGGTCCACAATAATAGGTGAGGCCTCTAAATTAATTTAGAGGGTTACCTCACACAGTGGAGAATGTTTAAGTTGTGATGCATCTCCATTTTATATTTCAGAGCTGTGTAGCTCGCATGACATTCTCTAGGAAGTTATAAATCCAGATTCTAGGTATGCTTGCAATAAGCAATCCCTAACCAAGGATATACTGTTAACAGCATTCCATAGATACAAACTGTCCTCCTAGTAAATACAAAAGTCTATTTGTGAGAACAGGGTTGACAAACTTTTTCTGCAAAGGGATGGATAGTAAATATTTTAGATACTGCAAGCCAATAGGCCAAATGTAGGATATTATATAGGTATTTACATAGCAAGAGAGAAGACAAATTTTCAAATTTTCAAAACTTCAAAATCTAATAATAGTACAACTTTTTGTAAGCCAAATTTACTAATGAAAAGAATGGAATTAACAAAAACCATCTTGCTTAATTGGGGTTCAGAGTTAGTGTTTCCTATCATCAAAATCAATTGCAAATGTTCATCTGACCTGTAATGAGATTTTACGTATTTCCTCTTTGAAAATGTCTTTTACATTGATAGGTACTGGCATATATTGATGTTAATCCATGAAGTTACAATTTTCTTAATTGAGATAAAGTTTACACAACATATAAATTCACCGTTTTAACCATTTAAAAGTGTGTACATCCATTTAAAGTGTACAATTCAATGATTTTTAGGATGTTTATTGCATAACCATCACCAAGAAACTCCATACATCCCAAAATGAGCTTATAATTTTAGTTGAGCATATTAATTTCTTAGAAGACTTTCATATAATTTTATTAGATTCTTCTCTTGATATTTGCCTTTTAGCATGTCATACTTTGAAGACTAATTACTCCCAATTAAAGGTTAGGTGGAAGCGCCTCAAATTGCACAATAAAATGGATTTTGAAATATGGAAATTTGTCTTGTATTTGCATTGAGATCTGAAAGGCAGTGCTGGAACTGTAATTTGAACTTAAAAATATATCCATTGCAAATCTGAGTGGGGATGAAGTCTCACATTTTGTTTTAACTTTTGACAATAGGGGAAGTAAATAAAGCAGTTTGACATTACTTATGCATCATCAATTAGTTGTTGTTAAAATGACTTTACTTCAGTGTAAGTTTTGCTGTAAGTGCTTGTCTTGTATATAATTTTGTCTTATGATTTCTTAATCAATTCAGTTAAGAAACATTATTAAGTCTACAGCAAAAGCTTATTTCAAAAGCCATTCAGTGCTCCATAGGCATATGGAACAACAGTCTCATTCACAAAAATTTCAATCTTCGCTCCAGTGCAAATATTTGCAGTAAAACTTTGCCACTGCTAAGCTATCAAAATGTTGGGTAGTAGGGCAAGTCAGAATATTCAACTTCTATTTGAAGTTCCATGAAAAGATTCCTGGAACTGATGATAGTCAAGTCCACAAGAATGAATGTTCACTGTTGACATTATTGGTTCAATAATAAATGATATTTTCAGAAATTGCCAAGGTGATCTTAAAATTTGTATGGAAATGTAAGAGACTTAGAATGGCCAAAACAATCTTGAAGAAGAAGGGTAGTCAAATTTATAGAGGCAGAAAGTAGATAAGTGATTTCTTATGGGTGAGGAGTAGGTTGGGGAGAGGAAATTGGCATAGGGTTTCTTTTAGAGGGGAAAAATGTTTTAAAAATTGAATTGTGGTGATGGTTGCAAAATACTGTGAGTATACAAAAAAAACCCTCCACATTTAATTGTATATTTTATTTTATTTTATTTTATTTTAGACAGGGTCTTGCTCTCTCACCCAGGCTGGAGTGCAGTGGCATGATCCTAAGTCACTGCAGCCTTGAAGTCCTGGGCTCAAGGGATCCTCTTGCCTCAGTCTCCAGAGTAGCTGGGGCTACAGGCATGCACCATGACACCTGTCTAATTTTTAGTTTTTTTTTTTTGTTTTTTGTTTTTGTAGAGACAGGGTCTCAGTATGTTGCCCAGGCTGGTCTTGAACTCCTGGCCTCAAGTGATCCTTCTGCTTTGGCCTCCCAAAGCATTAGGATTACAGGTATGAGCCACCATACTTGGTTGAATTGTACACCCTTTTCTTTCTTTTGAGATAGGGTCTTGCTCTGTCACTCAGGCTGGAGTGTAGTGGTGCAATCTTGGCTCACTTCAGCCTTGACCTCCTGGACTCAAGTGATCCTCCCGTCTTGGCTTCCCTAATAGCTGGGACTACAGGCGTGTGCCACTATGCCCAGCTAATTTTTTTATTTTTCGTAGAGATGGGGTCTCACTGTATTGTCTAGGTTGATTTCAAACTCCCGGCTTCAAGTGACCTTCCTGCCTTGGCCTTCCAAATGCTGGGATTACAGGCATGATCCATTGTGTCTGGCTGAATCATATACTTTAAATGGGTCAATTGCTTGGTTTGTGAATGCTGTTTCAATAAAGCTATTTTTTAAAAATACACATAATGGTTCAACTATTTTCTGCAAAGCACCTGCTGATGACTAATAAAATGAATAACCATAGGCTTTAAACACTTTACATTTTCATAAGTCCCGTAAATTTGTCTAATTATTTTTCTGCTCTATATATATTTGTAACACATCTTAGTAGATTCCACTTCAGGTTGTACTCAATTAGTATTTTCTCAGTTTCTTTGAAACTATTTTTGCCCACAGTTTTTTTTCACAAAGGCTATTTATAGAAACTAATTTGTTAGTCACTCTAAACTCAGCATTTGTTTCTCAAATAAAAAACAACTGAGCAGTAACCTGTTGACTCATTAAGAAACAATAAAAACTGACAGTCACTTGCTTGTTATTTAATTGATTATTGTGCCACTCTCAATGTCCCCAACCCTTTGAGCAACTATCTTTGCTGAAAGGCTAATAGTTGTAAACTACTGCAGTCAAGTATAATTCAATTATTATAATTTCACTATCTGTAAATGGTTTTCCTTCTTGGCTAACAAATGAGCCATATGAAATTTATTTTGGTTGCACTAATTTTCATTTTTTAATTTGTGTGAAGAAATTCTGCTGTGATGAAAAATGAGATAGTCCATTTTAAATTTCCTAATTTTTCTGACTGCTATTTTCCTGTGAGTTGGAAATATTGTGATGAGTGCTTAGTTGGCTAATGTTGATATATATGATATTCTTTCAGCACAACTGTAATGTCATTGTATAATAAACACAATCTACCAGTTGCAGTGCTCATGCCTGTAATCCCAGCACTTTGGGAAGCTGAGGCAGGCGGATCACTTAAGGCCAGTAATTCAAGGCCAGCTTGGCCAACATGGTGAAACCCCATCTGTATTAAAAATACAAAAATTAGCCAGGTGTGGTGACGTGCACCTGTAATCCCAGCTACTCAGGAGGCTGAGGCAGGGGAATCGCTTGAACCCAGGAGGCAGAGGTTGCAATGAGCCAAGATTGAGCCACTGCACTCCAGCCTGAGTGACAGAGCAAGACTCTGGCTCAAACAAACAAACAAACCCCACAGTCCTTTGCCACCTAATTTTGTAATAAAATAATCTACACTCCACTCTGCCTTAGAAGCACTAACGCGGCTGGGCATGGTGACTCACGCCTGTAATCCCAGCACTTTGGGAGGCTGAGATGGGCAGATCTTGAGGTCAGGAGATCGAGACCATCCTGGCTAACACGGTGAAACATTGTCTCCACTAAAAATACAAAAAATTAGCCGGGCATGGTGGCGGGCGCCTGTAGTCCCAGCTACTCGGGAGGCTGAGGAAGGAGAATGGCGTGAACCCGGGAGGCAGAGCTTGCAGTGAGTCGAGATCGCGCCACTGCACTCCAGCCTGGGTGACAGAGCGAGACTGTATCTCAAAAAAAAAAAAAAAAGCACTAACACTAATTTTATCTTCTTTTCTTGTTTGGCATGATTGGCATGCACTGATAATAAAAAATAAATTAAATAATTGTTTCCAGGTGGTATGTGGGGCTTGAGGCTGAGAATGGCCCTTGCTGTCACCAACATGGAGACTTTGTATCGTGTCCTGTTCTTAGTGCTTGAATGTCCCTGAATGTCCCAACCTGAAGCTGAAGAAGCCACCATGACTGCACATGGCGTCGACCATGACTGTGTATGCTCTGGTGCTGGTGTCTTACTTCCTCACCACTGGAGGAATAATTTATGATGTTATTGTTGAACCTGCAAGTGTTGGCTCTATGACTGATGAACATAGGCATTAGAGGTCAGTAGCTTTCTTGGCCTACAGAGTAAATGGACAATATATTATGGAAGGACTTGCATCCAGCTTCCTGTTTAAAATGGGAGGTTTACGTTTCATAATCCTGGACCAATTGAATGCACAAAATATCCCAAAACTCAATAGATTTCTTCTTCTATTCATTAAATTCATGTGTGTCCTACTGAGTTTTTTCACGGCTAGAGTTTTCATGAGAATGAAACTGCTGGGCTATCTGATGGGCTAGAGTGCTTTCGAGAAGAAATAAGTGGATACTGGATTTGCTCCTGTCAATGAAGTTTTAAAGGCTGTACCAATCCTCTAATATGAAATGTGGAAAAGAATGAAGAGCAGCTGTAAAAGAAATACCTAGTGAAAAAACAGGAAGTATATTGGAGTGTGGACTAGAATTTCTTCTTAATATCAAAGAGACAAGTTTATCACAGTATTTTTTTTCCCTGCTGACCTATTGATATACTAACGATGTTGAGAGGCATTTTCTTCTTAGTTTTTCATTTTTTTAAAGAAAATATACTCCATATCTACAACTATAATATTGAATGATTATTTTTTACAACCCCCTTAACATTTTTTGGAGATGACACTTCTGATTTTCAGAAATTAACATAAAATCAGGAAGCAAGATTCCATAGGCTGAGAACTCTGGACAGCTGATCAGCTTTACCTAAGGTGCTTTGCCTTTATTTTTTTTATTTTGTTTTATTATTATTTTTTGAGACAGTTTCGCTTTTGTTGCCCAGGCTGGAATGCAATGGCTCGGTCTCAGCTCCTGCAGCCTCCACCTCCCAGGTTCAAGTGATTCTCCACCTCAGCCTCCCAAGTAGCTTGGATTACAGGCACCCGCCATCATGCCCGACTAATTTTGTATTTTTGTAGGGATGGGGTTTCACCAGGTTGGCCAGGCTGGTCTTGAACTCCTGACCTCAGGTGATCCACCTGCCTTGGCCTCCCAAACTGCTGGGATTATAGATGTGAGCCACTGTTCCCAGGCTGCTTTGCCTTTAAATAGAGTATGTGATGGTAGATTACTTGAGATATGTATGTAAACTGTTTCCTGAACAATAAGATATATGAAAGGAGCAGAAATAAATAATTTTTCTAATTAAAAATAAAATAAAATAAAATGCCATGGCATGACAATATGCATGCCACTCAAAATGCTGTCAATTATTAAAGCTGCATCACTGTCATTTGTGGTCCACTTAGCAGTACTTTAAAGCAATGAAGTTGTCCCATATGGTCTCTGTCACTACCACTTAACTCTGCTCTCATAGTATGAAAACAAGCATAGGCAATACATAAACACATTAAGTGTGGTGATGTTCCAATTAGACTTTGTTTATGAACACTGATACTTCAAGTTTATATAGTTTTATATATAATAAAATGTTATGTTGACTTTTAAAAACTTCTTAAATCTGTAAAAAACATTCTTACCTTAAGGCTGTACAATAATAGATGGCAGGCAGATGAACCATAATTTGTGAAAATCTGACCTAAAGATCCATATATTTATCATATTTAAATGGAGTTTAGATGGTATCACCTGCTTTCTTTTATTTCACCTTCATTTCTTTTTCTGGGGGGCAGGCCATCTGCTTTAATTCCTTTTTCTCCATTGACTTACATTACCGCACATATTACCGACAAATTAAAAACAGTACTCTACTCTCCCCTTACCAACACTTTTGCTTTCCTCAGTTTCAGTTACCTGCAGTGAACTACAGTCTGAAAACATTAAATGGGAAATTCCAGAAATAAATAATCTGTAAGTTTAGGCCGGGTGCAATGGCTTATGCCTGTAATCCCAGCACTTTGGGAGGCTGAGGTGGGCAGATCACTTGAGGCCAGAAGTGCAAGATCAGTCTGGACAACATGGCAAAAGCACATCTCTACAGAAAATACAAAAAGCTAGCTGGGCATGGTGGTGCACCTGTAGTCCCAGCTACTCAGGAGGCTGAGGTGGGAGGATCACCTGAGCTGGGAAGCTGAGGCTGTGGAGAGCCCTAATTGTGCCACTGCACTCCAGCCTGGGTGGCAGAATGAGACCCTGTCTCAAAAAAAGAAAAAAATTGTAAGTTTAAAAAGAATGCCATCCCAAGTAGCATGATGAGAGCTTGTGCCATACCACTTACCCAGCATGTGAGCTGTCCCTTTGTCCAGCGTATCCACACTGTATACACTAGAGTAGCCTTCTCAGTTATCATCTCACATCATTACCATACTTAGTACAGTAAGATATTTTGAGAGAGAGGAAGACCACATTCACCTTACTTTTATTACAGTATATCATTATAATTGTTTTATATTACTATTAGTTATTGTTATTAATGTTTTACTGTGCCTAATTAATAAATTAAACATTATCATAGGTATGTATAGAAAAAATGTAGTATATATAGAGTTCGGTACAACCCACTGTTTCAGGCATCCACTGGGGTCTTAGAATGCATCTTCCGTGGATAAGGGAGCACTACTTGTACTTGAGAGACACAGTATGCACCCTCTAAGGTCCTACAGCAGATTTATTATTTGATAAAACTAAGTTTCACCAGGTTTAACTGACACGGACCTATTAAGTACTATTTAGTGATGGTAACAGATGTCAGAATCTTACTTCACTGGGGTTGCTGATAATTCAGAATGTGTGGAGAGCTCTTTTCTCCACAGTCAAAAGAAAAGATTGTCTACTCCAGGAAGGGTTCTCTCAACATATATCCCACTGTCTCCTTTATGGTTTTATGTTTTGTCAAATGCGTCATCACCACACTTTCAGTAAATCCAGGGCAATAAAGTAGAGAACTTCTGATTGTTCTTTATTTTTCATTTCTTTGTACGTAGATCAATGCTCCACAGAAGAGAGAGAGAGAAATGTCTATCTTATAGGGCCACTAATCCTATCACATCTCTCTCTTTCTTTGTCATGTGAGGACACAGCAAGAAGGCTGCCACCTGTAAGCCAGAAATAGAGCCTTCACCAGAAACTGAACCTTGCTGGGCCTGTTCTTGTACTTTCTAACTTACAGAATTGTGAGAAACAAATTTTTGTTGTTTAAGCCACCCAGTCTATGGTATTTGTTATGGCGGCCTGAGCTTACTAATACATTTCTATTGGAAAATGGGGTGTCAGTTTTCTACTGAGAACTTAAGTGCTTAGAGTGCTGTAGAAAGTGACATAATTGAGAAATACATCTTCTTTTTATCTGAAAGGCAGTAATGCTCATTATAAAAGTGAAAGATCACACATAGACAGTGTATGAAATAAAACTGTAAAAGTCTTCCTTTCAATCCTTTTTCCTTTTAAAGTACATAATTAGTTTTCAAGAGTTACACTTTGTTACTTTAAACTTTATTAATTCCTGCTAAAATTAATTTAGGCTTGCAAAATCATTAAAAACAAATTAGTTATAAAATTCTTATAAGGAAACATGCGGTGGCTGGGCCCGGTGGCTCACATCTGTAATCCCAGCACTTTGGGAGGCCGAGATGGGTAGACCACTTGAGCTCAGAGGTTCGAGACCAGCCTGGCCAAAGTGGGGAAACTCCATTTCTACTAAAAATACAAAAATTAGTCAGGCCTGGTGGCGCATGACTTTAGTCGCAGCTATTCAGCAAGCTGAGGCAGGAGAATTGCTTGAACCCAGGAAGGGGAGGTTGCGGTGAGCTGAGATCATGTCACTGCATTCCAGCCTGGGTGATAGAGTAAGACTCTGTCTCAAAAAAAAAAAAAAAAAAAAAAAAAAGAAAGTAAAGTAAAGTAAAAAGAAAACATATGGCAAAAGCTTTATGCAACTGGATTTTTCAAAGATTTCTTGGGTATGATACCAAAGGGCATAGGCAATAAAACAAAAAACAGGAATATTGGACTTCATGCAAATTAAAGTTTTGTGCATCAAAAGTCACTATTAACAGAGTTAAAAAGGCAACCCATAGAATGTGAGAAAATATTTTCAAATCATGAATTTAATGAGATTAATATCCAGAACGCACAGAATTCTTAAAACTTAACAAAAAAATGATTCAAAAATGAGTAAAGGACTTGAATAGACTTTTTCCATAGAAGATATACAAATGGCCGGCCAATATCACATGAAAAGGTGCTCAGCATCACTAATCATTAGGAAATGCAAATCAAAACTACAAGGAGAAACTACTTCATAGCCATTAGGATGACTACAAACAAAAAAACAAAATCATAAGTATTGGTAAGGATATAGAGGAACTGGAACCCTGTGCACTGTTGGTGGTAATGTAAGATGGTGCAGCCACTGATGGAAAACAGCACGGAACCTTCTAGAAAAATTAAAAATAAAATTACCATATGATCCAGCAATTCTACTCCTGGGTATATACTAAAAAGAATTAAAGCATAGTCTTGAAGAGATACTTGCATACCATGTTCATAGCAGCATTATTCACAATAGCTAAAAGGAGGAAGCAACCCATGTCCATCGAAAGATGAATAAATAAGCAAAATGGGCAGATACATATAATGTAATAGTATTCAACCTTTAAAAGGAAGGAAATTCTGATGTTCTATAACATGGATTTACCTTGAGAACATTATGCTAAGTGAAATATGCCAGTTCCAAAAATACCAATATTATATGATTCCATTTACATGAGGTACCAGAATAGTCAAATTCATAGAGACGGAAAGTAGAATGGTGATTGCCAGGGGCTAGGGGAAGTGAGGGAATAGGAACTATTGTTTAATGAGCACAGAGGTTCAGTTTTGTAAGATGAAAAGTATCCTGGAGATGGATGGTAGTGATGGTTGCACAATAATACTAAGGTATTTAATGTTACTGAACCAAACAGTTAAAAATGATTAAAATGGTAAATTTTATGTTATGTGTGTTTTACCACAACAAAAAACTTGGAGAAAAACAAATTAGTTTAC
The DNA here is from genome assembly GCF_000001405.40 of Homo sapiens. Lineage (NCBI taxonomy): Eukaryota > Metazoa > Chordata > Mammalia > Primates > Hominidae > Homo > Homo sapiens. The sequence continues at coordinate 56,970,926 of NC_000006.12, read as the reverse complement.
AAAAACACAGTTTTTGTATTATCCCTAGTTGTATTAATATTAAACTTTCCCCTGCAGATATGATTTGGTTAAAGAGCAAATCCTCAAGTTTCTTCACAAACACACAATTCACTCAAGACCAACCAGATATAGACATATCAGACCTTATTTAGAATATCTACTTTCCAGTAGATTTCAGGTCAATATTATGTTATAAATTCCATAAACAGGTGATTCAATGTTTATATTAGCTGCCAATTAGCAAATTCAGAAGGAACATTATGAATATGGCTATATATTAAATACTACCAGTTTCTGATAGGTAGTAAAAAAATTCACTATGTGGCTATCTGCCCCCAATTTATTTATTTATTTACTTACTAAAAGAACGCATCTTATTAATTCTCTAATAGTTGCAGGAGATGAGATGAAACATGAACACAGCCATGATAACACTTACAATATGTGGTTGGGGCAGTGTGTGGTGGTTCACGCCTGTAATCCTAGCACTTTGGGAGGCCAAGGTTGGCAGATCACCTGAGTTCAGGAGTTTGTGACAAGCCTGGCCAACATGGTGAAACAAAAATTAGACAGGCATGGTGGCACGTGCCTGTAATCCCAGCTACTGGGGAGGCTGAGGCATAAGAATGGCTTGAACCTGGGAGGCGGAGGTTGTAGAGAGCCGAGATCATGCCACTGCACTCCAGCCTGGGTGACAGAGTGAGACTCTGTCTCAAAAAAAGAAAAAAAAAATGTGGTTGGAGGAATAATATAAGCCAAGAGCTTTAAATTTTTTTTGACTGTTACAGTAAAAAATACATTTTGATCTAGAAAATACACACACACATGCAACTAAAACAAAATTTTAAGAAACATATTTACCCTTACTACATGCAATGCACTGTCTCAGTTTCTATTCTGTCTGCTCTATTTTATTTCATTTAAAAAAAGTGCTGGTCATAGCACATTAAACTGATTTCACAACCCATTAATGGATTATAATCCATAGTTTGAAAAATAATGTCCTAAGCAACATCCAAATTATGAAAAACACAGTGTCTCGGAATTAAGACGTAGAAAAAGGGGAGTTTTGTAATTAATGGAAGCAAATCAAAACATAAATTCTCAATGCATTTATGTTTAATTTTAACAAATCAATGACACACCTAATGCAGGAATTCAAAAGCCACCTCTGAAATTCTAAAAAAAAAAAACAAAGTCACCAAACCTAAGGAAACTAGATTAATATCAAAATGTAATACAGGTGTCTCATCTGCCTTTGTATTTAAATATAAGTTCTCTATTATGAATTCTATTAAAATTTTGAAAGGCAAGTACAGCACTACAACAAAACCTAAGTACTCTTTCATAGGTTTCAAAAGTTTTGGATTGCTTTATACATATATCAGTTTTGAAATGTATAGACATAAAAGACCCCTTATAGTACTCAGGTCAGAATATGAACTGAAGACTCCCCTCTAAATAAATTCAAAAGTGGCGGGAAACTAGTGCCAATATAATTCTAAATAGCCAGTGGCTGGCTTAATGATTTCTATAAAACGGACTACTAGTTTTAGTCCAGCTGCATAGCAAGATAGGGCACGGAGGAAGGAGATGCCTATATTATTTATTTTTAGTTATATATGTTCTCGAGGAAGACAAATCAAGATTGAAATGGCTGTAAATGATTGGGTGCATTCTGAGCACTCCAACCCTCAGACAGCACTCTGCTGAGCAAAACAAATGCATGGCTTTCTCACCAAAGTGTTCTGACTTCTAGAGGGAAAACTACTGGGTTTTACTAAGGTCCATTAGGCAGCATTTCAACTTACTGTCTGTTTTTACTTCCTTCATTTTCTTTTCTTTTTTTTTTTGAGACAGAGTCTGACTCTGTCTCCCAGGCTGGAGTGCAGTGGCGCCATCTCTGCTCACACAACCTCCGCCTCCTGGGTTCAAGTGATTCTCCTGCCTCAGCCTCCCGAGTAGCTAGGATTACTGGCGCCTGCCACCACGGCTGGCTAATTTTTTTTATTTTTATTAGAGACGGGGTTTCACCGTGTTAGCCAGGATGGTCTTGAGCTCCTGACCTCGTGATCCGCCCACTTCAGCCTCCTAAAGTGCTGGGATTACAGGTGTGAGCCACCGCACCTGGCCACTTCCTTCATTTTCAAATGACATAAATATTTTCAGTTTCCAAGTTGTTCTGGCAATATCATGATTAAAAAAATGGTCAGTGTGCTTCGGGATGGTTCGACAATGCTGCCAAACTGTTATGGCATAACTTGGACTGGATTAGAGATTATGTAGGAGCCTAAGAAACGTTATGTTTGGGCCAAGTGCAGTGGCTCACACCACTGTGGCTTTGGGAGGCTGAGGTGGGAGGATTGCTTGAGCCCAGGAATTTAAGACCAGCCTGAGCAACATGGTGAGAATCCATTTCTACAAAAAATAAAAAAAAAATTAGCCAGGCATGGTGGGGCACACCTACAGTCCCAGCTACTGGGGAGGCTGAGGTGGGAGGATCACGAGAGCCCAGGAGTTTGAGGCTGCAGTGAGCTGTGTTCCTGTTGCTGCACTCCAGCCTGGGTGACAGAGTGAGACCCTGTCTCAAAAAAAAAAAAAAAAAAAAAAAAAAGAAAAGAAAGAAAGAAAGAAAAAGAAAAGAAGCATTATGCTTGAGGGGGCTATAGACCTGAATCATTTTATATTTTCCATGAAGGGAAAGGAAAGAAAAACATTCTTATCTTTCTGGAGTTTGTGGATGTACTTTCACTGAAGCTAATTGAATGAATAAGCAGTGATATCATGTGTTTTCATATGTGTAACCATTATCTAGAAAAGAAATTAATTTAGTTCCCTATACTGACCTATATGACATCCTTGGATCTCTCCAATTCTGCCTCCTTCACTTAATAAAAATAAAAACATAGCTAACATTTACTGAATATTTAGTATATATAAGGTGCTATTCTATGCATTTAACCTCTACTAACTCATTTAATCCTCACAGACACCCTTTGTGGTAGGAACAAGTATTATCCACACTTTACAGATGAGGGAGCTGAGGTCCACGGTGGAACCTGGCAACCACTCCTAGTTGGTAATCCATAAGCACGCTCAAGCCAGAACTTAGCAGCTAATCATCAAGTCAGCTTTGTAGCAGGTTGTCAATTCCAATAATGAGATTTTTGCTTTTTTCACTTCAAGTAGTCCCTTACAGGGCCCTCCTTGCCTAAGTTTGCCCTGTAGTACCATTCCCACAGAGACTGGAGTCTTGGCTTGTTCATCAGTGTTTATTAGGACTATAGTCCTGGTTAGATGCTAGAGAAGGAGACCCTTTCTTTGGCCCTCCAGATCCTTTCCCTAGCTGTCTCTATTTCACTCTCTGAGTCTGGAGTTTGACCTGTTTGGGCTCCCGAACTCTCTTTTCAGCTGAGTTCAGCTGATTTCAGCCAATGAGTGTCCAGGCATGAGATCAGAGGGAGGGAGGACAGCGAGTCAGGAGAATTTATCCTCCCGGCTCCCTTCCTGTGGGGTCACTTCAGATTTCATGTGCCCCTCTCCTTTCAGGTTGCAATAACCATGCCTTTCCTCTCCCTTTGGTCCAGGGCTGGTAACATTTCCACTATGACTAGCCCTGAGGTACAGCATGATCTCTCATGGTTTCCCTATACTCAGCCCACACTTTCTTAAATAGTCCCTTAGTTAAAGCCTTTTCAAATCATCCTAATTTTAGTGGGCCATCTATTTCTTGCCAGAACTCTGACTGATACAACATGGCAGGGCTCCTCATACCTCCTGATTGCCTGTGTGTCTATTTGTTGCCAGCCGATAGATTCCTTCCGTTGCCAATACTTCCACCTGCTATCTCCCTATGGACATCTGATACTGACAATGTACCTGATCTACACTATTTGTTTGCTGGGTTATTACTGTTCTATAGGATATGGCTTGTATTTCTAATTTCCATGTTCTGACATGATCCATCCTACCACTGATCAAGCTCTATTTCCAGTGGCAAAGGGGTTTATTTTTTTTGCTCTTTTCTTCATGCATGCTCTTATCTGTATTACTGGATCAATACCCCTAGTATTGCTGGTATCACTGGCTCCACATGTTAGCTTCATCATCTGTACCAGAGTCCCTCTGTTGCTCCTCACCTGGCAAAACAACCAAGTGCTAAATGACCCAGCCTTTGTCTTTTCGGAAATTAAACAGTGTGGCTGGCTTACTTTCATGTTGATGTGTTCACGAAGAAGACTATAGCACAGAGGTAATAGCACAGAAATAAGAGGCTGGGAAAAGTGGAAGGCAATCTTCACCTGCTCCACAGTGTCACTTATCCCAATCAATTGTCAATAAAAAGCCTGCAGGCACAGGCAGAACTATCTGAAAATTTGCACAAGAAAGTAAATGCAAAATTCAGAGGGACTCTAAAATTTTCCTGTGGTTCTAGGGCCTCTGAACATTTTCTTCTTGGCTATTATTGTGTTACTACTTGTCCCCCCAATAATTATGTGCCTTCCCTCATATTTATAAAAAAACAGGCCAGGCGCAGTGGCTCACGCCTGTAATCCTAGCACTTTGGGAGGCCGAGGCAGGCGGATCATCTTAGGTCAGGAGTTCGAGACCAGCCTGGACAACATGGTGAAACTTCATCTCTACTAAATATACAAAAACTAGCCAGGCGTGGTGGCAAGTGCCTGTAACCCCAGCTACTCTGGAGGCTGAGGCAGGAGAATTGCCTGAACCCGGAAGATGGAGGTTGCAGTGAGCCGAGATCATGCCATTGCACTCCAGCCTGGGTGACAGAGCAAGACTCGGTCTCAAAAAACAAACAAACAAACAAACAAAAAACAAACCACAGGTTCAGAGTTAAGCCTAGAGAGGAGTAAAATCAATTACAAGTTCTATTTTAGGAGGACTATAAGTCATGTGAAGTGTTTTCTATTTCACATTTTTTAATTAATGTGGAACTTTCTATTCATCTTGAAAGTTGAGAGCAAAATGAGATTATTATGCTTTTTGCTTTAAGTAAATGTATTCTACAACATTAATAACTTTTGGACCAATTTTGCAAATTCACAAAATGTAATATGTAATTCTGATCCAAGAATCAATGCTTATGCATAAAAATCAGGAGTGATTCAACTCTCAAATATTAATCTAATCAATTATAATATGAAAAGATGAGATCATTTCTTTTTGAAATATCTATCCCATTATACACTATGTTAATATCGCATATATATATATATATATATATATATAAATTTTTTTGTGTGTGTGACAGGATCTCGCTTTGTCACAGAGACTGGAGTGCAGCGGCGCTATCAAGGCTTACTGCAGCCTTGAACTTCTAGGCTCAAGAGATCCTCTGATTTTATAATGCATTTTTCTCTCTCACTGAAAATCCTAGCTCCTAACAACATCAACATATCTATTTGCTAAATAATATTTCTAAACAGTTTTTTGACACAAGTCCTGGTGTTACAGGTATGAGCCACCATGCCTGGCCTAATATCATATATTAATGAAATAACTGGTTACCATTCACCATTATCTCCATTAACTTTGTAATTTTATACTATCAAAAGTTAAGGTCTAAATATAATTAATGTGCTGAGTCACATATTTTAGATAATTTACTTAATAAATCATCTTAAGTGGAGTTCCCGTCTTACCTGTTACCAATCATTTCTCTCCTTACTCTGATATTTTTTCTTACCACCTTGAAGCAACATTAAAATTTAAAAAAAACAAATGATCAGCTACATTACACATTTTATCAAGTTATTTCCCTATCCCTATGAAGGTCATTTAGAAAAATACATTTATTATATATTTATGAGTGAAAGTGCTATCAATAAACTCGTAATCAAAATGAAAAGGAATGTAAAAGGCCATCTTCTCTCAGTGTATTGGCATATTTGGGTGTGGTTAGCCATAGGGCAAGTCAGAACTAAGAAACCAGTTAAGGATGGAGAATGCAAGTGTTGATCAAAGAAGAAAGCTCAAGGAAATGGGATGAATCTCTTTAAGCCAGCTGAGGCCCAGGAAGCTATATTAAAGCAAGGATGGATAGATGGGTAGAGTGAGATCAAAGTATGCAACCTAACGTCGAGGTTCAGAAGTGTCAAAGACTGAGAAGAGGCCAGGTGAGGAGGCTCACACCTGTAATCCCAATACTTGGGAGACAGAGGTGGGAGGATTGCTTGAAGCCAAGAATTACCAGCCTGAGTAACATAATGAGACTTCGTCTACTAAAAATAAAATAAATTAGCCAGGTATGGTGGTGCCTGCTTGTAGTCTCAGCTACTTGGGAGGTTATGCCAGGAGGATTGCTTGAGCCTGGGAGATGGAGGCTATAGTAAGCTATGATCAGGCCACTGCACTCCAGCGTGGGCAACAGGGCAAGCCCCCATCTCAAAAAAAAAAAGACAAAAAGACAGAGGAACAGGGGACTTAGCAGGGATGGCATTTGGGGACAGTGTTGTCAGTCTTTGATTTTATGGTAGAGAAGTTGTTAGAACAGTCAGCAGGACACAGAACCTTGGGCAAATGTACATCCTGTTCACAGAAAGAGGGAAAGACTAAACTTGTCCTTCTATGAAAAGATAGAAAGCTTAGTGAGATACTCTTTTTTATTGGTAGAGGTACAGTTTTGCTATGTAGTTATTTCAAGATAGTCTTCCAGTCTGAAACCCTTACAAAGCAGGTCACATAAGTACTTACAATCATAGGCTTTAAAGCCAAACTGTCTGATTCATAATCCTAGCTCCAATACTTACTACCCATGTAATCTTTCTGTGCTTCTGTCTCTCCATCTGTGAAATGGGAATAATAAAATACCCCATTATGAGTTGATATGTCAGGTATATAATAATATAAATTAATTAATATTAATTATAATATTAATTGTAATAATATAATTACTACTATCTTATTTTATAACAATAATTATTTATATTATTAATTAACAATATAATTATATCAATATTATTACAAAAATATTTTATTTTATAACGAAGTATATTATTAATATTGTAATTATAACATTAATTTAATAGTAGTATTTTATTATACCACTACTAGTATTGTATTAGTTATATTATATTAATTTATTAATAGTAATAAATTATATTAATTTATTAATAGTAATATTTTATTATTAATTGAAGCAAACTGAACCAGATTACCCCCATACAAGTTTAGGTCAAACATGTGAGAGTAGGAGGGGAGTTTATAGCATTGAGGACAGGGGAGGGCTTCAATAAACATAGCTAATTAACCTTGATGCCTATGAGTCTATATTAGACAAACCTCAATCTTTTGTAAAAATATAAAGAAAAAATTATTATAGCTTTCTCTTTTATAAAGGACAGCCAGGTGGTCTCCCATGGAGCCGTTTTACCAAAGTAGGAGTCAGCTTGGCCCCGCTAAGCTTCTTCAGTTTTCTGGAGATGCTGGGTCAAATTTACCCAAGCGATAATGATGGAGACATGGCAATGAAATGGTAAGGGTGAAACTATAATTTTTTAATACAAAGAGTCTTGTGAAATTGCTGGATTAGTAGGTGTGGCCTAGGTAAATTCCTCACAGGCTAAAGGAGAGGACTGCATCTCTTGTGTACAAGGAAACATCTGACGTTCTGCTGGAGTGTCGGGTTGGCCTTCATTAATCTGGGTAGGGGTAGCCTAAGGAGAGTCAGAAGAGAGGAAGAGTAGCTGCTCAGCAAGCTCCAACTGAGAGGATTTCCTTTAGGGGAAGAGCTGCAGTGCAAATGAAGCAGGGAGGCAGTGCAAATGGAAAACATGCAACAGGAATGGTTTGTGTGGTTTGTGAAGTGCTGAAGAATTTTGATGCCGCTTGTTAGGTGTGTGGTCTTTAGGCAATTCCTTACATCTCTAAGCCCTGGAATTCCCATCCATAAAATAGGAATAAGAGTAGTACCTACTCAGGGCTGCTGTGAGGATTGAATGAGTAAATGCACGTAAAGCATTTAGCAGAGAGTAGATACTCAATAAGTGCTAGCTGTTGCTACAGATAACTAGGTGGTCCACATCAAGGTAGCCATTCAGTAATGAGGATGACCAGTGCATGTTATTCCATGCCTTCTGGGGAAGTGGCACAGGTGAATAATGATCATACCAATCAACTCCCAGGGTGCTGTTGGTGCCCCTTAATCTAGGCACTAAGACCTAGACTTTTAACAGCTCACCAGATGGCAAACCACCAGGAAGTCTGATACATTAACTACAATCCTGCAATATCTTCTCTAAGTAGATTCCTGCCTCATTACAAATGACCACAGACTGAAAGTGTGCAAAGAACAGTGCCCACTAGGCCCAGAGGGGGGTCTGAGGCACCCAGGAAATCATATTGATCCAAGGTCTGTTTCTGTGTGGAATGCATGAATGTTATGTCACCAAACCCTAGAGGATCAGAACAGAACTTGGAGCAAAAAGAACTAGCCACACTGAGAGATCGGGATACGTCAGGAAACTGGACTTGCCCACTGGAGTGAAACAGTCACATAATGAAATAACCAGCTTCATACTGTAACAATATGTGATCATGATGATGTGACATTGAGACCTAGTATCCTGGAAATATGGTGGTGGAGAGGGAGTTGAGGTCCACAAATATGGCAAGAGTGGTGTCTTGGTCTGTTTTGTGCTGTTAAAACAGAATACCACAGGCTTAGTAATTCATAATGAACAGAAATTTACTGGCTTGCAGTAATATCAAGGTGCTGGCATCTGGTGAGTGTCTTGCTGTCTTGCTGTGTCATCACATGGTGGAAGATGAAGATGAGAGAGAGAAAGAGAGAGAGGAGGCTGAACTAGCTCTTTTATAACAAATCCACTCCTAAAGTAACAGCATTAATCCATTCATGAGGGCAGAGCCCTCATGGTCTAATCACCTCTCAAAGGTCCCACCTGCCAATACTGTCACAACAATAATCTAATTTCTACATGAGTTTTTGCAGAAGTAAAAATTTAAACCATAGCATTCCACTCCTGGTGGGACGCTAGAAACAACGAGTAGGTGAAGCTGAACAGCTGGATGGGCAGTCTTCCCACCAGAGTGCAGAATCACCCTGGTGGGATTGAGGGCACCAATTACCAGGTCTGCAGACTCCACAGTAGACTGTTGAATGTGGGCTTGGGGAAGGATTTAGGAAGAGTGGTGGCTTTATTTACCAGAATGTCTGTGAGTTGTTTCTGGGAACCTAATACTAATTCCTTTTGTCCCTCTTTTAGGCCTTAAGACTATAGCAATTTTTGCAGACTGTGAACCCAAGACTACCTTTTAGGACTAGTCCTATTGGCTTGGAATGGGCTTATCCATTCAAACATCTAGCTATAAATTGGGTAGTTAATTGGCATGAAGGCAGCTTAGGAATCAATTTATCCCTTCTTTCCATAACAGAAGTCTATGGAAGTGGTCCTAGATTGTTAACACAGTCTTTTCTCCTCTTAGGGTTACAACTGACATCCCAGTGGGAGTTACCTTAGGTGACTCATTTGTCTCCCTCCCAATATGTTTAAAGATGCTAGAGGACAAATTAACTCCCAGCACATCATCTCCATTTAGTCTTTGGGTGGCAGCACTCACCTGCACTTGGGAGACTTATCTAAACTTTTATAGTTTAGAACAGAAAGTTTCCTTTGCTAACCATGGACGGATAGTCCCCAAGACACTTCTTACAGTCTCAGGGGTACCCAGGTGCTGCCATTGTTGATGGATCAAATGACTTATACGAGTTCAGAAGCCTCAGTACCTATGTGGATTTGCATGATTCTGATGATTCTCATTGTGGGAGTTGGGGGAGAGCTCATTAAGAATCTAATGAAAGGTATGGATCATGTCCTCAAAATGAGACACAAGTTTTTACATGTAATTTCAGGTCTCTAGAAACCTACTCATGAATTCCAGTTTGAACTTCTACAGTAGAGATAGGACTGGCAAGAACAGGCTTTAGGTTAATGGCTTTCTTCTTTGAAATATAAACTCTACTATATTCCAATTTGTGTGTTTGCTGTTTGTTGCCCTGTTTTACTCCATAAAGTATTTGTGGCTACAAAAACATTTTAAAGATGTACTTTTCTTTCTCTTCCTAGATTCATGGGATGTCCTTACATTGAGGTATCAATAATCTCTGGAACTATATATTATTAATACATCTTTTACTAATCATCAGTTGCTCATCACAATTTTCTGCTCTCCTTGGTACATTTAGTACTTCTGCTCTCCTAGTGACAATATTTTTTCAGGCTATGAGTGCATTGATGCATTAGCATACAACTCTATTAGCACAAAATATTTAATGCAAAAGTCCTAAATGACAAAGAATTATTGTAAGAAATAGGGGAACTCTAGCTATTCAATGTTGCTGTAGTTTTATTATCATCACAACCTAGAACTTAATTTGTAGATAATAACCAAAATTTTATTCATCTTGTAACATTTGCTATGCAATAATAAAGCTCCTACCTTACTTTTTTATCTTTTTACTTAAGAAGTGTAGAAGTTTCAGATGTAGAATGTTTATAACTTATATGGCAAATTTCATCTTGGATCTAGAAGGCAATATCTTCAGCTTTCAAACTTGCTTTGTAAATTGCCCATTCTTAGAAATGGTGGAAATATTTTATACCATCGGAATAATAATGAACGATATTGCTCAGCGATTTATAACTCTAAGAGCTTTATAATTTGATTTATGAACAGTTCTCAAATTTTCCATTGGCAGTTCATACAACTATGAGTAAATTTTCTGGCCAAATGACTCAGTATTTTGTGGCATGACTAATCCCACACTCAATGTGGAAACTATATAAATAAATTCTATTTGCTTGTGGATAATAAATGATTACTTTCCAAAAACTGTCTGCAAAGCATTATATAGTAGACGAATTCAATTATATTGATGTTTTTAAGCTCCCAAACTCAGCTGACTTTTTTGAAAAGTCTGTAATGCTCACACACCCAAAAAGAACTCCCCTCACATACTCCTGGAATTATCATGGCTTCGGCAGTGTGGTAACCCATAGAACAACAAAACCTAATTAGGCTCTACAATAGCTAAAATGTTAAAACAACAATCTGAAATAATTCCATTTGCAATATTTTCTCAGTAGTTTTAAGTTATTTTAAAAGTTTTTATTACGGTAAAATAAAGCCCTTTACCAGGGAATATTTGCTGAAAATAATATTTGATATTACTGCAAGTTACAATTATTTTCCTTTCAAAAACTCAAATATTAAAAAGAAAATAGTAATCTATCCACATGATGGTTTCCCTGGTTCTGGTGGCTGGAAATCACCTCCAAATTTATTTTAGATGAAGTAGGTTCTTCCAGATGATATAGCTCCTTTACCTTTTAATACAAGCACATGTAAAACACTTCACCTAGAAGCAAGGAAGTTACCAGGCCAAAATCAATATGCTTTATTTCTAATAATTTATTGCTAGAGCCATTCTTACCTAAGCTTCTTGTTTTCAAGGGGTAATATTTCAATGTAATGTCCTTGTGTGATTACCAACTGGGTAATTTACTCACTTCCAGATAAATTGGTAATAATCACAGACAACCTAGGCTACATTCCAAGACATTCCTTATCTTTCCCTAAAAGTCATTTTTCAAGTCTGAGTACTAGTAGCCAGATTAGATGGGGAAGAAACCATGGGCATGGAGCCATCCTAACTAGTCAGGCTCAATTTTCACTCTGCAGAGTCTAAAGCAACCTGAGACCAGAAAGAGCTAGTCTGTTGGGGGGACTCAAAATTGCTAAATCACAAATCCCCAGGAGAATGTCCTCTTCTCCCTTCTCTTTAATTATTTCTCTCCCTCTTCTGGCTCCATCTCCCAAATTCCCTAGAAACTTGTTCAAATATCCCTAGCCTGACAAAATAATCACCATTGGCCTTTATTCAGGATTTAATTGCTTTTCTACTCATCCCCTTTAGAGTTAAATTTCTGCAAAGATTGTAGACAACAACCCTCTCCTCTTTCTCATCTTCATTCCCCCCTCAACTCATTAATGTCTGGTTTTAGCCTCTCCTGCCATGATGAATCAGTTCTCTGAAAGGTTTCCGGAGGTCTCCTAGTCACCAGTCCTCAGTCCTTGCCCTCCTTAGACTCCCATTTGTGCATCTGTTCCAGAAAGCCACTAAATTGGAACACTCCCTACTTGGCTTCGACCACTTTGCTATCCTCCAGGCCAGAAATGGAAGCCGTCTCCAAAGTTCTGATTCTGGGATGCTCTTTAGCATCTATTCCTTAGTCATTTCCTCTATTTCCATTACTCCAACTACAATGTTGATGACTCCCTATCTGTTTTTGGTTCTGACCTCTCCACATTTCCATGGGCTTGCTGGATATTTTCACAATGATGTCCTTCTGAGGCTTCCATCTCAGTGGGTCTAAAATGCAGTTTGTTATCTTCTCCTTCCAAATTATTCCTCTACCCTAGCTCAAAACCTGAGTTATCTTCAGTTCCTCCCTTTTTCTCAACTGGTTGTTACACAGCTTAGGGTGGAAACTTTTCTTCTTTCTGATGTTTCTTCTTGATCCATACATTAGGAACTTGTGCCACAACTTTCTGCCTCTAAGAAAGTACTGAGGAAGATGTTTCTGCCGCCTTTTTAAAGCACCTTACTCACTGCTATCTTTTGGGAATGAAAAGACTTAGTGATGGAAAAACTCAGGAGGGCCTACTACCCATTAGTGGGCAGGAGTGATGTATAAAATTCCCTTCTCACACATGGGCCTGTCTCTTGCTCACACATGCTGAACGCCTTATGGATTATAAAGTGTCAGGCTTCCCTTTGCCTTTGGTGTTTATGCCGGAATTTGAACAGGTTGGGTTCCTTCCTGCCCTAATGCTGGGGAGGCCTGTCATTTTTCAGCTGTGGACTGGGTGAGCATGCCAAGTAAGAAAAAAGGAATAAGATGCCCCATTTTGGCTTTGAGGCTAAGCTGTGTTCTTCAATCTGACTTTATCTTGAATAGAGTTAACACAATATTTTAATTTCCTTATGGTTCCTTGTGTCTATTCCCAATTTGGTTGAGAATCTAAAGGGAAGAAGGGCTATATAATGGACCATCTTCTACATACGTGGTATCAAACTCTCTTAGCTATCTTTCCCAACTATTTTGTCTTCTTTTGGGTGACAATGATAACTTACTCTCATAAAAAAAGTCAACAAATTATACATACTTTTCCATTATGAATTTTCATTTTTTTGTATGAAAGATTTGGGCCATGGCTCTCCCCCTCCATCCCTATCCTCAAACTTAACAATTTTTTTTGTGTGTGACTTTTATACAATGTCAATTATTCTTTTTTTAAAGCAAAAACCTACCAGGAAGGCAAGGTATAATTTCTACTAAATTAACTTCCAAAAAGCACTGCTTGGCTGATTTAGTATTTATTGAATTCCGCAATGCATTAGGCACCACATAAACACACAGACAGAAGCAATTAATACTATGTATGCTGTTATTTGGAAAAAATGATAAATTAGCAACAAACAAATCAGAAAATAACAATGGAACTAAATACTAAATTCTTTCAAGGATTTGGTTTGTTTATTATTAGTATCTTTAAGACAACTGATGGAAAGAACAGAAATGAATGCATCTAAAAAGAAATATCTATAATCCTATTGCATGGCAGTTAAGCATTTGCCTGCCAAGAGAGATAAATGATGTTCTTGTGTGCACTTGAAACTTATAAATGGCTGCAGCAAGACGCAGGATGATAACAGTTGTGCTAAAGTCATAGCTCAGAAAACCATAATAGCTATTTAGTTGCTTTTTGTTGTTAAAAAAATATAGCGTTTGGGGCAATTTGAATACTATTCTGTGTGTCTTTGACATGTTTCTGTTCAAGGATACGTAGGCTATTTCAGCTCACTTACAAATTTCAGTCAATGAGAAGCATAAAGATGACCTTCCAAAATTCTGTTAGTTATTTCCCCCAATGTCTGCACACGGTTAGTTCAGTTTTGTTGTTTAAAATTACTCCACCATGCCATTGTTGAGTCAATGCGGTGGAGAATTCTTCCTTTCCTGATGTGCCACACATTGCAAACTCTCAGGATTTTCTTCAATAACCTCTGCATAATTGTTGAATAGTTTCTCACTGCAGTGGGCTGCGGTATCAAGAAACCTTTAGCCATATGCACATGATGTAGTGCTACCTGTCACCCACTCTGAGTGCTAGAGACCCATGAAGCCTATCCTGGAATTCAGTGCAGCCTACATGCTGCCATTCAAAATTCCCACCTTATGCAGTGTCTCCAAGCAAGGGCCCTTCTGAGTTCAATCCAAAACAACTGAATGAATGAGATGCAACATGTCAACAATTCGAATGTTTATTTTGTTTAAGGAAACCAGCTGTAAACAAAACGTATCTGTTGTTTTCCATGCTTATGAATCTGGCACTAAGAGACTGCATTAACCAATGCCTTTTTAGGTTTAATACTTACACACGGTAATATGTTACTGGCTTTAAGGACATCAATGATTAAGCTTTCATGCAGAGCTGTACGGTTTTGTATAGTTGGAAAACAACACTGATTTTGAGATCACTACAAGCAAATAAAACTTTTATTCCTCCCAATTATTTACCTGCTTTTCAAATTTTTATAAATTTTTATGACACAATTTCTTCAGTCTATTAAATATTCCAAAAAAGAGGCTAATACAGTTGTTATAAGAAACTCCGCAAATGCAGTCAAGTGTTACCTTGTCACTATAATTAAAGTTTTCTTATGCGAGTAAATGAAACAAACAATCCAGCCCCACACAGGGAAAGCCAGCATTGCCTTGGGGGCAGCAGAACGCGGCACAGCACCGCCCGCCAAGGCCGCAAGATGCCGCAGAATGACTGCTGCAGCAGCCGCTTCCTGGCCAGGTGGCCGTGGCCGTCCGCAGAAAGGCACACTGCAGCGCTCTCGCTATACCTTCCGTGCTGGCATTGCATCAGTGTTAAATCCCCTGGCCACCAACTGCCATATACTTTTTGCTGGTTATGAAGAAACGTGGGGAGGGGACAAAGGGGAGACAGAGTGTGCCTGCAAGTGTGAGAGATCACTATTGCCTCACACTCCCTAAAAAATTTCTCCCCCAAATGTTTATAAGCCAAGTACCAACTTACTTCATCTGCCAGGTCCCTAAATCTGAAATCGCCTTGCCCTTCAAATGCACTAAATGAGTCAGGGTTTTAGGGCAAACCCAGGGATACAAGAAGATCGAAAGTGCCCAATTCTTAGCTGCGAGATAAGCACCAAGTTTGGGGTGGAAGAGTTCACCTCTGCCGACCAGAGCGTACTACCCCGGAGCGCTCCTAGTTTAGAGAGGCTTGGAGAGGAGTGGGCCTCCCGTTCCTGGAGTATCCCAATTCCCAGGGAAGGCCCTTCCCGGCGCTCGCGCTTCAGAGTGCGAGGAAACCCCCACAAGCAATAGCTCACCCGGCTGCATTCTTCAAAGCCCCAACCTCGGGGCGGGGCGCAGGGAGGTGGGAGGTGGAGGGTAGCACCGCCGGGAGGCTCCTGTCAGCGCCTCTCGGTTTTCCCCCTGGCTCCTTGGCGCCCCCTGACGACGGGCTCCGCAGCAATTTGGCCGAGGGAGGCTGGATAGGCGGAAGCTCCGGGTGTCCGGGAAGCTAGAGGCACCCGGCCAATGCACCCGCGGACGGCGCGGACTGGCGGGCGGCCCCGCGGGAGGGCGCTGGGCTCTCAGGCCCGGGTGCAGCCCGCGGACGCCGCCGAAACCGCCGCAGCCATGTCCGCGCGCCCGCGCTGCCGCAGCCTGGCCGTGATGTCATCAGCCGAGCCCCCGCCGCGGCGCCCCATTCCCGCCCCCCGCAGGCTGCCGCGGCTGCAGCCTGAGCGCCGCGTCCCCGCCCCGACCCACGTGCGCCCGGCTTCTGGGATGCTGAGGTCGGCGGCGGCCGCAGGACGATGCGCGGGGCCCGGGCGGCCGCGGCGGCGGCGCTGCTCCTCCCCACTCGCCGCGTCCCCGGCGGGGCTGCGCCCGGGGGCTGCGCACGGACGGGGGCGGGGGCGCCTGGGGAGGGAGGGGAGAGGATCCCAGCCGCCGAGTCGCAGCCTCGTCGCTGTCTGCTGAGTCATGGCAAGCGCTCCCCGCAGCCCTGGATCACTCGCGTAGCGCGGCTGGCGCGGGGTGCGCAGCCATTGGGCTGGGCGCGGGGCCGCGAGCGCCAGGCATGACGCGCTGAGCCGCGCTCACCCGTGCCCGCCGTCCCGGCGTGCGCCCAGCGCGGGTGCCTGTGCCGCCGCCCTCCAGCCCCGCCGTCGAGTCGCCCTCGCCTCGCCCGCACCATGATCGCCGCGGCTTTCCTCGTCTTGCTGAGACCCTACAGCATCCAATGTGCCCTCTTCCTCTTGTTGCTTCTGCTGGGCACCATCGCCACCATCGTCTTCTTCTGCTGCTGGCACCGCAAGCTCCAGAAAGGGAGGCATCCGATGAAATCGGTCTTCTCGGGTCGTTCAAGAAGCCGAGGTAAGACACGCCGCGACGGGTTTCTGCGGGCTACCAGGAACAATTAAGCCGATTTGGAGAGTGAAGCGCGGCTCGCTCCCTTCTCCTCGGCTGCCCCTAGCCCCATCATTGCCCACTCCCCAGGCTGAGTGCGTTTCTTTAACGCCCCTTGCCCTTTTTGCCGTCACCTCCGCCCTCCAGTCTCCCAGGTTTGAATAACCACGGCGATGCCGAGGGCAGGGAGGGGAGGAAAGAACTCAAATTTTTAGTCAGTTTGCTAAAGCCTTAAGGGTAATTTGAGCGTAGTCCGGGGCTGCGCCAGCCTCGCCTTCACGCATCCTTCGCTGGAGCGTAGGGGTAAGAAAGTAAGGCATGGAAACTTCGGGGCTCCCCAACTCCCCCAGAACTTTCATGCAAACTTCTCGCGGAGAAATCACGTAGAGACCGATGGCCCCAGGACTCCTCCTCCCTCCCCCAGGATGTCCCACCGAATTCCAGGAGTCTGCGATGTGCTTTCCCAACCCTGGTCTCCCAGGTAAGTCATGAGTCACTCGGTAGGTGAAGAACAAGGAGTTAAATGAAGTCTCATTTATCTCTTTTCTCCCCAGATGCTGTTTTGAGATCGCACCACTTTCGTTCTGAGGTAATTTATTTAGCGCGCACGCTCAAGGTCAGAAGAAGTTCTCTTTCCTGAGTACCAATATTAATTATATGCGTGTTAAGAAACCAGTAGGACACTGAATGACGAACATGCTGTCCCCTAGCCGAAAGTGGCATGTTTCCTTTTAAGTGATTTCATATTAGTGCCCAGCGAACGGTTTTAGCAAATTTCTTGTGTAGTGGAGCTGTTGTACAAGAGGGGAAAAGGCAAACCCTAAAAGTGCTGCAGACCTTAAAAAACTTAGCCACAGGGTGGATGTCACTTGAGTTTACAGTTTATATTTTGCTGGTGGAAGTGTTTTCTGGGTGCTGTCAGTTGACTCTGGTTGTTCACTTGGATAAACGAAGAGGTTAGTGCAGAACAATTTGATCCATATGCATTTCATTTTCGATTTTCAAGTTTACATTTCTGTTTTCTCCTAAAGCTCTCCATGTTTTATTGGGGACCATCTGATGATTTTTGCAAAGCGATGATGGTAGTGTGTGCTTAAATGCTTGTGCTAGTCTCCACTCTCAAAACGTGGACCATCCCTCTAGGGCAAGTAACTCCTAATCACTGCACCCAGGAACCAGCTCCACTGAAGAAACACAAGCGCTCCTTGACCTAGGATTTCTTTAGGAGTTTTCAGGCCAACCTCCACTTATCCTAAGATAATTTCCCCTCTTTTTAGGAAAGTTGCACGCCGCCAGGCTTGGAGGTTGCTGCTTGGTGCAGTTTACTCATGTTGGCAAAGACTTCATAGTTAAACGCCCTCCATTTACCTGAAGTTATCTTGCCTTTCATTTCATTAGTTAATCAGATATTTTATGCCACCCTAGATGTTTTATTGGGTTCTAGTTGCTTAAAAACTTTAACTGTATTATTGCAATATCATTAAAATGTTGCACAAAGAGTAATTCTACTGTATATAGCCCTGGAAGGTGAGAACTCTATTCAGTTTAGGATTCTTGAGAGGATAAGTGAGGTAATCAGAGGTTCCATTCCTGGCTTTACATTAACTAGCTGTGTGATACATCTCGGTGCCTCGATTTACCCATCTGTAAGATAGGGCCATTAGTACCTTGCAGGGTTATGGGAGGGTGGAGGAAATTACAAGAAATTGTGTAAAGAAAAATCCCACTTAGTTCATAATAAGTATTCAGTATTTGGTAGCTATCATTATATTTTGTAAAATTGAATTTTAAAATGTATAAAAATAAACGATAATGTTTGCAAATTTCCAAGTCTTTATTAAATTACTTAATTAAAGTTTATGGAAAACATCAAAAACCGGGACTATCGTAAAGCAACAATTTTTGAATATGAGATTAATTCAATAGAACAGCCCATTCAGATGTGATGAGAAGTAAATAATTGACAGAGTGCAAACACCAAAATATAAGATTTTGATTTTAAAAAGAGATACCCAGTTCCACACACATAAATGATAGAACAAGAATAATAATCCTGTTTTGGATTATTATACTAGCCATCAGATATTTCAGCTAAAGCACAAACAAAAAATGAGATACAACTATGTCTTGTTTAATTATCTCTCAGTTGAATATTTTTGTTCTGAGCTTGCATTTGGTTAGGAAAGCTGGGGGTAGTTGTTTAATGCCTTAACTCACTTCATAAGATTCCTGGTACAGTTTGACATCTTTGTGTGGTATTTGCCTTGTCTACTAGACTGTGAGCTCCTTGAGGGCAGGACCATATCTTTCTTGTTTAGGGCTGTATCCCCACTATTTGGCTCAGTGCCTTGTATACAGTGGGTTATTAATAAATATTTATTGAATGAATGAATGAAAAAAAAAATCTCCTAGTGGGTGCTAGTTCCTGAAACTGGGCAAATAGAACTCAGAGTTGGGCAGAAAAGAAAAATGCACATTCTCAGGACATCGCTCAGAATTCAACATTTGCTAAATCTCAACTCTTACTGGATCTTTGCAGGCTTTTAAAAATTGCCCTGGAGTTTGTGCTAAAAATGTAAGTCACAAATTGAAACAAAATGGATTCGGTTTGAATTTTTTTCTGAAAAATTTAAATGCAATATTAGTTTAATTTGTTGATGGGCTACCCATCAGCAAGCTGTTTTGATAAACCACTCAAAGAATGCCATTTATAAGTGAAAATTATGGGACTGTGTTGCAAAAGAATGTCATGTTTCATCACTACTTTGCTTACATAAATGAAATATTTTCCCTTAAGGAAAACATAGGGAATATTTTTCTTTTCTCTTTTCTATCAAGATGCCATTTTCTGCAAGATTTTCTCTTTGAGAAATACCTCTGAATTTACTTGGTTTTAAACATATTTTAAAAAATAGAATTTGTGTAGCATAATGAATATTCTTGTTGCTTTTTAGTAGTAGCTGCTGCAAAATAATTATTCAAGAAAATATTTTGATTTCTGACAAATCATAGTCATATTGAACTAAGAATTTAGTACTTTCTGTTTCTCCTTCCATTCTCAGTAAGTAGATTAACTCACTTTCAGCATTTCTACCATGGTCAAAGGAGGAAAATGAGTTTAGGATCTGCTGACTCACTTTGAACCATGAAAAAGCTTTGGGCTAGCCCTTGTACAGATGAAGAAGTTCAGTGAGTACTTTGATGCTCTACTTGGCAGAATGTATTGCTTCTGGTACCCACACGCCCAGGAAGGAGTCCAATTGCACAGGAAGTTTTAGCCGGTTCCTTTTCAGGTAGTCAGAGAAATACTCCTAGAGAAAAAATCATCGCACCAGGACTCAGTTTGCTTTGGGAAAGTTCTGCAGTAGGGAAAAAAGCCACCTTCCTCATCTGAGGAGCTCCAGCTATTTTCTCCTCACTAAGTATATAATAAACACATTTTTTCAGTTTCTTCCTCATGAAGCTAGAAATAAGTAATATAGATGTTTATAATAAGTTTTGGAACCATAACTGCCAACCCTTTTTATTTTCACATACTTGCAAACTTTACTAGCTTTTTAGTAGTCTTCTAAATGTTCATAAATAGCATATGAGAATGTGAAATAATTAATGCAGCTAGCAAGGCCTGAACAGTGTAACTTCATTTCAGTAATAGACAGAAATATGTGTTTTATGTATGCATATTAAACACTTACACAGTGTTTTTGTTCTTGTTATGCTAAACAGCTAATGAAGAGAAGTGATTTCACATTGATGTAGCAAGACAGTCTAGAAACCAAGCGTTCATTCTGGTTTCTAGAATCCTGTTATCTAAGAAGTGTACTTTTCCTGAGGATTTATAATGCTTTATGCTGTGACTTTAAATAATGGTAAACTGTTACCCTAGATTCCTGTGGTGAAAGTCAGGCTGTGACAATCCTGATTTTAAGGAAATTTCAGAAAGTGATATGGGTAATTGAGGTACCATTAGATTATAAGAAAGGGTCTTGGGAGTACTTCAGTAGAATGGAGACTATTATAATGCCCTTTGAGAATATCCAGAGTGAATAGTGGTAAATAATCCCTATTCATGAGCTCAGTGGAATAAGGGAAGCCTTGTCTGACATAAGGAAGGAGAAGAGTGTGTTCTATATCTACCAATTTTTGAGTAAATATCTCTATTTCCTGTTTCAGGCAAAGGAACCAAAAGAGTTAAGCAGTTCCCAAAGACTCACATAACAAGATAAGGACTGAGTAACACAAGAATTATCTGGCTACGTATTGTCTGTCCTCTGGTGTTGAATTGTGTCACTCACAGCCCAGAGAATAATATGCCCAAAATTTTCACTGAAAGAAATTGAGTTTTTAGTTGACATTTCTTATAATACTGAACTGGCAAATCCTTTAGTTTTTTTCCAGTGATTATGTAAGTTATCCTAAATGAAACAATGGTCCACCTAAGCCCTGTTGTCCTCATTATGTTCCTCAAGTGTCCCTGTACCAAATCATTGGAGAATGGCCAGCAAAATAACCACATTTCACAGCATCTCATTAAATTTTCATCTTTCATTAAGAATTACCTAATTTAGTGGATTAGGGAAAGTGATAGTTTATTATTGAGAAATCCTTTATAATTAGGTTATCTTTATAAATAAATAATTTGTCTAGAGTTACGTTTTAGGTCTAAATTAATTTACACTAATTAAATCAGCCATAAGTTGTAAGTGTGCACATGATGTAGTATTCACTGAGTGTCACCCAATTATTTTTCAAATAAACACATTTATTTTCTCTTTCTGTCCAAAGTACTGTGTTAGACAATAGGGCTAACAAAGGGTTAGAGATGGAGCCCCTGCCCTTGACAGTTCCTTCTAGGTCACTCCCAATGTCAGTGCTGAAATTTTATAGTTACTGGTTTTTTCTGTTATGCTAACTGAACTGCTGTGCCGTTTCCAACTATGAATCACAAATGCAATGAGAGCATCGGAGGCTGCTGTGTAAAAGTGTACAGCCAATACATATGTAAAAAAGACAAATTAATCCTATTCACAGAGTTTATCATACCAGAGTCAACACTACCATATAATTAACGCTGACTTTAGCTACATGGTGACAAAACACAAAAACAAAACAACAAAAACAAACAAACAAAAACTCTCACTTTTTTTCATGCATCCAAGCCAATTAAATTCATCTAGATTAGAATTGAAACAAAATATTTTCCAGAGAAGTTTGCATCTTTATGTAATCTTAAGGCTCAAGAATGACTCTCTTTGAGATCTGGATGGCAAAATGGAACTAGGGTAATAACAATAATTATTGGCATAATGTAAGGATTATAAGAATATGAGTTCAAAATTCTGGTTTTGGGTTCTAGCTCTGCCACAAACTAACTGTGTCACCTTGGTCAAGTCTCTTTTGTCACTGATACTTAGATTTTGTATTATGACTGGTAATGTGAGAATGATCTCTGATCCCCTTCCAGAAGTAATAGGCCAAGTATCTACTACATACAAAGTGTCATGCTGTAGAGGCACCATGAAAACATGATTCCTGTCTTCTAGGTGCTTAAGGCAGGTAAAGAAAAAAGCATCATTAGCGTAAATACCAAGTAACAAATTATGTATAGAAAAGGAATGGTTGGAATAGTTCTGGTGAAATGGTTGCTTCTAGCTCAAGTGGTTAGAGAAGCCTTCCAAGAGGAGTGATATTTATGCTGAAGCCTGAAGGTTGTATGGTAAGTACAGTAGTCCCCTCTTCTGTGTGGTTTTGCTTTTCATGGCTTCAGTTACCCGTGGCCAACTGTGGTGTGAAAATATTGAGTGGAAAATTACAGAAATAAAGGATTCATAAGTTTGAAATTGCGTGCCACTCTGAGTAGCCCGATGGAACCCTGAGCTGCCCTGCTCCAATCCCACTTTGTCCTGCCCAACATGTGAATCATCCCTTAGTCTAGCAAATACATACTTTATACTCTGGCCATCTCAGTTATCAGGTTTACCGTCAACTGTATTGCCACACTTGTGTTCAAGTCACCCTTATTTTACTTAATAATGGCCCCATAGTGCAAGAGTAGTGATGCTGGCAATTCAGATATGCCAAAGAGAAGCCACAAAATGCTTCCTTAAAGTGAAAAGGTAAAACTTCTTGACTTAGTAAGGAAAGGAAAAAAAAATCGTATGCTGAAGCTTCTGAGATATACCACAAGAATGAATCTTCTATCTGTGAAATTGTGAAGAAGGAAAAAGAAATTCCTGATAGTTTTGCTGTCACACTTTAAACTGTAAAAGTTATGGCCACAGGGCATGATGAGTGCTTAGTTAGGATGGAAAAGACATTAAATATGTGGGTGGAAGACATGAATAGAAAACATATTCTGATTGATGGCAATGTGTTGCATCAGATTTACTTAATTAAATTACACTTTATCATAGGTGTGTTTGTATAGGAAAAAAACATAGTATGTATAGGGTTTAGTACTATTCATGGTTTAAGGCATCCACTGGGGTCTTGGAATGGATCTGTGGTGGATAAGTGGGGTCCACTGTACCTGAGTAGATTCAGAGAAATGAGAGCAAAATCCCAGGTTGGTATAAGGGCATGAGGATAGACAAGATTTAGGAAAGCACATGCCTGTTTTCAGAGCTTGGTGTACACCAGTATGGTTAGAGAAAGGGACTCTTGAGATTGCATAAAGGAATATAGTGCTGGAAGTAGACATAAGTGTCAGCTATAATAAAAATGATTCGTGTATACTACATGACAGTTGACAAAAGGCTTTGACATAACATTATTTTATTTGAACACTTTAGGAGGGCATCTGCTGTGAGTCCTCTTAAGAGAAGCAGGCTGGGCGTGGTGGCTCACGCCTGTAATTCCAGAACTTTGGGAGGCTGAGGTGGGTGAATCACAAGATCAGGAGATGGAGAACATCCTGGTCAACATGGTGAAACCCCGTCTTTACTAAAATACAAAAATTAGCTGGGTGTGGTGGCGCACGCCTGTAGTCCTAGCTACTCGGGAGGCTGAGGCAGAAGAATCGTTTGAACCTGGGAGGTGGAGGTTGCAGTGAGCCAAGATCGTGCCACTGCACTCCAGCCTGGTGAAAGAGCAAGATTCTGTCTCAGAAAAAAAAAAAAAAAAAGAGAGAGTAGCAAAAAATCACCATTTGATTTCTTTTCCAGCAACTATAACAAAACCGTCCAATCACTCTTCTTTCACCCAGGGAGAACAAAGAGTTATGGCCTCTGCTGCAGAGGGCCTTGGAAAATGGCCAGTTGGGGGCCTTTCTGGTGACCCCGAGGCTGAGTTTTTGATGGGTACCATATTTTTGAGGTCCAAGGATCAGCATCATTGGGTTATATTCTGACTGCAGACACCATCTCTCCAGGGATTTATGGGAACTTGCTCATGTGTTTAGTGTGGTCATTACAAATTTTAATATGAAGTATAATAAATTTGCAGGTAATTCATTATGTAAAAGACCTTTTTATTGACTGAAATACATTAAAGTTTTTGAAAGTATTTGAAATGTATGTAGCAACTTTTCAACTTCTTCCTTTAAAATTTCTCTCCTATAATAATTATTCCTAAATGTTTACCCTCCTATGAAATCCTCAGGCCTACTCCCTTACCTTCAGCCAGTGACTTTTTATCTCCTGACTCACAATTAATGTATCAAGTAATAGCTCCTTAAACTTATTGCACCTACGAACTAACTGGCATCTTAGCCTTCCTTCCCAGTCCAATGAAAAATTCATCTGTCGTCCACACTGATATTTTATGCTTATGTTGTGAATTCTTTTCTTCCCATCTTGGGGGATATTCTATTAGTCATCCCCTCCTTCTTTATCCTCAATTGCTCCTTCTCTGCTGGCTCCTTTCCCTTACCTATAAACATCATATGTGCTTCCTATTGGAAATAACAGCAACAGCACAAAACCTCCCTATGTCACCAACTCTTCTCTTGACAAGAAAAGTTTCCTGAAAAAGCTTCTTTGTTACCTTCTATTCCTCACCTCTCACTTATTCCTCAATTTAATCTGGCTTCTGCTGCTACTATTTAGAACCACTCACACTTAGGTCACCAATGATTTCCAAATTGATATATTGATTGTTTCAGTCTTTAATTTAGTTGATCTATCCAGTATTTGATACTATTGGCCACTGATTCCTTCTTGATATTTCCTTCCTGGTTTCTAGACAACACCCTCTTAATCCCCTGCCCCTTTCTGGCCCTGGCTCTCTCTGTTTCTGCACTGAATCCTCTTCCTACTTATAACTTGATATTCCCTGTCTTGGGCCTACTTAAAAGAAGAAAACAGCTTTATTGAGATATAATTTACGTACCATACAGTTCACCCATTTAAGTGTATAATTAAGTGGTTTTTGGTATATTCACAAGGTTGTGCAACCATCATCACAATTTAATTTTAGAACATTTTCATCACCCCCAAAATAAACCTATACCCATTAGCAATTATTCCCTATTCCCCTCCTTCCTTCATCCTTTACCTATAGGCAGCCACTAATCTTCATTCTTTTTTTTTTTTAAATATGGAATGCTTCACAAATTTATATTTCAGTGTTTCATCCTTGTGCAGGGGCCATGCTAATCTTCTCTGTATCTTTCCAATTTTCATATATGTGCTGCCCAACCAAGCACTACTTTCTGGCAATAGGTTTGCTGGGCCTCATTTTTGCTTATTTAGATTTTACTTGTGGGATCTCACCATACTCACTGTTTTAGTTTATCCCCATATCATGGTTACTCTGAAATCTGCCTATCAAATTTAGACCTCACTTTTGATCTCTAGGTTCAGAGTCACCTGCTTTTTCCTCATTTTCCCATAGATGTCCCATTGGCATCTCAAACTGAACATGTGCAAAACTGAATCATCAGTCTTTTACCACATCTTATGCATCTATTTTGGAGAATGGCAATATTCTCACATCCAGTCCCCAAACCCCTGCAGTTTTTCAAACTAGGAATATAGAAGATAGAATAGATGGCTCCCTCATCCATCCTGTCCCATCTGTCTTCTCTTTTAAATATCTCTGGACTCTGCCTTTCGTTGTATTCCCATTGCTGTTTCTTTGGTTCAAGCCCTATAATAAGCCTCTGGACAAGTCTCTCTGCATCCCCTTCCCCAACTCATCCACACCAATTTAATAAAGATCATTTGAAAATACAAATTAATTATTAAAACTTCTATAAGTTATGGAGACATTCAGATTTAAGTAATAGAAAACCCAACTTAAAATGGGTTATTAATAAACAGGGATTTCTATTCTCTCATAACAAGAAGGCTAGAGATGGCCACAGGCTTTGCTTGAGCAGTTCTACCATGTCATTTTCAGTATATTTGGGATAATCTTGTCATTCTCTTGTGGTTGGAGAATGGTTGGCACAGTTACAGATATGGTGTCTAAATTCAAGGAAGGAAGGAAGGGAAGGGGCAGAGCCAGCCATGGTTATTTATCAGAAAATCTGAATATTTGCCAGAAGACTTTTCAGTTAGATTTCTGCTTACCCTTCACTGGCCAGAACTGTCACAGGCCATCTGTCACTATAAAGGAGGCTTGGGATGTGAGGTTTTATCTTTTCTAGTGTCTGTAGTAGAGGTAGGCAAGGGAGAAAGAGTTGGGGAATGCATATTTCTCCCCTACTTAAAATCCTTCAGTAGCTTCCCACTTCTTTCAAGATCATAAAGTTCATTCTTAGTATAATGTCAAAGGGTTCCTTGTACTGATGTCCTGTGATAGGTCGAGTCTACCATTTGTCCACACTTCTTATAATTCTTCAAACAGACCATGATCTTTTAGGATTATTGTTTTTGTCCATGTTATTTCCAACTAAGAAAGCCTCTTTCTATTTCTTTCCTCTCTTTTCTCATACACCTCCAACAAAAACAAAAATACTCAAAACAAAAAAAAAGGGTAACTCTTGCTCTTTCTTGAAAGTCCAGTTCATAAGTTATCTCCTTAGGGAAACTTTCATGACTCCCGCCTCGTAGTAACAATTTAGTGTTTTTTTTTTGTTATTGTGAGACTCTTAAAGGCAGTCTAAAACCCCAGTTCTTAGTTTAGAATCTGACACATAGTGAAGCTCAGTAAATGTTGGATGAATGAATGAATATTTGAAGTTTTCTACAAGTCAGTTTCATTCTCAATTCTCATGAATTTGCTAACTTCCCCAAATATCCTGTATCCCTCTTTTCCTTAAGGGGAAAGAGACAGATACTTTTCATATTGTATCTTATTTTTATTTATTTATTTGAGACAGGGTCTCTCTCTGTTGCCCAGGCTGGAGTACAGTGGCGTGATCTCAGCTCACTGCAACCTCTGCCTCCTGGGTTCAAGTGATTCTCCTGCCTCAGCTGCCCGAGTAGCTGGGATTACAGGCACTCACCACCACGCCCAGCTAATTTTTATATTTTTAGTAGAGACAAGATTTCACCATGTTGGCCAGGTTGGTCTCAAACTCCTGACTTCAAGTGATCCACCCACTTTGGTCTCCCAAAGTGCTGGGATTACATGCGTGAGCCACTCTGCCTGGCCCCGTATTTTATTTTAGACATATAGTTATACCTTACTTATGTCTTACCCTGTGTTTACTTCATGGATACACAGATCAGACACTTTAGAAAATGAGTTGAAATTGGCTGGGCGCGGTGGCTCATGCCTGTAATCCCAGCACTTTGGGAGGCCGAGGAGGGCAAATCACCTGAGGTTGGGAGTTTGAGATCAGCCTGACCAACATAGAGAAACCCCTTCTCTACTAAAAATACAAAATCAGCCAGGTGTGGTGGCGGGCCCCCTGTAATCCCAGCTACTTGGGAGGCTGAGGTGGGAGAGTCACTTGAGCCTGGGAGGTGGAGGTTACGGTGAGCTGAGCTGAGATCGTGCCATTGCACTCCAGCCTGGGCAACAAGAGTGAAAATCTATCTCAAAAAAAAAAAAAAGAAAAAGAAAAAGAAAATGAGTTGAAAATATCCCTGACTTTTTTTTTTTTAATTTAAAGGACTTTCATCCTTTGAGAGTTTTAAATCAAAGTTTGATATTTAATGTTTGTATTTCAATTTGTAATCTAAAAATAATTCTGAATTATTTCGTAACCATTTTACCTTATAACCAGTACTGTCATCCAATTCCAGTTCCTGAATTTGTGTTTTACTTACAGTCACATTAGTGCCAAGTGGTATTGCTTTAACTGTCATAAGCTTAAAAGGAAAGATTTGAGGCAATTTTTATGTATAATTTATGCATTAATGCCAAATGAGAGCCAAATGCTGTGCTTTGGTAATCTGTTTAACTGATTTTGAGAAATGTGGTGGTATATTTGAATAAAGAGCGTCAGAAATGGCAAATATTGGACCGGATATGGTAGCTCATGCCTGTAATCCCAGCACTTTGGGAGGCAGATGCGGGAGAATTGCTTGAGCTCAGGAATTCGAGACCGGCCTGGGCAATATAGCAAAACCTTGTCTATACAAAAAATAATTTAAAAATTTTGTCGGGCATGGTGATGTGCTCCTATAGTCCTAACTACTTGGGAGGCTGAGGCGGCTGACTGCTTTTAAGCCCAGGAGTTCGAAGCTACAGTGAGCCGTGATCATACCACTGCACTCTAGCCTGGGCAGCAGAGCAAGGCCCTATCTCTTAAAAAAAAAAAAAAAAAAAAAAAAAGAGAAATGGCAAATATTAGAGTAAATATAAAGCACAAATTATAACATTGTCCTGTGGGGTGTATAAAATATATAGATGTTTGACACCTTTAGTGTAAAGAATGGCAGGGGAGTAATGGAATTCCTATACATTTGCAAAGTTTCTACATTTTATGTGAAGTGGCATATTAACTTAGGTAGAATGAAAAGTTAAGGATGCATATTTTAACTCTCAGAGCAACTAATTAAAAAAAGGAAACCCAAGAGATAAACCCAACTAGAACTTCTAAAACATATCCAAATGACCTGAAGAAGGCAAGAAAAAGGGAACACAGGAACGAAAAACCAGGAGAGACAGATTGAAAATAAATAATAAAATAATAGACCTAAATCTAATAATATCAATAATTACATTAAATATTAATGGGCCAAACACTCCAATTATGAGACATAGATGAACAGAATCAATAAATAGCAGGGCCTAACTATATGCTATTTACAAGAAATTCACTTTAAGTATAAAGACATAGACTGAAAGTGAATGGATGGAGAAAATATAAATGATGCAAACAATAATCATAAGAAGATTAGAGTGGCTATATTAATATTAGGTAAAGTAGATAATCAAGGCAAATGGTATTAACAGAGACAAAGAGGGATGTTCCGCAATGATGAAAGGACCAATCATTCTGGAAGACATTATCATAAATGTGTATCTAACTAATATAAACCTAACCTCAAAAGGTATGACATAAACATTTCAAAAGTAAAGGCGGAATTAGACAATGCTGTAATCATAGTTGGTGATCAACAGAGTTTATAAGCATACCTCTTTCAGCAATTGATAGAACATCCACACAGAAAATCAGTAAAAACGTAGGTAAAGAGCTAAACAACTCTACCAACTATCTTGACCTAACTGATACTTCTAGAAACACCACACTCATTGGCCAGGCACGGTGGCTCATGCCTATAATGATAACACTTTGGGAGGCCGAGGTAGTAGGATCATTTGAGCCCAGGAGTTTGAGACCAGCCTGGGCAACATGACAAATCCCTGTCTCTCCAAAAATACAAAAATTAGCCAAGCTTAGTGGCATGCACTGTAGTCCCAACTACTTGGGAGGCTAAGGTGGGATGATTGATTAAGTCTAAGTGGGTGAAGTTGTGGTGAACCATGATAGCACCATTGCACTGCAGCCTGGGTGACAGAGTGAGACCCTGTCTTAAAATGAATAAATAAATATTTGTAAAGAAACACCATACTTACATGACTCATTCACGAAGACAGACTATATTCTGGGTCAGAATACAAGTCACAATTAATTTAAAGGATTGAAATAATACAGATTATATAGGAATCAGTAATATCTCCAAGAAAATCTCAAATATTTATAAATTAAATAACATTCTTCTAAATAATTCATGTATCAATAAGGAAACCATAAAGGAAATTTAAAAATATTTTAAACTAAATGATAATGAAAACACAGTATCTCAAAATTGTGGGGTGCAGCCAAAGCAGTGCTCAGAGGGAAACATATAGCTTTAACTGCTTATCTTAGAAAAGAAGGAAAGTCTAAAATCAATTAACAAAGCTTCAACCTTGAGAAGTTGGAGAGGGTGTTGGGGGGAAAAGCAAACTAAACACAAAATAAGTAGAAAGAAGGACATAATAAAGGTAAGAGCAAACATGGATATAATTGAGAAGAGAAAACCAAATTAGACTCTTAGATGAACAAAGTTTATAAACTTGTAGCTAGACTGATCAAATCACTGGTATGACAAATGAAAGAGAGGGTATAACTATGGAACCCACAGACATTAGAAGGGTAAGAAAACTGGTTGCAGTGGCTCATGCCTCTAATCTCAGCATTTTGGGAGGCTGACGGGGGAGGATCACTTGAGCCCAGGAGTTCAAGACCAGTCTTGGCAACACAATGAGATCCCAACTCTCCAAAAAGAGAAAAAAAAGAAAAAAAAAAGCCAGGCACGGTGGCTTGCGCCTGCAGTCCCAGCTACTCCAGAGGCTGAGGTGGGAGGATCTCTTGAGCCCAGGAGGTCAAGGTTGTAGTGAGCTGTGATTGCGCCACTGCACTCCGCCCTGGGTGACAGCAAGACCCTGTCTCAAAATAAAGTAAATAAAAAGAAAAAAAAAAGGATAAGAGAATATACTGTACAACTTGATGCCCACAGAAGTGACAAATTAGATTAAATGGATTTTTTTTGAAAAATATAATATTAACATTGCTACAAAAATGTAAAACTAAGATGGCTTATTATTATGAAATTACTTTGTGGATTCCTAAAAGAGTCTTGTGGTCCAGAGGTTTATGGACCACATTTTGAGAATTGCTGCTTTAGATGGGTGCAATTTATTTTATGTACCTTGTATCTCAGTGAAGTTGGTTAAGAAATATATATGTACATATTTTTATATATATCCATAAAAATATATTGCATAAAAATGTGTGTGTGTATATATGTATATATGTGTGTGTGTGTGTGTGTGTGTGTGTGTGTGTGTGTGTGTGTGTATGGGGGTAATGTGGAATTTATTTTACTTTAAGAAGTTTCTGTCATTTTGAGTGTATAAAACATTACCTGACAGTATATTTAAGACTATGACATTTTTGATAGTATGATTGAAACTTTTTTTTATTCCACTTCTGCTAGACTTATTTATATAAAATTTTTTTTTTTGAGACGGAGTCTTGCTCTGTCACGCAGGCTGGAGTGCAGTGGCACGATCTCGGCTCACTGCAACCTCCACCTCCCTGGTTCAAGCGATTCTCCTGCCTGAGCCTCCTGAGTAGGTGGGATTACAGGTGCCCGCCACCACACCTGGCTAATTTTTTGTAGTTTTAGTAGAGACAGGGTTTCATCATGTTGGCCAGGCTGGTCTTGAACTCCTGACCTCAAGTGATCCAGCCGCCTCGGCCTCCCAAAGTGCTGGGATTACAGGCGTGAGCCACCACGCCCGGCTGCTTATTTATATAATTTTTATTGGAAGAGTAATCTATAGACATCTATAAAAATAAAATAAATATAAAAAAGAAATAAAAAAATGCAAAAACAGTGAAAATGGTTTGACCAACTTAAAAGGACAGCAGAAAATTTAGAAGGAAAGCCTAGATATAAGGGGAACTTTCTAATCTTTATGTAAGTAATTTTTCTTATCGATTTATGTTTATCTGTAGCTCTTTATTTATCTATCCCCCCATCTGTTCATTCACGTATCCATCCATTCATCCAACCATCCTTCCTCCTTGTG
Organism: Homo sapiens; assembly: GCF_000001405.40. Lineage (NCBI taxonomy): Eukaryota > Metazoa > Chordata > Mammalia > Primates > Hominidae > Homo > Homo sapiens. The sequence continues at coordinate 56,939,454 of NC_000006.12, read as the reverse complement.
CATATTGTATCATGCCTTAGAACTACTCTCATACCAAGATCTTGAATTCTGCCATGTCCTTCTCTGATCATACCTGCTTCTGTCTCTGGACCTTATTGTGAGCTCTTAATGAGTTTCCTTCTTACCTTCGTCAGGACCAAAATCTTCTTTGGGGGTCAGTCTGTCATTACCTTCTTATTTAATGTCACTTGGCAGTCTGCTCACTATAGACCCTTGGACCAACAGTTTTGAGAAACTTTGTTATTCTCACTTCACTCATGCAATTAATTAGTCCTTCTGCCACAGTGACTTTGCCAACTCTCAGACTTGGTGACTGCTTTTCTGTTCTTGTGCCTGGGAGGCATATCCTTATTGGACAACTTCACAAAACTCAACCATTTGATTCATTATGCTGTCTAGCAGTCATCACTGCCCCTTTGTAGTGTATCAATTAGCTGCTTCTTTGTAACCATTTAAAACTTAGTAACTTAGACATTAATCATTTATCTCACAATTCCGTGGGTTGGTGATCTGGGCTGTGCCCAGTTGGGCACTTGGTCTGGTCTGAGTCAGGCTTGGCTCATCACAGCTGGAAGTCACCCAGGTATCTTTGATGAGCTCTGGCTGACTCATGGTTTTCCTCTGCATGGTCTCTCCTCTTCCAGTAAGCCAACTCAGGCTGGTTCACATGTGGTTAGGTTTGGGTTCCAAAAGCAGCAAGAGTGGAAGTGCATGAGGCCTCTTGAAGTCTGGAATCTGGGCTTGTACAGTGCCTCTGCTGACACATTGTTTTGGCCAAAGCAAGTCACAGTGGGTAGAGAAGAGTCCTGATAGGAGGAGTTACATAGTATTGTGGCCATTTTTGCAATCTACCGTAGGTAATCTTTTGATTTATTTTTGGTTTGCTACTGTCTGCTATCCCTAAAGTACTCATGGTAAGCTTTTTCTGTTTTTTTCCCTGGACAGTCTTTTCCAATTTCTTGGCTTTCATATGTATGGAAATTACTTCTACCAGACGTTTTTAGGCCCAACTTAGTTTTTCAAAAATTTCAGACTGGGTGCTGTGGCTCATACTTGTAATCCCAGTGCTTTGGGAGGCTGAGACGGGAGGGTTGCTTGAGGACAGGAGTTCAAGACCAGTCTGGGCAACATAGTGAAACAAAAAATAAAAAAATTAGCTGGGCATGATGGTATGCACCTGTTGTCCCAGTTACTCAGGAAGCTGAGATAAGGAGGATCACTTGAGCCCAGGAGTTTGAGGCTGCAGTGAGCTATGATCATGCCACTGCATTCCAGCATAGGCAACAGAGCAAGAATCTATCTCAAAAAAATTTTTTTTTAAACATATATATATATATATATATATAGAGAGAGAGAGAGAGAGAGAGAGAGAAAGAGAGAGAGAGGTGTAATTTCTAGTTTTAGAATATTTTTCGTCATCCCCAAAAGATTTCTCATGCCTGTTTGCAGTCAATCTCTGTTCCAATCCCTAACCCCATGCTGCTTTCAGTATCTATAGATAGTGCCTCTCCTGGACATTGCATATAAGTAGAATCATATAATATGTAGTCTTTCACATCTGGCTTCTTTCATGTAGCTTAAGGTTTTTGAGATTTGTCCATGTTGTAGTATGTATCAGTAGTTTGTTCATTTTTATTGCTGAATAGTATTTCATTCTGTGAATATACCATACTTGATTTATCCATTTACCATTGATGGACATTGGCGCTTCTCCCTAATGATTAGCTATTACAAATAGCACCGCTGTGAATATGTGCTTAAAACCATTGTGTGGACATATATTTTCATTTCTCTTGGGCAGATACCTAGGAGTAAAATTGCTAGGTTGTATGGTAAGTTTAATTTTTAAAGAAATTCTCCAGTTGTTTTTTTAAATGGCTGTACAATTTAATATTCTCATCAGCAGTGTATGTGGGGTCCAGTATCTTGACATCCTTGGCAATACTTGTTACTGTCTTTTTTACTATAGCTATTCTATTGGATATGTAGTGATAGCTCCGAGGTTTGATTTGCATTTCCCTAAAGACTAATGATGTTGAGCATCTTTTCACATGCTTTTTAGCTATTCATATATCTTCTCTGGTGAAGTGTTCAAATCTTTTGTCCATTGTAAAATTGATTTTTTTTTCTTATTGAATTTTAAGAGTTCTTTATACATTCTGGATACAAATTCTTTAATAGATACATAGTTTGCCTATTTTTATGGTCTGTGGTTTCTCTTTTCATTTACTTAATGGTGTCTTTTTAAGTGCAAAGTTAAAAAATTTTAATAAGTCCAATTTATCAATTATTTTTCTTTATGGATTATACTTTGGTGTCATTTCTAGGAATTGTTTGCCTCATCCAAGATAATAAAATAAGTTTCCTGCTGCTTTTTTTTCAAGGCAATTTAGTTTTGGTTCTTACATATAGTTTTAGTTTTTCTGTGTTTTTTGAGTTTGTAAATTGCTGGTATTAGTTTTTTAAAAATATTTGGAATATTTCACCAGTGAACCCATTTGGAGCTGGTGTTTTCTCTGTGGGAAGATAATTTTAAGTTGTTAATTCCACTTCTTTACTTTTATGTGCCTATTCAGATTACTTTTCTTCTTGAGTCACTTTGGTAATTTTTGCCTTTCTAAATGGTTCATTTCATCTAAGTTATCTAGTTTGTTGGCCTAAAGTTGTTTCTGGTATTCTCTTCTGCTCTTTTTAATTCTGTATGGTTGATAGTACTTTCGGATTCCCTTTTTGTTTGTCTAGCCAAAAAGTTGGGGCTTTTGTTATCCTGTCCTGTTGCACACTTCTGTGACCGCACTTGCATCCAGGAAGGAAGATAAAAACCAAACGTAAAGGAATAGGAGTTTGCCCTGCCTGTGGTATTGTTTAGGGGCTGTGAGAAAAGAAAAAAAAATGAGTGATTTCTGTACTTTCTCTGAGTCTTAAGAATTGTCCTTCTCACCTCGCTACCCAGAATTAGGGCACTTTTTCTGGAGCTCTGTATCTGAACATCAGTACCCATTTCTGGGTTTCAGGCTGCACTGCTGCATTGCATTCGGTCTGGAGAATAATGGAGGTCAAAAATGGCAAACTCACCACTGGTTTTCATATACTTTGAATTTTGGCCTTTTTACTTCAATTGGCCTGCTGCTGTTTACGTTTCAGAATCCTCAAGTAGCTGCTCAATGCATTCTATTCAGTTTTACAGCTGCGTTCAATGAGAGACATGCTTATTCTACTTTATTGTAAATGGGAACACGAACTGACTTTAACTAGTCTGTCCTCCATCCACTTCAAGCTTGTTACTTTTCTCTTTTTATTTATTTACCCTTTAGAAAATCTTGTAGGATTTTGACAGTTGGTAAGATGATGCTGGTAGAGATGTGTATTGCTACATATAACTCATGAAATACTGAAGATTCCATTTATTTTACCATTATACAAATTTTTTAGGAATCAAACATCAATAGATTATTCATTTTGGAAAAGTTTCTTTTCTTATTTTTTTGGTCCAATCTCATTATTCTTTTTGTTTTTCTTTTTTCTCTTTTTGAGACAGAGTCTCGTTCTGTCACCAGGCTGGAGTGCAGTGGTGTGATCTCGGCTCACTGCAACCTCTGCCTCCCGGGTTCAAGCAATTCTCCTGCCTCAGCCTCCTGAGTAGCTGGGACTACAGGCACGCACCACCATGCCCAGCTAATTTTTGTATTTTAGTAGAGACGGGTTTTCACCATGTTGGCCAGGATGGTCTCGATCTCTTGACCTCGTGATCCGCCCACTTTGGCCTCCCAAAGTGCTGGGATTACAGGTGTGAGCTACCGTGCCCGGCAATCTCATTATTCTTTATATTTTCTGCATTTGTCTCCAACTTCTGTACATAAAATAGATTGAGGTTAAAGAACTACTTGCAGATTTTAAAGAAAACAATATGTATCACTTCATATTTACTGATGAGTTTACAAAGAGTAGAAATTTCACATTAAGAAGTAATTAAGCAGTAGACCATTAACAAGTTTTAAATAACTAACTGACCAACTTTGAAGAATCATTAAAAGAACATTAAATAGTATATTCCTGCTACTGCCCACTCTGCAGTGAGCTGCACGCAGCAGGCAGCAGGCAGTTGCGAGCATTTCAGACTGATCTAGAGTGTGACTGCCTCTTGTTTTAAAAACGGTTGTGGGGCATCCCAAAGTGAATCCCAAATACATTCTTAATTGTTTAGACTCTCTTGAAATATTTGGATTACCTAGCTGTATGTCTGAATCATCAGCTGTTCTGGGTGGGAGATAAAATTGGGAAATTTTGGCTGGCTACTGCTATATTACAATTTCTCTAGAAACTTCAGTTAATAATGGACTCAAGCATGCCTTGAGCTGTTCGCCGAGAAACTATGGCAACGGGCCTTTTAATTAAAGCTGAAGTAGTGTGTGTAGCTTAGGAAAACGGAGATACTGCCAATTGATAGGGTGACAGTATGGGAATCATCCATGAAGCTAACAAGAAATTTCTTTTTAGATATATTTAGTTAACTCTTTTTTACCTAAGTTGCTCAAAGAAACACTAGTAAACTCTTTTAGTGGACATCAATATTTGGCTTTGGAATATGTTACAATATTTTTTAAAGAATATATAGCTTCCTAATTTTTTTTAAGAATAATATTAAAATTATTTTGTGTTTTCTGAGTATATGTTAAACTGAGAGTTGGAAGTTATTGGAAGGGTCAGCCTAGAGGCATCCTTAATGTCAGAGGGCAGCCAATCTGAGATAGTTCACAAAACCAATGATCTCTCCATTTTGGTGATGGAGACATTAGTGTGCCTTAATTCTCTCTCTCCATGTCATATTCTCTCTCTCTCTCTCCCCTCCTTCTCTCTCTCTCACGATATATATATATATATATATATATATATAATATAATATATAATATGTATATTTTATATGTATATAAAAGTGCACTAGTGGGCTGATGATTGACAAATTAGTAAACTGTCCCCCTCTTGAGCTAACGCATTTCCAGGCAGTGTGCTGGAATTTATAAGCCCAGACCATAACAAAAGTGATTTATTATTGTTAGCTTTCCAAATTAAAAAAATAAAAACTAAGTAGAAAAGCAACAGTTGCCATTTTTTGAGGGTCAAGTATGTGTTATGCTAACAACCCCCAGTGATGGGCAGATTCTATTAGCCCTTTGGTAGGGGCTGAGGAGGGGGAGAATTTGAGTTTAAGTCTGTTGTTTTAGCATCCCATCTTAAAAAGTGTCCCTGTTTGAGGATAAATTGCAGTCACCTGGTGAAGGCAATCGCTAGAAAGATGAGTAGCATCTAATTAAATAAAATGTTCTACTTAGGAGGCTGAGATGGGAAGATTTTTAGAAGCCAGGAGTTTGTGACCAGCCTGAGCAGCATGGTGAGATCCCCATCTCTAAAAAATAAAAAATATATATATGTATATAAAATAAAACAAAATGTAATAGTGACAAATGTAAAAGCCCTTAAGCCAGAGACAATGTAGGAATTGGCTCTTACAAAAGCCTGTTATCTGGTTTCCTTGGCTTTGGGTTTCAGTTCACTTTTTATGATACTGTTGGCAGAGTAAGCTATCTGAAATAAGATCTGATCTTCCACTCCTTTTGCTTAATGGCTTTTCTTTGCTTAATGGCTTCCCGTTGCTTACAGGATAAGTACACCCTTTCTTGGTATCAGCTCCCACATACCTCTAATGCACACCTTAAACTCAAACAAGACCCAGCTGCTTGGTTCCCTACCCCATTCTGTTTTCATGCCATTGCTCATGCTGGAACCCCTCTATTCTACTTTTTTGTTGTTGTTGCAAACTCCCATTTCTACTTAAAAATGAGGATTAAACATCATTTTCTTCCTTTCTTTATCTCACATTCTTCCCTTAGTCTTCCTGGACATTCTCCCCTCTTGTTATTGAACTGAACTAACTGGGGCCTGCTCACCTGGCACGGTAAGGCCAAACATCCACACTGAGGTTTGCAGTGGAAGAAAGGAGGGCATTTATTTGCAGGGTGCCAAGCAAGGAGAATAGTGCAGCTTATGCTGAAAGACCTGATCTCCTCAATGGCTTGCAAGTCGAGTTCTTAAAGGCATGGTTAAGTTTTAGGAAAGCAGAAGTTACAGACAAAATCATAAATCAATATGCAGAGGTTACACATTGGTTTGGCCTACAAAGGGTGGGATATCTTGAAGTGGGGGCAGGTCATAGGTAGATTAAAAGATTTTCTGTTTTGCAATTGGTTAAGGAAGGGAAGCTTTGTTTAAGATCTGGGTCAGCAGAAAAGATTGTTAGCTCTGGTTTCTGGTGTGACTTCTTTCAGGACCATCAGGAAGAAATTTACAGCAAAGAGAAGTGGTCAGAGATCAGTCCTCAGTTCCTCCTATCTGAGGTCTACATGCTGTTCGGTGGGGGTCTGGGTTTCTGAAAAACAACTCAGGAACATATGTTAAGATTTTATCTTTACTTTCTATAGAGAACCAAACATTGTATTATTTTAACTTCCTGGGAGATTGTTTTAAGCTACTATTACCTTCTTGCTTATCTAGTTGCTCATTTATTTCTCAGGGAGACCTAGGTACCTGGAAATTCCCTTGAAGGAACTCAGGATTTTCTATTATTTCTATGCTTGGGACCCACAGACCCCTAAGAAGTGTCCCTGCTCCATCTCACTCTGGGACTGGATGAGGGCACCAGATATGGGGATTTACACACCAAGGCAGGTGGTATGTAATTTTTATCTTGTATCCATAGCCTTGTGTGGCATCTGGCATGGAATAGGCACTTACTATTTGTTGAATATTTGATGTTGGCTAAATATTTGATGTATATAGGAATGGAATTAAGTGAGTAAACTAGAGTTACCAGGCATATTTGAGAAAATACAGAGTAGTTGAACTTCAGTTCAGCTGTTTTCCCTCCTCCTTCTCTCCCACCCTTCTCTTGCCTCCCGGCTGCCTGTTCCTCCTATGCCTGTTCTGTGGCTTTCCAGAATACCCTGGTCAAGGAATTGCTCTTCCCTTAAATGCCCCTCTATTAGTCCACTTCCATTCTGCTGATAAAGACAAACTTGAGACTAGGTTTGGAAGACTTTTTCTGGAAGAAAAAGAGGTTTAATTGGATTTAAAGTTCACATGGCTGGGGAGGCCTCAGAATCATGGCGGGAAGCAAAAGGCACTTCTTACATGTTGGTGGCAAGAGAAAATGAGAGAGAAGCAAAAGCAGAAACCCCCCATAAAACCATCAGATCTCCTGAAGCTTATTTACTACCACGAGAACAGTCTGGGGGAAACCACCCCCATGATTCAAATTATCTCCCACTGGATCCTTCCCACAACACATGGGAATTATGGGAGTACAATTCAAGATGAGATTCGGGTGGGGACACAGAGCCAAACCATATCATTCAGCCCCTGGCCCCTCCTAATCTCATGTCCTCACGTTTCAAAACCAATCCTGTCCTCACATTTCAAAACCAATCATGCCTTCCCAGCAGTCCCCCAAAGTCTTAACTCATTTCAGCATTAACCCGAAAGTCCAAAGTCTCATCTGAGACAAGGCAAATCTCTTCTGCCTATGAGCCTGTAGAATCAAAAGCAAGCTAGTTACTTCTTAGATACAATGGGGTTACAGGTATTGGGTAAATACAGCAGTTCCAAATGGGAGGAATTGGCCAAAACAAAGTGGTTACAAAGGCCCATGCAAGTCCAAAATCCAGCAGGGCAGTCAAATTTTAAAGCTCCGAAATGATCTTCTGTGACTCCAGGTCTCACATCCAGGTCACACTGATGCAAGAGGTGGGTTCCCATGTTCTTGGGCAGCTCCACCCCTGTGGCTTTGAAGGGTACAGCCTCCCTCCTGGCTGCTTTCACAGGCTAGTGTTGAGTGTCTGCAGCTTTTCCAGGCCAACAGTGTAAGCGGTTGGTGGATCTACCATTCTGGGGTCTGGAGGTCGGTGGCCCTCTTGTCACAGCTCCACTAGGCAGTGCCCCAGTAGGGACTCTATGTGGGGGCTCTGACCTCACATTTCTCTTCTGCACTGCCCTAGCAGAGGTTCTCCATGAGTGCCCTGCCCCTGCAGCAAACTTCTGTCTGGGCATCCAGGCATTTCCATACATCTTCTGAAATCTAGGCGGAGATTCACAAACCCAAATTCTTGACTTCTGTGCACTCGCAGGCTCAATACCACATGGAAGCTGCCAAGTCTTGGGACTTGAACCCTCTGAAGCCACAGCACTCTTTGGGGACACAGAGCCAAACCATATCAGCCCCTGAGCTTCCAAAATACCCTTTGCCTTTCTTTCCCAAACTTCTACCCTCAACTCCAATCAAAATGCCATTTCTTTACTGAGGAATGCAGCTAGATATAATTAGGAGATTATCACATCAACCTAATTTATGCCAGGCTATAAATGACTGACAGTGAGGCAGCAGGAAGTGTTTTGATTTTGAATTCCACAATATAAGTGATTGATTTCGTGTTCAAATTTCTGACTGTGTATATAACCTTCTCTTTCACATTGTATATTAATGACATCCTAAACATGTTTTCATGCAAGGGTTTTGGATTTTGTCATGCAATCGTGACAAAGGAATATTCTGAGAGCTGCCTGCCTGTAACCAGTTTCAGCAACATTGCTGTCTTTGTTCAGCAGCATTTGTGCAATTATTTGAATATTTTATTGCTTTTTCATATCTTTCTTATATAAATGAATGAACACTAGAAAAATTACTGATAATGCTGGTGATGGGAAATTAGGTCTTATATAGCAATTCACTTCAGATAAAGATATAAAAAATCAGGTGAGCCAGAAAGAAGAAATTCTTAGCTTCAAGTGGATACTCTCTGAATTAAAGCCCGTCTAGAATCTGTTTTATTGGTAGGAAAAGAAGCAAAAGCAAGGAACTGTATGGAATTCTGGAAATCTATCATTGAATATTGTATACAAAAAGGAAGATATAACTAAAGATTTTTAATCCTATATTTTAGTTTTTGGGCCCTGAAATCCAGTTTCTCATGAGATTCCTACACATTTCATTTTTTTGTGTGTTTTCAAGAAAACATTTTACACACAAGACAGGCTGCTGATAAAAGGTTAGGAAAAATGCCTGGGTTTCCTTCAAGCTGTCCCTTCTTCGAAGTCATTAATTCTTGCCTTAGATCTTTTCAACAACTGGAATCTAGGTAATAGCTTTGCTGCAACTACTTTAGTAGATCCCAAAGTTAGGGCCCTGAAAAACCAAGATACGGCATAGGCCTGTTGGCTAGGCACTGAGTGCTACAAGATGAGGCCAGAGGTCTGCAAACCATCATCACCTTCCTTACCTTTTGGTGTCCTTACCCATACACAATTACCAGATCCTGGAGGCTAGCTCACTTTGTGCCATTAGTTCTGAAGGGCTTGGTCTTATTAACCCAACTGAGAGGAGCTTCTGTCAGAAACTTAAATGGAATACAATCAAGTTGAATAAGACTTGTCTCTACCTTTGAGGAGTTCTCTTTTCATTTCCTTTATCTTACAGTGATGGGTGATCAGATAAGAAATGAATCATTCATTGAATTTAGTGTTGATGCTCTTTTCTTCTCTTGATGCTTCTTTTCTTCTCTTCTTTGGCTATGCCTGCATTTATCTGAAAGTTTTCTATACGTTTTATATAGAATTAAAGGTAAATTGGGTTTATTAACATTTTATATATGTTTTGTATAGAATTAAAGGGTAAATTGGGGGATTAAAAATTTAGTGTGGCAGCCTTTGCTGTTATTGTTTTTATTTGTTTGATTTTTGAGAAGGTAAAACATTTACGTGATTCAAAAATCAAAGCATATAAAAGTATATCAGTGAGAATTCTTTATCTCATTCTTGTTTTTTATTTCTGGAAGAGGAAATCTAAGTAATGACTATTCTTAGTTTCTCTTAAATCCTTTCATTATTTTTCCATACACAAGGAAATAAAAATATATTTTATTTTACCCTTTTTATATGGATAGTAGTATATTGTATACACTGTTTTGCATCTTGTTTTATTCACTCAATGTATCTTGAAGAGCTTTCCATAGAGAAATACTTCTTTTTGTAGGTGCATAGTATTCTATTGAACGCATGAACATAATTTAGCTAATCATCCGCCTATTAATGTATTTGGGATTTTTCTAATCTTTCATTATTACAATCAATGCTGAAATGTAAAACCTTAGCCTTTTACATGTGTGCAAATGTTATCTGTGGGATAAATTCCCAGAAGGAGAATTATGGAATCAAATATTTACATATTTTGATTTTGGTAAATATGATCACATGGCCATTTACAATGGTTTATTTTAATTATCAAAGCTTCATAATATGTTCTAGTCCTCCCTTATTGGTATACTCTTTTAGTTGTATTCTTTTTATTCCTATGTGAATATTAGAATTGGGTTGTCTAATTCCAAAGGAAAAAAAATCAGTATTTTTGTTGAACATGTTAAATGTGAATTTTATTAAAGGATAAATGGAATATTTATGATTTTTAGTTTTCCTATCAGTAGGTATACTTTTCTGTTAGTTCAACTCTTCTTTTTTGGCAGAGTTTTTTTCATGTATTTCTTCCATATTTCTTGTAAAAGTATATCTAGTATTTTATTTTGGTTGTGATTAAAAACAGGTCTTTTTTACATTATGTCTTCCGTTTGTAGTTTCTGTAAGTGAAGCTATTGGTTTCATTATCTTAATCTTATAATCTGCTAACTTATCTTACTGTTTGTAGTGGATTTTATTATAGTAGAATCTCTTGGGTTTTCCAAGTGTAATAACATATCATCCGCAAATAGTGATTATTGTATATCCTCTTTTCCAACTTTTGCATTTTATTTATTTCTCTTGTATAATTGTATCGGCTAGGACATCCAGCAAAATGTTAAATAATAGAAATAAGAGTGAGTACCTTTTTCTTGTTTCTGACTTTATTGGGAAAGTCTCTGATGTTTCCTTAATTAGCATAAGTGGGCTTTTGGGTTGAGATAAATCTTTGCTGGTCATTTACTCTTGGTCTTCCAGCTTCACCTCACCTTTCTATTCTATACTCTCTGGTGTTGGGGCTGGGACTCCTTTGATAGCACAGTGGGCTGCGTCAATAGGGGGCACTGGAGGGGGTTTGGAAAATGATAGCACTTTCTGGTGGGCTCTGCCAATACGAGGTACTAAAGGGAGCTTGGAAAGGGGAAGTGGGGAGAAGCACTCCCTGTCTCTCTTGCTCTTCCTGTCAGAGGTGCCCCAGTAGGGGTATCTCACCTCAGCTTTATGTATTTATTTTTCTAGATTGCCAGAGCCAGCCTCATCACTCCGCCTTGTAGGTACCAGCAGCAGCTAGGCAGTGCTCCCACCTCAGAGGTATAAGCCCCAACTCAGATGCACTTCCCTCCTCTGAGCTCCTAAAGAACTAACAGCAGCTGAGCAGCTGAGCAGTGCCCCCTTCTCACAGGTCTGAGCCCCAGCTTTGTGGGGCCCTTCCTTTGAGCTCCCATGATCTTGTAACTTAATCTCATCCTTTGGAACCCCTCAAACTGGAGGTGGTAGCTGCTTCCTTGCATTTATGGTCTGCAGGTTGCTCAGTGTCCTAGTTTTGCTGTTCTAGTCCTCTAGTACCTGTTTAAACAATTCTCTTTTTTAAATCCCTCCTGTTGAAATATCTAATGTGCTTTCTGTTTTCCTGAAAGGACCCAATCCTGAATGACTCATGCATTCCTATTTTATTGAACATTTTTGTCAAGATCAGTTGCTCATTTTTTTCTAATTTTTTTCTCTTCGTCAAAGGGGGTGATTGTATGGTTTTTCTTTTTAGACCTGTGAAATATAATAGGAACTTTTCTAACCCTAGACACTTCTAGACACTTCTAGAATTTCTGTAACAAATCTCCCTTCATCATATTGTATTCTTTTAATGCACTACTGATTCTACTTGCTGATATTGTAATTAGGATTTTTGTATTAATATTTATATCTGAGATTGGTCTTAATTTTTCTCTTTCAGGGAAATCCATGTCAGGCTTTTATTTCAATGTTATATTTGCTTTATAAAACCTTTGGATCTCCCACATTTTTGCTAATCTCTGGAAAAATTCAGATAGCATTTAACATTAACATTTCCAGGCTTTTGTTGTTGTTTTGTCTTGTTTTTATTTTTTAAGATTTGGTAGCATTGCCTTATGAGACTCTGGGTTGGGTACTAGTTTGGTATCATATAATGGGAAACTTATTTCATTAAATGAATCCAGAAATGACTAATAGATAAAATGATGTTTGTGTGTTCTGCATTAGCTGAGCTAGTTAAAAAAAAAGCTTTTTTGGCTACCAGCATTAGTTTAGATCAAACTGTGAAACAGGCAGCATGTCTCTGGTGCCCTTTTTATCCTTTAATTATTGTACATATGCATCTAATTAATTCTCCCTCTTACCTGCTCTTTTCCCTCCTATGCTGTTGCCAGTCTCTGCTGAAGTTACCTACTGATACTGTTTTTGGAGGTATGACTCTGCATATAAATATTTGCATTTTCATAGAATTATGAATATGCTCTTGGCAGAATCTTGGGTCCTGGTGCTGTATGTTTTGTGTCCCTTCTTCCTTCTAAGTTCTTCAAGTACATGTATTCCTGAGGTGAAGCATAAGCGTACCAGTTTGAGGAGAGCATATCCTCCCATTGACTTAGTTACACGATTTAATAAGCTCTACACTCAGGAACCTTAGAGAGCCTTCAGTCTTCCTCTTAATAAAAAGAGGGTCGCCACTTAACTACCTTTAGTGTGAGTAAAGGAAAAGGTGGAATAACACCTGTTATTGTGAACTCATCGCTAGCTGCCTGGCTCATCATTTCTTTTCAGTGCCTTCATGCATCCTCCTCTCTCTGACCAGCAGGTCTTTCCTTGACTTTGTCCCTGTTGAATCCTCACTGGTTTTTGAAGCGATGGCCTTGGCTTCCCTCACACAGTGGTTCCTCCTTCCCCTCAGGAACTGACCCCCTCCTCAATTTCCCCTTACGGTCTCCTGAGCTTACTTCTATCATGTTACCATTATTGCATTGTTTACTTATAAGTCTGTCTCCTTCACCAGGCTGGTTGCTGCTGAGGGTGCATTCCATGTTTATTCTCTTTTGTTTCCAATGCTTAGCTCACTGCTGTATATATAGTAGGTTTCAAAATATATTCGTTGAATTACTGAATAAATGAGACCCAACAAAAAGTGGAGAGAAAGAAAGATGAGTGGCAAATGGGTAAATGGACTCTGTAGGAACTTTTAGTACCATGCTCCAGACATGTTCCAGATGCTAAAAAGGTTTTTTTTTTAAATCCACCTGTACTATATGAAAAGTAAACATAGTGTTTCATTCAGAGTGAACTTAATTTATATTTGATTTATGTTCACATTGTGGATGCTTTTCTGGCAACACACTTTCTACATCTGCTTACTCGAAGGCATATATCAGAATAAGTCAGAAAGACAGTTTCAAGACTATGAAAGTCTAAAATCCTCTGGTAGCTTTATAGTAATTTAGCTTTTGGATCGGGAAATTTTGGTTTATTTTTCCTGCATCAGGAAATTATGTTCTGCTTCAGGAAATGATGATAGTAGAGATAAGGGAATCAAAGGGATTAATAAGGGATGCTAAAAATAGATTCATTGGGAGATAAGATGACCTGAAAGCAGAGGATTAAATTGAGGGGGTTGAGGGAAATAAAACCTATTTCCATGATGCTTCCACTTGGAAAGGATAAATATAAAGAGAACTTGGGATTATGTTTAGCTTGAATGTTTTCCCATCTTGAGCTGCTGGAAAAATTCTAATCGGCAAGCTGTGTTCGGAAGACAAAGAGAGGAATTTAGAATTCTTTGGAACTGCTTTAGCCACCAAAATTATTCTGAACTGTATAAACATTGTGATCCCTTTTCCCACTCAAAATGTAGATATATAAGAAGGCCAGTTTTTACCTGTAAGTCAATGTGGGTGCCTATCTCTTTTCCCTGTTTCTGCCATCTCTGCCAGGGGCAGAGTGTGCTTTAACTCCTGACTGCTGGCTTTGCCAATCTCCATAGGGTCTAGGTGAGAAAAGTCATATGCTCCCTATTAATGTTATTTCGACTGTATGTTTTTTAAAAATAATTGATTGGCCTAGCATTATTATGCTAAGAAAGCTTTTTAAATGGACTGACCATGGAGATGCTCAAATAGATGATTTTTAATCCCTATGAAAAAAAACAACACTAGTGTGATGTTAGCCAGTTCCATCAAAGTTTGGCATGAGATGGAATGTCCTGATCCTCTTCCTCCTATCTTATTAAATTAAAGAAATACTTTTATTAAAGCAAGCATTTGTGATATGGATTTTTCTTTAAACTCAAATGACCACATATAGAACTCAGTGTCCCCCTCCTCCCCATCTCTTTCCTACTATGCTGTTGGTAATGTACTTTTCAGTCCTTTGTTACAGGTGTTCTAATTATAAAAGGAATAAGCTGGATTAAGTAAATTTCCATAGCACAGGAAAGTGGCCTCTAATTAAGCCTATTTTGAATTTTTACTGTGAATGAGAAGTTACTTAGGAACATTTTAGGGGACACAACATAGGGTGAAATGAGAGATCTCTCCTGCACTGTGGATGGAGAGTCACTTATTCAAACACATATGTCACTTATTTTAACTTAATCATAAGAAGTATGGGCTTCTTGTGATTAAGTTAAAATAAGTGACATATATGTTTGAAAATTAGAAATGATGGCTTTGTATGTTTCCAGTACCAAAAAAAAACTAGCTCTCTTTCTGTGTTTAATTTATTGCCTTGGTAAAATTTCCTTCACCATAAGAGAATATTAGTAGAAATCGAAGATGACCAAAGCTGAGAAGAAACCAATATAATTGCTTGTATCGGCAAGACACCATGCTCTCAGATTTTCTTGTTTAAGCATATTAAACCTGTCCTCAGGCTATCTTTGAACACAGAAAAGCTGAACTGTGTGTGTATGTATATACATACAGATAAACACAAATATAAATATTAAAAAATATATAACATCAGTCTCCATCCATTGGTGAGCTGGAGCTGGGGATCAATATGCATATAACTGGCTCTCCAGGGAGAGCTATCTGATAGGGAGCTATATCAGCTAGGGAGAGCCAGTTTTATGTTTATCGTTCCAACTCTGCGTTCAGTGATATCATGGCCATGATGGGAGTGTTTATACCATGAATTTTGGCAAGCACTATGTGATGGTTAATTTTATGTGTCAACTTGGCTGGGCCATGGGGTACCCAGGTACTTGGTCAGACATTTATTCTAGGTGTTTCTGGGAGGGTTTTTTTTTGAGATGGTGGCTTGCTCTATCGCCCGGGCTGGAGAGCAGTGGCGTGATCTCGGCTCACTGCAACCTCCGCCTCCCAGGCTCAAGCGATTCAATTGCCTCAGCCTCCTAAGTAGCTGTGACTACAGGCATGTACCACCATACCCTGTGAATTTTTGTATCTTTAGTAGAGATAGGATTTTGCCATGTAGGCCTGGCTGGTCTCAAACTCCTGACCTAAAGTGATCCTCCCGCCTCAGCCTCCCAAAGTGTTGGGATTACAGGCATGAGCCACCATGCCTGGCCATAGGGAAGGTGTTTTTGGATGAGATTAACATTTAAACTGGTGGATTTGAGTAGACTGCCTTCCATAATGTGGGTGGGCCTCATCCAATCAGATGAAGGCCTTAATAAAACAAAAAGACTGACCTTCCCCTGAGTAAGAGAGAATTTTACACTTGAGTGCCTTCAGATTTCAACTGGAACATTGGATCTTCCTGCTCAATGGCTTTTGGACTAAAACATTGGCTTTACTTGCATCTCCTGAACCACTGGCCCATCCTGTAGATTTGAATTAACCAGCCTCCAAATTGCCTGAGCCAGTTCCTTATCTGTTTTGTTTCTCTGGGGAACTCAGACTAATACACCCTACATCAGGATTTTTTTTTTTTTTTTTTTTTTTTTGCCAGTGAGCCGGTTTACCAGCATCCACTCTCTCCATCTAATCCAGGGAAAAAAATCAAAATTCCCAAATAAGTACTTTCTGATCACTGTCTCTGTCTAAGCTAAGGAAAAAAATCAACAAGTCCCAAATAAAACTTCCTGGTAGGTAATCTTTTTAATATTCAGGCAGTTTCCTTCTATTCTTATTTTACTCAATTTTAAAATCAATAATTTCTCCTGAACTTAATTGAATTTTAAAAATTTAAGGGAATTTTTGAGGTACCTATTGATATAATTATTTCTCCTTTAATTTATAACTGTAGTGAATTACAGTAATGAGTTCCCTATTGAATCAGCCATGATTTCTTGGAATCAACTTTATTTAGTCTTGGAATATTATTATTTTAACTCACTTTGATAGTTCTGGCAAGATTTTATTTAGGACTTTAAAACTTATATGTTAGATTGATGTATACTTTATTTCCTTGAGTTTATCAAGTTTTGTTTTTAGATTGTGCTAGGATCTTTACATGAATCTAGAGTTATTTTTAGCTTCTTAATATTAATTTTAATTACTTTGAAACAATAAAATTTAGTAATGTTTAACAAGCACCCATTATAATTGCTAAACTGTGAAATCAGCATTATTTGTATCTGACCAGCTGTACAAAGCTCATCCATTTTTCTTTTGACAAAAGGTAGTAGAAATTCCAAACAATAAAGAAGAAACTACTCATTAAAAGTCATATTTGCTAATCTAGCACCATAATTCCAGTCTTAGAACCATTCATGCAGCTGGAAGGAGGATATGGAAGAGGTGAGAATACCAGAAATGTAAGGGTAGTTCTCAAATTGGGGCCCCATTTTGCTTGCTCTAAGGCAAAAAAAACAGAGGGTTTAGCAAAGAAGAAGGTCACTGAGGCTAGAGATGCAAACAAAAGCTTTTGGTTCAGATGGTAAAGGAGACCCTCAAGAGAGTAGAATCAGTGTATCTATAAGACAGTGCCTCATGAACTAGGCTCCAACCTTCTTGGCATCCAAGTCCTTTTTAATTTCAAGTTTTTTAGCCAGGTTTTGTATAGTATGCCATAGTTCTGAGCCAGTTACATTCCAACCACATTGCCCAAAGTAAATCAAAGCAGGACCTGGACCATGATGTTGGTAGGGAAGGTGAGGAGGGAACGAAGGGCGGCTGCAGCTCCATGGGCTGGCCTGATGAGAAAATTTTTATCTTTTTCTATTTCTTAGAATAATTTGAAAAATATAGGAATGACCTGTTGTAGGTTAGATAGAACTTGACTGTACACACATAGCCCTTTTTAACATAAGCAGTATGCTTCTGGAAATGGGAGTGCTAACTGAATCAGTGCATGGGAAAACAGAGATTTTAATAGTCAATGGGAATAGGAACTTATATATTTTAATGATATATATATATGGAGAAAGGATACATACGTATATATGTATGTATTTAAGGAAATAATTTCGTAAACAGCAATATAATAATAATTCAGTGCTGTGTGTTTAGCATTTAATGGGGGCTATGTGTGCAAAGTCTTTGTGCCTAGAACCTTTTTTCATGTTAGATCTTTCTCCTATCCTCTTTTGTATCTTCTATGGTTATAGTCCATTTAGATTTTTCTTCCTTTTTTATATGTTGGAGATAAATATACGAAATAACAAAAAGATCCTTTTCTGCCGGTAGTCTTCACAGTTTTGATTGCACCCCCACCAGTGAAATAAATTTGAGCATGCACACTCAATATGTATATGTATTTACGTATCAATTATATACATATACATATACACCTATTCTAATATATTATGTAAAACAGATTTCAACATGAGAAAAATGCAGTTAAATGTGCTTCATTATTTTAAAAAATCTTTAACACTATGTGAATTAGTAATTCAATGTCTGGTTTTAAAGTCAGTTTATTTTGATATTTGATTTTAGTCATTGCTATCTCAAAAAAAGATTCAAATGGAAGAAATGCATTGATAACTGCTCTTACTAATCACGAT
Organism: Homo sapiens; assembly: GCF_000001405.40. Taxonomy (NCBI): domain Eukaryota; kingdom Metazoa; phylum Chordata; class Mammalia; order Primates; family Hominidae; genus Homo; species Homo sapiens. Next base: position 56,921,459 of record NC_000006.12, on the reverse strand, counting down.
ATTTGTTTTTCAAGTTCATCCATAGATTATGCAAAGTTATTTAAAAATAAAATTTACTAGCAAATTTTCATCTTTCTTGATGTCAACTGATTTTCTTATAATCTGAAGGTGTTGATATTTCTACTTTTAACAAATGATTACAGAACTCACTGAAGATCTGCATTTAGTTGGCTTTAAAACATATTAGAAAACTCTATTTTCAGATTTTAAAATCTGCAAAATTAGAGCTTTTCTAGATAATAAACCTATATTCTTTGGGAGGAACAGAATCACATGTTAGTAGAAATATATTCAAATTCATATTTTTGAAACGCTCTTTCTGTTCCAGAAATTTAAAAGAGCAGTTCCTTTCTCATTCATTGTTCAAATATCACCTTTATTTGTTTGATTTATTTGTTTAAAAATGTCTGCTGCTCTATTGGGCGTGGTGGCTCATGCCTGTAATCCCAGCACTTTGGGAGGTCAAGGTGGGAAGATCTCTTGAGCCTAGGAGTTCCAGATCAACCTGGGCAACGTAGGGAAACCCTGTCTCTGTGAAAAAAAAAAAAAAAAAAAAAAAAAAAATTAGCTGGGCGTGGTTGTGTGTTCCTGTGGTCACAGCTACTCCGGAGGCTGAGGCAGGAGAATCACTTGATCCCAGGAGGTCGAGGCTGCAGTGAGTGGTGATAGTGCTACTGCACTCCAGCCTGGGTGACAGAGCAAGACCTTGTCTCAAAAAAAAAAAAAAAAAAAGGAAGAAAGAAAGAAAAAGAAAAACCGCTGTTGATGGCATCTTGCTATTACTGAAAGTTAGTAATTTTGGAACTCTTGTCTTTCTATAAAATAAAGCTGCATAATTTGCTTTTAAATTTGGCAGTGCTTTGAAGTACTTTTTATAGACAACCAATGAAACTCCGTGATCCAAAAAATTTTTAACGGTTGCTCACTGTAGTAGAGACTATGAATTTCTACCAAGAATTATTCTTTTCTTTTTGTAATAGAAATGTCCTGGTTGTAGCTGGGCGCATGGTGAGCGAGCTAGAGACTTCATTTCCCAGCCTTTCATGCAGATGTGTGTGACTCTATGGCTAAGTTATGGCCGATTGGATATAAGTAGAGGTGATATATACACATTCCAGGTCAAGCCCTTAAAAGAATCAGCTTGCCTCCTATAGCCCCTTTCTTCTCATGCCTGGGAAGGAATTGTGGTGGTAAACTAGCTTCAACCCTGTGGGCAAGTAATATTGGAGGGGAAGGCTGAGCAGTGATAGAGTAGGATCTTGGGTTCTTAGATCCCTTGGTTACTGGATCTTATTTTAATAGCTGTACTTTTGGATCTCTTTGTTACAGTAGCTAGCCTGTATCTTACTACACTTTTTATCTCATTGCAATGCAGTGTAAACAGTCTATATATTTGTTGTTTTTATCAAAATTTTTATGTGTTTATATAATTGCTGTAAAAATAACCACATTGATTGAAGTGGTGCAGAGCAGAGTGTTTAGATATATATATCCTTCTTTTTTCCCGGAGACAGAGTCTCACTGCGTCACCCAGGCTGGAGTGCAGGAGTGCAATGGTGGGCTCTCAACTCACTGCAACCTCTGTCTCCGGGTTAAGCAATTCTTCTGCCTCAGTCTCCCAAGTAGCTGGGATTACAGGTGCATGCCAAAATGCCTGGCTAATTATTGTATTTTTAGTAGAGATGGGGTTTCACCATATTGGCCAGGCTGCCCTCAAACTCCTGGGCTCAAGTGATATGCCTGCCTTGGCCTCCCAAAGTGCTGGGATTACAGGTGTAAGCCACCTTGCCTGGCCCAAATATATATATCCAAATTTATGTAGGAGTTTAGTAAATAATAAAGATGGGCATTTGGAATCAATAGAGAGGCACTAATGGTTGTTAAAGTTGGGTGATAGGTACTTAGGGTTCTTTTTAAAATCTTTTTATATTTTGGAATTTTCTGTAATAAAAAGTTAACATATTTAGGAAATTAAAAAATGAATACAATAAATTCATTGGAGAAAGGATAGTTAAGTAGATGATGTTACCCACTTGGCAGGAAATAAAATTAGTTGTGTCTCTCACACTATACTTAAAAATTAATTTCAGATGGATTAAAATGTACATATGATTAATTCCAGATGGATTATAAGTGTACATTTACAGGATTTAAAAAAATAGAAGGTATAGGAGAATGTTTTATAATTTTGCAGTTGGGAAAAGCTTTCTAGGACAAACATTTAAAAGTCATAAAGGAAAAGATTGGCAGTTTTGAATAAAAGAATTCTAAACTTATGTACAACAAAATGAAAAGACAGATTGCAACCTAGGCAAAAATACTTGCTGCATATATAGTAAATTATTTTATTCATATTATATAAAAAACTTCTCAAATCAATAAGAAATACATATAAGTTGTACAAAAATGAGCAAAGCATGTGAACAGACAATTCAGAGAAGAAAATAATTCGGAGAAAAAAATGGCTTATAAAAATATAAAAAATAATTTAAAAATTCAGACAATTCAGAGAAAAAAATGGCTTATAAAAATATACAAAGATTTTTAACTTTACTAATAAATAACGCAAATTCAAACTCACTCCGTCACCCAGGCTGGAGTGCAGGAGTGTGCGATCTCAGCTCACTGCAACCTCTGTCGCCCGGGTTAAGCAATTCTCCTGCCTCAGTCTCCCAAGTAGCTGGGATTACAGGTGCATGCCAAAATGCCTTTTGTCCATCACATAGGCAACAGATATAAAGATTTATATTATCCAGTGTTGATGGAGATAATAGAATTAAAAAGGCACTTTCATAGTGTTGCTAGAAATGTAATTTGGTACATTTTTAGAGACAAAGTTGGTACCTGTAGTATCTCTCAAACTTTTTCCTACGGACTGGAAATACCACTTCTAAGTAAAGAAGATTTAGTTGAAGATATTTTGTTTATTCCACTGTTTATACTGGAAAAAAATTAAAATGTCCGAATTCTAGTCAGTAGGAAAATAGTTAAGTATGGTACGTGCATAAACTAGAAAATTATTCAGTTGTAAAAAAGAGGGTGTGGTGGCTCATGCCTGTAATCCCAGCATTTTGGGAGGCTGAGGTGGGTGGATCTCTTGAGGTCGGGAGTTTGGGACTAGCCTGACCAACATGGCGAAACCCTGTCTCTACTAAAAATACAAAAATTAGCTGGAAGTGGTGGCACGTGCCTGTTATCCTAACTACTCAGGAGGTTGAGGCAGGAGAATCACTTGAACCCGGGAGGTGGAGGTTGCAGTGAGCCAAGATCATGCCACCACATTCCAGCTTGGGTGACAAAGCAAGACTCTGTCTCAAAAAAAAAAAGAAAAAAAAAAGAATGTACACCTGAACCTGAAATGTCATAAAAAGAGCAATGTAGAAAACATATATATAAAACAAGATCCCATTTTTGTTGAATTATTTTTATAGGAGAAGTCAAGATGATAGGAACTAACATCACAGTGATTACTCTAGAGGGATGTATTTGAAGATTCAAAACAGGGACATTCACACTTATTTATAGGGTTCAAAAAAGGGTTGCAATTTTAGGTGGATTTAGTTTCTAATTTGTTTTTTTCTGAAATTTTCACACAAGTAGATCTTTAAAAAGGAAAAATCAAACCCAAAGCATATTGAGAGTCTATTTTGTGCCCAAACATAAGTAGGAGCAATGAAGGACACAAAGATGAAAAAGAAGCTGTCCCTCCCCTTCATATCCATGATAAGTCAAACTGTGGTAAGTGCTATTTAAAAAGCCACATTGAAATAAACTTCTTTTAAATCAGTCTACTGGGAAAAGTCAACAGGAATAATATGATTCAGGTTAAAAAGTTCATAGCTCTTGCCTAAATAACTGCAAGAGGGGCAAGAGAAGGTAACAAAAATCTCTTCAAAGCTTTTAGCTACTGATCTGGATTCAGTAACATCATCTTAGGAAAAGGAGTCAATACAAGGTGACTTCTTATGCACAGTTTATGCAGATATCCATGTAATGCATTGTCAAAGACAGAGCAGAAATGAACAGTAAAAAATGCTGTAGCCACCACAAAATGGACTAGCCACAAGCATTTCTCACAAACCTTTGATTAACCATCTTTGTTTAAAACCTGCTCCTGTTGGCTTTCCCTTCTGCTTTTTCTCTGTCTTTACTCAGCATAAATTATCAGAAGATTTTAGGTCATGAAAATATTTTTTCTCCTTTCTTGCTAAGTGTGTCTTCAGAGTAAGCAGATTTTTGAGAGAGAATGTGCTGCCAGAAAAAGCATTTAAGACTTGAACACAGACCAAATACACATTTGATCTATGCAAGGGCAAAGGTTCAGCCCCCAGACAGTGGGCAGGAGTGGTCAGTCCTTTCTGCTGTGTGTATCCTCAGTGGGCTATTGCTGTTTCTGAGAAATACCTGGTCCGAGCAGTGTGTGTTAGGAGCCTCTGCCTGTCTTTTTTTTTTTTTTTTTTTTTTTTTTTTTTAGCATGCCTGGGGCTTGATGGCGAGTCTTGGCAAGCATCCATTTCATGGGGGCCCAGTGAATGCTGCTTCCCTACCTTAGTAATGTAGCTCACCTTTGGGACTTGAAATCCTGCCTGGAACTCCAGCCCAAAAGCCTGAATAGCTTTTCTCTCTCTGTCTCTCTGTGTGTGTGTGTGTGTGTGTGTGTGTGTGTGTGTGTGTGTGTGTGAGAGAGAGAGAGAGAGAGAGAGAGATAGAGAGAGAGAGAAGATCTTGTCTCAGGGCTGGAGTACAGTGGCCCCATCATGGCTTACTACAGCTCGACCCCCCAGGCTCAGGAGATCCCCCCACCTCAGCCTCCCAGATAGCTGGGGCTACAGGTGTGCGCCACCATACCCAGCTAATTTTTTGTATTTTTGGTAGAGACAGGGTCTCACTATGTTGCCCAGGCTAGTCTCGAACTCCTGGGCTCAAGCGATCTGCTCGCCTTGGCCTCCCAAAGTGCTGGGATTACAGGCATGAACCACTGCACCCAGGTCTTGAATAGCTTTTGTTAAGTTCGGGCACTGGCAGGAGTGATGCTCAAAATATTTAACAACCAGTAGAAAGTGGGCACTGAGCAGTCAGAAGAGTTGCCAACTGAAGGTCCAATACTTTGTAGTTTCTAGATCCTGGGGGAGGTTCAGGAACTCTGGGGAGGGTGTGTGCAACAACAGGACACTCAGGGGTCTTAGGGCTTCTACCTCTTATGGCTGTCCAGGTCCTGCTGTGCTTGAACTAATCACCTAGTGTCCTATGGCTCTTCTCTGCCTGGCTTTGAGGATTTGATTCATGGATCCTCTCATGGCTGTGCTGATGTATGAGCTCTTGCCTGTACATATTCATGACGCTTAGCCGACTTGTCTTGTTACTTCCTCCCTATCACCTATCTGCCATCTGAGCTAGTCTGAACTATATGAACTATCTGAACCGTCTAAACTATCTGCCATCTTCCCATCTGCCTTATGGCTTAGCCTGCCTCAGTCATGATAGGGTTGGCTTCAATGCAGGAAATTCTCAAAGAAGGTGTTAGGATTACATTGTATCTGAAGACAAAGATATTACTGGAGAATAGTTTGTTGGGGTTGCTATTGATATGGCTATCGTTGTAAGATTAGTTTAACCACTCATTCTTCCCTTGCGTAAAGTATTAACAGTTCAGTTTGCATATACATTTAGGTCTTTATTCTGTCTTCTTGTCCTCTCTTGTGTCTTGAGTGATTTCTGATGTACTGCCTGATACATTGACTTTTGTCTCCAAAGACTGATTTTGTAGTGGTATTAAAAGTCACTTAAGGATGCCCTTGAAATAGACTCAGTTAGGACTTTGCTGTGACTTATTGCAAATTAGCACGTTTTTTTCCTTTCTTTTTTTCATCTTGTTTCTTACCTTTTTTTCTGTCCCTGTCTTCACTCTCCACCCCCGTATTTTGTGCTGCACACTCAGTGGGCTGCACAACCTCATCTATCTCAGTTGACTTTCCTTCCTGTGCTCTTTTTGTGGCCCATTTTCTTTTCTCACCACACCTCTCTAGGCTGTCTTCTTATGATTAGTGTTCCTGGCCTTTGCTTAGTGTGAACATTTACCACTTCAGAAATCTTGCTGTTTGGGTGCTATTTGGCTTCTCAGAATTTGCAGTTGGGAAGTTGTAAATGCCCCATAAAACATGCTTTTTTATTTTATATTTCCTAAGTTCTTGTCTTGAGAAGGACGTTATCTTAGATATACATATTTTTAAACCGTGACTCTTTTTATTTGTAGACATGGTCACTAGTGATAATGTCTGTGAGTAGTATCTCAGAAAAGGCTGCATGCAAACAGATTGTGCTCACATTTAAAGAATCATCTATAAAATCCCTTGGTCTATAATTATGAAGGCTGGGTTATGATTTGCTGGTGGCACAGCTATTTATAGAGTCTGTCATTGCGCATGACTGTCTGTGCCCGGGGCTGTGGGCCCGTTGCTGAGAGAAGCTGAGCTCTGGCTGCCGCAAGAGCAGATTGCACTGACTGCTGCTCCTGTTTCTCAGTCAGCCTTCCTCATTTGCCTTCCTTAGCTTTGAATGGAGCTTGTTTCTCTCTAGAACTCTTGTCTATTCCCACTTTGCTTTTTCATATGGTTACTGTTACCTGTTTTTGATGTGTATATTGCCCAGTGTTTTGCCATTACTCTCATTTTTTGTATTGATGAGTTTTCTGTCCTCTAGAAGCTCTTTGTTGCTGGATCTTTCTTGTCATTGAATGTTAAATATGGTTCGTAAGTTATTGATGGCACTGTTCAGGAAATCAGACTGTTTGTTTCAGGTCAGCTTCCCAGAAAAATAGACTTTGAGATGGAGACTCTATGCAGGAGATTTATTGGGGAGTGCCCTCGGGAAAAACACCCTAAAATAGTGAGGGAAGCAGGATTGGGCCACGGAGGAATTATGTTGCATATGCCAATGGCCCCAAGATCCCACAGGAAGTTTCAGAGTTGTCCCTAGTTGAAGCAATCACTAGCCCTTCCCTGTTGACCAGCATTTGGCCTGGGGGACGGGATGTGACAGCTAGCTCTTAGGCTGGAGGGCAATTCCCAGCTAAAAGCCATGCTGCCACCCTCTCAGCAACTGGCCCAAGGAATGGGGGAAAATGTGGGGTATGCCCCACATTATCCAGACTAGTTGTAGTTTTGAATATAGTGTAATTTCTACCCTCTTTTAATTTTAATATGGATGCAATGTTGGTTCCTTACTTAATATGGGTGCATTGTTGGTTCCATACTTAATATGGATGCATTGTTGGTTCCATAAATATGCCTGAAAGCCAAGCATATTTATTTTCTTTTTATGGTTCATTTTGGTACAAAACATGAAGTTGATGAATTCAGTCTAAGAAAAAATAAGAGTGTAGGGCAATTTCAACAGAATAAACCCTGGCTTACTGAACAGCCACTGTTCATAAAAGTCTGCTGTCATTCAGTGGCTAATGACTTTATCCCTAAAAACCAAAGCTGGAGATGGGAAGGATAAAGGATTGCAGTAGGGTTGATAAAATTTGTGCAGACTTTTGCCTGGTAGTTGCAGTCTAAATATAAAAAAAATCATCAGATTAGGAAAATAATCCAACTGCATCATCTATGTGTTTGATGAAATAACATAACAGATGCTGTTTGATCTGCCTAGAAACTACAAACAGATGGAGTAGACACGGCTGCCAGAGGGAAATTAGGCTGACCTTATATTTCATAGACTAGGTTGTTGACTGAGAGTACAGATTAGCAGACCAAAACATCAAGTCAAAATTATTTTTCAGTCTGTGTTAGAAACAGAGTGCTCAAGGCCCTACAGGGTGCTATAGAGCAGGGGTTGGCCACATTTTTCTGTAAAGGGCCAGATAATAAGTACAGTATTTTTGACTTTGCAGGTCATATGATCTCTGTTGCAGCTACTTAACTCTGTGTTTGTGGCAGAGAAGTAGCCATAGACAATATGTAAATGAATGGACATGGCTGTGTTCCAATGAAACTTTGCAAAAACAGATGGTGGGTCAGTTTGTCCGAAGAGTGATAGTTTGCTGACCTTTGGTGGAGAGCACATATCAGGTTGCTGAGTTTCAGTCCTCGAGCAGATACTTACAAAGTATTAGGCAAACTTCTAAGTGTCCATTTCCTTATCTGTAAAATGGGCATTGAAAAAGTATTTACCTACTAGGAATATTACAAGAAATAGTGAGATAATGCATGCATAGTATTTGGCACATAGGAAATGCTTGATAAGTAGAAATAATTGTTGTTTATGGAGCTGTAAAGAATTAAAGAGAGTTGAATGTAGTTAGGAGCTGAACAATGCTGGAAAAGTGTTAGATAAATGGGACTCAGATTCTGTTTGGCTATGTAATAAGATGTGTCAATGGAGCTCTTTTTGTCTTAGTTTTGTTTGAGGCCCCAATAGTTGTAGTCAGAAAGGCTCACATTGCCAGAGAGAGGAGTAGAGCCCTATGTAGGAGGTAGCTATAAATTTGATTTTGCCACCAGCTCTGTGGTAGACTGTGTTTTGCTCACCAATGTCTGTGTTCTCTTATTCTTGGCACATAACTAATTTTTTAGCTTCCCTTGCAACTTGGTGATGACCTTGTAACTGGGTTCTAGTTAATGAAACGTAAGAAATGATGTGTGCCATTTACAGGTCTGATGTACTGAAACCATGCACACAATCCTGGCCCTAGTTTCCATAATCCAGCAGAGTGGAGAGGATATTGAGAACCTAAAAAGCCATAGATGGAAGGTGCCTGGTGTTCTAAATGACTCTGTGGAGCAGAGCACCACCCCCACTTGCTGATCTATGCGTGACATGAGCGAGGCATAAACTTTTATTGTGTTAAGCTCCTGAGGTTTTGGTGTTGCTTGCTGTAGCCGTTAGTCTATGCTGATAGTTATAGTCAGCCATCACCGATTTTAGGTATATGGATAAAGGCTAAGGTTTCATCTGTGAGAGGTTAAAGAAGTGCTGTTCAGTAGAACTTTCTGTGAGAACACAAATGTTTTATCTGTATTATCCAATAGGGTCTCTACTAGCCACATATGATATTGAGTACTTAGAATATGGCTAGCATGCTTGAGAAGTTGAAATTTTAATTTAATTTTAATTAATTAAAATTTAAATAAAAATATGTGGCTGGTAGCTACTCTGTTAGACAGGTCAGGATTAGAGACTGGGGAATGTCTTAGCAGTGTGCTGCGCCCGACCCCAAGACTCCATAATAATTCCAAAGGGCCAGAGACTGTGGCTGGACCACTGTTCTAATGATGGAATGAGCAGAAAGGGCTGCACTGGAAACAGCCTGCTCTCCCAGAATTTGTTGGGGCAAAGGATACATGAATATTTCTTACAGCTGTCTTGGGAGAAAGAGCCTGGAGTCACTTTAAACCCCATCTAGGAGGAAACCAAAAGGAGTGATGTGACCTCATTGGAATGGTATGCTTTTGTGACTAGAAGTGGTTGGGAGACTTTTTAATTATCTGAGAATGACCAGAAAAATTATAGATCTACACAAAATCTTATGTAGTATTGAGAGAAAAGGAACCCCTCATTGTGGATTTCAGAGGTCGACCAGGAAAGAAAATGTAGTTTTTTTCTGAGTGTACACTATGATCCCTGCTTGGGCTAATCTAACATTTATAATTAAAAAGCACTTTAAGCTCTTTAAAGGAGAAGATGCTGTATCTCAAGTAGCTTCAACCTCGTAGTCTTTGTTTAGTCTTTTCCCCACCCGCATCCAAGACTGTGTTTAGTGTCTTAGGCTCATTTGGATGCAGAATCAGAGACATACTATATTTTAAGGCATGTTGTATGTATAATTTAATGGAAATCAAAGAAAAAGATCCATACGAGGGTCTGGCTTTACATGGATAGAACTGGAAGTTGGTTACAGATTAAAGGCCTCACTCCCTGCAGTAGCGAGATGCCGTAGGAATGACTCCATTCCACTCCACTAGCTGCTTCTTTTCCTTTTGCCCTTTTCACTTATGATTTCTGGCCCCTGATAGCCTCAGCCTATACCAGAGGCACACAGTTTCCATGAATCCTTCTACATCCTTGTTACTCAAAGTTTGGTCTGCAGACCAGCAGCATCAGAATACCCTGGAAGCCTGTTAGAAAAGCAGACTCTCAGGCCCCACTCAGACCCACTGCATTAGAATCTGCATTTTAATAGGATTTCCAGGTGATCCATGTACATATTAAAGTTTGAGAAGCACTGATCTATAGAATTAATTCCCTCCCTTCCTCCTTCCCTTCCTCCCTTGCAGCCTCTATGCTAAGCAGCCCAGGCTCTCAGTTTTTCTCAGACTCTCAAAGCAAAAACTCTGATAGACACAGCCTAAGTGTCAAGAACCAGCAACCATAACTGGAGGGGTGTGAGGCTACAGTACAAAACATGCTTCCTCAGGCAGCAGGGACTGTGGGTGGAGCCTTTTGTTTAAGAAGGGAATGTTTGACATTATTAAGAGATTTTAAAATATTTTCATTTACAAAACTGCACCTAAGTTGTAGTTCATTTGCAATTTAGAAAACATTAAGGCTCTCTGATTGTTTAAATCAGTGCTTCTTACCAGCAGGAACTAATAAGCAGTTGATATAATATCAGTCAATATGAAATAAACACTGTATTACTAACCTGTGAAAGTTTATCTAAAATAAATGTACAGGCCGAGCACGGGGGCTCATGCTTGTAATCCCAGCACTTTGGGAGGCCGAGGTGGGTGGATCATTTGAGGTCAGGAGTTCGAGACTAGCCTGGCCAACATGGTGAAACCCTGTCTCTACTAAAAATACAAAAATTAGCCAGGTGTGGTGGTATATGCCTGTAATCCCAGCTACTTGGGAGGCTGAGGCAGAAGAATTGCTTGAACCCAGGTGGTGGAGGTTGCAGTGAGCTGACAGCATGCCACTGTACTCCAGCCTGGGTGCTGGAGTGAGACTCCATCTCAAAATGAATAAATAAAATAAAATAAAATAAAATAAATGTACAATTCAGCTAGGCACAGTGGCTCATGCCTATAATCCCAGCACTTTGGGAGGCTCAGGTGGGAGGATTCTTGAGGCCAGGAGTTTGAGACCAGCCTGGGCAACATGTGAGACCTTGTCTCTTTAAAATATTAAGTGGATGTAGTGGTGCATACAGGTATTCCCAGCTGCTCAGGAGGCTGAAGAAGGGGGATCACTTGAGCCCAGGAGTTCTAGGCTACAGTGAGCTATGATCACACCACTGTTCTCTAGCCTGGGCAACTGAGCGAGACCTCATCTCTATAAAATAATAAATAAAAAGAAATGTGCAGTTCCCTAGACTTTTCCAAAACAGACTCTTTGTTGTCATCATAACTCCAGGGACCAATGTTCTATACCAAACAATGACTAGTTATTAGAAAAGATTTTAAAAAGGTAATATTTTGCCCCACTTTCCTTTACTTGCCAGGGAATACATTCTCTCTGAAAACAGAACGGTATCTTCTAGATACATTATTTTTTTTCCCGGCTGACAAAGTGACTTCCAGGACCAATCTTTTAATATAGGGTTATTAAAACAACAAACAGTTAAATTGCTCTAATCCTGAGGGTCCCCCTGCATATAGCACGATGGGATACAGTATTATTAAGACCAAAACTACTCATTCACCACACAGTAAGGGGCAGGACCTTTGGTTTCTCAGACTGTACTCACATGATGGTGGCATCAGCATCACTGGAGGATTTGTTAGGAATGCAGATTCTTAGCCCTATCCCAGACTTAATGAATCAGAAACTCCGAGGGTGTGGCCCAGAAGTCTGTATTTTAATGAGCCTTCAAGGTGGTTCTGATGCTTGATAAAGTTTGAGAACCAGTGAGTCAGGGTAGTGCAAACTCCTATAGCAAATATATACTCATTGGCTCAAACAAAATACAAATCTGTTTGTTGTTTATTTAAAGGTACAGGTGTGGGTAAACAGGTTGGTAGAGTGGCCTCTTTCATGTAGTTATTCAGGGACTTGGGCTGCTGGAAGCATGGTTGCTTCAAAGGTCATGCTGGCCAAAAGAGGAGAAGAGCATGGAGAAGTGGCTGTGGGAAGTGTTTATATGCTAGGTCCAGAAATGGCTTACATATATACACATTTCATTGGCTAGAGCTCAGTCACATGGCCTTATCTAACTGCAGGGGAGGCTGGGAAACGTAGCCTAGCTTGTGACCAACAAAAAAAGGCAAACATGGATAAAAGACAGAACTATGAAAGAAACCAATTACATTGAAATATAAGTTATTAGAAATATTTTTGACAGCAGCATAGGTACTTTTTAATTAATGCGTTGAATAACAAGATCTAGTGGTGTTACAGGAAAGGAGTCCTGATTGAGACCCCCAGAGAGGGTTCTTGGATCTCCCACAAGAAAGAATTCAGGGTGAGTCCATAGAGTAAAATGAAAGTAAGTTTATTAAGAAAGTAAAGGAATAGAAGAATGGCTATTCCATAGACAGGGCAGCCCAGAGGGCTACTGGTTACACATTTTTATGCTTATTTCTTGATTATATGCTAAACAAGGGGTGGATTATTCATGCATCCCCCTTTTAGACCATATAGGGTAACTACCTGACCTTGCCATGGGATCTGTAAACTGTCATGGCGGTGGGCGGAGTGTAGCAGTGAGGACGACTGTAGGTCACTCTCATTGCCATATTGGTTTTGGTGGGTTTTAGCCAGCTTCTTTGCTGCAACCTGTTTTATCAGGAAGGTCTTTACGACCCGTATCTTGTGCCAACCTCCTATCTCATCCTGTGACTTAGAATGCTTTAACCGTCTGGGAATGCAGCCCAGTAGGTCTCAGCCTCATTTTACCTAGCTCCTGTTTAAGGTGGAGTTGCTCTGGTTCAAACGCCTCTGACAGTGGCACATTTACTAACTACTGTGATTTTGAAGTAACAAGTATAAATAGTATTTCAAGAGATCTGCAGGCACTACAACTTAATATTTAAATCTATGATGACTTTTGGTGGCAAAAGTCACAGGTACTGTTGATGATACCAGGTTTATGGCCTACATTCATAATTGAACCATATTTTAAATTTCAATTATAAGTTATTGAAAATCAAGGCATATTTTTTCTGCATCCAAGTTCGTTGACTGCCCTCTTCATCTCTCTCAAATTTTATCCATGGATCAAAGAGCTTCTACGATACACTTTATTTCTAGCCTAGGATGAAGGGAATCTTTTGATTTTTTAATGGAGCATTATAGACTTTATAAGTAGCAGCTTATTGAGCTTTATAATATTTACATATGGTAAATTTATATCTTGTATAACACAAAAGTAACATTATATATACATATATGTGTGTATATATGTGTGTGTGTGTGTGTGTATATATATATATGTATTTTCTTTTTTTGTTTTGACGAAGTCTCACTCCGCCTCCCAGGCTGGAGTGCAGTGGTGCAATCTTGGCTCACTGCAACCTCCGCCCCTGGGCTCAAGCAATTCTTGTGCCTCAGCCTTCCAAATAGCTGGGATTATAGGCGTGTGCCACCACGCCCGGCTGGTGGAGACGGAGTTTGACCATGTTGCCCAGGCTGAAAAGTAATTCTATAGCAATGCTCAGTGGGTCAACGTGTTAATTTTTCCTCTTTCCAGATGCGTAATCAGTAAACTTGACAGTAGTTTGACCTTATAAAACAATAATGCTTACCTAAAAATGTTATTTTTTTTTCCAATTTCTGCCTCATTCATCTAAATTGTTAATAGATCTTTTCTTGTTTTAATCAGTCAACATATATTCCTGAGCACTTCCAGTCCTGTGGATACATGTAGAAGATTAATTCTGAATGCATTACTGCCTTATAATCTCTTTACATAAGAGCAGAATGTTGAAGGGCACTGGTTGGAGTTAGATAAACCTGGGTTCTAATCTGGGCTTTTCTAATTGCAACTTTTTGCCTTTAAGCAGATTACTTAACCCTGAAAAGCCTGTTTGCTTGTTTCTGCAGGGTGTATATAGGCTAAGTGCCTAAATGGCGCTAAGTAAATTATTGCTATTAATATTTCCTCCCTTTTTATGCCCATCTACACATACACAACCAAACAGCCTGGTTGTCTGAGAATTCAACCTCCAAGGAAAATAGCTAACCACTTGCAAGCTTTAACAAAAATTGTGTGCGTTACAGATTTTTGTTTGTAGGTAACAGGACCTGACTGTCTGACTTAAGCCAATAGAGAATTTAATACAACTAGATTGTGGAACTCACAATCAAGACTGGATGTCTGGTTAGAACAAACAAAACCAGGCAGCTTCAGAAGGTCTTTGGTGTAGCCATTGGAACTAATGAACTCCTGATTTTTTTCAGTCTTTACTTGCCTCCATGTAATATTCACAGTCCAAGCAGAGAAATTTGAATTCACTGAGTCTTGGTTATGGGCTTACCCATGAGATGTACTGGGTTATTATTAAGAGGGAAGATCTAGAGTGGGCTCTGGAGCATCTTGGTGTAACTATGTATGAAGACATTACTCATCATTGGGAAATGCAAATAAAAGCTACAGTGAGCTATCACCTCACATCTGTTAGGATGGTTGTCATCAATAAGCCACAAGATAAGTGTTTGTTGATGAGGAAATGAAGCGGCTACATTATCTGGGGTAAATACCCGGGGTTCGTTGTCTTGCACCAAGAAAATTTAGGACAGGGACACACTTGAGGAGTTTAGGGGCAGAGGTTTAATAGGCAAAAGAAAGAGAAAGAAAAACATCTCTCTCTCTAGTGAGAGAGAGGGGACTTCTGAGAGGAAAAGGCTGGCAGGCAGTGGATGCCCCGAATTTTATAGTCCAGCTTGAGGAGGTGGTATCTGATTTTTGTAGGGCTCACAGATTGATTTGATCAGGTGTGACGTCTACATAGCGGGCCTGGAGGGCTGATTACCCCACCCTAATATTATTATGCTAATGACTCTTCCCTTGGCCAGCACCATTTTGTCTTCTTCTTACTGTACACGTGGCTGGCAGAGAAGGGAAGATGGAGCCATCATTTTGAACACGTCTAGTCCCAGGTAGTTCTTTCCTGCAGGCATCCACCTGTGAAAGCTCTCAGCTTGCTTGTCTATGTCTGCAGCTTGACTTTACAGGCTGTTCTTTGTTAGAAAATGATTTGGGGCTGCTTTTCGTTAAAGGGAAAATCTGACTGAGGACTTTTGTACCCTGAGTATCTGCCTAGTAATTTCTTCTTAACTCTGGTATCAGAAGGCTATGGAGAAATTGGAACCCTTGTACACTGTAGGTGGGAATGTAAACTGGTGTAGCCGCTATGCAAAACAGTATGGTGGTTTCTCAAAAAGTTAAAACTAGAATTACCATATGATCCAACAATCACACTTCTGGCTATATGTACAAAGGGGTTGGAATCAGGATCTTGAAGAGTTATATATGCTCCTATGTTCATTGCAGCATTTTTCACAGTAGCCAAGATATGGAAACAATCTAAATGTCCGTGGAGAGATGAGTGGATAAAGAAAGTGCAATATAGGCTGGGTGTGGTGGCTTACACCTGTAATCCCAGCACTTTGGAAGGCCGAGATGGGTGGATCACCTGAGGTCAGGAGTTCAAGACCAGCCTGGGCAACAAGGTGAAACCCCATCTCTACTAAAAATATAAAAATTAGCTGGGTGCGGTGGCCTGTGCCTGTAATCCCATCTACTTGGGAGGCTGAGGCAGGAGAATTGCTTGAGCCCGGGAGGTGGAGGTTGCAGTGAGCCGAGATTGTGCCATTGCACTTCAGCCTGGGTGACAAAGCAAGACTCTGTCTAAAAAAAAAAAAAAGTAGAGAAAAAGAAAACGCAATATATGCATACAATGGAATAGTACTCAGCCTTAAAAAATGAAGGAAATCCTGGCATATGCAACAGTATGAATGAACCTGGAGAACATTATGTTAGGTGCAATAACTCAGTCACAGAAAGACAAATACTGAATGATTCCATTTATATAAAGTATCTAAATTAGTTGAATTAATAAAATCAAAGAGTAGAATGGTAGTTGCCAGGGGCTGGAGGGAAGGAGAGATAGGAAGTTGCTATTCAATGGGTATAAAGTTTCCGTTACGCCAGCTGAATGAGTTCTAAAGATCTGCTATACAACATTGTACCCAGAGTTAACAATACTGTATTGTGCACTTAAAGGTTGAAGAGAGCAGATCTCATGATAAATGTTCCTCACACATGCACATACACACCACACAAACACACACACACACACACGAGTGCACATCTTGGGAAATGATTATCCAAAAGGGGCTGATAATTTGGGGTGTCCTAAAAATGATAGAAGTCCACTACTGACAGGCTTCCAAGTGTCCATCACCTAATGGTTGAAGAGTAACTCTTATTGGCCGGGCATGGTGGCTCACGCCTGTAATCCCAGGACTTTGGGAGGCCGAGGTGGGCAGATCATGAGGTCAGGAGATCAAGACCATACTGGCCAATGTGGTGAAACCCCATCTCTACTAAAAATACAAAAATTAGCTGGGCATGGTGGCACATGCTTGTAATCCCAGCTACTCAGGAGGCTGAGGCAGGAGAATCACTTGAACCCGGGAGGCGGCGGTTGCAGTGAGCCGATATTGCGCCACTGCACTCCAGCCTAGCGACAGAGCTAGACTCGGTCTCAAAAGAAAAAGAGTAACTCTTATTAACACCTGGAAGAACTTATAGCACCACCTACTGTTTCAAGCTAAAATTTCCTCTGTTAAAAGACATGGCTTTTTTTTAATATTACTTAGGAGAAGAAAGTGTCATAAATCAAGGAGCTGTAATTCCTTACAGTTATTTAGGGAAATAAAGGTGAACGGTCATCGTTGTTTATAGTGTTTGTAATCATAGCTGTGAGCTGCTGATGTGTAAATTGCTGCTGCCAGATCCAGGAAGTGAAGCAGTAATAATAATGATAATAATGTATTAAGTATTTTTTCTATGCTGTGTACTGTTCTGAGTACGTAATGTGGATTATCTCATTTAAACACCCCATTACTCTACAAGAGAGACGTATTGTTATATGCATTTGACAAATTAAAGAAGAAGCAAGGCACAGAGAAGTAATTTAGCCAAGACCACACACCTAGTAAGTAATAGAGCTGGTATTATATTTGAACCCAGGTAGTTTGACTCACTGGAGAGTAACAAAGAACTCTCTCCTAATGATCGGTACCTCACATGTGTCTGTCTTCAAGGCACACCAGCAATGTGACTCATTTTCCTATTTCCACCTGATTTCTTTTTTAGATAGTATGAATAATACACTATTGTGTTCAAGACTATATTTTATTCACACAAGTAATATCCATAGTAATTATAGTGAATGTTTCTGTACTACTACGTGCTAGGTACTCTTTGAAGTACTTTACCTCCATTACTTTATTCTTTTCAGCAACCCTATGAATTACTATTTTAATCCTTATTTTATAGGTGAGGAAATAATTAAGTAACTATTCAAGATCATACAACTAGGAAGTGACAAAGGCAGTATTAGAACCCAGATAGTGGCTGCAGAGTCTGTGTAGTATACCACAGTGCTTATAAATAGTTATTTTAAAATAGTACAAGTAAATTTGGGTATAAAAGAAATAACTGAGGCAGTGCTCAGATCTGGAGAAAAAATGTTAAGGTGGAATGAAGATGCCTGAAGTTTAGGAAAGACTGATTTAAGTGGTTTAGAATTTTTGGCCGCATGCGATGGCTTACACCTGTAATCCCAGCACTTTGGGAAGCTGAGCTGGGCAGATCATGAGGTCAGGAGTTTGAGACCAGCCTGGCCAACATGGTGAAACCCCATCTGTACTAAAAATACAAAAATTAGCCGGGCATGGTGGTGCACACCTGTAATCCCAGCTACTCAGGAGGCTGAGGCAGGAGAATCGCTTGAACCCAGCAGGCAGAGGTTGCAGTGAGCTGAGATCACACCACTGCACTCCAGCCTGGGTGACAGAGCAAGATTCTGTCTCAAAAAAATTTTTTTATATCATAAATAATTCTGCATTGAATATCTTACTGGGCACTCTTGGTAGAATTTCTCTAGGGTAGATACAGGGATGTGAATTCACTGAGTTATTGTTTTGCAGAATGGCTGTGACAGCATGTTTTAATCTCTGTCATTTGGTTACTTTAGCGAAGTTTTATGCAGTTTTTCTCCCTAAGTGTTTCTAGAATTTGTAGTCCACTGAGGACTATTGGTAATAATACCAGTTAAGCAAAATCTGGTTGCTTATTACTCATAAGAGAATCTACATTCTTACCAAAGAAATGTACTGAACTTACTCCACTATTACAGAAGCTACTATATCATCAAATATTTTGTTCATTCTACCAGAACACCAAATTTCTGAATTAGAATGCAGGGCTATGGGAGATAATGCCATCTAGTGGTCAAACTAAACTCTGGTTCCTAGAGATTCTTAGTCTTCAAAGTGTAGAAAAATTATCAGAGAAGCTTGTTAAAAAATGAGATTGAGAAGGAAAGACAGAGAGAGAGAGAGAGAGAATGAATGTGTGTGTGTAGAGGGTGGAGGGGGCGGGTGGGTGGATGGGGAATGTCCAGGAAGCTGCATAAAAAGCAGCCTGTATGGTTGTTGGTTTTGATGTGTGTGGTCTAAACTGCCCTAGAATTTGGTTCAGCATTTGGCCCAGTTCCCTCTTCTCCTTAATCCTCTTCTCCAGCAGCTGCTGTAGTACCTCCTGAGTTACGTGGGAGTGGTGGGGATGTTCTGGGACTATTTTCGGTTGAAGAGGACCAGCTGAGCTTGCACGCAGGGGCGGGATGGGAACAAGACTAAAGTATTTGCGGATGGATTAGGAGAGCCCAAACAATGACCTCGGTTTTGCCAAATCCATTTGCATTTTCTCCTTACCGATTTCTGTTGACCTCATTGCTACTTTTGACTCTGGGGTTAACCCCCTCCTTTTTTAAAAATTATCTCTTTCTTCATATCCTTCAGCCTGGTGTACAGGCTCTCCATAATTGGACAGTAGCCCATCTTCCGGCTCCCTCAGTGAGAATCCCACTGTACACATTTATCTTTCAGAATCCCACAGAATCATTATTATGCCTTTTCTCATACTGTTCATCTCTCTGAAATTCTTACTCCTCATTTTTTATGCATTTACTGCAGACTTTAAGCCTTTTATACATCTTCAAAAATTCAGAAGACACACAAACTGAAAGAAGCCCTTCTTGGATCATTTAGTGTTTATCTCTCACTAGTTTCCCACCATATTTAGCTTGTACCCTCATACCAGCACATTATCAAATAACGTTTCTTATTGTTGTAAATACTCCACCCATCTGTCTATCATCTATGTATTATTCATTCATTTCTTATGTTGTTTCCTTTGTCTTCAATATAAATTCAATTCATTCTTCAAATGCCACCCACTCAACTAAGCCAAATGTAACTATACTCAGCTTCATTCATTGATTTCCTTCTCTGAGATCTGCTAGCGCTGAGAGTCTACTACTTTAACCACTTTAACCCTTCATTACACATTCCCATGTGTTTATGAACTCTATGTTAGATTTCTCCTTCTGCTCTCCAGTAAATTGTAAGCCATGAGGACCAAGACTATTTTATGTAATTATTGATATTTTCCAAAATTGCATGTTCTCAGTTGCATAATATGACTTAGCTGACATGTTTCCGTTGTCTGAGTTGTCCTTATACTCATCTTGCTCTAAAGAAGAGGAAAATGACAATTTTATTAAGCACTTCCTATGTGTCAGATACCATGCTTAGAATTTTACATGTATATATATATACACACACAGAAACACACACACACAGATACACACACACACATATATATATTTTTTATCTTATTTTATTTTATTTTTTAGATGGAGTCTCACTCTGTCACCTGGGCTGGAGTGCAGTGGCATGATCTTGGCTCACTGCAACCTCTGCCTCCCAGGTTCAAGCAGTTCTCCTGCCTCAGCCTCCCAAGTAGCTGGGATTACTGGCGTCCACCAGCATGACCAGCTAATTTTTGATTTTTAGTAGAGACAGGGTTTCGCCATGTTGGCCAGGCTGGTCTCCAACTCCTGACCTCAGGTGATCCACCCGCCTTGGCCTCCCAAAGTGCTGGGATTACAGGCGTGAGCCATTGTGCCCAGCTGGAATTTTACTTATATTTATGTTATTTAAAACTTAAAAGCCCTGTGAGTGGAATGTTATACATTTTGTAGGTTAGAACAGTTGGACTCAGAAATATTTAATACATTGTGTAGCTGTAATTAAGAAGTCAGCATTTGGACCCGGGCCCATCTGACGCCCAAACCCATACCCTTTGTGCCACCTCGTTGCTTCCATTTGAGTTTGGAACCCTCACTTTGTGGTGTTTTGCAGTGATGATTGGCATTCCTGCTCTTTCCTTCCTCAGAAAGAGTCTCTCTCAGGAATGTAAAGTGGCACTTTACCCTGGAATGATATCCTGTCCCGCTCCCTACACTCTACTTCAGGCCAAAATGGAAACGCCCTTCTTCACAGTCTCCCTGATGCTTCAGTCAAGCAGTGTGCCCACCTGCTTTTTTTCCCTCCTTTTTTTTTTTTTTTTGGACTGGCTTTACTCAATTAAGAACACTTCTTAATGTAGAATAACTCTGGGCCCTGAAATACTGGGGTGCTTTAAAGAACACTTGTGGGGAAAACTTAACTTGCACGTTAAGCCTCCTCCATGCTCACTTTGGGAGTGCACGTGATCTCACTGAATATAGTGACTTTTGGAGCTCTTTGTATAACTAGCCATGGAGAACTTCCAGACTAACTCAATACAAATCTGGATTTGCTTGGTTGTGTTTTCTGCCACAGGGATTCAGAGCAAGCCCTCGGCATCTTAGAAGACGAGTTGCAGCGGCCGCAGCTGCCCGTCTGGAAGAAGTGAAGCCCGTGGTGGAAGTTCACCATCAGAGTGAGCAAGAAACTTCAGTGAGGAAACGAAGAATCAAGAAGAGCAGCCGAGTCCAGCCAGAATTTTATCACTCTGTTCAAGGTGCTTCAATCAGGAGGCCTGTAAGTAGAGAACTGTCTTTTATAAAAATATTAAATTCACTGTCAAATCATGTGGTTGTTCTTTTAGTTTAAAAACATTATCAGATTAACTTTGAATAATTAGGTTGTTGTTATTCCCAACAAGTGGCAGCGTACTCATATGAGTTTCAGCAAGGAATAGGGTTTCATAGAATGTTCTAGGATGGATAGATAGTTGACAAAAAAGCAAGAGTTAGTCACTGTCAGGCAGCTGATATGAAAGCTGGTGAACTCCCAGCCCTGCTGAAGCTGGAGTTCTAGAATGAGGATGGGGACATAGAGTCAACAAATCTAGGTGTGGTAATGAGAGAACTGATGAAGAGGATGACAACAAAACCAGTGTCAGGATAGGAGAAGCAGTGAAGGAAGGTGGGGCTGGAGTCTTGGGCAGTAGCAGTGGCTGAACTCCTCCTGGAGGCTCTTGAGCCAGTGAGGCCTGTGCGTCCCTCCACACCCAGCCTAGGGTAACTCTAAGTGTCCTGGCCTTCTCAGGTGTGGCCTTTATATTGTTATAAGGCAGCACCATTGTCTTTTTCTAACCTGGTGCCCTGTTGGCCACAATGCCACCTTTCTTCAGAAACTCAGGGCTCAACTAGGAGCTGGTCTTCATCCCCTTCTCACATCCTGAGCACGTTGTTCTGTGTGCTCTGATTTTTCTTTCCTTGGTTCTGGCTCATGGGCTTTTTACCAAGGCTGGGGCTTAGAAAATGCCATTTTAAAACTTGTAAAGTAATTTTATGACTGCAATAATTTTATTTGCTTTGGCATTAGAAAAAAGTGTCTGTATGGCTCATCTCTATGCTGTGGGGAGCCTGTTGTTGTTTCTTGTGCCAACATAGGGGAGCCATCAAGATTTGGCTTGAAAATGTCTTTGTAAATTATTGAAACAGAACTGCCCTTCTGTGGGGGTAACTGTGTGGCAGGCACATGTGGAGACTGTGCGAAGGCCAAGAGAATGTCTGACTCAGTAACCAGGCCAACAACAATGGAAAGAAGTTAAATTCCTTTACAGAAAAGGATCTGTTTATCATAACCAATTGAAAAAAAAGTACATATTTAGAAATGAGGGTTTATTTTTCATGATTCAATAAAACAAAGGCTAAGTAGAATTTGGTATCTATGCAGAGAAATATGAAATGGTAGGAAAATTTACTCATTCAACAAACATGCATTTTATGTAGAAAATAAGGGACATACAGATATGTGTTAACTAACAGTTACTGAGGGCTAAATGTGTAACAGGCATTATTTTATGTCACTTATTTAACAATTCTATGAGGTAGATGTTATGATTCCCATTTTATGGATAATGAAACTGAGCCCCAGAGAGGATACATAACTTGCCTCAGGTTATCTAGTTGTTTGGGGTAGAGTTTAGGATTTGGATCTAGGTGGCCTGCCTCCAGAACCCAAGCATGTACCTCTACCATCTGTTACTTTCCTGTAGTACCTGGTCACTAGGAAATCACAGTCGAGTCAATCAACAGACATGAAAACAAGCAATTATAATGCATGTTCTGTGCTTTGAAAGTACTGTTCTAGAGTTATACACAAGGCATTATGGAATCATCTTGGATCTCCAGAAATATTTACAGATAAGCAGACACCTGAGATGAGTCCTGAGAGATAAGGAGGAATTTACCAAGTACAAAGTAGAAGTAGGTATCTTCTGCATGAGAAAAACATATATAAAAGCACAGAGATGTGGGAGGGTATGGCATTCTCAGTGAACAGCTTGAGGTGGTGCTGGCACATCAGACTGGTGGGTTGGGTAGAGGCCAGATTAGAAAGGGCTTGTACATTATGCTAAATATTTGAACTTATTTTGTGTAATAGGCATCAGTTGAAGGTAGGGAATAGGTGAATTGTTTCTCTTGCCAGGAGTCTAGCTAATTCTTTGCTTCTTCTAATCTCCCCATGTGGATCAGGATTGAGAAGTAAGTGACTATCATTAAAGTTTAGAAACTCTCAACCATCATTATTCTCTCACAAGCCCTCTACATAACTGCCTTGGTTAATAAGACATAGTCTTTATGCCTCTGTGACTTTGAACCTGCTGTCTACTTTGCCCTTGAATGTTTTTCCTTATTCTTTGTTTGCCTGGTAAACTTCAGTTCATCTTTTGAGACTGACTCATGCTCGGATAGGTCAGGTGAAGTCTTTTCTGATCCTTCCTATCAGAGTGAGGTGCCCTTAGTTTTGATTCTCAGCACTAGGTACAAACCTCCAACATAGCAGCTACCCCAGCAAAAAAGGAGGTCTCTGCAGTAAGACTCACGTGGGTTCAAATCCTGCTCTGTGTATCTGCAGGAAACAGCACACTAAGAGGATTTAACTGAAGAGAGTTTAATGAAGGCACTATTTACAGAAATGTGGGCAGGGCTAAGGTGCTTCATCAGCCTATAGGTGGAGCCTACTTACCTTCAACTCCTGGTCTAAGGGGCAGCAGAGGGCATTGGTCTTAATTGATCCTGGTAGGAAGAGCTGGAGCCATGGAAGAGCCCTTCCACAAGGATGGTGCCTGAGGGTTGCAGCTACTGCCAGAACCTAGTGAGTCAGGAGGGAGCAGGGCGAATAAATATACTGCTCTCTTAGCTCGTGCTCTCAGTGGTATCTCCTGTTGACCCAACCTACCTAGAAGCTGGAGGGCAAAGGAACTTGGGTGATGCAGATCACAGCCATCAGTCTCCCAGGGACTGAGCAAGGAAGAGATGGACAGACAATCTGAGAGGGTTACAGTGACAGCAGAGAATAAAAACATACCTACCTGGTGGCCGAGCATGGTGGCTCACTCCTGTAATCCCAGCACCTTGGGATACCAAGGTGGGCAAAACACTTGAGGCCAGGAGTTTGAGACCAGCCTAGCCAACATGGCAAAACCCCTTCTCTACTAAAAGTACAAAAATTAGCCAGGTGTGGTGGCACACGCCTGTAATCCCAGCTACTCGGGAGGTGGAAGCAGGATAATCGCTTGAACCAGGAGGTGGAGGTTGCAGGGAGCCAAGATCGTGCCATTGCACTCCAGCCTTGGCAATAGAGTGAGACTACGTCTCAAAAATAAATAAATAAATAAATAAATAAAAACAACCCCCCCCCCAAAAAAAAACCACTTAGTATTCTTTGCCAAGATATTTCAATTCTCTGAGAATCAGTTTCCTTATTATAAAGTGATAATAAGGGAAAGGACACCCTTCTCAACAAATAGAAAAGTTTGGGCTAGCCACATGTAGGAGAATGAAACCGATCCTCATCTCTCACCTTATACAAAAATCAACTCAAGATAGATTAAGGACTTAAACCTAAGACCTGATACTATAAAAATTATAGAAATAACATTGGAAAAACCCTTCTAGACATTGGCTTAGGCAAAGATTTCATGACTGAGAACCCAAAAGCAAATGCAGTAAAAACAAAGATAAATAGTTGGGGCTTAATTAAACTAAAGAGCTTTTGCATGACAAAAGGAACAGTCATCAGAGTAAAGAGACAGCCCACAAAGTGGGAGAGAATCTGCACAATCTATACATCTGACAAAGGACTAATATCCAGAATCTACAATGAACTCAAACAAATCAGCAAGAAAAAAACAAACAGTCCCATCAGAAAGTGGGCTAAGGACATGAATAGACAGTTCTCAAAAGACAATGATATACAAATGGCCAACAGACATAGGAGAAAATGCTCAACTTCACTAATGATCAGGCAAATGCAAATCAAAACCGCAAGGTGATACCACCTCACTCCTGCAAGAATGGCCATAATCAAAATATTAAAAAATGGTTGATGTTGGCGTGGATGTGGTGATCAGGGAACACTTCTACACTGCTGGTGGGAATGTAAACTAGTACAGCCACTGTATTAGTTTGTTTTCATGCTGCTGATAAAGACATACCTGAGACTGGGAAGAAAAAGAGGTTTAATTGGACTTACAGTTCCACATGGCTGGGGAGGCCTCAGAATCGTGGGAGGTGAAAGGCACTTCTTAACATGGTGGTGGCAAGAGAAAATAAGGAAGAAGCAAAAGCAGAAACCCCTGATAAACCCATCAGATCTCATGAGACTTATTCACTATCATGAGAATAGCATGGGGAAGACCGACCCCCATGATTGAATTACCTCCCACTGGGTCCATCCCACAACACGTGGGAATTCTGGGAGATACAATTCAAGTTGAGATTTGGGTGGGGACACAGCCAAACCATATCAGCCACTATGGAAAACAGTGTGGAGATTCCTTAAAGAACTAAAAGTAGGCTCTCCCGTCTCCCTCTCCCTCTCCCGTCTCCCTCTCCCTCTCCCGTCTCCCTCTCCCTCTCCCGTCTCCCTCTCCCTCTCCCGTCTCCCTCTCCCTCTCCCGTCTCCCTCTCCCTCTCCCGTCTCCCTCTCCCTCTCCCGTCTCCCTCTCCCTCTCATGCCGAGCCAAAGCTGGACGGTACTGCTGCCATCTCGGCTCACTGCAACCTCCCTGCCTGATTCTCCTGCCTCAGCCTGCCGAGTGCCTGCGATTGCAGGCGCGCGCCGCCACGCCTGACTGGTTTTCGTTTTTTTTTGGTGGAGATGGGGTTTCGCTGTGTTGGCCGGGCTGGTCTCCAGCTCCTAACCGCGAGTGATCCGCCAGCCTCGGCCTCCCGAGGTGCCGGGATTGCAGATGGAGTCTCGTTCACTCAGTGCTCAATGGTGCCCAGGCTGGAGTGCAGTGGCGTGATCTCGGCTCGCTACAACCACCTCCCAGCCGCCTGCCTTGGCCTCCCAAAGAGCCGAGATTGCAGCCTCTGCCCGGCCGCCACCCCGTCTGGGAAGTGAGGAGCGTCTCTGCTTGGCCACCCATCGTCTGGGATGTGAGGAGCCCCTCTGCCTGGCTGCCCAGTGTGGAAAGTGAGGAGCGTCTCTGCCCGGCCGCCATCCCATCTAGGAAGCGAGAAGCGCCTCTTCCCCGCCGCCATCCCATCTAGGAAGTGAGGAGCGTCTCTGCCCGGCCGCCCATCGTCTGAGATGTGGGGAGCACCTCTGCCCCACCGCCCTGTCTGGGATGTGAGGAGCGCCTCTGCTGGGCCGCAACCCTGTCTGGGAGGTGAGGAGTGTCTCTGCCCGGCCGCTCCGTCTGAGAAGTGAGGAAACCCTCTGCCTGGCAACCGCCCCGTCTGAGAAGTGAGGAGCCCCTCCGTCTGGCAACCACCCCGTCTGGGAAGTGAGGAGCGTCTCCGCCCGGCAGCCACCCCGTCCGGGAGGGAGGTGGGGGGGGTCAGCCCCCCGCCCGGCCAGCCTCCCCGTCCGGGAGGTGAGGGGCTCCTCTGCCCGGCCGCCCCTACTGGGAAGTGAGGAGCCCCTCTGCCCGGCCAGTCGCCCCGTCCAGGAGGGAGGTGGGGGGTCAACCCCCCGCCCGGCCAGCCGCCCAGTCCGGGAGGGAGGTAGGGGGGTCAGCCCCCCGCCTGGCCAGCCGCCCCGTCCGGGAGGTGAGGGGCGCCTCTGCCCGGCCGCCCCTACTGGGAAGTGAGGAGCCCCTCTGCCCGGCCAGCCGCCCCGCCCAGGAGGGAGGTGGGGGGGTCAGCCCCCCGCCTGGCCAGCCGCCCCATCCGGGAGGGAGGTGGGGGGGTCAGCCCCCCGCCCGGCCAGCCGCCTCGTCCGGGAGGGGGGAGGGGGGGTCAGCCCCCTGCCCGGCCAGCCGCCCCGTCCGGGAGGGAGGTGGGGGGGGTCAGCCCCCCGCCCGGCCAGCCGCCCCGTCCGGGAGGGAGGTGGGGGGATCAGCCCCATGCCTGGCCAGCCGCCCCGTCCGGGAGGTGAGGGGCGCCTCTGCCCGGCCGCCCCTACTGGGAAGTGAGGACCCCTCTGCCCGGCCAGCCGCCCCGTCCAGGAGGGAGGTGGGGGGGGTCAGCCCCCCGCCCGGCCAGCCGCCCCGTCCGGGAGGGAGGTGGGGGGATCAGCCCCCTGCCTGGCCAGCCGCCCCGTCCGGGAGGTGAGGGGCGCCTCTGCCCGGCCGCCCCTACTGGGAAGTGAGGACCCCTCTGCCCGGCCAGCCGCCCCGTCCGGGAGGGAGGTGGGGGGAACAGCCCCCCTGCCCGGCCAGCCGCCCTATCCAGGAGGTGAGGGGCGCCTCTGCCCGGCCGCCCCTACTGGGAAGTGAGGAGCCCCTCTGCCTGGCCAGCCGCCCCGTCCGGGAGGGCGGTGGGGGGGTCAGCCCCCCGCCCGGCCAGCCGCCCCATCTGGGAGGTGAGGGGCACTTCTGCCGGGCCGCCCCTACTGGGAAGTGAGGAGCCCCTCTGCCCGGCCACGACCCCGTCTGGGAGGTGTGCCCAGCGGCTCATTGGGGATGGGCCATGATGACAATGGCGGTTTTGTGGAATAGAAAGGCGGGAAGGGTGGGGAAAAAATTGAGAAATCGGATGGTTGCTGGGTCTGTGTGGATAGAAGTAGACATGGGAGACTTTTCATTTTGTTCTGTACTAAGAAAAATTCTTCTGCCTTGGGATCCTGTTGATCTGTGACCTTATCCCCAACCCTGTGCTCTCTGAGACATGTGCTGTGTCCACTCAGGGTTAGATGGATTAAGGGCGGTGCAAGATGTGCTTTGTTGAACAGATGCTTGAGGGCAGCATGCTCGTTGAGAGTCATCACCACTCCCTAATCTTAAGTACCCAGGGACACAAACGCTGCGGAAGGCCGCAGGGTCCTCTGCCTAGGAAAACCAGAGACCTTTGTTCACTTGTTTATCTGCTGACCTTCCCTCCACTATTGTCCTATGACCCTGCCAAATCCCCCTCTGCGAGAAACACCCAAGAATGATCAATAAAAATAAAAAATAAAAAATAAAAAAAAATAAAAAAAAAAAAAAAAAAAAAAAAAGAACTAAAAGTAGGACTACCATTTGATCCAGCAATCCCACTACTGGGTATCTACCCAGAGGAAAAGAAGTCATTATATGAAAAATATACTTGTACACGTGTGTTTATAGCAGTACAATTCACAATTCCAAAATTGTGGGACCAACCCAAATGCCCATCAATCAACGAGTGGATAAAGAAACTGTGGTGTATCTATACGATGGAATACTACTCAGCCATAAAAAGGAATGAATTAACAGAATTTGCAGTGACCTGGATGAGATTGGAGACTATTATTCTAAGTGAAGTAACTCAGGAATGGAAAACCAAACATCATATGTTCTCACTGACATGTGGGAGCTAAGCTATGAGGACTCAAAGTCGTAAGAATGATAAAATGGACTGTGGGGACTTGGGAGGAAGAGTATGAGGAGGGCGAGGGATAAAAGCCAACAGTATGGTACAATGTATACTGCTTGGGTGATGGGTGCACCAAAATCTCACAAATCACCACTAAAGAACTTACTCATGTAACCAAATACCACCTGTACCTCAATAACTTCTGGAAAAATAAAAAATAAATAAAGTGATAACAATAGCTACCATATAGAGTCATGAGGATGAACTGAGCTGACATATGGAAAGACCTGCATAGAATAAACAATAAATAGTAGTTTCTTCCTTTTATTCCTCCTCCCCTAGACCATGAATTCTTTGAGGCCCATATCAAGGGTTCTAGAATATCTCCTGGCATCTGGCGTTTGGCATTTGGCATCTGAGTGAATACTATTGACTGAGTGAATGATATATGAAAGATAGCTAATGATGACTGGTACAATTAGTAAGCATTATAGGAATTCAGAGAACAAAGAGGGGACCCCCACCCCTAAATAGGTTGGTTAAGGCATAATTACTTTATGGAAAAGTTGGGATTGAGTTGGGCTTTAAAATATGGGTAGTGCTGGGCGTGGCGGCTCACACCTGGAATCCCAGTACTTTGGGAGGCTGAGGTGGGAGGATCACTTGAGCTCAAGAGTTTGAAACCAGCCTGGGCAACATAGGGAGACCCTATCTCTACTAAAAATTAAAAACAAATTAGCCAGTCATGGTGGTGCACGCCTGTAGTCCCAGCTACTTGAGAGGCTGAGGTGGGAGAATCACTTGAGCCCGGAGTTCCAGGCTGCAGTAAGCCATGATCATGCTGCTGTACTCCAGCCTGAGTGACAGAGCAAGACACTGTCTGAAAAAAAAAAAAAAAAAAAGGGATAGGAATTGGCTGGGTAGCAGATGCTGGGTCCGGGAAGTGGAGTAAGCAAAAGTGCTGAGAACTGACTGGATGTGGGGATTTATATGAGAGAAATACAAGATAAAGCTGGAAAAAATAGTTAGGGGCCAACATACATTTCAGACAACCACTGGTTTAAGCTTTCTTTTCTGTGCTTCTGAAGACACTGTAATAGGTGAGTAGTGTGATCATAGCATGATTTTAGGAGGATTAAACATGTGCAGGGTACATCAGGAGAGCAGGACAGTTAGGTAGCTGTGGCAGCCTAGCAGTGAGGTGATTAGGGCCTGAATTTGGGCCTAACCCATGGTGTTCTGCTGACATCTGCTGATGACTGCTGGTGGGGAATCTGAGGATGGCCTCACCCTCTCTCCTGAAGGATCTGTTGGAAGAGAGGGAGATTAGAGGGCAGCAAATAGCAGTGGAGATTACTCAGTTGCATGGGCAAAAAACCATTCTGAGGAGTGTTTTTTTTTGAGACGGAGTCTTGCTCTCTTGCCCAGGCTGGAGTGCAGTGGTGCGATCTCAGCTCACTGCAAGCTCCACCGAGGAGTTTTCTTTTTTTTGAGACAGGGTTTTGCTCTGTCACCCAGGCTGGAGTGCAGTCGCGCAATCACGGCTCACTGCAGCCTCAACCTCTTGGGCTCAACCTTCCCATCTCAGCCTCCTGAGTAGCTTAGACTATAGGCAGGTGCCAGCATGCCTGGCTAATTTTTTTTTTTTTTTTTTTTTTTGAGACGGAGTCTCACTCTGTCGCCCAGGCTGGAGTGCAGTGGCTCAATCTCGGCTCACTGCAAGCTCCACCTCCCGGTTCACGCCATTCTCCTGCCTCAGCCTTCTGGGTAGCTGGGACTACAGGTGCCCGCTACCACGCCTCATGCCTGGCTAATTTTAACTTTTTTTTTGTAGAGGTGGAGTCTGTCTGTGTTGTCCTGGTTGGTCTTGAACTCCTGGGCTCAAGAGAACACCTCGGCCTCCCAAAGTGCTGGGATTATAGGCATGAGCCACCACATCCAGCTGGGAGAGGTCTTCAGGGTGTCTTACTGCATCTCCTGTCAGTTGTCTGAGAGACTGGACGTTGTCAGAGTTGGTAGTGAGAAGGCTGTTGGCTCCTTGTCTCACACAATTCCTGTGCAGGCTTCTAGAACCTTTTGGCCTCTGCCGACATTTCCCTGCTTTTAATGCCATATATGAGCTTGAACTGAGGCTTTGTGTCCTCTTCTGGATTTGGTTAGGTGCAGCCAGTAGTGCCTGCTAGAGCCACCCTATTCAACATGCGTCTAAAGCCTGTGTCTTTTCTAAACGTACACATTTGGAGAAAATCAGTGTTATGACGTGTTGCCATGAAAGCAACTCTGATTATAGCTTGGAGATGGAGTAAAAATAAATCAGTTATGGTGATTCAGGATTACTTGAATGACTTTATATGAAGCACTCAAGGCATTTCTAGTGGCAATCTAAATAAGAAATAGGCCCATGAGTGAGAAAGACTGAAAACAGAAGTAACTGCAAAGGAGATGAGTCAGAAAGCGTGACTGTGCAGTTTTAGCTACTTTCAGTCAGACCATCCTCTTGAAGTGTTATGTGAAATGCAAATACTTTAGCATCCTTAGCTGTTTTAACCTATTTACTTATTCTGGATTTGTAAGCTATATGCAAATATACCTATAAGAATTTGTAATGGGGATCACTAATAAAAACTTAATAATATCTAGATTTTTTATTTTACTCCTTGTTTTAGATGTTTCTAAAAGTGGATAAACTAAAAATTTATCCTGATTTCCTCTCAGTACATATGTATTTGGATTTATACTGTATATTAAGATATGTCACTAGGATGCTTAGGAATTTTTTTTACCATCTTGAAACAGAAAAGATAATTAGATCCAGATCTCCATTTATTCCTTAGTATTTTCACATTACAAAGCATTTTGTTTTGTTTCTGAATCCCAGGATTTTTAAACATCATCATCATCATCATAAGAACTCTTGCATTACTGCATGTTTACCTCATTGACAATACATGGGCATTGTTCTCTGCACTCTTCTCTGTTTTTCTCTCATTTTATCTTCTCAGCGATTCTCTGGAGTCGGTGCTCACTTTCCAGGGAGGAAATGTGTCAAGGTCATACAGCTGGTAGATCATGGAGTTAACATTTAAACCTAGGCACTCTTGGCTTGAGCCGTTTTTGAGTAAGGAATGGAGAACTCCCCATGATTACAATTCTAGTGCTAGACATTTATCCTCATCAGCCTTCCTGAAGTATTTTAATTACTTTGAGTCTCATTTTTCTAACTGCATAGATGGTAGATATGGATGAAATCTTTGTGTTTTTAAACTATTACATCAATTAAAACCTATCTTTAAAATGGTATTGAAAACCATAGGTAAACCTCAAACATCATTTTTGCCATCATTTTATTGGCAAAATTGGCCCCCTCTTTCTGTGGCAGGGCACCTAGGAGGTAGCAAGAAGTAAGCAAGAGTAATTTTGCCCTACTGCCTGCTCACATGAACCTGTTAATGTACAACTTTCAGACCCAAAAAGTATTTATGTGTTTGAGATTGGGGGTGGGTATGGGGAAATAACAGTTTTAGAGCATCAGGAAATAATCAAACATACTGACTCTACTCCTGTTACATTTCACTGATTCCAGTTTTTTGCACACTGCAACAGCATTGCCTGCATTTCCTGGTGACTTAGAATCTTTGAGACTTTCTCACTGAGCTGAAAAAGTATAATTAAAAATTGCTAGTGTTCCCAGGTTATTGCCAAAGCTGCAGCTTGTTCTCCCTGCTGGCAAAATCTTAGCCTCTGAGCACCTGTTTTCTTACTTTTGGGCTCCCACCACCATCAAGCAATGGGATTTTTGAACCTGACAGTTTTGACTGAGGAGTTGGAGGACATATGGGCCTAACACAGGTGATTGGGTGATCCTCTTTTCTGAAATGGTAAGCACAAAGGAAGAAGCAGGTTTGGATTGAGGATTGGAAAGAAAATTTTCTGATTTGGATATGTGAAGTTTGAAATAACTATTAGATATTCTTGTGTCTGGATTTCATGGAAGATGTGAGAATTATTTGTACATAGATGTTATTAAATCTATAAGACTGGGTGGGATGACTCCGAAAATGAATTTGATAGAGAAGAGAAGACACTTGAGGTCTGAGCCTTGGAGTCTGCCAGTGATGAGAGTTTGGGAAGAGGACTGAGGATCGCTTATAACTTCCAACTCTTCACTCAGAAATATAAATGCCTTAAGCAGACATGGGTCTAGGTAGCTCTTGACTTTGATTTAAGGCTATTCATTTTAGGCCAAGAAAAGGCCACTCAGGTAGAGACTAGAGAAAATAGCAGGAAATGAAGTCCCAGATGTACTCATTAGATTTTCCCTTCCCTGAACTCTCCCCAACTAAACCACCACTTCCTTGACCTCACCCTTCTTTTCCTTCTGTTGTGGGTTTCTGTTTTTCAGTCTTGGGGAAATTTTCTGTTTTTCTGATTACAGCTTAGGTTTTTGTAAGGCTGCAGTATATTTTGGAACATTATATAGCTTTAATTTGTAATAATTAAATTAACCAGATTTTGTCATATTTGTAGTTGGGAACTTTTTGGAGTGTAGGAAAGACTTAAGCATATATCCTTGATCTCTTGAAAATATAGCAGGGTGTTTCTGTGTTCCTTTCCTGCTTAGATTATTAAAATGGTCTTCCTTTTCCCTTTCCTTTTCAAATATGTAGGACCAGGCAGCTCTATGTGCATAACCTTAGGATATTTCCCCTTTTGTGGAAGGCATAACTGTACAACTCATACCTTACTTTGGCTAATTAACTAGCAAATCCAAAGCTCTTAGAGGAAACATTTGTTTCCTTTTCCCCTTTGGAATTCTGGAGAATGAATTGATTAATAAAGTCAAATTTCTTTTGCTAATTATCTGAAAAGAATTTTTTTGAATGACACCCATTCAATGTACTGAGTCTTTGCTACATATTGCTGTACCTCCCTTTTTAGGTTCATAATTAATAGAATTTTATAAAAGATTTCATTTATGGCCAGGTGTGGTGGTTCACGTCTGTAATCCCAGCACACTGGGAGGCTGAGGCGGGCGGATCACGAGGTCAAGAGATTGAGACCATCCCAGCCAACATGGTGAAACCCGTCTCTACTAAAAATACAAAACTTAGCTGGGCATGGTGGCACGTGCCTGTAGTCTCAGCTACTTGGGAGGCTGAGGCAGGAGAATCGCTTGAACCCGGGAGGCAGAGGTTGCAGTGAGCCGAGATCGCACTGCTGCACTCCAGCCTGGTAACAGAGCGAGACTCCATCTCAAAAAAAAAAAAAAAAGATTTCATTTATTATAGGCTTGCTATAATAAATTACAGTAAGGTATTGGAATAATTAATGCACAGGGGCACAAGAATGTGCAAGGTAGGTAGACTGTATTGAATGAACAGTTTAGTCTCTATAAACAACTCATGAAACCAAGATTAACTTGGTAAAGGGATTCATGTGTTCTGCTTGGAGAAAAATAAGCATGTGTTCATAACTCATGATTCTTTTTTGAGGTCAGTATTTTGACTGAAGCAAGACCTCTTGCCATTCTTTCTATGTCTTTCTTGTATGTGATGACAACCTGTTGTCTTAAATAAAAAAAACCTTAAATTCTTTAATCTCCAAACCAAGGAAACTTAAAGAAAACATTTAGATAGTCACTTACACTTTGAAAATTTTCATGGACAACTATGGATCAAAGGACTGAAAAGAAAGCCCCTTCAAAGATGGTCTAGTTTATTATTTCACCTCTAACCAAAGAAATCCTTAAATTGCTCTGGTAAGATGGGTATAGCTTCCTTTATTTTAAAGGACACAGCCATAGCTTACCTCAGAATTCTGTTTGGAATTTAACAGCCATCTCTGCCTGAAACAACTCCTTGATCTTTGCCCTAAATCCCATGCCTTACAATTTAAGACCATTTCTTATTGTGGTATCCTCTGTGGAGAGGATGAAGCATAGCCACCTGCTACCGTGTCACTCTCAGTCTTTGTGAATCAAAGAATGTTAAAGCTTGAGGGGATCTTAGAGCTCATCTGACTTAACAGTTTTTGTAATGCTAGATTCCTCTCTGCTTCAGTACTTTTAGTGATACAATCTCCTACCATTAAATAGTGCTAATTAGCAGCAAGTTAATTGTACTTGAAAATCAATAAATTGTTTCTTTTCTAGGCTCATGGTTCTATCTCTCTGAACTTTTCTCCTAAGTCTAATTCTTAATTTTTCCAAACATCATTTTTGTTTTACTCTTCTAAACCACCTCCAAGTGAGTGATAAGGGTCTGATTTCTCTCAATATTTTCTGTCTCTCTCTCTTTATTTATTTATTTTAGTTCTGAGATGATGATTGTGTTTCAAAAAAATCAATCTATGGAAATTGAACAAAATTTAGTTTGTGCTTTGGGAGATGAGAATTCAGTTCTAGAAATGACAGTAATGTTTCAGGAATTTTTTTTTTTTTTTTTTTTTTGAGACTGAGTTTCACTCTCATTGCCTAGGCTGGAGTGCAATGGCACGATCTCCGGCTCACCGCAAACTCCACCTCCTGGGTTCAAGCAATTCTCCTGCCTCAGCCTCCCGAGCAGCTGGGATTACAGGCATGTGCCACCACACCCAGCTAATTTTGTATTTTTAGTAGAGACGGGGTTTCTCCATGTTGGTCAGGGTGGTCTCGAACTCCTAACCTCAGGTGATCTGCCCGCCTCGGCCTCCCAAAATGCTGGGATTACAGGCGTGAGCCACCATGCCTGGCTGTTTCAGGAAAATTATAGCTTTGGAGTAGTACTTCGTAGTTAAGTAGCACTTCATACTTTCAAAGACTGCTCATATTCATTATCTCCTGAACAAACACCCTGTGTGTTGGGTATGGCATATATTATTGATCCAGTTTGACAAAACTAAACCTCAGTGAGTAGGTGATTGGCTTAAGTTCATAAGGTCAGTTAGAAGCAGACCTCTCTCATCCTTGCAGTCTGTTGTCTCCTGTGTTTATCCTATGTTTATTTAGTCTTTATCTCTGACAATGCTTAGAGAATTGGGTGAGAACTTCCAGGGAGAAGAATATAGATTCCATTTGACTGGAGGAATTATTCAGTATCCCAATGTGACTCATTCCCAGGGAGTAGCTTTACATCTTTGAGAGTCTGCTCACAGCCTGCATTATCTGTGTTGGCCACCCTAGGCTACCTGTGTATTGGCAAGTCCACTTTGGTCTAATACTATCAAGCCCATGCTGCTCCTCCACACACCCTATTCAATTATGAATTGGTAAATTAGATAATCAACTCTGATACTGGGTAATACCACTGGCTAATCTACATTGACCCTTGCTACATGCAGCTCAGTATTACTAAGATCGATGGGGATCAGACACTGTCTTAGTCCATCTGTGTTGCTATAAGAGAATACCTGAGACTGGGTAATTTATAAATAATAGAAATTTATTTTCTCACTCTTCTGGAACCTAGAAAGTTCAAGACCAAGGCATCAGCAGGTTTGGTATTGGGTGAGGTGTTGTTCCTCAGCGATGACACCTTGTTTCTGCATCCTCACCTGGTGGAAGGCAGAAGGCAAAGACAGCAAGAGAGAGCAAGGGAGCTCTTTGAAGCCTTTTTTGTAGTGGCATTAACCCATTCATGATGGTGAGCCCCCATGACATAATCACTTCCAAAAAGCCCCTCCTCTTAATACTGTCATATTGGGGATTAAATTTCAACACATGAATTTTGGGTGGGATACAACATTCAAACCAAAGCAGATACCTAAGCAAATATGTTGTTAAAATTAAGTTTATATACCCTTGTGCACTCTTGGTGGGAATGTAAAATGGTTCAACTGCTATAGAAAACAGTATGGTAGGTCTTCAAAAATTAAAAAATAGCATTATCATATGAGCCAACTATTCCACTTCTGAATATTGAACCCTGGCACATGAATTGTACGCAGAGTTAGTCTCAACTTGAAGCCAAGCCTTTTGTCCTTCACCTCAGTCAGTCATTGGTTATGGGCTGCTAGGGCTGGGGGTGTGAGGAAGCTTTAGGTTAGGGGAGTCCCTGAAGGGGAGGGCGGCTATGAGCCATTAGCAGCCAACCCTCACAGTAGCCTGTATGTGAGTCCATTGGCCAGGTGGAAGGGATGCAGCCAGGACACTCATAGAAACCATCAATCACAAACTTGTTGGATAAATGGCTGATTCCAGACCTGAAACAGAAAATATAGAATGAGCTTCACAGCTCACGCCTGTAATCCCAGCACTTTGGGAGGCCGAGGTGGGCGGATCATGAGGTCAGGAGATCGAGACCATCCTGGCTAACATGGTGAAACCCCGTCTCTACTAAATATACAAAAAAAATTAGCCTGGCGTGGTGGCACGTGCCTGTAGTCTCAGCTACCTGGGAGGCTGAGGCAGGAGAATGGTGTGAACCTGGGAGGCGGAGCTTGCATTGAGCCGAGATCGCGCCATTGCACTCCAGCCTGGGCAACAGAGTGAGACTCCATCTCAAAAAGAAAAAAAAAATGAGCTTGGCACATCTTGTCAAACTCGAAAGCAAGGAAGCATCAAAGACTACTGGGATCATGTCAGCACCAGGAGTAAACTTGGAGAGGCTCCTACTGCTGTTGAAGGAAGAAGGAATGATGAAATTACAATTTTACCACCTTGCAAGCCCTAATAAAATAACGAACCTAGACACTGATCATCAATGACTGCTAATACATGAGAGACAACCACACATATGCGTCTCCTGATGAAAGTATACAAAAATACTTATAAAGTATTCTTGCTAAAAATTGAACCTAAATCAGATCAAACTGCTAGTTCTAATTATAGATTTACATAAAATACAGGTGACAGAGGAATATGTTAAATGATAAGGTGAAGATAGTGAAGATACATTTAGGATTTAGCTAAGTTGAGGTGTGGGAAACTCTAGAACAAATACCCCTAATTTCTTTGACAAATTATAAGAAAAAATGTGGGAGTGATAGTCTATACAAGAAAAGAGACTTAAAAGACCTACCAACCAAATGTAACATGTATGCCTTATTTGGGTGAATAAACCGAATATAAAAAAAAGAGAAAGTGGGGGAAATTTGAACAATGAATTTTTTTTTTTTTGAGATAAGTTCTCACTCTGCCACCCAGGCTCGAGTGCAGTGGCACAATCACAGCTCACTGCATCGTCAACCTCCTGAACTCAGGTAATCCTCCTGCCTCTGTCTCCTGAGAAGGTGAGACTACAGGTGTGTGCCACCAAGCCTGGCTAATTTTTTAATTTTTTTGAAGAAACATGGTCTTGCTTTGTTGCCCAGGCTTGGATATTTAATGATATTAAGAAACTTATAAAAATATTTTAGATTGATAATGGTATTTTTATTTTATTAAAAATAATTATTATCTTTTAGAGATGCATACTAAAATATTTAATAATGAAATAAAATCCCTCATATTGGCTTTAAAATCATCTGGTGGGGTAGGGGAGAAAATGTGGATAGGGGTATAGTTGAAATAGCACTGACCAGGAGATGGTGATTGTTCAAGCTGGGCATGTAAATGGCAGTTCTCTATAGTTTTACTTTGTTGTATAAGCATAAAATTTTCCATAATGAAAGGTTTAAGACATTAGAGAAAGAAACAAACCTTTACTTGAAGTTTGCATCATCAACACTTTTGTTTTCCGTAGAGTAAGCCTAAATTTTTGTTAATAACATTTTGAGATTTTAGATATTTATTATTAAAAGGTTTTTAGAAAGGCAGAAGGTGGGAAATTGTTCTTATGGCCATCTCCTGATTTCTTTTTACTTCTTGTTTTCTTTTAACAAAGAACTATTTGCTTATTTGTTGTCTTTTTACTTAGAACATTTGACAGACCATATTAGTGAATGGTGTATAAAATGTGCTTATTATTTAAAACTTAAACAAATAATATAAAATAGACAAGGAATTATATAGGCATATTCTTCTGTTTTAAAATCTAGAGCAGATTTTTTTCCCGCAAGACTACTGTTTTTGTTCTTTGCTGATTTATTGATCTGAGACTAGAATCATCATTGAAACAAAACTGACCTTAAAGGCAACATGGGCCTGGCGTGGTGGCTCACACCTGTAATCCCAGCACTTTGGGAGGCCAAGGTGGGTGGATCACCTGAGGTCAGGAGTTTGAGACCAGCCTGGCCAACATGGTGAAACCCCATCTCTACTAAAAATATAAAAACCAGCTGGGTGTGGTGGCACGCACCTGTAATTCCAGCTACTTGGGAGGTTGAGGCAGGAGGATCAGCTTGAACCTGGCAGGCAGAGGTTGCAGTGAGCTGAGATCATGCCACCTCATTCCAGCCTGGGTGACAGAGCGAGACTCTGTCTTGGGGGGGAAAAGAAAAAAGCAACATGCTATCACATTGCTTGACTTTTGTCTTGCTGAAATTTAAACGATAGCTGGTCTAACAATTTTTTCTTAGTAAATAGAATTCTTCCATTTTAGTATGATTTTATTCCAGCAAATTACACATATATCTTTTCACAGAGCTCATGAAATTTTGATGATGGCTAAAATGCAAGATATTGAGTTGCTTAATTGATTTGAGTTAATCTTTAATATTGGCATTACATGCCATTATGTGACTCTCTGCTCAGGAGATAGCTTTTCAGTGGTAGATTATTTGCTTTCATTTTGCTGCTTATACTTTTAATTTTCTGTTGCTAAATAGGGAGGCAAGCCAGTGATTTATACATTTCTAACTCTGTTCATAGCTTAATTAAGAAAGTTTGAAACTATCATTAGTTAGGATGCTTTAGAATTATCTGTGAATTTTATTTATATATTAGCCCTATTATAAATAGGCATTGTTAATTGAGAATGGAGTATAATTTTTAGCTACTTTGCCAAACACAATAAAAATAACCCATTTACTTTCTCCAAAACTGGATAGCTGGATGTGGATATCTTTCAGAAGCAATGGGGTCCTTACAGGACATGTGCTTTCATGCTACTAATTTTCATAATTTGCAGCCACAGGAAAATAATTATTTTTAAGTGGCCAGCATTCATGTTGAAAATGAGCCTATTTTTCTTGGCCATCAGGACAACCATTTCTCTTGAACTATGATAATCAGTTCTGACATATTGCTTTGAGCCTTTTCTCCTTCTGCATTTCAAGAAGGTTAAACATTATTGAGCATAAACGTTTGTCCCAGGAGTTCAGAAGGGCAAAAATTATACATTCGACCTGAACATATACTTTAAAGTGGATTTCTGTGTTCATTCAGCTTTTGGAGTTTTAACTGAGAGGTGTCTGAAAAATCATTAGCCAAGTTTCTTGTGCACGCGCTGCCCTCTCCCTTTGTTTGGTGCTTTTTTTGGTCTCTATGAAATTGAATATTAGCCACCCATTTAATAAAATGTGAATGAGTTAGTCAGGCTTGAATTCTTCCACTGATGGCAAATTATAGAAATTGTGATTTTTTTTTTTACCAATAAAGAGATATCACTTGGATTAAATTTTCAGATTGTTGATCTTTTGAGTTGTACTATTTCCTGTTTTTAGGAGTAAAAGGCTGAATATGGTTGGAGAATTTTAGAATTCTGTGGCCTATGGCTTGCTCTTAAAAATTTGGGTTTTTTAAAAACATAAAAATAAACTTTTGAGTTTGAAGATGGGAAATGGGGTGGGAAGATCAGTCAGTTGGATGTCAGGCATTGTCTGATTCTTTTATCAGTTACTTGTTTTATATTCTAATTTTCACTTGTTCTTTTATTTCTTTGTTGTTGTTGTTTTTTGAGATGAGTCTCACTCTGTCACCCAGGCCGGAGTGTAATGGCATGGTCTTGGCTCACTGCAACCTCTGTCTCCCGGGTTCAAGTGATTCTCTTGCCTCAGCCTCTTGAGTAGCTGGGACTACAGGCATGTCTCACCAAGCCCGGCTAATTTTTGTATTTTTAGTAGAGATGCGGTTTCACTATGTTGGCCAGGTTGGTCTTGAAATCCTGACCTCGTGATCTGCCCCCATCGGCCTCCCAAAGTGCTGGGATTACAGATGTGAGCCACCGTGCCTGGCCTTATTTCTTTAGGTATATATAACTTTGAGAAAGATGGTATTTTATGCTGGGCGTGGTGGCTCATGCCTGTAATCCCAGCACTTCGGGAGACCGAGGCGGGTGGATCATGAGGTCAGGAGATCGAGACCATCCTGGCTAACACGGTGAAACCCCGTCTCTACTAAAAAAATACAAAAAATTAGCCGGGCGTGGTGGTGGGCGACTGTAGTCCCAGCTACTCGGGAGGCTAAGCCAGGAGAATGGCATGAACCCAGGAGGCGGAGCTTTCAGTGAGCCGAGATTGTGCCGCTGCACTCTAGCCTGGCAACAGAGCAAAGACTCTGTCTCAAAAAAAAAAAAAAAAAAAAAAAAAAAAGAAAGACAGTATTTTATATTACTAGGGACTATATTAAGTATTTCATTAATCAATGTTTTAAAATATCTCTTTCACTAATTATGGAACCAGATAAGTTGAAAAACAGAACAGCACTGCTTTCTTTTTTTTTTTTTTCTTTTTTCTTTTTTTTGAGACGGAGTCTCACTCTGTCATCCAGGCTGGAGTGCAGTGGTGTGATCTTGGCTCACTGCAACCTCCACCTCCTGGGTTCATGCAATTCTCCTGCCTCAGGCTCCCAAGTAGCTGGGATAACAGGTGTGTGTACCACGCCCGGCTAATTTTTGTATTTTTAGTAGAGACAGGGTTTTACCATGTTGGCCAGTCTGGTCTCGAACTCCTGACCTCAAGCGATCTGCCCACCTTGGCTTCCCAAAGTGCTGGGATTACAGGCATGGGCCACTGCGCCTGGCCTAATATACTGCTTTCTAAGAAACGTACTAAAATGGTTTCTCCGAAGTAATTTCTTCATTGTAGTTCTATCTCTTATTCTGACTTTAGTAATGAGAAGAATTACATCATTTTAGAGGAAAGAGACTGTATTTTGTGTTCTAAACCTTAGCACCAGAGAATTGTAAGATTTCAATATATTTTTAATAATGAATCTCTAGACTATTTTTCTGAAGAGTTATCGCTTAACTTTAGCTAAGAGAAAATTGTAAGGTGAGAAGTCAGGGTGAAGAATGGATAAAAGGAAAATCATACATTCAGTTATTGTGATGAATTAACAAGTTGGGTTGTATGTTACATATCCAAAGTACCTTTCTGGATACTCTTTTGAAAGGTACCTATTCATTGTGGGAATAGAAATTTTAAAAATGTCTTTATCATATGCTACAATAGCACCTACTTTAGTAATGGGCTAGGCCCAGTTTAATTTTGCTTGAGCTATGACTTAAACCTTTTAGCAAACATAAGCACTATCATGGAGGGGCTAAGAGTGTGCATTCTGGAACTATACAGCCTAATGTGAGTTTAAATTCTGGTTTCAGCACTTACCAGCTCAGTGCCTTTGGGCAAGTGAGTTACTTAATTTCTCTGTGGCTCAGGTTCCTCCAGTTTAGAATGGGGGTCATAACTTTATAGTGAGTGTTATTGTGTGGATTAATCTATTTATAGATTTGAGGAAGCAAGAAAATTTAATCATGGTATACTACTTAATTAAGGAGTGAATGATATAAGATGGAATTAACCATAATATCACTGAATATGGATGTATGCAAAAATTCTGTAAGAAAGGTATAATTCTTTATCTATCTTAATAGGGACTGAATAGATAATAACTATAATTAATAAACCTAGACATACCACTATATGCATGTTACTTGGAACTATTTTTTTTTTTTTCCGAGACGAAGTCTCGCTCTGTCTCCCAGGGTGGAGTGCAGTGGCGTGATCTCTGCTCACTGCAAACTCCACCTCCCGGGTTCCTGCCATTCTCCTGCCTCAGCCTCCTGAGTAGCTGGGACTACAGGCGCCTGCCACCGCTCCTGGCTAATTTTTTTGTATTTTTTAGTAGAGACGGGGGTTTCACCGTGTTAGCCAGGATGGTCTCGATCTCCTGACCTTGTGATCCACCTGCCTTGGCCTCCCAAAGTG
This sequence comes from Homo sapiens, assembly GCF_000001405.40. NCBI lineage: Eukaryota > Metazoa > Chordata > Mammalia > Primates > Hominidae > Homo > Homo sapiens. The sequence goes on along the minus strand of NC_000006.12, from coordinate 56,879,220 downwards.
CTGGGATTACAGGCATGAGCCACCGCGCCTGGCCGGAACTATTAAGATAAATGCAGTAAGATACGTAGAAAGTTGAAAGTGGTTGTGTCTGAGAAGGTGGGAAGAAGAGCCAGGGGACCACATTTTTTTGTGTATAATCTATTTATTGATTCGAGTGCAAAGAGAAATCAAATTTGTTCTTTCTCACTAATTACCATTTAACTCACTCTCTACTCCTAAGGAAAAACTCAAGGCAGGTGCCACAACTTTACTGGTGATTCTTAGATAATGGAAAGCCCTTGGGTCACTGTCAAGCATTAAAGATTTTTGCTTCGTCTAATAATAATATAACTCCAGTCTAGCCTCATGAATTATTACAACTTCATATTCAACGTTAATATTTTTTGCCTTCTCTCAGCTTGACAGAGATTCAGGCTGCAGTGGCAAAAGACGTGGTTGGTTTTTTCCCTCTCTTCTCTCCTCATTTTCTCCTGTTGTTGTTTTTGACTGCTCTAGGATTGGCCAAGGAGAGAGGGGATTAGGGGACAAGGGCCTAGTTTTGCACAGCCCTTATAGTTATGACCTGGCAGTTTGTGTCCTCTGAATGTGTTGTATTTCCTTTCATCTGGGAAAAGATTTTTCTTTGCTTGTGTATTCCTGCCTTGGTCCTCTGAGCTTCTGATGCTTCACCCCATCTGTTTGGTCCCTCCTTCCATCCACAAATTCCTCTTGGATAGGATCCCTTTGAATAGGAGCTTAAACTAGCTCCCTCTGTCCCTGGGTCCATGACAGATCTCCCAAAAGCATGTGCCACGGAGGGGCAGCTCAGTGCCAAGCATGCCTTTTATTCCAGCCACAGTCTTCACCTTTAGAGTCTTTTGGTGAGAGTCATATTCTAGTCACATGTTCCTTAAACTCCAGGGGAGACATGTTTTACCCTTCAAGGTGTCTCCTTGAAGCCCTCTCCCTTGGTTTAAGGCATAGGATATGCACACCAACCTCTCTTCTAGGAGGAAATGCTCAAGACATAAATAGCTTTCTACAAAACAATCTCTCCTCTTGGTTTCTGGCTTTGTCTACCCTCTTAGAGTGGTGATGGGCTCATGTTGCTCTAATCTGTGTCACACTGTCCTAACGTGGTTGTCACAGATGGTTTAGCACAGGGCATTGCGTACATTTGTGGGAAAGATTTTTTTTTTTAACTTCCAATTCATTACAGGTCTATACCTGGCCCTTTATTGCATGACTGGTCTTCAGTTCACATCACACTGGTGATGTATTATGTGAGTTCAACAGCACCTGAAACAGTCTGTTCAACAAGACAAGTCTGTTGACCAGTTGTACTTCCAAAGCAATGTCAAATTATTCTAAAAGTCTCTAAATACTTCCAATTTCTGTATTTATCTTATAGCAAACCAATAAAAACAGTTCTCAGACTGGTATTTGTCCATGGGCATATTTTGAGTTGCACTGTTCCAACACTTTCCTTTAGGACTGGGGGATAGTGGCATTTATTGTGTTGTTCCCAGCCTATGGGATATCAGTTGAAACTAATTAAAAATGTTCCAATTTGATATCCTGTTAGAATAGATTTTCATTAATTCCACACATATTTATTGTTTGCTCTGTGCCACAGATCCCATAAAAATAAAAACAAATAACTAAATTTATTTATATATTTATTTTCAGATGGAGTCTCACTCTGTCACCCAGGCTGGAGTACAGCGGCACAATCTTTGCTCACTGCAACCTCCGCCTCCTGGGTTCAAGTGATTCTCCTGCCTCTGCCTCCCAGGTAGCTGGGATTACAGGTGCCTGCCACCATGCCCGGCTAATTTTTTGTATTTTTTAGTAGAGACAGGGTTTCACCATGTTGGTCAGGCTTGTCTTGAACTCCTGACCTCAAGTAATCTGCCCACCTCGGCCCCCACAAAGTGCTGGGATTACAGGCGTGAGCCACTGAGCCCGGCCAAATAACTAAATTTATATTATGCTAGGAGGTGGTAAATGGTATGAAGAAAAATGCTTCAGGTAAGGGGGAAGATAGTGTTGGGGTGGGATGATGGGTTTACATTGCACAGTCAGGGAACATTCTTTGATAAGGTGACATTTGATCAGAGCCAGGTATCTAGGTAAGAGCCTTTTAGGCCAAATGTTTTTTTAGCATTATTTGCTTCTTATAGGCACATTTTACTTTGATACAAATACAAGTCAATTTAAAAATGAATGGGGAAAAAATGACTAGGAGATACAGACATGGAAATAACCTTTATAAATTACCCTTTAAAGGAGTTTGCCTAAGAAGAGACAGGAATTTAGGCAGTAAGCTGGGGAGGATATAGGATTCAGAAAGGTCTTTCATAAGATGGGAGACATTTGAGATATTTTAGGGAGATGAAAGGGGGCCTTTCCTGGGCCTGGACAGAGTGCAGGTGAGGGTAAGAGTAGAAATGGATACATTTGGGGATAGTTAGAAGTTGTTAAAGAAAAACAGTGCTGAGAACCCAGTTGATGTTAGATGGTTGGACATTTGTCGAGGGATTAAGCTGCTTCATTGAGTAGTGTTTTCAAAGCACATTTCAGCCATTTAGAATTGGGAGTTAAGGTGAATGTTTCAACTGATCCAAGATAGAGGGTGGACTTGATAGCTCTAAAGGAGGCAGCTGGGATATTGATGTCAAGAGAATGCTTGAAATGATGCATCATGAGGCTTGATGAAGAAGAACAGGAAATCTTAACGGCAGTCCAGGAACAGAGCATTAGAGGTCTGGATTAGCTTGAAGAGGAGTGAGAGAGCTGGAGAGCCAAAAATTGGAGGTCACATTTTTGGATTACAGTGAGAGGTCTCAGAGTTGGTTCAGTACCAGGTGATGTGATCATCCAGAATGGGGCCATGGCATGCTGGGAGAAGAAGAGAGAAGATAAAGATTATTTGAACTCAGGAGGCTAGGAACTTTTGTGGCTGAGGTGTTGGCTGGCCCATCCACATTGAATGTGGAAATCTTCCCAGATGACTACACTCAAAGTGAAGAAGAAGCAATGAGTCAGGTTCCAAAGTCCTCAGCAAATGAGGGAGTGTGACCAGAGGTCAGACAGTGACAATTCAGGGAAAGGAAGAGAGCGGCATTGGATGATGTTTCCCTCCGGGATTTCGATGAGACATGCAGGAGAAGCAGAAGCCTCTGCTGGAGAGGTGCAGAGGTATAGAGAGCAGGCACTTAACAAATACAACGTGGAATGATTAAGGTAAGGCAAGCAGTGGAGATGGCACTTTCGTGAGGAGTTAGAGCTTCCTGACAATTAAATGAAGGTTTCAAAGGGCACCTAGAAAAGAGTTGACTAGGCGGGCAGCAGTGGAGCAGCTACAGAGTAGCAAAAGGATGATAGTTTTTGAGAAAAGAGTTGCCCATGGGGCTTGAATTTGGGGGTAGTATACAAGTATGGTAGGGAGAAGTGGTGTGGTGGATAAGTTCACCTGTGCTAAGATTCCAGCAGCTCTAGGGATGGAGCCAGGGGTAGCCACAGACAGCCCTCTACCATTGACACCAATAATCTGTAGCCTTTGCTCCTGGCCTGATGGTGTGTCCATTAGACACTCTGGTCTGTCCTTAGGGTCCATGAGCTCTTCAAAGGCTTTTTGAGATCACTGGGACCTAAATACATGTTATTGATTCCAAAATAAGAAGCTTGGAACTTAACTTTAAAAACAATCTTTAATTAAATGACTAGTCATTATTTCAACTGCCCAGTTGCAATTCAACTTTTGTATAATTGTGCATAAGTGAAATTTAAAATTACACAAAAATAACTTTTAACAAAATATATTTTTCAAATAATAAAAGCCCTTTCAAGCATTTAATGGAAAATGTATTGAATGTGTCTGAGTATATGTCTAATGTGATGAGACCTGTAAAAGAGTGGCTCAGGGCCCTGTGAGCATCTTAAAACATCTCTGGCAGGCGGGGCATGGTGGCTCATGCCTGTAATCCCAGCACTTTGGGAGGCTGAGGCGGGCGGATCACGAGGCCAGGAGATCGAGACCATCCTGGCTAACATGGTGAAACCCCGTCTCTATTAAAAATACAAAAAAATTAGCCGGGCGTGGTGGCGGGCGCCTGTAGTCCCAGCTACTCGGGAGGCTGAGGCAGGAGAATGGGGTGAACCTGGGAGGCGGAGCTTGCAGTGAGCGGAGATCGCGCCACTGCACTTCAGCCTGGGCGACAGAGCGAGACTCCATCTCAAAACAAACAAAAAAACAAAAAACATCTGTGGCTTAGGTTCCAAATAGAAGCTCAGTCAGGAGTTGTTAGAAGGTTATGTGTTTGTGTGCGATTGAAGATGGTATTAGTAAAGATAACCAGGCCTTTAATATGACCTTGTTTAGGTGGCTGAGAAAGGGATCCAGTAGTCTGAGGAATCTCACCTTTCAAGGGTGTTAGTTTTGGCATCTACTTTTGGTGATTTGGTGCTAATTTTATTATTTCTTCGAGATCTCTTAAATATCACATGATTTGAGATGCATGTGGAGCGATTAGAACGGATAGATATTTTTCAGGCTCATGTGGGAAAGAATGCAGAATTTGGAGTTTAAGAACTGGATTTAAACTGGAACAGTCACTTATCTCTTTTAGCCATAGTTTTCCCTTATGTAGAATGAGAATGATAGCAATGCACGTTTCATAAGATTGTTGCAGGGATTAAATGAGATAATATTTTTGACAAGTTTTGTGAGCTATTAAATGAACTACAAATGTAGTTATGATTGACAGTGGTTTTAGGTGGTGATAAGAGGGATGAAAAGAAAGTAAGATGGTGAATTCATGACACCCATTGGCTCATGTGCCACTTTCAGTTGTTTATTTAATTTATATAAATTTAAGTTTTATCTATTGATTTTTTTTAAGAGATGGGATCTCGCTGTGATGCCCAGGCAGGAGAGAAGTGGTGCACTCATAGCTCTCTGCAGCCTTGAACTCCGGGGCTCAAGTGATCCTCTCACCCTGGCCTCCCAAAGTGTTGGGATTACAGGTGTGACCCACCAGAGGCAACTTTGTTTTTAATTTTTATGGATACTAATAGTTGTACATATTTATGGGGTACATGGTTTTTTTGTTTTGTGTTTTTTAAGAGACAGGGTCTCTCTGTGTTGCCCAGGCTGGAGTGCAGTGGTTATTCACAGGTGTAAAGTATACTACAGCCTTGTATTCCTAGGTTCTAGTGATCCTCCCACCTCAGTCTCCCAAGTAGTAGGACTATAGTTATGCACCACTGAAGCTGGCTTACATGTGGTGCTTTGATACAAGCATAGTGTGTAATGGTCAGATCACAATTGGGATATTCATCACCTCAAACATTTATCATTCTTTTGTGCTGGGAGACATTCCAAACCTCTTCTAGTTATTTAGAGCTATACAATAAAGTATTAACCACAGCTATCCTATATTGCTGTCAAACACTAGATCTTGTTCCTTCTGAGTGTATTTTTGTGCTCATTAACCAACCTCTCTTCATCTCCCCTCTCCGCCCAACCTTCCCAGCTTCTGGTAAACACCTTTCAATTCTCTATCTTCATGAGATCCACTATTTTAACTCCAACATGAGTGAGAACAGGCAATATTTTTCTCTTTGTGCTTGGCTTACTGCACTTAACATAATGCCTTCCAGTTCCGTCTATGTTGCTGTAAATGACAGAATTTCATTCTTCTTTATGACTGAATAATATTCCTTTGTGTATATATATATATCTCACAATTTCCTTATAATTTCATCCATTGATGGACACTTAGGTTGATTTCATATCTTGCTATTGAAATGCCTCAGTACATTGGTCTAGGCAAAGATTTCTTCAGTAAGACCTCAAAAGCACAGGAAACCAAAGCAAATTGACAAGTGGGATCACATCAAGCTAAAAAGCTTCAGAGGAAACAATCAACAAAGAGAAGAGACAGCCCACAGAATGGGAAAAAAATATTTGCCAGCTATTCATCTGACAAGTGATTAATAACCAGATTATGTGAGGAACTCAAACAACTCAAGAGCAAAAAGACAAATAATCTGATTAAAAAATGGGCAAAAGATCTAAATAGATATTTCCCTAAAGAAGACATACAAATGACGAACAGGTATATGAAAAGATGCTCAACATCACTAATTGTCAAGGAAATGCAAATTAAAACTACAATGGGATATCATCGCACCCTGGTTAAAATGTCTGTTATCAAAAAGAAAATAACAGATGCTAGCAGGTATTCAGGGAAAGGAGAATGCTCATTGGTAGGAATGTAAGTTTAGTACAGCCATTGTGGAAAACAAAATATGGAGGTTCCTCAAAAAACTAAAAATAGAACTACTATATGATCTAGCATATAGTAGTTCCCACTGCTGGGTATATATCCGAAAAAAAAAAAAAGGGGGGGGGGAATCAGTGTATTGAAGAGATTCTGCACTTCCATACCTATTTATTTTTAAATTACTCTATCTTTCTATCTATCTGATAAATACCTATACACCCCCACTCAAAACAAAAGCTAAGATCTTGGTAGTAACCTATGTCTAATGATATGGTCTCTTTTTCCATTGGCCTGAGTGTTCTTACTCAAGATAACCATCATTCTGAAACACATTTCATCATTCTCTTGTTTCCCTGTTCACAGAGTTTTATTGCTAGTCTATTTATTCCTAAAAAGTTTAAATTTTTTATTTTATTTATTTGTTTTCTTAGAGGTGGAGTCTTACTCTGTTGCCCAGGCTAGAGTGCAGTGGTGCCATCATAGCTCACTGCAGCCTCAAACTCCTGGGCTCAAGTGATTCCTCCACCTCATCCTCTTGAGTAGCTGTGACTACAGGTATGAGCCACTGCGCCTAGCTTAAAAAATTTTAATTTTAAAATTTTAGTTACTTTTAACTTAATAAAAAATGTTATCATACTTTATGTAATTATTTGAAACTACCTTTTTTCACTTAATATGCTATTGCTAATAGTATTGCTAATAATATTGTTCACTATAGTTTATTTGTTTCAACTTTTGTATGACTATACCACAGTTTGCTCATTTGCTCTCCTGTAAGTGGGACATTTGTTTTCAGGCCTTTACTGTATGAGTGCCACTGTGCATTTTCTTGTACATGCCTCTTACTGTTCATGTGCAGTTTTTCTTGTGTATATGCTTAGTGGAATTACTGGATCAATTCTTAGTAGAATCGCTGGACATACATGAAAGTTCAACTTCAGGAGATAATGCCAAACTCTTTTTCAAAATACCTGCACCCATTTATACTTTCCTCAGCCACGTCTAAGCGAGCATGAGGAGCCACGTTCTTTTCAACACATAGTAATATTAGACTTAATTTTTTTTTCCAGTTGAATACATGCAATCTGTTAACCCCATTGTGGGCTTGATTTGCTTTACCCTGATTGTTAATGATGCCACACCTCTTTTCTTTTTCTTTTTTTTTTTTTTTTTTTACTTTTAATTGTATTTATTTTAACGCTGAATTTACTCCTGTGCTGTAAGTTTTTGTTTCTTCAGTTTCTTCTGGGATATCTTTTTCTTCTAGGCAACCCCCTCTTCTGGTTTAGGAACAATTTGTTCCTTTTCAGTAAGGATCATCTCGATGTGGCAGAGAGAGCTCATGTATGGGTTAATCCAACCATGAGCTCTGTAGGTCCAGCAGTGTGTCTTAGGTGCTTTGTTTATTTGGATATGCTCAATGACCAGAGAATCTACCTCTAAGCCCTTAAGTTCAGCATCACTCTCTGCATTTTTAAGCATGTGCAGCAAAAATTCAGCACTCTTTTTGGGCCACCGACCTTGTGTCCGGCCTCACTGCTTGGCCTGGGCACACCTGCCAACTCCAGCATTGTAACGTTGGAATGGTACACACTGTTTCTGTAAAGTGACATCTTTCAGATACTTCGTGGCTTTTCGTATATGCATACCCTTGGTGTCCTGGGCAGTTTCACGAGTGTTCTTAAAGTGAACACGAAGATTTGAACCTCTTGATTTGCATGACTTTGTGTGGTTCTCTGGGTCAAGTAAATAGTGAACCATTTTCACAGACTACCTCAGGCCACTTAGGGGAAGAGGAAGAGCCCCACACATTTTTTCATATGTTTATATCTTTTTGTATGTTTATTAGCCATATATGTTTTCTCTTCTGCAAAATGTCTGTCCATTTCATTTGCTATTTTTCTTCTTTGGTTGTTTGTATGTTTTTTACTGATTTGAGTGGGTTCTTTATATATACATATTCTTTGTTCACTGAATTTTAATTTATATTATTATATTTTCATTGCTTGGTATTTTTGACAGTCTCTTATTCCTAACTCCTACTTTTGATACTCTTTTCCCTTTATTTAAATATATAAAATATGTTTATTTTATATGTAATATCTGATAATTAACATACCTGAAGTTTTTGCCTATGGATTTGTGTCTGTTGTTTCTATAGTTTCACCAGTGGGGCCTTGTTTCATTGTATGCTTTGTGACTTTCTTGTTGCCCAGGATGGAGTGTAATGGCATGATCTCGGCTCACTGCAACCTCTACCTCCCGGGTTCAAGTGATTCTCCTGCCTCAGCCTCCCGAGTAGCTGGGATTACAGGTGCCTGCCACCATGCCCGGCTAATTTTTGTATTTTTAGTAGAGACAGGGTTTCACCATATTGACCAGGCTGATCTTGAACGCCTGACCTCAGGTGATCTGCCCACCTCGGTCTCCCAAAATGCTGGGATTACAGGCGTGAGCCACTGTGCCTGGCTGCTTTGTGACTTTTTACCATGAGCTCTTTTTTTTTTTTTTTTTTTTTTTGCAGTTGCAAGATTTAATAGAGTGAAAATAGGGCTCCCATAAAATGGGAGGGAACCCAAAGGGGGTTGCCTTTGCTGGCTCGAGTGCCTGGGTTTATATCCCGATCATTGTCCCTCCCCTTGTGCTCTCAGGCGATAGATGATTGGCTATTTCCTTACCTCCTGTTTTTGCCTAATTAGCATTTTAGTGAGCTCTCTTTACTACCTGATTGGTTGGGTATGAGCTAAGTTGCAAGCCCCGTGTTTAAAGGTGGATGTGGTCACCTTCCCAGCTAGGCTTAGGGATTCTTAGTTGGCCTAGGAAATCCAGCTAGTCCTGTCTCACCACGAGCTCATTTTTGACTGAACTTTATCTGTGGTAATTTTAGAGGCTAGGCTTGAAAGTACATTTCTCTAGAGTGGATATTCTGTTAGTTTTGCCAGGGAAATCTAAAAAAAAAAATCTCAGCTGGGTGCGGGTGGCTCATGCCTGTAATCCCAGCACTTTAGGAGGCCGAGGCAGGTGGATTGCTTGAGCTCAGGAGTTCAAGACTAGCCTGGGCAACATAACAAGACATCGTCTCTACTAAAAATCAAAAAAATTAACTGGGCATGATGGCGCCTGCCTGTAGTCTCGGCTACTCGGGAGGCTGAGGTGGGAGGCTCGTTTCAGCCTGGGAGGTTGAGGCTGAGATTGTACCACTGCACTTCAGCCTTGGTGACAGAGCGATTCCCTGTCTCAAAAAAATAAATAAAAATAAAATCTCAGTTTCAGAGTTTTTCATACTGCATAGATTGTGTGAACTTGGGCCATAAAATACACATGAGAATCAGCTTGTGGTTATGAAGTTTTTTTTTTTTTTCTTCTCTGTCCAGCCACAAGCTTGACATGGGCAAGTGTCCTTGCAATCTCAGGGTATTTTTCTTTGGTTTTCCTAGTTCATGCTTCCCTGGCTTTATTTGTTTGTTTCTATTTTTGTGTTTTTCACTGAGACTCCTTTGGCTTTGTCTTCTGTCCCCTGAGCAGGTCGTCCTACTCTTCTGTCTCCTGTTTGTCAAGTGAAACTTTAGATGAGAGGGAATCAGCCTAACATTTCTGTATTTGTGCTTTTGCTTTTCTATTGCTCTAGCCTCTAAGAATTTTTCTTATTTTCCTGCCCCTTTGCTGATTCATTTAAAAATATTTTATCCAGCATTTTTAGCTACTGTACAGCAGGAAGGTTTGTTAGGAAGTCAAGTCTGCAATATATCTGAGAAACCCTTGCCTTGTTTTTGTATGACTAGACTCCCCAAAATAGGTCCCCTCAGATCAGAGCCATATGTACCCCAAAGTTCTAGCATCCATACCTAGAGCCACCAAAAGTTTTTTAAAAAATCTGTACATCATTATCAAAGTACAGTAGCCATCGTCTGCCAAGGCATAGCTTTTAGTCCTTATTTTTAGTATAATTTCATTTCTATGTAGGGCTGTGCAGTACATTTAGCCAATTGTTTCTTATCTCTTGGTCTTAAAGCAGATGACAAAGGACCTTCATTTCCCACAGAGGGTAGAATTCATGTTTACATAGGGTATTGAGAAGTGCTGTAGTGACTCACTTATTTCAACTCTCAAATTTCAGTACATATTTGTCATTTCTGTTAGGCCAAATCAACTTCCTAATTGCACCATGTTTTGTTATAATTTGGAGTTGAACCTAAAACTCCAATAGAGAAAATGTTCATGGAATATTTTTGTGATAAAATCAGATAAAAATTGTTAAATAGCAGTTGTGATTGTCAAATTATTTTATTTTATTGTTGATTTATTTTATCATTGGTTTTTATTTTTGTTTTTGGTAGTTAACAACATTCTAAAAAAATGTTGTAGTCCAAAATACACTTCTTTTTTTTGAGAGGACGGTGAGTTGTGGCATTGGGAGAGGGTATTTTCTGTTTTCTTACATGTGCTACTCAATACACAATATCTCTGACTCATTAGCATTTAAACTTAGTTCAGGGTAACTATATAAAGAGGCTCTTTAGAAGTTTGAAAATGAAACATTAAAGGTATGGAATTTGTATATCAAAAAAGCTTTAGAGATGATGGATTTGTGGACAATTTAGGAACATCAAAAGTCATCCAGCCTGAGTTGTTGTTTTAAGGAAATAAGGCCCAGAACAGTGACCTGAGATGCTGAACTATCAGAACCACGATTGGAAACAAGACCTCATAGTTGAGAACACTCTCTTCAACGCTGCATTGTTTTCCTGTTTATATGCCATGTTTAGCTAAGCATTTAAAATTGTTTATACTTACAAATTAAAAATAATTATTTCTACTTGCATGTTTTGTAAAATGAACTGACACCCCCCATGTTTAAAATTGATTTAGAAAACCCAGACATTTAATGTTTTTTAAAAAAACTACATAATAATATTTGGAATTTATGGGAGTATTAAAGAGGCAACACAGCTTTCTGAAGTTTATTTCTAGAACACGGGTAATCACCATGACTCCAGGCACACCCGTCTGTTTATTAAAGCAGAAGAATCAAGAAGTCTGAGATGCAGACGTTTCAGGATACTAGGGAAGTGAAAAATAGTTTTTTCTGAAATGAGAGCCCTACTATTTTTTTTTTTTTTGAGACGGAGTCTCGCTCTGTCGCCAGACTGGAGTGCAGTGGCGCGGTCTCGGCTCACTGCATCCTCTGCCACCCGGGTTCAAGTGATTCTCCTGCCTCAGCCTCAGCCTCCCGAATAGCTGGCACTACGGCTGTGCACCACCATACCTCAAAATACACTGATTTTTGTATTTTTAGTAGAGACGGGGTTTCACCATGTTGGCCAGGATGGTCTTGATCTCCTGACCTCGTGATCCGCCCACCTTGGCCTCCCAAAGTGCTGGGATTACAGGCATGAGCCTCCGCATCCAGCCAAGCCCTGCTTTTTATAAATAAATGACTATCATTATTTCCTGTTTTTAAATCTTTTAAAAACTCTTTTGGAACTTTATCAGCTCCCTATAACTCCAGAGATAACCATAAATGAGACTGTAAAAGAAATGAAGTTATAAAGACAGACATTTCATATCAACAGCATTTTTATTGATGCTGACCAACAATATTAACAGTAGTGGGCATTTCTTAAGCACTTCCTATGAGTCAGGCTCTGTGCTTGGCAATGGGCATTAGGTCATTTAATATAGCAACCCTAAGAGGTAGATATTCTTTATAAATAAGAAAGCCAAAGCTTAGAAAGTTTAAGTAGTTTGTCCAAAGTCCTATAGCTAATAAGTAGTGAAGCTGGGTCAGGAGGCACAGAGCTCTGCCAGACTGCAGGGCCAGGTCTAGCCTCGGTTCTCTGTTATCCCCCCAGTTAGCTTGCTGAGAGCAATCCCATTTCTGATTTATGGTTAGGAGGGTTTAACTGTGGGTTGTGAGACTATGTTGTGCTTTAAATCTGTTGTTCTGTAACAAGCTTCAGGGCAAGTATTGCAGGCGATGATAAATAAGATAAATAAGAAATAAAGATAAATAAGAAAAAACTAATATTTATTGCAGGAAATTGGAACTCGTTGAGTACATACAAACTGTGTGCTAGTTAGTATGGGTGCTTTTGCAAAATTCTTTTACTGTTCATTTTCCCATTTCACAAATATTTTCTGAGCACCTGCTATGGGTTTGCCACCATGCTAGGAACTGGGGACACAGCATGAATGAAACAAAGGGCTTACTTTCTGGTGGAGGAGACAGACAACAAGCAGATTAACAAGTAAATACATAATGTTTCAGATGGTAATAAGTGCTGTGGGGGAAAGTGAAGCAGGATAAGGGGCATAGAGTAATTGGTGAGGAGGGTAAAGTTACATAAGGCTTTTAGGGGAAGAACTTTCTTTAAAAGGTTGACATTTGAGCAGAGACCTAACAGCACATCAGGAGGCCTTGTAAGTCATGGTGCAGGCTTTGGATTTTATCCTGAGTGAAGTGGAAAGCCACAGGAGGGTTTTGAGCACAGGCATGATGTACTCTGACTTAGGTCTTTGAAGACTGGATCTAGCTTCTGTATGGAGAATAGATCGTTGAGGACAAGGAGGCAAGCAAGATCAGTTGGAAGATATTTTCCAATAATTGTTCAGGCAAGAGGTGAATGTGACTTGGAATAAGAACAACATAGCTCTGGCTGGGCATGGTGGCTCATGCCTGTAATCCCAGCACTTTGGGAGGCCCCAGTGGGTGGATCATCTGCAGTCAGGTGTTCGAGACTAGCCTGGCCAACATAGTGAGTTGGCCCATCTCTACTAAAAATACAAAAAAATTAGCCGGGTGTGGTGGCATGCACCTGTAGCCCCAGCTACTCGGGAGGCTGAGGCAGGAGAATTGCTTGAACCCAGGAGGCAGAGGTTGCAGTGAGCCGAGATTGCGCCACTACACTCTGCACTCCAGCCTGGGCAACAGAGTGAGACTCCATCTCAAAACAAACAAACAAAAAAACAAAAACAAAAAAAAAACATAGCTCTAATTTATTGAATGCCTATATGTACTTTATGTATATCATTTTAGTAATCCAGTTGAATTTAGCTATCTTTGTGTTTTAGAAGATGATAAAACTCAAAATCTCCCTGTGCCTTAGAAATGCTCTAATGGGAACATTTCAGACATTGTGGCAGCAGTTTTTGGTAGCAGATTTTCAGACTCCATCAGATCCCATCAAAGATTATATTCTACCTAGAGAATCAGGAAGGCAGGTGAGAAGGTAACGCCATCTGTCCCTATGACTCAACAGAGCAGTAATGAGCTTTTACTTTCAACTAGGGAAGCAAGGCTGAGCATGGTGGCTCATGCCTGTAATCCCAGCACTTTGGAAGGCTGAGGCAGGAGGATTGCTTGAGCCCAGGAGTTCCAGACCAGCCTGAGCAACACAGTGAGACAATTCCCTGGCCACTCTTCCCCCATCTCTTCAAAAAACAAAAAAATTAGCCAGGTGTGGTGGCACACATGTAGTCTAGCTACTTGGGAGGCTGAGGTGGGAGGAGTGCTTGAGCCTGGAAGGTCAAGGTTGCCATGAGCTGGGATCTCACCACCACACAGTGAGCTGTGATTTTACCACCACACTTCAGCCTAGATGACAGAGCAAGATGCTCTCTCTCTCTCTGTCTCTCTTACACACACACACATACAGACACACACACACACACACACACACACACACACACAGAAAACTAGGGAAGCAGGGAGGTAGATTGTCACAATTAAAGTGTTCCAGGCCATATTTCTTTTGAATGGTGTTCTGAATTGGGCTAGGCTGTTTCTGTTAGGACAGACTCATTTGACTCCTTGAATCTCTGTCTCTGTGATTGTCAGAAATGGCTCCAGGAAAAATTGTGATCTAGGCAGCTTATCTACTTCTAGGAGCCTCAGTGTTCCCTTTTCGTTTTATCAAAACACTTCTGCAGGACATAGTCTGGTGGCCTTATTCATACTGAAGCATAAATGACTGATACTGTGCCACTTAATATTTTTCATCCATGGGTAGTTTGATTAGAAATAAAAAGCTTTAAACCAAAAGAATGTATCTGTTACTGGAAATTTAGGCAACAGCATGCAGGTGATGTGAAGGGAGGTAGATATTTTTTTCAAGTCCTCAAAATGATATATTTTTGGTCATATAGCTATAATCACTGCAATTCTAAGTACTCGATATCTAGTTTTTGTTTTATCTTTTTATTTTATAATAAAATGCTATGGAAATGTATTGAGTAGTATGTGCTGAGCAGGCATCATATTACAGGATTTACATACATTATTTCATTTTAATACTAATATCTAGTGAAGTAGGTATGATTATTCACGTTTAGAATACGAGCAAGTTAAAGATGTTAAGTAATTTTCTTGTGTAGTAGTATGGGTAGTTAATTATGGGGCTGGGTGAAGCACTCTGGCTTCCTAACTCAGCTTGGTGAAAGTCCTGCCTACTTTCCATAAAACTGTAAAATGTGAATTATGGCAGGTGTTTCTACTTCCCTGAAATGTAGTAAAGGTGAGTCATAAGTCTTTTATGCAGTAATATGGTAGACAATTGTGTTAGTTAGGGTTCTCCAGAGAAACAGACCAATAGGATATATTAGTTACAGCACACATACACACACAGAGATTTATTTATTTTAAGGAATTAGCTCATGCAATTGGGCTGGGAGATCTAAAATCTGTAGGGCAGGCCAGCAGGCTAGAAATTCAGGAAAGAGCTGATATTGCAGTCTTGAGTCCAAATTCTTCAGGGTATCAGGCTGGAAACTCAGGCAAGGTCTCTATGTTGCAGTCTTGAGGAAAATTCTTTCTTTGAGAAACCATGGTCTTTGCTCTTAAGGCCTGATTGGAGAAGGCCCACCCACTATATGGAGGATAATCTGCTTTACTTGAAGTCCACTGAATAAAATGTTAATCACATTTAAAAATATACCTTCACAACATCTAGACTGATCTTTTATGAAAAACTGGGTACCATGGCCTAGCCAAGTTGGCACATAAAATTAACCGTCACATCAATAGCCAGAGATTTTCACTAAATAGACTTTTAAAGGTACCTGGATTCTCCACTTGCAAATTCTGTAGCTGGTTCCTGTGCTGTGGACAAAAACACAAGGCCAGTTGAGGAAGAGAGTGAAGGATGGCACAAAGGAACATATAGTCATATGTTCTATGGTGTGCTTGTTTTTTGTGATAGAATTCATCATATTGTTTTATGGACACAGATACACATTTTTAAAAATTCTTCTTTGCTTTATTATTGTTGGAGGAAGCTATTAGGCTGGCTTGGAAATCCCCGGTTGAGAAAGGGAGGAGAAAAAACACCCAAGCAATATTTCAGGGTCAGGAGGGCAGCTGTGAAGGGGAGGAAGGTCAGGGGATTGGAATTCACACAGATCCTAAGTGTACATGATGACTAAGGAGGAGAGGGGTGTGGGCTGCACAGCTGTAGCACAGGATTCTAACTGCCCTGTGATGGGCACTGTGAAAGAATGAGTGAATTTACTTCATAAATGCAGTGGGAACAATTATTACTTACAGACAATTGGAAGTCAGAAGAAATAGGGATATTGTTATTTTTGTGCTTTTAAGTAGAATATCATGGCTCATAAAATGTTATAAGAAATATGTGTAAATGGCGTGACTATTATGTTCCCCAAAACAACTCCTGTGTGAAAGGGGACAATGAACAAGATGGTTTATACACCTTTGCTCTCTGTGTGTATGAGGAAAAGGATGAATAAAGGATGGAGTGGCTCCATAACACTTCATTACCAGCATGCTACCATCTCAGCAGTCCCTTGCATGATGCTGATCAGCTGCAGCTTCTCTAAGGGGGCAGGTTTCCACCACTCACTCGCAGCAGCTCCAGGAGCCAGAGCTATAGTTGGAAGAAAATGCAGGTCTCTTGGAAGTTGGTGTCTAGCCAGCCTTGTATCTTAAACCAGTTTGAGTCACCACAAATTAGGAGGCTTATCAAAAAGAACCTCATCATCTTGAGCTCTCCTTGTATGACTTGACTGGGACCCACTCATTTTCCTACTGCTATTCTCTGTCTCCCCACTATTACAGTTTTGCTTGACTTCTGACCTTCTTCTCATTCCTGCATAGTAAGCTAGTTTCACTTCTTACCCTAGCAGCCTCAGCCCTACCTTCCTCCAGCCTTCTTTTTTCCAGTCTCTAAATGTTTCTCAAATTCATCCTCTCCATTCCCCCCCAATTTCAATGATTTAGTTCAGGCTCTCATCATTTATTGCTGGACCATTACAGTAACTGCTCACTAATCTTGTCTGAGTGTGATCCCTCTTCAGTCCATGAGTCACACAGCTATACGGGCAAACTACTTATAACCCTTCAGCAACAATCCAGCTCCTACTGGATGAAGATGAAGATGAAGATGAAGATGAAGTCTGGGCCCCAGTGTCACATGCAAGCCCTGCTGTGATCTTCATCCACCACCTGCTTTCCAGACGCCTCTGCTGCCACTTCCACTTGATGCTCTCAAGGCACCTTGTGCTTTTCTCACTTCTCATTCTGGGAGACTGGTTGGATAACTCAAAGGTCCTAACATCTTCCCCCCTCAAACACTATCTTTTCTTACCTGATTTGGAATAAGGTGGCAACAAGCAAGAAAGGAAATACATTCCCTTCTTCCCTGGATCTAGAATAATTCAAAGCAGCCTTAAAATGAGAAAGGATGCTGGAGGAAGGAAGTAGCTGCTGTGCTGATCCCGTTGGTGGGCTCTGTGTATGTGTGTGTGCGAGAGAGAGACAGACAGATAGACACTTGGGGCATTTTTAGCCTTGGTTGTGGCAGAGCTTTCTTTCTGAATTTCTACTCACATTTGACCAAGCTGCTGAAGCCAAGCTGCCAAGCCAATAAATTCACCCAACAGACATTATTCATCAGGGGCCCCCTCCTAAGACCTGGGATTCTGAAGTACATAAGAAACAGCTGCTACCCACACGGTGAGTTTGAATCTCAGTCTGTACACTCTGGGGTAAGAGGTGTTCCCTTGTCTTTTTTTCAACTCACCTCAGGTTCTGACTCCCCGGTCTCCATGAGGCCAGGCCTGGTGTTCCCCATTTCTTCCACCTCAGAATTGTGTTAAGGTTCTGGGGTCCTGTAAGATGCATACCACGGTGTCAGGGAATGGGAGGGAACATTTGTGCCTCCAGGTTATGCCCACCTCAAAAGATTCAGGCTTGTGGAAAATAAAAGTCAGGTATTCTTGCAGGCTGTTTCTGCTTCCCGTCCTGCCATATAGCTTCCTCTAGGGGTAAAGCAAGGAAGGGACAGGTCCAGATCACCTCAGGAAAGAGAGATAAAATGAAATCTACTGGGGCCTTTAGTGCAGATACGGGGGCTTTGAGCCACACAGTTGTTCCAGATGGATCTCAGGTGTTCTAAGAGGAGGATGTGCAACAAATGTCAGGGAAAACCCAAATATTGTTAAGGACATTTGGAATGAACTTAGCATTTATTCTTGAGAGGAGGCTGTGGTTGGATTGGTTTGCTACCATGCAATATGAAGCATCCCACCTGAGCAGAGTTTTCCACCAAGCCAGCTCAGAGGGATCAGGCACTGATCCCTGGTTCCGATTGGGTGCAGCTTAAGGTAGCAGCAGAATTGTTTTCACTGAATGTACATGGAACAGCCCTGCTTTCCTCAGAAGAGGGCAGTGGGAGTGCCAGGCACTTAAAGTTTCATAGACTTTGCTTCTGTGCAGTAATAAAAGTTTTTGTTTTTAATGAAAAAGTAATTATTTCACTTAAGTGTCTACTGTTTGTAGTGAAAGAGTAAGTGTGTAAAAGCTATTATCAAAAGCAATTTTCTGAAGTCTCATTAATGAAGACAGGTAATGAAAATGGAAGCATAAAGAAGATATAAAGACATAACTTTGCTTATGTGTCAATAGAGAAGAACTGAATATCTATAATTGCTTTTTTTTTTAACACTAACATGTTTGTCTAAGTTTTTGTTGTCTCCAGTAATGGAGACAATGAATTTAAAAGAAAAAAACCTTCTGAATTACAGAAAGATATGTATTGGAAAGATACAGGGACATCTCAAAGGAGGTTTAACAACCAAGCTTGGGAAGGATAGATACGGAACTCATGGACTTTGTATCCTGAGAGCTGTTATTAAGGTGACACAGTTGCAATAACTTCTAGTTTCTGTGTCTCTGTTGTTTCATATTTCCTGAAGTGACAATTATATTGGCTTAGTCATCTACCCCTGGATCAAACAAGTGTGAATAGACAACATCACCTAATAGCTAAAATTTACTAATGCTTCCTACCTGTTGACCAAGGGTAGGTACGGGAGCAAAAACCAGCAGGGAGTCATTAGCAGTAGTGATGGGTGGGTGGGTCCAGCTAGATTCGTCGGGAGCCTGAGCCAGCATTTACATGAGTCATACAGCTTTCTTCCATTTCCTGGGCATTGGAAATGTTAACCAGGGTATTTGGGGATACAGCAGAATGAAGTGAACACTTGGATGTCAGTAGAAACATGGAACTATCTATTTTTGTTTGTTGTCCATTTAATTGAAATATTTTGAAAGCTTTCTGTTTTGTTTTATCCCCTCTTCTCCAGTTTTCTTATTTTTAAAAATTTCATCCCCAGTCTATCAATTACCACGATCCCTACCTCTCCTCCTCTACCTTTTCCTTTACTCTCTGAATACAGCAATGTCATCCATCACTTACTTCATGCCAGGGGCTCCAAAGTCATATGTCACCAGGGGCCAGGTATCATACATGCAAGGACTGTGTCAGACTGGAAAGCACAGGTCCTTTACGTGTCCTTTCTTTAAAGGGGAAACCACTAGGGCCAGTATTCCACATCTGAATTTTTATGTGAAAATTTTCCAGTATTTACATGTTTGCTGTTAATTTGTTTTTAAAAATGAGTAGGCCAGCCACAGTGCATCTACAATGATGGTGCTATCAGCAGTGAATAGTTTTGGATAGGATACTCTTGGAAGAGTGAAGTGAGGGAGCTGGGGAACTGCATCTCCAATCTGGCTTCTGAAGGGACTGCGGAGGCTCGACTTGATTTAGCCTCTCTCTCCTTATCAACTTTCTACTATGAGCCATATTTTTATGTATGTATTTATACTATTCCACTAAAAGACATATTTTTAAGCCTAATAAGTGATGATAAGATGATTGATATTTAATTATAAATTGGCGATTTTGTCACTTCTGCTCTCCCAGTTAGATTTCAGGCCCTTCTAAGAAAGAAGCCTATAGGTACTTAAGACATATTTTTAATTAACTGACATAAACAAAAATCCATTTAAAATATAAGATTAAGTATTTTCTAGTTAAATATATGTTTTCAGTATTTGAGTTTGTCTTCCTAATGCATTTGTTTTGTGGGGCTATTTTTAGAGATCTGTTTGCTTTTCCTTTAGGCAAGTTATTTAAAATGTTCTTCCTTTGGTTGGAAAGACTATTTGTAGATACTCAAATGTAAACTAGTTCTGATGTCTCTATTTCTATAATTTTCATATGATTGGGTTTAGGTGGACTTGCAAAAAAAAGATGTCTGAAATTTTTTGAAAATTTTTTTTACATTTTTTAGAAAAATTTTGTATTTCGATACTTTGCATAGTTCTTATTTTATTTGTAATCTGTTTGGGGAGATTTATGGAGGTGTGGGAGCACATAGGACCCAAGAATCTTTGAGTGGAAAGAGACCACAGAGTAAGTGAAGGCTTGGTCCCTTGGAATAGGAGAGTGCTCACTATACACAAAGCAGTCTGGGAGTACTGTAGTTGTACATTTTGAATGGTTTTTCTTTGTTGTGAACTGATACCTGTCATTTCCATGCTTTGGGCCTAGTACTGAACCCAGTACAAGTCTAGTCTTTTTGGGATCCCCAAATATATGGTAATCTTTAGGGCTGTGAGTATATGTTCCCCTAGTGCCAAGGACCACATTTTAGGGCACTTAGTACCATGTGGTCAAGAGCACAGGCTTTCATGTCAAAAGGACCTATATGGAAATCCTGGCTGCACCTTGTACTGACAGAATGACTGTGGACAAGTTACTTAATATCCCTAAACATCCTTTTTCTTATTGGATTTCAGTGAGTATTAAATAAGATAGTCAGTGAAAATGCTTAAATTATAATCACCCAATAAATTAGGCATCTGGATAGAATATACTAAACTGAAAGAAAGGAAGAAGTTTTGCAGAATGTCTTAGTGCTGAGCCTTGATTGTCTAGGATTCAAAGTGATATCCCTATTGGGAACTGAAATTAACATGTTGAAGAGGTATCTGCACTCCCATAGTCATTGCAGCATTATTCATGATAGTCAAGATATGAAATCAACCTTAGTGTTCATTAGCAGTTGAATGAATGAATGTGGCATATATACACAATGGAATACTATACAGTCTTAAAAACAGAAGGAAACAAATCTTTGATACTTACCTTGTATACCTGTGAGAGAGACCATACAGTTAGAGGAAAATGACATTGAAAATTGTCTCCCTCTTCTGTCCCATCAGCAAGCTTGGTTTCCTTAGAAATACAGTACTAAGTAACACTAACCAGTGTACAATCATTACACCCTAGAGTTTGTGTTCTAAATTCCAGTGTTCTTTCATAGGCTGATGAACTGGGCTTCTCTACCTAGAAAGAAACCTTTGACTTCCTTAACTCTGCCTGAAACTGCTTCCCTTGAGTCAGAACTTAGCAGTAACCTTCCTGCTTCCTCTCCCTCTGATCCCCCTTCCTCTCACCTCCACCCAGGCTCTTCTGCCTCTTGGAGTTAAGGGTTCCTGCATATCTCCCCTAACAGAAGAGAGTGAGAGCCAGCTAATGGCCTCACCACTAGACCCCCTCTTCCACACTTACTACCTAAAGGTGGTTTCCAGGTAAGACTTAACTGAGAGCTGTTTATTTGATAAAAGATTTCATACCTTAATTGTTCAACAAGTTTTGAAAATTATTAACTAAAGCAAGCACAAGGTGCCCCAAATTTACCATATCTCATTTTTTCTTCAAGGAGTTAAGCACATTTTCCTTAATTGTTTTCTTCTACATCTATTTATTTGTGGTAGAGCTTGTTTTCCTTGGGATCTCTAAAATCAGATAATGTGCTCTTGCTTTTAAACTTATTTCTAAATAAAAAACTAGTCATATAAGGATAGTCTTGGGCCATACCATATATTTTGATACAACATCGAGGAAGTTAATATTTGTACCTACCTACCTAAGGGAATTTTAAAGAAAATTGTATCTTTGATTTTCCTAATTTTGGAGAAAAAATTTTCTGTTTTTGTTTATATAAAATATCAAAATTATGTGATGCTGAACCTATGTTGTGTTCACTGTATTGTACATTATTAATAAATGAATAGCAGAGGAATTTCTTTTATATTTTTCTGTCTAAAATTATGCTTAGGACTAAGGCAAGCAGGTCATCTTTCTTTGGTGACTTCTTTACACAGGCCACTGCTTCTAGTGCTTCTCTAAGTGTTTGTGAAGAAATGGTACGAGAAATTTCTTAGATCAAAACTATCACTTTGTCCTTGCAACCTGCACCTGTTGATTTTGTGAGCACAGGAATAAACTAAGCAACACTTAAACACACCACAAAAGACCTTGCTATGGGCTGTGCGCAATGGCTCATGCTTGTTATCCCAGTACTTTGAGATGCCAAGGCAGAAAGATTGCTTGAGGCCAGGAGTTTGCGAGCAGCCTGGTCAACATAGTGAGACCCCATCTCTATAAAAATATTAAAAAATAAAATTAGCCCGGTGTGGTAGCATGTGCCTGTAGACCCAGCTACTCGAGAGGTTGAGGTGGGAGGATCTCTTGAGCCCAGGAGTTCGAGGCTGCAGTGAGCTATGATCATGTCTCTGCACTCCAGCCTGGGCAATGGAGCAAGACCTTGTCTCGTAAAAAAAAAAAAAGACCTTGCTATTTCCCCTCAATTCTTCATTTTGAAAATATTCAGATTTATAGAAAAGTTGAAAGAGTAGACCAATGAATACTTATTGTTAGCCTATTATCACATTTAATACTTTTCCTTGTTTTTATTGAAACAATAAAAATAAGTGCAGACATCTTGGGTTTCCTCAGCCTGCATCTTCTATGGATAAGGACACTTTCCTGCATAACCACAATACTATTATTGCACCTTAGAAAACTAACAATAATTTCCTAATATTGTCTAATAAACAACCCAGTTCCATGTTCAGATTTCCCCAGTTGCCCCAAAATGTCTTTTTAGCTTTTGAAAAAGAATCAACCCAGAATCCAACCAAGGTTCATGAATTGGTTGTGTCTCTTTTGTCCTTTTAAATCTAGAACAATTCCTCCTTTTTGAGTGTGTATGTTTCATGTCATTGACCTTTTTGAAGGATCTAGGACAATTGTCTTGTAGAATGCTTCACAATCAGGATTTGTCTGTTTCCTTGTGTGCTTTCTATTTTTGGGTTTTTTTTGGTGAATATTTTGAAATACACATACAGAAATGTGCTTAAGTTATAAATATGTGGGTATGTGGGTTTATGAAAGTTTACTTTTCAGCCTCTGGGATTTTAAACTTTTGGCTACTTTGCAAACCCTTGTCTCTGCACTTTTCTCCGTTGCCTGTAGAGAATGCCTATTGCCAAGACAATTTCTTGGCACTTTCCTACAGATCAGGGTGCTAAGGCTGGGCGGCATCCAATTTAGGCAGTTCCATTGTACTTATCTCAGATCCCCCACCGGGGTTTCAGTTAAAGAAGTTATTGTTCAGTTCCCCTTCTAAAAATGTTGCATTATGTAATTATCCTGGCTTTAGGAGATTTGGGTTGTCTTTATACCATGCGAATGAATGGGCTATCAGGAAAGTCATTTTAAAGCTTTTGGTGATCTAATTCAATTGTTAAAACTGCTTTAATAACTAGGTTGTAGAAGACACAATATAGTAGGTCCTTGAATAATGTTGTTTTGTTCAATGTGTTTTTGTTAATAATGTTGATGAGAAAAAAAAATGAATTCCTGGCTGGGGCCACTGTCAGTGGAGTTCACACTTTCTCCCCATGCCAGTGTGGGTTTTCTGTGGATGCTGCAGTTTGCTCCCACATTCCAAGGAAGTGCACATTAGGTTAATTGGTCCCATTCTGAGTGACTGTGGGCATAGATTATGAGTGTACCCTGCCATGGGATGGTGTCCTGTCCAGGTGTGGTTCCTGCCTTGTGCCTTGAGCTGCTGGGATGGGTTCACCCTTGATCCTGAACTGTAATAAGCAGGTTGGAAAAGGAATGCATGAATAAATGCAAATTATTATAAAATAAAAATTTGTAAGGTCTACAATAATCCTACAAATGCATGACAATAAACAATGTGGTATGAAGGTACTCAGTGGGTCTGCCATATTTGTGATTGGCTTTGAACTGCATGGCAGTAGGAGGTACTCCTTATATTTTTCACTTTGCAAACATTTATTCCTTGATTTAACCCCCCACCCCGATGACTGCTGTCATTTACTGATTCACCAAAAATTGGGTAAATAATTATCTTATTTGTTTTTATTAATCTTCCGTAAATGTATGTATAGCTCACGTTGATTGCAGTGTTTAATATTAGAAGTGTTTTGGTCTTTATTTAGAAGTTTGGTGATATTTTTATGCCCAGAAATATTATTTGTTGTAGGAACTTAACTCTCATTTATATTAATTAGTCTATGTAAAATTGGTTTTATTATATGTCCTTTGACTTAAAGCAGCAGTTTCCAAGAACCTATTGATGATTTTAAGTGAGGATTTACTGTACTGGGTTTTTGGCTTGTAACTATCTAGTGCTTTTTTGTTTGCAGAGATTCAGTATCAGTCCAGAAGTGGCTCATGGTCATTTATGAAAAAGGCCAACTGTTAAAAAGTATTATGACGTAGGCCAGCTTTATCTTCACTACCCTAATTACTCTGCCCCCTTGTTGGTATGGTTACTCCACAGCTCTTTCATGTATCTCTTGTTTTCAGCATACATGCCAAATGGGGATGACAAATGATGGTGTGAATTGGGGTCTTAACCTGGGGTCAGTGGGTCAGTTAATCCCATAAAATGATATGCAAAGTTTGCATGTATTGACTCTTGTACTTTATTCTGGAAAGAGGTTTCATTAACTTTTCAGGGGTGCCTATGAGCCCAGAAATGTTAAAAACACTGACTTAGTTACTTCTTCACAGAGTTGTCCATATTTTCTCTGACCCTTGACATAAAATCTTTTTACTTTTGGTAATCTTTTTATGTGCTTGTATTGGATTAAAATATTATAAGGAATAAAATTAAATTCATTCAGAATCTTAGTCATCACCCAAAGATAATCGCTACTTACATATGGGTAACTATTACATGTACATGCACACGCACATATTTTAAGAAATCATTCTTTATGAATTATTTCTTCTTTACTAAGTGTAGATCAGTAACATTTTTGTTTAATTGCTATAGAGTAGACTATGGTATCCATATAACTATATTTAAACAGTCTCCTATTGATGGACCTAGCTACCGAATTTGTATTTTAATAGGAATCAAACCTTAGGCAACAATAGTAGAATACTAGATAGGAACCTGGGGCTTTTGTTGATTACAGGAGCCCTCTTCCTTTGTCCTACCTTTCTAAGCCCCACATCAAAGGTTAGGCTCTGGCCTTTGGGTGAGAGAACATATTTGCTTTTCTTAAAACAAAAGGGAACTGTAGTTCCGCACTCTTTTCTAGCCCCCAAGATAGTAACATGATTTGGCAAGTCATTTCAAATCAATAAAGAATATAATAGGTTTTCTTTAGGATCAATCCACTTTAAAGCAGCTCCATTTAAATCTGTTTCCAATTTTCAGGGTTCAAATGGGCCTACTTTTATATAGTTTACCTTATATTTTTAAAAAGTATTCATGAAAATTTTTGTGGGAAAAAATCCGATACTTTAATTGTTAAAACACTTGGATCATGTAGCCTGGGAGAGACTTTGCCACATATAAATATGTATGATTTCCCTCAGTTTGTGTGTGTGTGTGGGGTCCATATTTTCCTATGATATATTGTTGAAAGAAGTGTTGTTGATTGTCTTTTCCTCTTTTTCTCTCTTATCTGTTTACCAATGACACTACCAGATTAGAGGCTGCACCAGTCAACACCCATGGGTCCATGGGTGGTAACTGTTCCCATCTGGCTATGAGTGATTAATGGTGTTTATGTCGTGGCATAAATCACATTTCGTTGTTCAATCAGCTGAGACTCAGGCCATTAAAAAAATTTACTCTACAAAAATCAATAACCAGTGGTTTTTGGAAAGGAGCAGTTCTTTAACAGTTATTCTCCAAGTCTGTCTGTAAAGATAAATAATCAAATTACTATCCTCACTAAAATAGTACAGGTAACAAGAAATATAATCTCACAGATAAAGGATGACCTTAAATAAGGACAGATAGGAAGCCATTTTTAGGAAGATAGAAAGCAGCCAAAGAAACCCAATACCCTCTTAAAAGTCTTTAAGAATGTCACCCTTTTATGCAGAGCCAGCCAAAAACAAAATCTCAGAAAGCTCAAGATGGATTTTCAGAAAAGCATGGAAAATAAACTGGGTTGATAATAGCATGCTGTGACTGACCTAATGCCACTCACAACTCCCTATGGATTGTAGCTACAATACAGAAAATCAATTTTATTTACTTTTTGCCTCAAGTTTGCCTAATGCCTTATTGTCATTAGAAAAATATACAGACTGTAAATAAATAAATTAGCCAAGATGATGAAATTTTATGTAAAATAAAATGGAAGACAGCTTTTTTGGGGGGAAAGAATAGAGAGCTACGTCTTACATACCTCACTTTGTGGGAAATATTACGTGAACTTCTAAAATAATGGGGTTTACACCTACTATGTGCCCACAAAAAAGAAAAATAAATAAAATAAAATAATGGTGTTGACCATGCATAGCCACAGGCCTAAACAGATTGAGGTAAGGTTGGTAGTCCTGATGCAATTAGAGTTTATTTCACGTACCTAGGGTGAGTGTTTTGGGATGTGGCTCACACAGCCTGTTTGTGCTGCAGTTGCCACTGCTTTTGTGGGAAGCCCAGTGTTTTTGCTCAAATTGGAGCATGCCTCACTGATTTCTGCCTGTAACTTGCTTCTTAGGAATCCATGGCTGCAAGTTACATTTCAGGAATTCGAGTTATACCAGTTTTGCATCTTTACCATGAGTCTCAGCGAAGTAGAATTCTCAGTAGGAAAGTCAAGACTTCCTTTTGATATGTCGTTATGTTTATAATTTTGCAGCAGAGATAGTCAACATCCTTGTTTCCTTAGTAAGCCAGTGGCTCTGTAAATAATCACAAACACAACCCAACAAAGAAGGAAGGAATAACATCTTGTGCCTTTTCCCTCTATGGAAGATATTAACACTTTTATGCAAGACATGACCCTACAGATTTGCTCCAGCTAGATGAAGGGAGGACTAACCTTCAGGCAAAGTGCTTTGGCAAAAGCATCCTGTTTCTCATTTCACTGTGTAATGACCAGGAGCTGAGAAGAGCTCTGTTTCCTGTCACTGCGCAGCATCATTCTCATTTACATTATTGGCAGCTGTTACTTTGCTGGAAGTTTAAATTATCTTGAGAACTCTAAACCGAGTTCAGATGTTTGTTTATTGGTGCTGCCATAGGCTTCTGAAAACAGTCTTTTGTGTTCTCCCAGTCTTAAGAAAAGGCTCTTCTCAGAATCAGCCCTTCCTCCCTCCTTGCTCTTTTCTGGGAACCTGCTTCAGTCTCATGAAGAAAATTAAATAAAGAGGACAGGGGCTTAAAACTGGTCAGAACGGAGTCTCCAGTGGTGAGGTGACTTGAAGCGGAAAGGAGTTGGGACTCAACATCCTGCATTTGTGCTTTGTTTTCGAAACTTCGAGTTAGTTGCATTGATGAATTAAGCAGCAGGCTAGTAATGGAAAATATTTCTACTGTCCTGGTGGGGGAGCCAAATACTATAGGTTTGTAACAGGAAGGCTGTTGATTCTGGCTTCATTGTTGGGCCAGTCATTTGTGAGCTGGTGGCCGGACCACAGGCCACACACTTCTTCCGTGCAAATCTTCATGTATTGAAACTGCCTGTGTATTGTTTTTACGATTGGAGACTTGGCCAAGAAAAGATGGTGAGCTCCGGGTTTTATTTTTTTGGTTTCTGCATATTCCCTCAGCTCCGAGGATGGTGCAGGATATGCCAGACCCAGTTTGGGGGCAGGGAGGGCGGCGGTGGTTGGTGGGGGAGATGTTTAAATCATTGAGCATATGTGAGTATTTTGCTGTTAATGCTTTTTCTGTGTCATTCTCTGTAGAGTTCCGGGAACGCGTCCTATCGCTGCTCTATGTCTTCCTCTGCGGATTTTTCCGATGAGGATGATTTCAGCCAGAAATCTGGCTCCGCATCCCCAGCTCCGGGAGACACCTTACCCTGGAATTTGCCTAAACATGAGAGATCGAAAAGAAAGATTCAAGGGGGCTCAGTGCTGGACCCTGCCGAGAGGGCAGTGCTTCGGATAGCAGGTAAGAGCATCTGGGGAAGGGGATGGAGTGGGGGAAGAGAGTTGCGGAAATTCGCCCATCTACCTCCTGGGGGGCCATAGCGGGAGCTGATGCACTGGGCAGGAATCTGTGCTCAAGGTGGGGGAGGATGATGACCATGTTTACTTTATGCCTTGTTTTACCGATAGAGCCATTTGCCCTGCCTGCTGGTGACTAAGCTGTTTGGCCCTGCCTTCTGGTTGGACGAATCGATTCCTTTGAAATGCAAGGAAATATTTACAGACATTTGCACTAAACTTTCCTAATTACTGCATTAGTTACCATAACATTCTGAAAGTATTAGCTCCAGTGATTGCTAGTATATTTGCGGGAAGCTGGAAGTGAGCAGCCTTTATTTTCATTTTTGCCCAGGGGCACTGAGCTACGCAGATTGAGAAGATCCATGGTTTTTGGTACCCAGGATTGCAAAGCATATTCCAGCAACTTGGATGTTGTTTTTCTTTAAATGTAGCATCTCTGTCTGCATCATTGTATCCATAGCAGCTTTCTGTCCTTAGTGCTTTTGAGGGTTTGGCCATCACGCCTTCCTGATTAATTAATACATGAGATGTGCCAATGTTTCTGTTCTGTGTTACCCGGTGTTCCCTTGCATTGGCCCTAAAAGCTGAACCAGAAGTGATGGCTTGTTTTACCCAGCTGAAAGCTGAGAACACTGTGGAAATCAACCTTCCAACCCCTGCGTGGTTTGTGTGTATGTGTCCTGTGCATGAGAGGTGCTTCCAGGGGTGTTGTTCCTTTCTTCCCTCAATATTTTTTTTTTCTTTCTTTCTTGGAAATGGTAACAGGGCAGGATGGAATGTGTCCTTGGGGACTTTCTTGCAAAGGCAGAAGGCCAGGTGTTCTTTAAGTTTGTTTCTGCATCCAGTGGTTCAGGCTTCCTTTCCTTCCCTCTCTTCCACTCTTAACTCTGGGGGTCCCTTTCCACAGTTGTTTTTTTTTTTTTTTTTTGCCTCCTATACTGTATTGCAAAGTTGGTACTTTCTCTTCCTCCAAGGGGGCTGGAGGGGACCAGCCCAGATTCCGGCCATCAAGGCAGCTGAGAACCCCCTTTTTGTCCCCCCAGTGGGATTTTCTGATTACGGGAAAAACAAACAGTGCCTAGCCAGCCATTCTCTAGTCAGGGTTTCTGGGGCAACAGCCTTGAGCTTCTTCTGGCTTCCGCTGTGAGATGCTGGCTGGTCTCACCCAGGCCTTTGAAGAGCAAGGGGTGGAGTGAGAAAGGGGAGGTGGAGGGAGGATGGAGACTGAGAGTGAGCAGGGGTAGACTTGGAGAGTCAAGGCAGACCAGAAAATGTTTAGTCACTGAGGCCTGCCTCCTTGCCCTGTTGAGAACTTTCCCGCAGGTCTGAGGCTCCAGCGAAATGAATGCCTATACAGATGACACTGCCCATACCAGATGTTTGACTCAGCAGAAAGGGAAGATAGATGAAAGGAGGGTGTGAGTGAGAAGTTACTGGGGGCTGATGGCCCACTTAGGGCATCAAAATGGGATACCTGTTCTATGTATTTTTTGGAAGGTAGAAGGTGCTTCTGGGCTGAGAGTTTTGATAGTAGTGGCAGAGATGGATATTTTGCTTTCAGTAATGAAGGAGGGAGTTATGACAGAAAGACAGGGCAGGTGTTTGTTAGGGGGAATGAAATTAGATAAATTGGGAAAAACTCTACTGGGCAGGAAGTCATGAGAAATTGGTAGTACTAACCATCATTGTACACTGCAGGTGGGGAAGATATTGAAGAACTCTATGTTCTAATGGGATGCAGTGTACATGAAGGTGCTGATGCTATTAGTAGACTGTGGAGTCATTGATGCAGGGGCCATCGCTTGTTAATTGTAAAATGTTCACTGAGTTTGTAGGGATAGCTGTGAAGTTGGTGGCAGGTGATGCACTGGGGATCTCAAAATTCCATTCTTTAGAATTTACAGGCCAGGTGTCGTGGCTCATGCCTGTAATCCCAGCACTTTGGGAGGCCCCCGTGGGCGGATCATGAGGTCAAGAGATCGAGACCATCCTGGTCAATGTGGTGAAACCCCGTCTCTACTAAAAATACAAAAATTAGCTGGGCGTGGTGGCGTGTGCCTGTAGTCCCAGTTACTCTAGAGGCTGAGGCAGGAGAATTGCTTGAACCCAGGAGGCAGATGTTGCAGTGAGCTGAGATCTTGCCACTGCACTCCAGCCTGGCAACAGAGCAAGACTCTGTCTCAAAAAAAAAAAAAAAAAAAAATTGCATGAATTCTTCAAAAGCAGAAAAAAATAAAATGAAACAACAAACAGTAGGGAAGCATATGATTTAATTTAATTTAATTAATTTATTTATTTTGAGACAGATTCTCTCTCTGTCACCCAGACTGGAGTGCAGTGGCATAATCTTGGCTCACTGCAACCTCCGCCTCTTGGGTTCAAGTTTTCTCCTGCCTCAGCCTCCCAAGTAGCTGGGACCACAGGCATGCACCACCATGCCCAGCTAATTTTTTTTTTGTATTTTTAGTAGAGATGGGGTTTCACCATGTTGGCCAGGCTGGTCTCGAACTCCGTACCTCAAGTGATCCACCCACCTCAGCCTCCCAAAGTGCTAGGATTACAGGCGTGAGCCACCACACCTGGCCTATGATTGTATTTTAAATAAATATTGGTAAATTAGCTTTTTGCTAGGCAAATCATAAACAATAATCATACATGGAGGATAGACTTGGGGGGCCAGTCCATAAATATCTGTTTAACTTATAATGTGGCTAAATTATGAAATTTAGATATATTATGTGTTAAACTGGCCACTCATCACCCAGTGTGAGGATGAGGGTACAGGTTATCTAATGGAATTTGGTGCTGTAGATACTATGAAAACATACAATTGAAAATTCAACTTCTAATTTTGTTATATATTTTCATACTCTTCCTGAAACTTACCCCCTCCCTGAAATTCACCCTTTTTAGGAAATGAGGTGAAGTTCAGAAATGGTGTGAGGATGTCTATAGTGGTCATTACTTAGTAATAAAAGAGCTGAGAGTTTAGTATTTTCATTTGTTTTTAAGGTCCTAAAAATAGAATTGATTGTGAAAGTGTCTATTGAGTCAAAAAGACTATGTGGTCTGTGGGATACCTTAATTCACCCACATTTAGCAACTACTTATTGAGCCCCTGCAATAAAATGAAGATTAGCATACAGTTCTGCCTTTAAAAAGTCATAGTTTCAAAAGAGATTGGTGAATGGACACAAACTTACAGTTAAAAGAAATGAGTCCTAATATTCCATAGCAGAGTAGGATATCTATAGTTAGCAATAATATATTGTATATTTCAAAATAGCTAGAAGGAAGGACTTGAAATATTACCAATACATAGAAATGATAAATGCTTAAGGTGGTGGATACCTCAGATACTCTGACTTGATCGTTACACATTCTATGCATGTAAAAAATACTTGCAGTATGGTGCCCTCATTAATATATAAAATATCATGTATCAGTAAAATAAAAAAGAATAAGCTGGAAAATAAAGGTCATAGTCTAATATGATAAATGGATGTGTTGTTAAACAGTTACAACGCGGTAATTATTAGTTGTTACAGGGATTAGTTGAGATGGCTATAAGCACCTAAAATTAAAAGAACCCAGAGGACAGTGTAATTAACCTGAGGGGAGAAGGGAGGCATGGGAGGTTCCTGAAAGGTTTCTGAGAGGAAGTGCCACTTGAATTGAGATTTAAAGAGCTTGATGGAATTAGGGTGAAAGGGAAGCCCACTTTAGAGGGATGGAACTACAAGAACAAAGGTAGGGAGATGGGTGTAAATGGGAACTGCAAGTAAAGTGTGTTGCTAAGTGTGGGATTTGGAAGGGAAAGACAGAAACTGTAAAGATGTTTGTGTACAATCCTGAGGCAACTGGACTATTTATGTTGTAAGTGCTAGGGAACCATTGAAAGATTTTTAAGCAATGGAATGGCATAATCAGGTTTACGGTTTGGAAAGTCATATTAGTGAAGGCGTCACATGTCTTAACACTTCTTATTATTTATTTGTTTATTTAAAAATTTATTTATGAGTTGAGGGTTTGCTCTGTTGCCCAGGGTGGAGTGCACTAGCATGATCACAGCTCACTGCCACCTCTAAGTCCTGGACTCAAGGGATCCTCCCACTTCAGCCTCCTGAGTAGCTAGGACTACAGGTGTGTACCACCATGCTTGGCTTATTAAAAATTTTTTTTTATAGAGATGGGTTCTCATTGTGTTGCCCAGGCTGGACTCGAACTCCTGGGCTCAAGTGATCTTTTCTGCCTGGGCCTCCCAAAGTGTTGGGATTATAGGAGTGAGCCACAGGGCCTGGCCAACTTCACTTTTTTTTTTTTTTTTTTTTTTTTGAGACAGGGTCTTCCTCTCTTTCTCAAGCTGGATTGCAGTGGTGTGATCTCAGCTCACTGCAACCTCTACCTCCCGGGCTCAAGCGATCCTCCCACCATAGCCTCCCAGGTAGCTGGGACTAAAGGTGTGTGCCATCATGCCTGGCTAATTTTTGTATTTTTGTAGAGACAGGCTTCCACCATGTTGTGCAGGCTAGTTTCGAACTCCTGGGCTCAAGCAATCTGCCCACCTTGGCCTCCCAAAGTACTAGTATTACAGGCGTGAGCCACTGTGCCTGGCCCAACTTCACATTTTTAGTCTTTAGTGCTTTTGTATCTGTTGTGGTTTCATCATATTAAAATCTGAGACTATAGTATGTTTACTTCTTATCTCCTAGGGTCAATGTGAGAATAAAACAATGAAATATAAGGAAAGGGGCTTTTAAACACCCATTGTATAAATGCTTTTTACATATGAGCAATACAGATCTGCTGTTGTTAGCTACAGGATATTGTAAGTTGGGTTTTTCAGTCATAAACTACCTGTAAAGTTACATGGTTTGTCAGTGATAATGCTATTTTAAGAAAAGGATTTTTGTCCTATCCAAATTCTTCGAAGTTGGAATTGAAGGATCAAAGGAGAATCAGACTTTGAACTCAGGCAGACTTGGTTTTAATTCCTTCTCTGTCCATGACTAGTTGTGTTTACTTGGACAATTTACCAAACTTATCTTAGCCTCAGTTTCCTTATCAAAGGGTCATGGTTGTGGTGATTAAATATAATAGTGAATGCAAACAATTCTGCTACCTCCTTGGCACATCAAATGCTTTATAAATGATAGCTTACCCATGGCCAGATGTTCTTCTAAGCACTTAATATGGTATCCTATTTAGACCTCCCAAGAACCCCATGAAGTAGGTACTATGATTTTCTCCATTTTCAGTTCAGAATCTGCTGAGAAAGGAAGAAAAACTTTGCCAAGGTTGTAGTGTCAAGAAGTAGTAGAGCTAGGATCTGAATTCAGGCAGTCTTTACTCCAAAGTCCAAGCTATTTACTGCTACGCTTTTGCCTCTTCTCTATGGAATACACTATTATTATTAGCATATTGACCCAATGTTACCCTTCCAAGAATGCATGGGGTAAAGGCTGTTTTTAAAAACAATCCCAAATGTTGCTTCTGCTCATTTTGACTGGTTCCTTAAATGGATGATTAAAATTACTGTGTGCTGACTATATTCATAAAACTGGGTGCTACTGGGTGTCAGTCTCTGATGAAGGCTCAGACGTGCCTTCAATGACCTTACTCATTGTAAAGGAGACATTTTTGAGAGACCTATGTCTATACATGTGTGGTCTGTAAATGAATGACTTTCAGGGACTTAATTGCTAACCCTTTTATTTCAAGAAGGTGTCCCATATGATGCCTGGTTGTTACTTTATGAACTAATGTGCATACAAATGCATATCGAGCTGTAAGAAAACTCTAGTAACCTTAAAGACTTACTGGGACAGTGGTTCAAACTCAGATTATAAACCAGTGGTCAGGATAGAAAAAAGAGATGTGGTCTTGCTTTGTTTGGAGTAACAGAAGTAGGCCAATTGCTGAGGAGTGCTCCAGTTCTATCTCAAGTCAGTTTTTTTTTCCCACGAGTACACAATTTTTTCTTTCAAGAGGAACTCATCCCTATCTAAGCATTAATGGAAAATGGTCCATAGTTCACAACACCCAACGCTAACAAAGAAATAAAAAATCATGGAGGGCAAAAGGTCAGTATATGTGAAAGGAGGAAATAGGGAAGGAAGATTTAGACAAGACGTGAAGTTGACATAGGTCAGACTGTCAACAATCAGCTGATTTATCTAATAATAGCAGTAGCAATGAGGTATCATCCTGTCACTGTACTCCAGCCTGGATGACAGAGTGAGACCCCACCTCCTAAATAAAGTAGTAGGTGCAGCAGCTAATCCTTATATAACACCAGACATTATTCTAAACTTCATTTACTATACAACTTTATGAGTTAGGCACTACTATCGCTGTTTTACTGATGAAGAGAGTCTCAGAGAGGATAAGTAACTTGCCCATGTGACACAGTAAGGAGTGAAGATTCTATGTACAGCAGCCTGACTTCACTGTTTTTTTTTTTTTTGAGACGGAGTCTTGCTCTGTCGCCCAGGCTGGAATACGGTGGCGTGATCTCGGCTCACTGCAACCTCCACCTCCCGGGTTCAAGCAGTTCTCTGCCTCAACCTCCCGAGTAGCTGGGATTATAGGTACCCGCCACCACGCCCGGCTAAATTTTGTATTTTTAGTAGAGACGGGATTTCACCATTTTGGCCAGGCTGGTCTTGAACTCCTGACCTCGTGATCCACCCGCCTCGGCCTCCCAAAGTGCTGGGATTACAGGCGTGAGACACCGCGCCCGGCCAGTCATTACTCTTAAACACATCCATTTACATGCCTGGGTATCAGTTGGTTCCTCCAATGGACGCTTAAACTCACCCACTTTAGTATATGATACACATATATCTAATTTAAGGGAACTGTATCCATTTTACTCAGTTTAATGGATACTAGTACTATGTAGAATGAATAATAAGGAGAGAGCAGGAGGGAGGTGATAAATATGGGGCAGTTGTGAACCTATAGGCCCGCCGCGGAGCCCAGCAGCAGATGCGCCTGTGGGCTCTGGGGGGCAGAAGGGAGGGACCGCAGGCTGGTACTCGGCAGCCTCGCGGCGGCCGGGAGCTCAGGCGCAGGCGCGGCCCGGCTGTCAGGCGCTGATGCGCGGGGCCACCTGCAGAGGCCTCCTCACCCTGTCCCCGGGATGTCCCCTAGACGCGGACCCCCGTGCCCTCCTTGCCCTGTGCTGTCACAGAGTGACCTGAATCCTCCCACGCCAAAAAGATGGGTGGAAGAAAGTATTTCCAACCCTCCCCCCGATCATCCCTTACCCAGGGAGAGCCGCTGGCCCCTCAGCAGGGGGCTGCGCACAGCGGTGGAGCGATCTGCGGCTTTGTTTCTCAGGCACCTGTTGTGGATCCCAAATAGAAACGTCGCCCTTGGGGATCCGGGACCGGGCAGCCAGTGTCCGGGGGTGGGCGTGCTTGGCCGCACGGTCCACCAGGGTGGGCGGGCCTGGGGAGGGGGCCTGGGGCGCGTGGCTCTGCCTGGGAGGGAGGGGCCGAGAGGCGCCGGGGCCGGAGCTGAGCCAGCCGGGGCGCTGACCGCCGCGCTCGCCCCCTCCCTTCCGCCCTCCGCCCTCCACCCTCCACCCTCCACCCTCCACTCTCCACCCTCCACCCTCCACCCTCCTCCCTCCCTCTCTCCCCGGCGCGGGCGAGTGTCTGCGGCGCGGCGGCCAGGAAATGCCGCAGATGCGCCGCGCAGCATCCCCGGTGAAGGCAGCGCGCCGGTCCTCCCGCACCGCTGCCGCGGCCTCGGCCCGGCCCGAAGCACGCGCCTCGTGCAGGGCCAGCAGAGCGGTCAGCGCGGCCGCAGAGGGTCCGGGCGCCCGCCGGCCCCCGCCCGCCCTCGCCGCACGCCCCGCTCCTCCGCTTGGCGTGGCGCTGCTCGTCGCCGCCCCTGGGCTCGCTGAGATTTGCCGCTGCTGAAACCCGAGAGGGACTCGGGCTCCCGGAGCCGGGCGGCCCACCATCGGCCTGCCCGGAGGCCTGGGCGTTTCCTTTGCCGGCCCTGGCGCCGGCAGCCCCCTGCGCCCCCGCTCTGCGTCTTCGGCTTCCGTGCTTCTCCCCAGCGTGCTGCTCCTTCCTCTTTTCCAGTTCCCAAGGCTGTGTCTTGCTGACTGCGATACTGTCCGGGGGTTACGAGGGGGAGAGGGGAATTTGTCAGTCATCGCTTAGATAAACTTCGGCATGGCGGGTTACCTCTCCCCTGCTGCTTACCTGTACGTGGAGGAGCAGGAGTATCTCCAGGCCTACGAGGATGTCCTGGAGAGGTACAAAGGTATGTGGTCCCTGCCCTGGGGCTGCGGAGCTTGGCACTGATCAGAGAGGCAACCGCTGCCTTTCCTTAATCAGAGCCACCACTCCTTGGGCACGAGTAAACAGGTGTCTGGACCAGTCTTGGGAATGGACCAGGTCTTTTTGCACGGGATTTAGTACCCCCAGCGCAGGGAGGATGGTGGGGTGGGCGACAGTCCGGAGACGCCCTTAGATGAGCGGTAGAGAGGGGGGAAGGGGGTTGTTTCCAAGAAGCACATTGCGTTTTCTCTCCCTTGTAAAAGCTCTTAAGCACTACGCGTAATCATAATTCTTCCTGGGAGGGTGGATACCGATTATTCTCTATGGGATTACTAAGGCATTGCTGCTGCTGCTTGGCTAGGGTATTGGTTAGCCCTGTAGAAAAGGTTCAGCATCACTAGATCATTTTCCTTAAAATGATCTTTCTTATTTGATAAAGTTTGTGACTATATACTTACTCTGATATATTGTAAAAATTATTTTATAGCGTGATGGATAAAAGACTTTAGTGAGTTTGTTGTAAATTTAAATGTAAAGAATGTATTTTGAGATTTTTTTCTGCCCATCCTTTATGTTCAGGAAATTCTATGCCAATCTGATATTTATGTTTTAGTATAATGTTTACTTGGACTTCATAGTTGAATATAATGATGAAATACAAATTGCAGCTGTCCATTTTTTAAGTGTTTTTGTGTCTGGAAATGTATTTTTAAGTGTGTGTATACCATCTTTTTATTGTGGCTCCCAAAACACTCCGAACTCAAGAGCAGCTCACAGAGGTTTAAAGTATTTATAGTGAATAGTGACCCATTTCATAGGTAGGATTCAGATGGTTTTATATCTTTTGAATATTTGCTTTGGGTTTGGTAACTCAATGTCAGTAATTTCAGTGGTATTATATGGTTAATGATGCATGTAGTTTTTCTATTAGTAGAAAGTAGAAATAAAAAAAAATTGAACTAAACAATAAAATTCCAAAGCCCCAAAAAGCCCAAATACACTCACAATTGTTTTCTCTCTTTGTAGGATATGTTTTATAACCGAAATTCTTGCAATCCTTGTAGAATTTTGTAAACAGTACAATGAGAATTCCTTTGTGCCAAGACTCTTATTGTGTATAATACTGCCACTGAGCAAGTGCAGTGATATTTTAGGCTAAAGCACATTTGTGACATTTGTGTGTGTGTGTGTGTGTATGTGGGTGGGTGGGTAATATACTCATGTTTACCTGCATCACTCCATTTTAAAGTAAGGTTTGTAATTAGTTGTTTCCAGAGCTTTGAAAAGGAGAAATATTGCAATATAGACCAACAAACCTTATTGAAGAAATACATCTGTGCTCTATACAGTCAGAAATAAAAAAATCTGAAAGTTCTAAAGTAGATACATTTTATACTTTTGAAAAAAATTATAGCTGAATGAATTTTTGTCACATGAAGTTTTACTTAAGTGACACGTGGGTGATTTCAGGTGACTGAAAACGAGTGCTTATTTGACTTTGTCTAAAAGAAGTAGGCATTGTTTAAAAGCTTGTCTTTGCCTTTGGAAATAAAAGGAAATTAAAGATCTGAAGGCCAGTGTACAACAATCAGTATTGCCCTTAAACAGATACATTTTCAAACATATTGTTCAGACGTCACTGAAAAAATGATGGGAGTTTTCCTCATTTTTACTTAAGGTTTTTAAAATGCTTAGTTCATCAATTTGTACTTGGGCTTTATAGCTGTGCTATGTTTCATTTAGTCATGGAAAGGAAAGTAAGAGTATTGGGCAGTGTATTCCATGAAAAGCTGGAGACCTGGAAAACTCATTGTTTCCCGATGTGTTTTGAAGCCAGTTATGATTTCCCATCAGTATCCAGTATGATGACTTCACTACACTGCTTATTATCCTGGTGACTTGCTGTGGGGACTGATCTAATCAGAAAAGAATTGTAGGCTTTGAATAGGGAGTGTCAGTTCACTAAACGTTCAGAGTACGGTTGCTCACTTTCTGAAATCATGCATTGTTCAAAACATTTTATGTTCTCATTTAAACTTAAAGGGAAGTCATTTTGATTTTATTTCTGACAGAGTTCCTTGGTTACAGAATGAGTTTGCATTCATCTAGAATATTATCAGGTTGCCAAGTTATCATATGCCTCAGCTGTTGAGTAGTGTAAGTGGTGGAGTCAGCTGGAACCAATTCAAAATCTGCCTGTTGTCAGAAATGTAGAATTGTAATAATCTATAATGTTAGGAATTATGAGCATTAGATTTAGAAGTCGAGAGTTTTGTTAGGTCTAGTCTTCAGACAGCCTTGAGAGGAGTTCAAATCAGACTCTGTAGAAAAACAAGAAAAGTGGAGAGTGAGCGCTAATTATTTATGGTGTAGTCAGTCTATTCTTGTATCTTGTTTTGGTCCATTACTTCTGAGCAAAAATAGGCAACTGTTTGCTGAATTAGAATAACACAGAAAGAGCTATTTGCTACAAAGAAGGGTGCAGTGTTCTGATTCATATTCGAGTCCTGTTACTTGTAAAATATATTCATGGAATATTCAGGGACATCTGATTAAAAAAACATATTTCTTCAGCTGATACCAAACTTCGGCTGAATAAAGGCATTTATTTTTGAGTAAAACATAATTCTTTATTATTGTTTAGGCTAGAAATTGTCTACATCAGAATGGCTTTCTTTTATATCTATAGTAAATTATCCAGTGTATATACCGTGTAATACAAAACATTCTTAGTAGCTTAGCTTAAAAGATACAGTAGTATCTTATTTTTTTTCTTAAG
Organism: Homo sapiens; assembly: GCF_000001405.40. Classification (NCBI taxonomy): domain Eukaryota; kingdom Metazoa; phylum Chordata; class Mammalia; order Primates; family Hominidae; genus Homo; species Homo sapiens. The sequence goes on along the minus strand of NC_000006.12, from coordinate 56,840,258 downwards.
TGTAAGGAAACTAACCCATATGCTGTTATTATAAATGATTAATTAGTTCTCATCTTATGAAATTCTGCTTTTTGAGTTTATCATTGGAATATTTGTTTTCCCAACACATTGTTACTTTGTAGTATGATGTTAAGTGAGAAAATGAGATAATGTGAATTCAATACATTTCATTCTATACCTTATAGATGTAATTTTAAAATGTTACATTATTTTGTTCCACCAAAAGGGTTATTTTTCTATTGATCTGGAAGTAAATCCGTTGTACCTAGACAACCGTAATGAAAGTGTTGCATTTATCATTCTCTATGAAAGCTGCATGGAATGGTCGTTTTGGTTACTTACCTGTAATATCACTAACCCCACTCCACCCCCTCACCCCCTGCAAACTGCTGTTTAGGCAATAGGCAAAGTTTTCTCTGTTTTTTACAAATACCTTGTATAATTGCTTTAGTTTCTTCTCTCATTAGGGCTATAAAATCTGCTTATGTGCATGGTGACAAAAGGAACGAAGATTACCATAATTTTCATTTTCAGTTCGGGTTTATTGCCTTTATTGATAGGTGATTAGTAAAAATTCTGTCATTTTACTCTGTAAATCGGCTCTGACACTCCCTTGAATTGAAAATTGGAGTATACAGGTTTCAGGGAATTTCTCTGCAGCATGTAATGATCTAGCTCAGTGGTTTTCATTTGGCTTCCAGGATTCTGAAAAAACTTGATTTCAAATTTCTTCTGCTCATGCTCTGTTCATAGGTTAATAGTTATATAATAAATGAACTTTAACTGTGCTGCATCATGATAATATTATAGCTAGTCATAATAGTATAAGTCTGGGATTTTTGTTTTCTTTTAAAAGTGAAACAGGTTGAATTTGCTGAGTGTTAGTTAAGATTATGTTTGACTGTTTGTAACAGAAAACAAATGATACTGCTTAGCCAAATAGGTGTTTTCTTTTTCTTAGGTACTGAGAAGTCCTAAATAGGCAAAACTGGGTTGTAGGGTACCCCCATTTGCCAGTAGGGACTCAGACTCCTCTATTTCTGTGTGGCTATTTATAGTGTATCTTGTGGTTGTTTTGTGATCACAAGATGGCTGCTCCTCTTCCAGCCCTTATATCTCCATTCCAGGGGACAGCTGTTCCAGGGGCCATCTCTATCTGCAGGTAGACTAGGAAATGTAGATTTTTAAGCCGGCTTCATTTAGTGCCCTGAACAAAATTGAAGTTTTGTTTGTAAAGAATAAGGAAAGAATGGCAACTGGTTTTGCAATCAGCAGTGTCTGGCACATGGAGGGCAAAGTGTGCTAAAATTGGGAACTTAAAATTTGGATACATATTAACAATCATCACACAATATATTTGACTTCACTAAAGTTTGAAGAAGATCTGAGAGCACCATGAGGTTTCTTAGTATTTTCAAAATGACGCATTTGAATGTTTTATGTTACAACATGGGTTTGAAAAGTCATTCTCACCAAATAATTACGATTAAATTGTGTTTATTGCCTCACACAATAAGGAGTGTATATGAGTTCAGAAATGTGGGAAATTATTAGGTATTGTTAGTGAATTTAATTTTAAACTTCTACTGATGCTCTTTTCAGTTTCTTTTGTTCTTAGAGAGTTATCTCAACATTTATTTAGCCCAGAGACTTTAAAAAGAAGGCTTATGCTTTTTAAAACTTCTAGGTTTTTTTTTTGTTGTTGTTTGTTTGTTTTGTATTTGAACAATTTGGAGATGCTTGTTTTCTGGCTCAATAACTTTTTAGGTAATCAGTGTAAGGACAGGTGGTGAAAACAATTTATTGTCTTACTGCTATCTTGTAGTCTGACAAAGAAGTGCTTGTATTTCTGCCGTTGGGTCATATGTGCCTCAGGATCCTGGCTCTGTGGGGAGCTGGAATATTTGACCAAAGCATCTTCATGCAATTGGAGATTATGAAAATATCTGAAGCTATAGAGGTGATAACAAGATGGAATATCTAGGCTGTCATGTTCATTTCTGTTTTAGTTCCACAACTGAGTATAAAAGTGCACAAGAACACACCCAAATCATGTGACCTGGTGGACTAATTGGGAAGAAAAGATGATTTGTAGTTTCGAATGTTTGTTATTTCATATTAACTAAACACAGATGCTTCTGTTTCATGGAAGTCTCTCTATAATGGCTTTGAATAAAAAACAGGAAAGACTTCTGTGTCCATTTCTTAGCTCTTAATATTTCAGGGATTACATTCTACCTATGTCCAAGGAGGAATTTCAGGTAATTATTTGCTGAAGTATGTCATTGTTTCAGTAAGTGATCAAATGAGACCCCTTCTTATTCATTTTTTTTTTCTGCTTGTCCTTTAATGCAATTTTGTTTGCTTTTGTTTTCTGACTTGCTTCATCTCTCCCAAAAGAAGAAGCAAATAATTCTGCTTAGGCTGGGGAAAAGCTTTGTATTTGGGGTCAAATGGGATTTCACCCTGTGAGAAGGTGAAAAGTACCAGGGAGGAAAACTCCAAGAGGAGAAACTAGCATGACTGTTCCATTTCATTGACATAATTGCCAAAATCATTTTGATCGTTGGCTGAAGTGCACCGCAGGTTTCAGGGAAAGGATTGGTTAGAATTTGTAGGAAGATGGATATGGATGAATGATGGAGGGTTATGCTGTACCAGATTGAAAGCAATCTTGAGTGCCTATTCTTTAGGCAGTGAGGGTGACCCTTTATGATCCCCAGCAGGAAGTTAGATAGATATTAGAAAGAGCACTCTGGCAGCAGCGCGGAGGACTGAGTGGAAGGGAAGACTCAGGCAGGGAAACAGGTTAGGTGGGTACTGTAAAATTATAGTGGTTGGAATGGAAGGCTGATTCAAGAGAAATTTCAGAAATTGTCAGGATGGCCGATTAGTTGGTTCTGCATGTGGGGACAGGAGGCGGGTGCAGCAACTTTTGTTGTTGAAGTTATGTCCAAAAAAGTTTGAAATGTTTCCTTTTTAAGTTTTTAAAAAACTTGTAGTATGTATTTATTAGAAAAGGTGTTTTTAAAACATTTTTATTATTAATCACAGTTAGACCTTTCTTGGTAGTTAAATGGAACGAAAGCTATTTTGCTTGACCTTGGAAATACAGCAAGTAGTGTGCCCTAGAAAACTGGAATGCTCTATTTAATGTAGAGCGCTTTAAGTAATACCTTATCAGTCTGTTTGTTGTGAATCCTCTGAGCATGATTAGTAGCATCTTAGAGCAGTGGATCTATTTTCCATAAGCAAATAAAATAATTGAATTCATATCCTTTTAAAAGGTAAATATATATGGTGAAAAAACTTTCAATATATTTCAATAATTTTTAATATTTGTTTTTATTTCAAAAATCTTAATTTTTTCTTTGTTTATTTTCTTTTTTTCTTTCTTTTTTTTTTTTTGAGATGGAGTCTCTCTCTGTGGCCCAGGCGGGAGTGCAGTGGCGCAATCTTGGCTCACTGCAAGCTCCGCCTCCCGGGTTCACGCCATTCTCCTGCCTCAGCCTCCCGAGTAGCTGGGACTACAGGCGCCCGCCATCACGCCCGGCTAATTTTTTTGTATTTTTAGTAGAGACGGGGTTTCACCGTGTTAGCCAGGATGGTCTCGATCTCCTGACCTCGTGATCCGCCCGCCTCGGCCTCCCAAAGTGCTGGGATTACAAGCGTGAGCCACCGCGCCCGGCCCCTTTGTTTATTTTCTACATAAACTTCAGCAAATATGTAGAGTTAGTTTGGTTTGGTGTATAAAAAGTTAAGTGGTTTTATGTTCATTTAAGTTCTCGGCTACCCTACAATTTGAGCATTAAGCCTTAAATTTTAATTTAAAATTGCAAAACAGTAACTACCATTTATATGTCAACCTACTCATATGCCTGGCATGATGCTGGGTATTGCATATGAAATACATATATGTTATGTATATATGTAAGTTTAAAGAGTCGCATAGCTATAGTGGTAGAAATGGCATTTGAACATCAAATGTATATTTGGCCTAAACTATATATTTTTAGTGTCATTATATTGACTGGGAGATACTGCAGAAATAGTTATGAAAATATATTTATTAAGATTCTGATTTTGATTAATACTACAACTTTCTCAGATATGTTAAATGCATGAAATTAAAGTTAATAGTTTATACATTTATAGATATTACTTTTATTCAAATATTAGATTTTGGAAGTCAAACTGTTGTGTCTTAGTTGTATTATCAATTCTAATGATTAGTTATAAAAAGACAATAAAATTTTAACATGAGCATTTCCAGTGTGTATTTGGGTCGAGAAGATTTTGAAAAGAACTGTTTTTGTAAATGTTACCAATGAATGTGACTGCTTTGATACATGCCTGAAATGTTTCCTGGAAAGAATTGTCAAAGAGCGTTGACAAAGTCTTGATTTTACTCTAGTGGGTGAAAATATTTCCCAGTGAACCCTGGTATTAAAGATATTATACAAACATACTATTGTTCTAGTGCCCCTGTATTCAGTGCTATGGTTTTCCATGCTGGGCATGCCAGTGTAATGATGTATTTTCTTGATTTTGGTGTGAAATACTACTACTTGTCTAGTGAGGTAGATAGACACTGGGTTAATAAAGGCGGGATAAAATAGGGCATATGGAATATTCTGAGCAGTAGAGATTATGTAGGTAGTCAATGAATTAGGTAGATCTAAGAACTCAAGTACTGTGGCTCTTCCTACACCAGTAGTCTTTTAAAAAATGCACACATTATTTTTTAGAGCAGTTTTAGGTTTATAGCAAAATTGAGCAGAAACTACATAGTTCCCATATACTCCCTCTTCCTCCCCCATAGTTTCTCATATTTATATCGGTACTGGTGTGGTACATTTGTTGGAATTGATGAACCAATATTGATAAATTGATTCATCAATTACGTAGTTGATTACAAGATTAATAGTTTACATTAGGGTTTCCTTTGTTGTACAGTTCTATATAGGTTTTGACAAATGCATAATATCATGTGTCTATTATTGTAATATCATACAGAAGAGTTTCACTGCTCCCAAATCCTCTGTGTTTGACCTATTTGTTCCTCTCCAGCTCCAGAACCCCTGACAACCACTGATCGTTTTGCTCTCTCTATATTTTATGTTTTTACAGAATGTCATATAGTTGGAATCCTGCAGTATATAGACTTTTCTGACTAGCTTCTTTTACTTAGCAATATGCATTTAAAGTTCCTCCATGTCTTTTCATAGCTTGATAGCTCATCTCTTTTTATTGCTAAGTTCATTGTCTGGAAGTACCAAGTTTACTTATCCATTCACCGACTGAAGGACATCTTGGTTGCTCCTAAGGGTTGACAGTTATGAATACAACTGCTCTAAACAGTTGAGTGCAGATTTTTGTGTGGACATGTTTTCAAGTCATTTGTGTAAAGGAGTATGATTGCTAGATTGTATGGTACGTTTAGCTTTGTGAGAAACTTGTCTAACTTGACTTCCAAAGTGGGTGTACTGTTTTTCATTTCCACCAGCAATGAATGAGAGTTCCTGTTGCTACACATCCTATCAGCATTTGGTATTGTCACTGTTTTGTATTTTAGCCTTTCAGATAGGTGCGTGGTGGTATTTCATTGTTTTAATTTGCAGTTCCCTAAATGACATATCATGTAAATATCTTTTTTTTTTTGGAGTTGGAGTCTCGCACTGTCACTCAGGCTGGAGTGCAGAGGCACGATCTTGGCTCACTGCAACCTCTGCCTCCTGGGTTTAAGTGATTCCCCTGCCTCAGCCTCCTGAGTAGCTGGGATTACAGGCATCCGCCACCACGCCTGGCTAATTTTTGTATTTTTAGTAGAGATGGAGTTTCACCATATTGGTTAGGCTGGTTTCAAACTCCTGACCTTGTGATCTGCCCGCCTTGGCCTCCCAAAGTGCTGGGATTACAGGCATGAGCCACCGCACCTGGCTGGTATCTTTTTATATGCTTGTCATCTGTGTATTTCCTTTCGTGAGGTGTCTGTTCAGATCTTTTGCCCGCTTTTTAAGCATTTTTTATTTTGAGACATGGTCTCACTCTGTCACCCAGACTGGATGCAGTGATAAAATCATAACTCACTGTAACCATGAACTTGTGTCTCAGCAGCTCCTCCTGCCTCAGCCTCCCAAGTATCTGGGACTACAGGCATGTGCCACCATGTTGGGCTAATATTTTTATGTTATATAGAGACAGGGTCTTGCTATGTTGCCCAGGCTGGTCTTGAATTCCTGGGCTCTAGTGATCCTCCTGCCTTGGCTTTCTAAAGTGCTGGGATTTACAGGTATGAGCCATCATGTCTGGCCCTTTTGCCCACTTTAAATTTTTTTTTTTTTATTGTTGAGTTTTGGAGTTTTTTGTATATTTTGGATACCAGTCCTTTATCAGATATGTTTTGCAAATGATCAGTAACCTTTTTATACCATTACCTCCTTTTGACACCTTTGAGCCACTGCATATTATAGCTATTATTTAAATAAATAAGGACCTGATTATTTCCTTTTATATGGTCATAGCATTCTTAAGTACTATTTTGTTTTAGCTATGTGTGTTATTTATTGTATCTGCTTCATAGAGTTGTATGTGGTGACTCTGAGTTCAGCAATCTGACAGTTTGCTTTGGTGTATCTAATATGCTGTTGTAGCTGCAATTCAGGTATCCAGTTGGTTGGCAGCTATGATGCTTTATAACACTTGAGTCTAAAATTAGTCGAACTGTTCTATTTTAAGCATACACTGAAATTAGTAGTCCATGTCCTGTAAAACATGTGAAAGTTAAAAACTCTTAGGATATTGAATTACTTCTTTTAAAATGTAATCAGAAGTAGAGTTGGAAAGTTTGTAAGTAAGAAAGTAGTTAGTGAGAAAGTTTTGTTATGGTAATTTGATTATGGCCTGGATGTAGTGCTATATGTATACAGTATCCACAAACACAGTTTCACACTGTTGCCTCTTAGAGTTAAGACAGTGCTTTCACGTAAATGATTACATGTGATTTTAAAAACATGAGTTGAGTTACAGCAAGATTATTTGCTTTTTTTCTGTTAACATATTTTAGAAGAGTCGTAGTTCCTAAATGTTTAGAATTCTGGAACACTATTGACTGCCTTTGCTAGAAAAAAGAGAGTGATTAAAGGAGTACTTGGTTGTTCGTCTTGCGATCTTGTGATAACCTTATTTGTGTAACAGAAACTAGATAATGTTGAAAATAAGTCAGGGCATGGTAGCTCATGCCTGTAATCTCAGCACTTTGGAAGGCCAAGGCAGGTGGATCTCCTGAGGTCAGTAGTTCGAGACCAGCCTGGCCAACATGTGAAACCCCATCTTTACTAAAAATACAAAAATTAGCTGGATGTGGTGGTGGACACCTGTAATCCCAGCTACTCAGGAGGCTGCGGCAGGAGAATCACTTGAACCTGGGAGGCCGAGGTTGCAGTGAGCTGAGATCATGCCATTGCACTCCAGCCTGGGCGATAAGAGCAAAACTCTGTCTCAAAAACAAAAAAAGAATATTGAAAATACTTAGTAGATAAAAAGCGGAGTGATTCAAATTAAGAGTTTGATTTTGCATATAATATGAATTTTATACCTCTTGAAGCAATAGTTTGTGCTATAGAGGCATTTTTTTTTTTTTGCAGTGTTATTTGACTATCTCTGCATTAGTCTGTTTTCATACTGCTGATAAAGACATACCAGAGACTGGGCAATTTACAAAATAAAGAGGTTGGACTTACAGTTCCTACAGTTCCACATGGCTGGGGAAGCCTCACAATCATGGTGGAAGGCAAGGAAGGGCAAGGAGGGGCAAGTCACGTCTTACATGGATGGCAGCAGACAAAGAGAAAGAACTTGTGCAGGGGAACTCCTGTTTTTAAAACCATCAGAATCTCGTGAGACTTACTAGAACTAGTAAGTTCTAGTTACTAGTACTCACAAGAACAACATGGAAAAGACTTGCCCCCATGATTCGATTACCTCCCACTGGGTCCCTCCCACAACACCTGGAAATTCAGGATGGGATTTGGCCAAAATATGTCAGTGTCCTTTAAACAATCTCAGAAGCTCTAACAATTTAACTACTATAGATAATGTGTAGTCTTTATACTTTTTCTTTGAACCTTTTTGGAAGGTCTAAAGCAGGACTGAAGGATTCTAAATTACAGAAAGCAAGATGCAAGGATGCTTTAGTTTTCTTGTGGAAAAAGACCTGTACTTATATATCCCTTTCCATTTAGAAAACTATATAGAAATTTAAATTTGTGCTTCAGTAGAAGTAAAATACTGTAAATGGAATGAAATACTTTTATAATTAGCATTTTTTGAAAGCATTCAAGCAGCATTGTTCCCAACCTTTCTCATATTTCTAGTCAGAAATTAATTGATCATATGCTTCAAGTGAACACATTACCATCTAGTATATTCTCTATTCCCTCATACCCATCGTATTTTGTACTCAGTCTTTCCCTGGAAAAACTGGGAAGAGATGAAGGATTTAGAACCGGGAGAAGCAGATCTTCACCAGTTTGGAACATGTGGTTTAATTCCAAATACTTATTGATCCTATACATTAAAATATGCTAAGGAATCAGGGCCTACAGAAGGAAGAGGAACACAGGTTTGTAGCCTCTCAAAGAGCAGAGTTTGGTGACGAAAGTGGACCAGCTACACTCATTATATGTGAGTGCTACACAAGAGGAGTGATACGAGCATCCAGGGGTTTCACAAGCAGGGCTGGCATTTGAAGGAAGGCAGAATTTCAGTGGGAGCTGGGGAAGGGAGAGGCTTTGTGTTATGTGTGGGTGGATGGTGCAGACAGAGATTTTTCTTGGTTTTACCATGTCATTTGGACAATCTGACCTTGCATTTCACCTTTTGCATTCTAGGAAAAGTATTATCACAAAATTGAATTACTACTTTAATATAAACAAGATAGATTTTGCTTATACATAACCGGTGTTGAGTTGAAGATTTTATCCTCCATTTTTAAGAACTCTGCTTTATCATACATATGTTATGAAACCTGAGGGTTTAGTACTGAGAAATAAGTTTTAGCCATGGCTCAGCAAATGTAAAGATTGGATGTGACACTCTTAATATGGTGTAGGAAACTCTCAATTAGATTGATGATCATAATAATTTTAGCACTTTATACTTTTTTTTACATATATGATACAATTTGATTCTTATAACAATTCTCTGAGATGGGTAACATAAGTGCCAGTGCCCTTATTTTATAGGCAAGGAAATCAGGCTTCCATGATTGCATTGACTAGGTGGTGGACTGGGGCTAGAATTCTGGTCTTCTGATAGCCAGTCTAGAGAACACCATACTGTAGGTAATTGTGGCTCATCCTTATATGCAGTCAAAGTTATCATTAATAATGTGGACTATAGGTAATATATGTGGTGAGAAGTAATAGTCTCTGTTTAAGTAAACAGCAGTTGAATATTGCTGTTGTTCTGGAATTACAGTCCATAGTTAGGAAGAAGTATGGCTTACCTTTTGTTTAATGTGGTTTTGGGCTACCACGTCCATAAACTTTGGTGAAAAGTTCTGTTGCTGACTGTAGAGGATTTAGTTACTTGAGGGAAAAACTCCATTATTATCTCTTGCTTTCGTTGTTAATTGAAGTGGCTCTTAAAATTAGAGGGTTGTACATTTAGACAGAAAAACTATCCTGTTGACTAAAGATGTAATTTCTGTAGTACTCAGTGACAAAGGAGGAACCATGTAAGTACTTGGGGAAAATATGGAAAGAAAACTTATGACATATACTTGGTAACATTTTTGGAAAATAAAGAAGTGGACAAAAGTAGACAAAATGAGTAAAAATCTGTAATTCAATTACCTATATACGTTAATTTTATGACATATGTCCTTTTCCATTTCTTTTTTCTCCATAATATATAACATTTAAAAATTGGGACTACTGCGTGTACAGTTCCATATCCTGCAGATGCACTTAATATATCACAGCATTTTTTAATGCCATGAAATATCATTTCAAACCATTTTCATGACAATGCACAATGTGTGGTAAACAGTCTGATGAAACATTTAAGCAGTTTTGTATCCTGACAGTTTTTGGTTAATATTATTACATTGGTATTTTTCCATGTAATTACAAGCTTCAGAAACACAGTTTTTCAAGATAAGAAAGAAGTCATATGGGTGACATAAACCAATTAGCAATTAAATATTTATAAGATAGTGCCTAGTTCATGATTAAGTAGATTCTTGAGTTATATATCCAATTAAGAAATTCTAATCACTATGAATTTTAGAAATTCAACAATAAAGGAAGCAACTACTAGTACTGAGGAGACCTGATTTTCATTCCTAACTCATGCTAAGTAGCTAGTTTTGGATGGCTTATACATGAAAATGAATGATTGCCAAGGTTCTTTATCATCCTGTTATACCTGCCTTAATTAATTACTTCATTATTTATTTATTTCTTGAGTGTTTCTTGTGTGCCAGCAACTATTTTAGATTCTTGGGGTGCTAGACATAAAAAAATTAATGGTCTTTTATATTTTTAAAAAGAGTTTTGAATGTATCACTTCATACTGATATGATCTGGTTACTTTTGACATCATTTTCTGACATACTTTCCATTGTTTATGGCATACATCTCATTTATTATTTTGGAAATGATCACCACATTCATGGTTTTAATTTTTTGTAGAAACTACTATTGATTCCATTTGAAAACCCTTTTAAAATGCCTTCCAGCCTTTTGATATAGTTTGCAATCATTTATTGCATTTGTATTTCATTACTTGTGCTAGGCTTCAAGACTGTATTATTTATTAATGGTATTCAATCAAGGAGTACTTTGGGGCATTAGATTTATCTGTAACATTGCCAAGTCAAACTTTGGAAGAAACTCACACTTTTAAAAGTGTTTTTACTCTCATTACATGTATTAATGATATGTAAACTTTAAGTGTGTGCAAATGGCCTCTTTTGAGAAGTTTTAAAGTTACCTATTTTGTCACTATGTGTTGTTCTTGCATGTCTAGGTCAGTATTTCTTTTGTGTTTGGCTAAGTGATCACCATATACATGCAGTTTTCAGGAAAGGCCTAAATGTTGTCCCCTCCAAGGCTCCTTTTTCCATTTCCAGTTAATGGAAGATTTTTTTCATAGTACTTTTAATTCCACTTTAGCAGTGAACTTGAACAAGCTATTTCTGGTTGGCCATTTCTTTCTCCAAGATTTTTAAACCAGTGTTCTGAGTCTTGGGGGAACTACAGCTTCAAGACTAGGGACTGTGGTCTTCAGCTTTGAAGTGGCTTCATTCTGGGGGATTAGTGAAGCTTTCTAGATTTGTTTTTCCCTTCTCTTATTCTACCCTTCCCCTCCTCCCCATTAACAGAACTATAGGATAATATAGGGTACAGAACTATAGAACTACTCTTGGGTAGTTCTGTTTGTAACCCTGATTCTGCTCTCCCACCTGCCCAGCCTTTGAGAATTACCATTGCCTGTAGGGAAAAGATGTAAACATTGAGTATGCTGATTTTCACTTATTTCATTTTATCCTCAAGAAAACTAAAGTCCAGAAAAGGAGGGTCAGTAAAGGAAAAAGCAAGCTCTAAACTAAGGTCTCCTGATTATTAGTTCTTCACATTGCTCAGTCTCCTTTGTTTCTTACTGGTGTATAGAAGCTGCTTTCACTGGCTATATCCAAGTTAATGAAAAGTAAGGGCAAGAATCTAGAAGAAATGAGTGGAAAAAGTGAAGCAATAGCAAAGACAGAAGTAGTGATATCAGTGTTATTCTTTACATGCAATAAGAGGAATGCTGAGGTTTCAGTGTTACCATTGATGTTTCTGTATTTTAGGGCCTTGCATTATGTTGGTGATAGTACATTGCATGCAGCAGGCTATCAGTGTTCTGGGGCTTTAAGAAATATATTCAGACTAATATAAATCGGCATTATAACATGGAACTAAAATATTTCCCACCTTGAAGAGTTGGATGAAAATTTGGCTGCTGCTCTTGGATTAGTGTGTTGCTCTCTGGCTGTTTCCTAGTTAACTATAAGATCCAGGCTCCGGGGAGGCAGATCTAGGCCACTGACCACCTCAGCCATCACCCCTCCCCATGGCCTGCATTTTGAGAGTATGCTGGATCTGGATCCTTCCCATGTGCTCTGGATCAGGAGTGAATAAAGGAGAATGTGATGCTACATGCATCAGTTCTAACACAGCTAGAGAGTAGGAGCATCAGTGGAAGGCATGAAAGGTTTGATTTGATCTCACCTCAAATGGGCATATGGTGGGTCTCTGTGTATGTGTGTGGGGGTGGGGTACAAAGAAGGAAAAGTACAGTGAAAAAGGGAAAGGGAATGTATCTCCTGCTGTTTCTGAGAGTTTGGGAGACAGAAGCTTTTAGATGAATGGTAGCCCAACTCCGTTTCTTATCATTTGGGTCTCCACACATATATTTTACATTCCCCCCAACTCTTCCGCCCCTGCTTAGTTCTATTTCTTCTGGCTGTCCTGGTGTCCTCAGTTCCCTCTATGCTAACAGCAGGTAAATGCATGGTTGGGAAGGATGTGATTTGGAAAGTGTGATTCTAATATAAACATGCCTACAGTTTATTAAATATACTTTTTATAGCTCCACCGTTCTATATTCAATTTTTATTCTAGATTGACTACAAAATGTCAATATATGTTTTACATTGATAATATTGTTGCTATTGTTTTACCTTTTTTTTTTTTTTTTTTTTTGAGACGGAGTCTCACTCTGTTGCCCAGGCTGGAGTGCAGTGGCACGATCTCAGGTGACTGCAACCTCCGCCTTCTGGGTTCAAGTGATTCTCAGCTTCCTGAGTAGCTGGGATTGCAGGCACACACCACCACGCCTGGCTTATTTTTGTATTTTTAGTAGAGACGGGGTTTCACCATGTTGGTCAGGCTGGTCTCAAACTCTTGACCTGGTGATCCACCCGCCTCGGCCTCCCAAAGTGCTGGGATTACAGGCGAGAGCCACCGCGCCCGGCCCTGTTTTACCATTTTTTAAATTAAAAATGTAGTTGTACATTAGCCTGGATGACCTAACCTTTACTTAAACAGCATTTTTAAGAGAAAATGTGTTATAAGTTGGTCGTTTGGAACTGACAAGTGAATTTCTATAGCACAGGCCATTAGTTAATCGGAGATACATTTTTGACAGTGGGCAAGCCTAAGAGAGATTTAAAGGATTTTTTAAAAAACTAGGAGTAGTTTTTTTAAAGTTAGAAACTACTTTTCTTGTTACAGTCTTCTAAAAGCACTTATTATAACATCCAGCACTGGCAAGAACATGGGGAAACAGTGCTCTCGTGCACTGCTTTTGAGAATGTGACTTGTTACTGTCTTTGGAGAAAGGATGCTGCTGAAGACACATCTACTCCTTGACCCAGCAGTATTTCAGAATCTTTCCTGTGGGTAGAATTTAAGTGCAAAGATATTTATCGTGACATTGTTTGTAATAGCAGAATACTGGAAACATCCTGAATGACCAGGAATAGGGAATAGTTGAATAAATTTTGATATTCAAATGTTAAGCAACTAATAAGTAATATGAATTAAATCTCTAAATATTGACTTCTAATATCTCTGCCATGTAGTTTAAAGGAAAATTAAAAGGCACATGATTATGTGTTTGGCTTTCTTGTAAAAAAAGAAAAAAATTCTATATGCAAACAGAGAGAGCTATGAAAATAGAGAAACCAAACTTAAGAGTGGTTAGCTCTCAAGAACAAGTTTTCTTTTCATCTCTGAATTTGACATTTTAAAACATATTTATTACTTCTATAATAAATATAAATACCACCACAAATAAAGTAGAAAGTTTAAAATAATAAAATTATTAAATATTTTCATGCATATAAAATATTGCCAGTTTTTGAGAAAAGCTTCTTCCATGTGATTCTGACAGGTATAATTTATAAGCAACATTGTGGGTATTAAGTGACATTGACTTAATAGACCATCTGGTACTTTCATAAACAATTTATAGACTTATTGTTTGTGTGGTCATTTATGGCTGAGGTGGGCCATTATGGCCCTAGCTATTATTTTCAGTGTCTGATTTGATCATACACTTGCAGGCTGTCTTTCTAGGCAAAGTACAGTGGGATGAGAAGACACTGCCTTGCATAATTCAGACATGTGTAATATTGGTCCCTAAGAAGGGCCATCCTAAGCCAAAGGATCCGTTTGTTTTGTTTCTTATCTAACTTTACTTTTTTCATTCATTTATTTAATAAATTATATATAGTGTTATTGAGTGCCATGACATATACAAAGATGAAAAAAGATGATGTTGCTTTCCTTTAGGAGATCTCAGTCTGTTGGGGAAAACCAGCATGGTTTGTCACAGGACAATTAAGGTGCTGTATATGCAGTACAAATGAAGTACTCTAAGAGCCACTTTCTTAAACCCTTTACCTGGTGAGCCCAGTGTGTTCTGTACCCATTATCTTGTTTCACAGTTTTAATTATCTGACAGTAGGGATCAAGAAGTTTTAGTCCTATATAGTACAACTTCTTTTTCTGCGAATTGTAATAGAAATTAACCCCACAGTTGTCAGGAAATACCTGATACTAAGAGATGATATGGAAATAGTAGGGAGATTAGAGAAAAGCAAGTTGCATATTTGTTTATAAAAACAGAAGATAGAATACTTTTGATATTTGCAAAAGCAAGTTAGAAAACTACAGAAATTTTTTTTTTTTTTTTTTTTTTTTAGTATTTATTGATCATTCTTGGGTGTTTCCCAGAGAGGGGGATTTGGCAGGGTCATAGGACAATAGTGGAGGGAAGGTCAGCAGATAAACAAGTGAACAAAGGTCTCTGGTTTTCCTAGGCAGAGGACCCTGCGGCCTTCTGCAGTGTTTGTGTCCCTGGGTACTTGAGATTAGGGAGTGGTGATGACTCTTAACGAGCATGCTGCCTTCAAGCATCTGTTTAACAAAGCACATCTTGCACCGCCCTTAATCCATTTAACCCTGAGTGGACACAGCACATGTTTCAGAGAGCACAGGGTTGGGGGTAAGGTCACAGATCAACAGGATCCCAAGGCAGAAGAATTTTTCTTAGTACAGAACAAAATGAAAAGTCTCCCATGTCTACTTCTTTCTACACAGACACGGCAACCATCCGATTTCTCAATCTTTTCCCCACCTTTCCGCCCTTTCTATTCCACAAAACCGCCATTGTCATCATGGCCCGTTCTCAATGAGCTGTTGGGTACACCTCCCAGACCAGGTGGTGGCCGGGCAGAGGGGCTCCTCACTTCCCAGTAGGGGCGGCCGGGCAGAGGCACCCCTCACCTCCCGGACGGGGCGGCTGGCCGGGCGGGGGGCTGACCCCCCCACCTCCCTCCCGGACGGGGTGGCTGCGGGGCGGAGACGCTCCTCACTTCTCAGACGGGGCGGCTGCCGGACGGAGGGGCTCCTCACTTCTCAGACGGGGCAGCTGCCGGGCGGAGGGACTCCTCACTTCTCAGACGGGGTGGTTGCCAGGCAGAGGGTCTCCTCACTTCTCAGATGGGGCGGCTGGGCACAGACGCTCCTCACCTCCCAGACGGGGTCGCGGCCGGTCAGAGGCGCTCCTCACATCCCAGACGGGGCAGCGGGGCAGAGGCGCTTCCCACATCTCAGACGATGGGCGGCCGGGCAGAGACGCTCCTCATTTCCTAGATGGGATGGTGGCCGGGCAGAGACGCTCCTCACTTTCCAGACTGGGCAGCCAGGGAGAGGGTCTCCTCACATCCCAGACGATGGGCAGCCAGGCAGAGACGCTCCTCACTTCCCAGACGGGGTGGCAGCCGGGCAGAGGCTGCAATCTCGGCTCTTTGGGAGGCCAAGGCAGGCGGCTGGGAGGTGGTTGTAGCGAGCCGAGATCACGCCACTGCATTCCAGCCTGGGTACCATTGAGCACTGAGTGAACGAGACTCCGTCTGCAATCCCGGCACCTCGAGAGGCCGAGGCTGGCGGATCACTCGCGGTTAGGAGCTGGAGACCAGCCCGGCCAACAAAGCGAAACCCTGTCTCCACCAAAAAAATACGAAAACCAGTCAGGCGTGGCGGCGCGCGCCTGCAATCGCAGGCACTCGGCAGGCTGAGGCAGGAGAATCAGGCAGGGAGGTTGCAGTGAGCCGAGATGGCAGCAGTACAGTCCAGCTTCGACTCGGCATCAGAGGGAGACCGTGGAAAGAGAGGGAGAGGGAGACCGTGGGGAGAGGCAGAGGCAGAGGCAGAGGATATTTTTTATGTAAGTCTTTTTAATACTTCTGCTGCTTATCATGGTGCTTGGCATATTGTAAATACTCAATAATTATTTTTTCTAAAAAGGTTGAATGAATTTCTACTGCAGGTTTTGGGCTTTTAAGATTTTCTGAATTCAGTTTCTTAACCAAGCTAACTCTAGATAATAGTTCCAGTCAAGTACACTACCTTCACTAATTTTC
Source organism: Homo sapiens (assembly GCF_000001405.40). NCBI lineage: Eukaryota > Metazoa > Chordata > Mammalia > Primates > Hominidae > Homo > Homo sapiens. Next base: position 56,823,778 of record NC_000006.12, on the reverse strand, counting down.
TCCCAGCAATTTAAAAACTGCCAAGCAGATGAAGTTTGAAGTAAGTTTTGTAATTTTCAAGAATTATACAGGCCAGGTGTGGTGGCTCACCCCTGTAATCCCAGCACTTTGGAAGGCCGAGGTGGGCGGATCACAAGGTCAAGAGATCGAGACCATCCTGGCCAACATGTTGAAACCCCGTCTCTAATAAAAATACAAAAATGAGCTGGGTGTGGTGGCGTGCACCTGTAGTCCCAGCTACTAGGGAGGCTGAGGCAGGAGAATTGCTTGAATCCGGGAGGCGGAGATTGCAGTGAGCTGAGATTGCGGCACTGCACTCCAGCCTGCCAATAGAGCGAGACTCTGTCTCAAAAAAAACAAAAAAAAATTATACACATTTCCTTATTTCATGCTACATAATTTCTTTACGTGGAAGATAGGCAAAATGAACTGTTGCCATAGTGAAGGACAAAATTCTAGAGAGAAAAGATGCAATTTAGATAAAAGTAACATAGTGCTGGAACATGTGGAACAAAAATACTGAGGGGAGGCTCAGAATAGGAGTGTGCCTTTAGACAACAATGGCAAAATTCACGGACAGACTTACTTAGAAATTTGTTGGGAACTCAGAGAATAGTGTTGTCCCAGGGTGTTCTTTGTTTACTTTAGAGATAGTGTAGGCTCACCACCTGTAATCCCAGCACTTTGGGAGGTCGAGGCAGGTGGATCACTTGAGGCCAGGAGTTGGACACCAGCCTGGCCAACGTGGTGAAATCATGTCTCTACTAAAAATACAAAAAAAATTAGCCAGGCTTGGTAGCGGGCACCTGTAGTCCCAGCTACTCGGGAGGCTGAGGCAGGAGGATTCTCCTTGAACACGGGATTCGGAGGTTGCAGTGAGCCAAGATTGCGCCACTGCACTCCAGCCTGGGTGACAGAACGAGACTCCTTCTCAAAAAAAAAATAAATAAATAAAATAAAATAAAAATAAATAAATAATAGTGTAGCTTTTTTTTTAAAGTGGCTGTATATAGTTCTAGAACCTCTAAATATAAAAGGTCTAGAGGTATACTGCTAGGGTCAGCACATATATAGCAACTTCAGGTAACAGGAAATTTAATGTTACCTATTCTATCATTTTAATGATTTATTTGAGGATCTGGGAAATTTTTGTTGCTGTGAACTTTTACTTTTTACTTCAGAGGCAATACTCTTGATTCTGCCTACTCCTTTCTGATGGTTCTTCACCTGGCTTCATACAGTTTCTTTACACACATATACATGGTACTCAGGTAAGAATGCAACCCCTTGCAGATCTCTGGGATTTGCTTTTGTGCAGTCTCTTTTGGTTCTCTGCTCTGCAAATTCTAGTTGTCTTGACCTCCTCAGATGAACTGTCTCTTCACCTGAGGGAGAACTGCTGCCTCCCCCTGCGTCCCATCCCCTCCCTGGTTTCTTCTTCCTGTACCATATCCTGGAAACTCTCCAGGCAGTAAGCTGAGGGTAATAGTAGGACTCACCTTGTCTATTTCTCTTTTCTCAGAGATGACACTCCCCTGTGCTGCGTGTTGTTTATTGCCCCAAAACTGTGATTTCATAAATTTGTGTCTGTATATTTAGTTATTTACAGTGGAGAATAAATCCCGTCTCTGTCAGTATCATGCTCAGAGGTAGAATGTCCTCCTTTTCTCTTTAAATAAAATTCACATGTACATAAAATTTGCATGAATTTTCTTTAGAATTAGATAGACTATAGAAATGTTGTGGGCTTATAATCCGCAAAGTCTTTAATATACTCTCTATCCACATCTCTCTTAATAAACGTGGATAAAGTGCATATTAAAGACTTTGATGAAAGTCTTTGATGGAAGACTTGGATGGAAGCTCTGGACTGAGCTTGGTGATGGTATAGCAGGGAAAAAAGTCTAGTCTGAGTTCATGTATTTGCCTTTGTGTTAAGCTAACCCTAAAAATATTAAAGTTGGGTCATAGCTGGATAATTAAGACATGATAGGTCAGATTTCTATATTTTCCTACTAATGTGAATGTTCCTATGTGATATTTAAATTTGGATCAGTTTAGTAAAACTGTTTTCATAGGGCAGTCAGAGAGGAAAGATTCTTTTTGTAGTGACAGTACATTTATTCTGAATGATAATAGGGCAGAATCATAATGCCAAGATTGTATAATTTAGCTCCTGCATTTTATTTCTGAGAAGAATTAGGTTCAGAGATATTCAGCTCATAGAACTAGTTAGTACTAGAGTTGGAGCTGGAGCCCAGTTATTCTCATTTCTGGTTTAATGCTTTTTCCACTTAATCATGCTGCCCAGAGAAAGTCCTTGTACTCTTTAAGCCCCCAGACATATGCAGTATACTTCTACCTCCTGGTCCTGAACACATAGGGTGAGTCTTGAGGGCCCAGCCAGCTTGCTTCCTTGCAAGCTTCATTCTGTGCTGTGTAAACATTGCCACGAATTTGACATGAATCGAAGTACTTAGCTGATCCCTTTGAACACATTATTTATGCCATGTATTGCACTAGATCCCAACAGAAGACATGCAGTGAGTAATTGGAGTACCTGACCATTATTTTGAAAGTTAATATTTGTGTTTCAGCTAGAGTGACTGTGGGCCTGTTTGATATTGACTTGAGTTGCTAAGTAATGTCAGAAGGTCAAAACAATTTTAAGAGATGTGTGGACTGTATCTGATGACAGTTTGGCACTTAGCTTTTATCTCCTTAAGGTGGCCTCCATATTGAAGCATGGCAGATTAGCCGTGTTATTTTAAAAGAATACTGAATCTGTTGGGCCTTGGCAGTTTGGAAAGGCAAGGCCTCTGTCTGGTGTAATTGTAGGCAAAGGTATGTGGTCCTTTAGGGACACATTTTTGAAAGGGAACCTCAGCTTGGCAGTCAAGTTTGTATACACAGCAACGTATAGGGAGAAGAAGTAAAGATAACTAACATTTAGATTTGTCATCCTTTTTTTTTTCTGTGAAAAAGAAACTAAAAGTAAAAGAAATTAGAGATAACTTGTAATAATCACTATAATAATAGGCAGTAATGTACTGGTAAGTATTTGGCAACCAGCTATTTGGGGAAAAACTCTTGATTTTATAGCAGTTTTTCATTTTCTGGTGTGAATACTTTTACTATGGCTGATTTCGGGTGACCAAGTTGATGTCACTGCGTGCAGAGTTGGGAAGAGATATGCAGTAGCATATCTATATCATACAATATTTCCACTATACAGATGGACTAGATGTAAACAAACTCGTGTAAAGATAATAGCAAATGTAAAGAAATTAGTTAAGTGATGAGTTTTGAATATTTATTATCTTTGTTGTTGGTGTAATTTATTTAATTGAAGGCTGATGTAATTTAATTTTTAATGAAGGCTTTGCTTAACAATTGGCTAACACAATTGTGAAAATTCAACAGTCCACTCTCAAGTTGTTATGAGTTGGCTCTAGCATACTACTGAAAACAGGTAACACTTACAGAACATGTACACTGCCTTCCAAGCATAGTATAAGTGTTTTCTGTGAATTATGTCATCCTCAAAGCAATGACTTGAACTAGGTACTTAAAGTATCCTTATTTTGCAGTTGCTATAGTTGAATCACATAGTGGTTAAATAACTTACCTGAAGTTACGGTTTGAAAACGGCAGAGCTGGGATTCTAAACCAGGCCATCTGTTTCTAGAGCCTATGCTCTTAACCAGCTTGCCATACTGCCTGTTGAGGTTACAGATATTCTTGAATGTGAGGCAGTAGTAGCTATGATAAATTTTAAGTAAATTACTCATGGTTCAGAATTATTTTATGACTTGTTTCAATAATTGTTTGGATTTTATTTGAGTTTTATTTATGACGAAATGTTACTATCCTTAATATATGAATGCTTATATAAATCAACAAGAAAAGCTATTCTCTCTTCAGTAGGAAAACAGACCACAGACTTCAATAGGCAGTTCATAAGAAAAGAACTAACAATGGCCAGTAAACATTGAAGGCAAGGACAGTGTCCATTTTGTTCATTGCAACATTAACCCAACCCTTGCAGAGTGCCTCTATAAATGTTATTGTAGTACCTGTTAATTTTTTATACATTTTAATAAAGTACATAAATATTTCCTGTCCTTTTGCTTATACTAAGCTATTTTCTAATGTTGCCTTTAAATAATTGAATTTTTAAAGAAAGTGTTTCTGATTATATAGTTAGAGACATTTTGTTATTAAAACTCCCTAAGTTCAAACAAGGATGAAGAGGCCTAATAAATTACTTTTTTCCTAATTATAACTAATCAATGTATGCCGTTGTATATAATTTCACTAAGTAAAATGGAGGTTCTTAAACTTAAGAGACCTACTGAAATTATGAGAAATCTCTGTGTAATTTCTAGAAGCTTTAAGTTACAAGTAGTGATATTTTAATGCATTGAGCTATTTTATCTACAAACCTTGTTGAGGAACAGTGTACCCTGGAAGTTCAGAGACTGATGTTTTTCCTTTGCGGCTTTTCCCAGTTTGCCATCTCTTTCTCCTCTCTGGTAGATGTTTTAGCCGTGTCAGAGCTCAAATATACTTCTGATGGATGTTGTGAATTATTTTGAGAAATAATAAAATGTATCAGAACAATATTTCTGGTGCTGACAGCTCCTTTTTGGAGTTTAGGAATTTGAAATTTCTGAAATGGCTTAAAGGAAGTGTTTTAGTTGCATTACTAGACTTGTCATCCTTGGTATAGATAAGCCCTTGCTGTAGTATTTTTTTTCTGAAGATGGAAAAGTCAGTAAGGGTAAAGGTGGGAAAAATGGACAAACATTGATTGAATGATGATCCAGGGTCAGACCCAGTGCTAAGTGTATACATGCGTTATTCATCAAAGTAAAAGCTTTCTTATTCAGCAATTCGGAAAAAGCAGTTGGCGGGGGTGGTAGGAAACCAGTTCCTATGGAAAGTATGCAGTTCACTAAAAGGTAATAGTATTGCTCTGTGACATTGTTTACATATCAGAGTACTTTGAAACCTTTGGGATCAGAACCCTTTTCTGTGTTCCAGAAACATCCCAAATAAAGTTGGCCAGAATATTAAGTTTTTGGCTGAAGTTATATTACTCTGAATTTTATGTTGATCAGCATATATCTGACTGACAATGCAGTGTGTCTTATACTTACTAAAAAGGAAAATCAATTATTATTTATTATGTTTAGTTCATTTGGGAGATGACACACTCTTCAAATCATTGGAGCTATGAAGGATGGAGCATGAGGTGGAGTAAAAGGGGTGTTTACTATGGAAAAGGTTAATGATTGTTGCTCCATTTGGTCTGTCATATGACTTCTCATGCCATCACAGATCAATGTATTATAATAAAAGATACAAACAGTATGCATTACCCATGTTATATATACACCCATGTTTCCTTTGCTGAGCCTCCAGGAGGCAGAAACCTTTCCTTCTGAACCTTAGTTCCCCCCCTGCTTTCCCTCCTTCCCTTCATGATAACAGTGGTCCTTGTTTTTTTAAAAAAATTGGCATTTTTCCCTAGAAGGAAATTGTATTAGTTTCCTATTGTTGCTATAACAAATAATCACAAACTTAGTAGCTGAAACAACACAAATTTATTACCTTACACTTCTGGAGGTCATTAGTTCAAAATGGACCTTACAGGTATCAGCAAAATTGTGTTCCTTCTGGACATTGTTGGGGAACATTCATTTCCTTGCATTTTCAGGTTTCTAGAGACGGGCTTCATTCCTTGGCTCATGGCTATGTCACTTCCACCACTGCTTCATCTTCCCATCTTCTGTCACTCTGATTCCCCACCTCCCTCTTTTGATAACCCTTTTGATTACATTGAGTCCACCTGGATAATCCAGGCTAGTCTCCCCATCACAAGATCCTTAACTTAATCGTATTTGCAAAGTCCCATTTGCCACTTAGGGTAACATATTCATGGGTTCTGAGATTAGGATGTGCACATCTTTGGGGAACTATTATTCTGCTTGCCACAGAAATTTTTAGAACTTTAAGGTAAAATACCAGGTAGCACAACCATTCCTGTATTGGTTTATCATAATGGAGACCAGGGATGGTGTCTGCAACCTTTAGAGAAATCATCATGATTTCCTTTAACACATAAAAATATGATTTCATAAAAAATGAAGTATGACAAACTTGGCTAATTATGTACTGTTTTGAATACAAAGGGGAGAAATACTCAAAGGAAATATGACTTGATATTTTGCCATAGAGTTTTGTAATAAAATGCTAAGGCTATTGAAACAAAACAAACAAAAGAAAACTTTTTTTCCCCACAGTATCCCATCAAAAGTTTTATTTTCATAAATTGCTTTCCAAACATCCAACCTGCATATCTAATGACCATCTTTTGTCTTCTTCATCTGAAAAGTAAGATAAAGTCATATGGCCCTTAGATTCTTTTAGAAAGCCTATGTTATTTTCTTAGTTGATTTAAGTCGTGAAGTTGCTTTTATTAATAGAACTATTTCTATTCTTGTTCATTTAAGAAAATTATAATATTAGATCAGTAAGGTTACCTGAAGAGACACTAGAAAGGGAGATGCCAGAGTGAAAAGTAGTAGTCCTTGTTAGTTTTTTTATAAGTATTTTTAGTCCTCTCTTTTTCCCTCCTCATTAAAAAAAAAATTTAATTTACTTTGTGTGTGTGTGTGTGTGTGTTTAAGTGGCTTAAAGCTACACCCATTTATCTCACTATTTCCATGGGTCAAGAGTCTGGGCATTCCTTGGTAGGTGAGTTCTTTGACCAGGGTTTCACAGAGGCTGCATTTGTAGTTGGTTTTTGGAACATTGTGAAATTATAATCTAGCAGAGACTATAAAGATCTTCAGGAGAGAATTTTAAACATAAATATGAACATTATTGCTAACAAGCTGTACTTTATATATGGTAGGAATATTCTGAAGAGCATAGAAAAAGCAAAAAAAAAAAAATCAGCCTATTTAAAATAGCTTTCTCCTTCTACTTAGAATATATTTACGAACATAGGAAATTTGAAATTAAGGGAAACATAGACCAACCCGACTGCGAACTTTGAGGCTTGTTGAGTGTCTCCTGCTAACTACTGCCACCTCAGTCCTGCACGCGATAGGGGATTCCTATGGTATTGTTTATTTCATAGATAAGGCTTGTTAATAAACTGCCAGGATGCTTATAATGAGCAACGAGAACAATCACAAAAGAGTGCTGTTGCTATGCAGTTGAACCATAGGCCTATAATAATACATTAGGGACAAAGATAAGTGTGCTTACACATGCCACAGCTTTTGGGTGCTCTTCTAAATCTCTTTATTGGCTGAATCTGCATGAAGTGGATGAAGCCTCTTCTGTGTGCAGAAGAGGGCATATTAAAGGGGCTGTAGAAACAGGTCTCACTATTCTCCTCAGAGTATCGAAGTACTTTTTGCATTAGTTTGGCGCTACAGGAAGCGAAAAAAATATCAGGTAAGCAGTTTGTCAAGGTTCTTAAATTTTCATCAGCTGATTAAACCCTGTGACTTTGGGTTTACCTCATGTTATTGAACCGACTTCAGTAAAGGGGGATATAAAATTGGAATTAAGTCAGCAGGAAGTTTTAGGGGAGAGATTGTGATATTAATGAGATTGAGGGAGTACTCCTTTCAGGGTGTTTATTTTTCTACCCTAAAGTTGCCCCTTTGATCAGAGATGCTTTGTACGGACATTTATGGCTAGAACCCTAAAATCTCACGGAGAGTGGAGGAAGAAAGAAAAGTAGATAAATTACTCAATCTTACTTTTTTTCAGAGTCAGGGAATGAGACCATGATCTTTCATCATTTTGTTATCAGATACCCAAATTGTATGAAATCATCTTTGTGTCCTGAATGCCTTATGTCTATTTAGATGCTAGCAAATATTTGCTAATAGTAGATTAAAACACATTTTATTTAATAGTCTTGCAGTGTTTTTTTTCATTTAATATAATTGATATTGTTTGGGTAATTATTGGCTAAAATATTTAAATTAGAGTGGGAAACCAGATGTTTACAATATTTTATAATCTACTTTCAGGGTCAGCTGTGCTTGTTTAACTTTAGTTGCACTCCTGGTGTCCTCTGAAATGGCTCAAGCTCTGAACTTAGGGGAGGCAGAGGTGCTGGGACTTGGGCTTCAGAGGCATCTTCCATATCTCTTTGTGAGGATCATCTTTAAAGGGCATGTGCACAGACCTTTCACCCAGTTCTAAAAGCAGAGTATTTCTGTGATTTAAAAATTGCTTGAATTGGTCATAATCCTTTTTGGAAAAAGATGACAAACTCAAGCTAGATAAATACAGTGCTTAATTAATTTGCTCAGTGTAGATATGATATACTAAAGCTGTCCTGCCCTATAAAAATAAAGTGGTTATAAATGCCTCAAATTTAAAATTTGTGTTTATACGTATACCTTGGTGTGACAGGCAACTATGAATAAAAGAAAAACAAGTCTTATATATACTGCACATTATAGGAAGCTGTGTGCATTGGCCTTATTTATAGCTCCATTTTCTATTCATACCCTATTCTCCTCCCTACTTTTCCCTTTCAGGCTAATGTTTCTGTAAAACTTTCTGCTTGCCAGATACTGTTCTAAATGCTTTATATATGTTAAATTAATCTGCATAGTGCAGTAAACATTATAATTTTTATTTTATGGATGAGGAAATGGGTGCACAGAGAGGATAAGCGACTTGCCCACGGCCACACCGGGATTATAGCGAGTGGCAGAGCGGTGATTCTAACCTCGGCTGTGTGGCTCTGCAGCCTTTGCCCCCTCATGTCTCACCTACACTGTGCTGTCTCTGCCACCGTCCTGCCTCTCATTTATCTTGCTGTAATTTTGTAAGTGACTTCAAATCATTTTTGGAACATGGTGGGAGTACCACTGAACAAACAGATAAAAGCTTTCAGTGTATATTTTGCCTCTCTTTTTGTTCAATAATATTTTGATTCAGCAATTAAACTTTAAATATATCATTAGTTATTTTTGACGAAGTATACCTCTAGAGTTACCTTTGGAGTCTTCTGCCAAACATCTTAAGAGTAGAGAGTTCATTTTCATTTTTCAGGGTTTGCTTTTAATAGTTCTGTGGCGTGGTGCAATTAGGCTTTTCTTTTCTGAAAGCACAGCTGTAACTTGCTGTGACAAATGCTGTTGAAGGAAACTGCTGCATTGTGAACAGAGTGGAAAAAGAGATGCCTCAAATTAAGTGTTTTCTTTGGTCTGTCATAGACTTATTAGGAGGTTAAATCCTGCTCTGCAGGACTGTTAGTGGCAGGTGCTATTTCTGTCACCAGGACGGTCTCTGCTAATTTTTAATGCAGCGACATCCCCAAATAGAAGCATTCTGTCATTCTCTCAGTCCTTCCATTTGTGGAAGGATTTTGATCAAAGAGTGTTTTTGCTTTTTATTTATTTAGTGAGCAATAGCATCATATTTCATACAAAAATACCTTGTGTAATGGTAAAAGTAAAACTTAACAAAGTGAAATAGTTTGTTTTCTTTGCTCATTTTCCACATACATGAATTTTGTATTTTAAAAATGAAGTAATTTAGAAATATGCCTTCATTATGCGAACCTATATTTGTTTATATAATAAATAATAATGTGTAGTTTTGTCTATATATTGAGACCATCACAATTACTGCTTTCTTGTTTTTATTTTCTCTTTGAGAATCAATGTATTTTTGAGTTAGTAATACAAAAAGCATGTATAGACTTAGTAATTTCTTTACATGAGTAATGAAAGATACAGATTTTTATTTTATTTGACTACATGGTAACTTTTTTTTCCTCATGCTTAAAATAAGATAGATCTGTTTTAATACCTACAAGGTTCTTAATGATTAAAGTTTTAATCTCTTGGGGCATGTAATCTTGGATTCCAAAGAACAGCATCATAATGAAACTCTAGTATAATGGATTAGAAAAATTTCCACAGAAGGAATAGACCTGTAAAAACAAATAGCAAAATATTAAGGAGCAACCACAAAAACACCATCTCATTTTTGAATTTTCATTTCCCCTCCTTTGCTATAGCAATTATCCATTAAGAACTGTTTTTCTGAAATTCGGCTGGCTTAAAAGAATGTTTTTCTGAAAAGCGTATCTCAAATTTATATTTCAATTGCTTGTTAAATAGTAGGAAACTAGTTTTATTATTTATACGTGTTTTATTTGTATTGTAAAGGAATAACTGTTGGTAGGTAAAAGAACTGGAATATTTTAAATATTTCTTTGTAGTTTCTTTAGGCAAATTTGTATTTCTTAAGAAATAGCATAAGAATTAAGTATATTAACATCGAATTTTAAAAAGTATTTGCTTCGTAAGTGGACATTTTATTTTATTTTTTTTTTTATTATTATTATACTTTAAGTTTTAGGGTACATGTGCACAATGTGCAGGTTAGTTACATATGTGTACATGTGCCATGCTGGTGTGCTGCACCCATTAACTCGTCATTTAGCATTAGGTATATCTCCTAATGCTATCCCTCCCCCCTCCCCCCACCCCACAACAGTCCCCAGAGTGTGATGTTCCCCTTCCTGTGTCCATGTGTTCTCATTGTTCAATTCCCACCTATGAGTGAGAACATGTGGTGTTTGGTTTTTTGTTCTTGAGATAGTTTACTGAGAATGATGATTTCCAATTTCATCCACGTCCCTACAAAGGACATGAACTCATCCTTTTTTATGGCTGCATAGTATTCCATGGTGTATGTGTGCCACATTTTCTTAATCCAGTCTATCATTGTTGGACATTTGGGTTGGTTCCAAGTCTTTGCTATTGTGAATAGTGCCGCAATAAACATACGTGTGCATGTGTCTTTATAGCAGCATGATTTATAGTCCTTTGGGTATATACCCAGTAATGGGATGGCTGGGTCAAATGGTATTTCTAGTTCTAGATCCCTGCGGAATCACCACACTGACTTCCACAATGGTTGAACAAGTTTACAGTCCCACTAACAGTGTAAAAGTGTTCCTATTTCTCGTTAAGTGGACATTTTAAATTAAATGAGAATATTTGCATCTAGGGTTGTAATATGGTAGTATATTGTGAGGTTTGATATTCAAGACTGTTTTATTCCAGTGTTTTATGGCAGAATTTGAGATTTTCAATAATGTCCCACATTTAAGACATTTGTCTACTTTATTTAGCACACATGTTTCAGAATATTAAAAGCTGTTTTATTGGCAAGTAAATCTTAGTTTAGATCTCTCATTTGAAATATTTCATCCCTTATAAGATTTACCTCAGAATGTTTTCTCCTCCTATAGAATACAGTTTATGTTTCAGGTTTACTCTTTTTAGATGTTTTTCTGAAAAATTTTATTTTAGATTTATTAGTAAATTTTCATCTTAATTAGAATGAGTTATGACCTGATTAAGACATTTCTTTCACTTCTGTCTTTTTTTAGCCAGTAGAAAAACATTTGAGTTTATTTTTAAGGGAGTGATTTCAGTTTCAAACAAACAACAAGAAAAGCCTGATATAAAATTAAGTAAGCTGTTTAAAAAACATGCTATCCATGTTACAGAACTGTGAAGAATTTTTGTCAGATTTATATCAGTTGCCATAGAATATTTTCTTTTTTCTTTTCTTTTCTTTTCTTTTCTTTTCTTTTCTTTTCTTTTTTTTTTTTGAGTCAGAGTCTCTTTCTGTTGCCCAGGCTGGAGTGCAGTGGTGTGATCTCAGTTCACTGCAATCTCCACCTTCTGGGTTCAAGCAGTTCTCATGCCTCAGCCTCCTGAGTAGCTGGGACTACAGGTGTGCTCCACTACGCCTGGCTAATTTTTTTTTTTCGTATTTTTAGTAGAGATGGGGTTTCACCATATTGGCCAGGCTGGTCTCAAACTCCTGGCCTCAAGTGATCTACCTGCCTTGGCCTCCCAAAGTGCTGGGATTACAGGTGTGAACCACTGTGCCTGGCCTGCTTTTGTCTTATCAAGGAACTTATATTTCTAATCACTTTATCTATTAATAAAGAAGTGAGTGCTTTCTCTTGTTTTCAAAGTGGTCTTGACATTGATATATCAGATTGTGGTTGGTGAAAATGAGAAAGACCTTTGGCAGGTCACCTTGTGTTTACCAGGCAAATGGGAAAATAAGGCTGACACAGTTTCATCATCAGCTGGTAGTTAACTTTAAGCTTTGTTTTTTTCTTCTCCATTTTAAATGAAAGATAGTATCCAATTTACAAATGGATTTGCTTCACAGTTTCTTTTTAAATGGGCTTAAATGGATCTCATAATAGCACATTTCCTTAACATGTTCTGTTAGGAAACCAAGGCATAATATTGATGATGCTATAGCATCCTGACGTTTTACTTCATTCCATTCAGAAAATCCAGAGCTGGGTCCATGGCCCATTTCCTTCTGGTAGCAGGGGGAGAGGACCTGGCTTTTCTCTGGATCCCTCCCTGGTGTCAGCTGAGAGACTTTCCTGGCTTACTCCTTTCTCTACTGTCAGGGACCCAGTACTTCCTGCTTCGTCTCTCAGGTTGGGGCTGGGAACATGCTCCCCATCCTACCTTTTTTTTTTTTTTTTTTTTTTTTTTTTGAGACAGGGTCTTGCTCTGTCGCCTAGGCTGGAGTGCAGTGGCACAATCACAGGTCACTGCAGCCTCTACCTTCCAGGCTCAAGTGATCCTCCCACCTCAGCCTCCCAAGTAGCTGGGACTACAGGTGCATGCCACCATGCCTGGCTAAATTTTGTAGTTTTTGTAGAGATGGGGGGTCTCACTATGTTGCCCAGGCTGGTCTTGAACTCCTGGGCTCAAACGATCCTCCTGCCTCTGCCTCCCAAAGTGCTGGGATTTCAAGCAAGAGTCACCATACCCAGCTTCCCATTCTACTTTTTTCTCCCAGGTTTTTTGCTGGTCAGAACTCCTTGAAAACCTGAGGTGTTCCAGCCTGAAAGGAGGCTGTATCTTGTTCTTCTTAATGAAGATGACATGATGTAGCAGGAGGAATAAAACACATTTGGAGTCAGGATACCTGGAGTTACCCTGATACTGCCTTTTTTTTTTTTCCCTGTGAGACCCTGAGCAAATCATTTGCCTTTTAATTTTGGTAGGGGTGGTGGGTGTTTAGTGTATGTGGTGTGTAGTTTGCATTATGTTACATCTGATGTCCCTCACTGCTTTAACATTACATACCACATATTTCAGAAGAGGATTTGCAAATATGATCACATATTTCAGAAGGGGATTTGCAAATTATTAGGTTCTTAAAAGGTAGGAACATAAGATTTTTAACATAGAATTTATGAACTTTTACACATGGTTGAACAAGAAACTCCTTAGAATTCAGATGTTTATACTTGGGTATGTTATGAATAACTGACATAGTCTCAGTGTATTACTATAAAATGCTGCCATTTCTGGAAGGGGTGGTATCATGTTGTGTGTAGATATAATACATATATTTTTAAGAGATGGGAGTCTTGCTCTATCACCCAAGCTGGAATGCAGTGGCACAGTCATAGCTCACTGCAGCTTTGAACTCCTGGGCTCAAGCGATCTTTTCATCTCAGCCTTCCAAGTAGCTGGAACGTGCCACCATGCCTGGCTAATTTTTTATAGAGGTGGGGTCTTGCTATGTTGTCCAAGCTGGTCTCGAACTTCTGGCTTCAAGCAGTCCTTCTGCCTTGGCCTCCCAAAGTGCTGGGATTACAGGTGTGAGCCACTTTACCTGGCCCATAAATATATTATAACTAAAATTTGCTCTTTAACTGTTTACTGAAAGTACGGGTTGTCATCCTTTTATTTTCTATAGGCCAACACGTTTAGTGCTACTAGGAGACAAAAATAATAAAGTAATACTGATAGGTAAAAATGCTATATTTAAAATTCCTAAAAATTTGCATATCAAAATTTAAGTTGTTCATATAATTTCTTAGGGGAAAATGAAGCAGAAAGAAGTTTATTTAAAAGTTATACCCTTGTGATTGAAAATCTGTCTAAAATATATCAGTTTCTTTTCTTGTTCTAGTTCAAGGTGGTAAACATAATTAAGCTTTATTGAGTATCTTGCCACAGAATGAATCATGAATGGTTACGTTTACTATGATTTTATCAATGATCTATGTGGAAGGTGGGAGATTAAATTAAATGTGTGCAGGCATCAGCCAAAAATTTATTAAATATTTTAATGCTTTACATTTTTTCTTTCAGGTAGAACTATGAGAGATAGTATATTGCAGGCTCTAATTTCTTTGGTTTCTAATGTTTGACTATATAAGAATATAATCATCATAAGATGGCAATATTCATTATTAAATTTAATTTATGCTACCACTCAAATGGTTAGGTTGTGAAATAAGATTGTTTAATAGTGTTTGAAAGATTTGTATACCCCTGAGACTCTAGCTAGCACCCTGACTGATGCCCTGACAGAAAAAGATGATTGGAGCATTCAGAAGTTATGCCTCACTCGGGGAGGGGCAGTTGAGATTTGTTCCCTGATACCAGACCCATTCCTTGAATACTTTGTGACTGATGAGATTGACTTTGGAGTGGGAGACAGAGAAAGAATTTGGGGTGCGGTAGTATCTTGGAGGCTTAAGGGAGAGCACCAAGAAGCAGATCACAGGGCAGAAGAGGGATGAGTGCCTTTCAAGAGAAGGTGGGGAGGTTTGAGAGGAGTGAGTCAATAGTGTAGAGTCCTCACACAATCCTGCCTCCCAGCTGTTCCCTTTGCCATCAGATGCTGAGTGATTTGACATTACAGATGACCATGGAGGGCAGTGTGGGTGATGAGGAAGGCTGCACCGCACTGTGGGATTCACATTAGGCAGTCCAATATAAACCAGACTTACACCAGACTCATGCAACAAATTTGCCCACTAGCCATTATTCACAAATTACTGAAGTTATCACTGACTGATAAACACAGAATACCAGCAGGTGGGAGGAAATGTTGTCTAGTTTCTATTATTAGCTTGTGCTCCATCTGCTGATTATAAAAGTTTCACTGGTTCATTTATTTTAACCTCTCAATTGAATCTTACTGCAGGAAAACAAATTGTAGAATACATCTTACTAGTTGTGGGAAATCAAATTTAATTTGAATAGCAAAAAGTAAATAGAATGATATTTTATGCTGAATCTAAGTAGCCACATCCGTAGTCTTCTTTATTAAAGGAATGTTGGGTTAGCTCAATTGTGGATAATTTTATTATTTTCATTTAGGAAACAATTACAACATATTAGATAAATGGTAAATCATTTTTTACCCTTTCTTCTCCATGATTTAAAAAATAAGAATGGAAAACATGAATTTTACATTTTTTTCCCACTGCATTAAGTTTTATTATTACTGTGGTTTGTTTTTATTTCAAACTTTTCATGTTTCATGTCTCTCAACGCTTTTTGTCCTCAAACTTTATTGCTGGAGTATTTAATAGCAAATATAAACGATTCCTATAGACTTTTGTATTTTTGAGAAAAAAGTAGCAGCACGGACAATCTCAGTTGGTTTTTTTTTTTTAAACAAAGTACTGTTTTTCAAAAGAAACTATAACAAACAGTTGTGGACTTTGTTAGGGCTTGGGTAGGTGGGCCAGAAGTCATGGGGTGTTACTTGGATGACGTCATAGCTCAGGGTCTGGTTCTTAGCCCAGGGAGACTCACCCTTTCTAGGTAAACAAACTCCAAGGTGCCTGATGTTTAAACCAGAACTTGTTTATTAACGTATAGTGAAAAGAATTCAACAGCCAAGTGGTTTGGACATTCATGTTGGATAGAAGACTAGTACATTTTTTTCTATCAGAAAATCTGTATGAGAAGCCATAGTATGCCTGGAATTGGAAGTAATAGGAATTATGTTTTGACCAGCAAAAAATTTTTATTGGGATGAAGTCCAGCCTACCAATTTTTTTCTTTTGTGGTTCATGCTTTTGATGACATGTCTAAGAAGTTGTTGCCTAACTCAAGATTATAAAGATATGCAGCTACATTTTTTTCTAGAAGTTTTATAGTTTTGTCCCTTACATTTAGGACTGTGGTCTGTTTTGAATTAACTTTTGTGTATGATGCTAGGTAATATGCTAGTTACGTATGAATGTCTAGTTTTTCCAGCACTATTTGTTGAAAAAACTGTCCTTTCTTCCGTTGAATTAACTTGGCACCTCTGGGAAGAATCTGTTGACCCTATATTGCTAGGTCTGTCTGGACCCTGTTCAGTTCCATTGACCCGTGTGTTTAATTTTATGCCATTACCACACCATCTTGATGATGATAGCTTTAAATGTTGCAATCAGGTAATGTGAGTCCCAGTTTGTCCTTTTACGTAATTGTTTTGGCTAGTCTGTTCCTTTATATTTCCATGTAAATTTTTAAATCAGTTTATCAGTTTCTATAAAAATGTTTGCCATGATTTTGATTGTAATTGTGTTGAGTCTAAAGATCAGTTGGGAGGCTGGATGCAGTGGCTCACACCTGTAATCACAACACTTTGGGAAGCCAAGGTGGGTGGATCGCTTGAGCCCAGGAGTTCAAGACCAATCTGGACAACATGGCAAAACCCTGTCTCTACAAAAAACACACACCTCTAGTCCAGGCTACTTGGGAGGCTGACATGGGGGGACTGCTTGAGCCTGGGAAGCGGAGGTTGCAGTGAGCTGAGATTGTGCCACTGCACTCCAGCCTGGGGGACAGAGCGAGACCCTGTCTCAAAAAAAAGGTCAGTGGGGAGAAATTCACAAGTATCAATATTGAGTCATTTGATCTATGAACGTAGTATATATTTAGATCTCCTTTAATTTCTCTCAGCCATCTTTATAGGTATATAGAGCTATAGGTATATTATATAGACTCATATCTGGGTTCAAATCATGGCTCTGTCACTTATGGAGTGACCTTGGTCAAGTTTCTTAGCTTCTGTGAGCGTCATCTTCCTTGTCTATAAAATAGGGATAATATGTCATTGGTTTTGTCTAAGGGTTAAGTGAATTGATGTATGTTAAAGGCCTAATGTTATGCCTGGCAAAAAGTTTACTGCACAATACAAGTTGTTGTCATTATTATCATCATTGTCATCTTTACCATCAAGTAATGATGGCCTGTTGGATCCACCTCTGCCAAATAGTTATTCTTGCCCAGCAACCAGATGGTTAGTAGCAGCTGCTCAGGGCTCCCTTTATGGTCAGCATGGCTGATGAACACTGCCACACGCTTGCTTTTAGGGCCTCTCTTTTCTCTACTCCACACTACCATTCATTCTCCAGCTGTAGCTGTTTACACATTCTTCCTTTGGATTATGTTAATACCATTGATTAGGCCACAGCTTTCCTTGCATTTAGTCCAGTCTTCCTTTGATTTTCCAATATTGCTTTCTGCTTTTGCTTGGAAGATTTTGCTCTTTTTGTATGTCACTGTCTTAATCTCTCCTACTATGTGTTTATGGGTTTAATTTTCAGAGTTTGGGGCTAGCTCACTATCACCCCATTTTCCACTGGAGTATTTTGTAGATTGGGCAATAACTTAACTAGAATAACATACTTTAAGTGTTTGCACAGAATATATATTTTTAAATTTTGCCTCATTTATGGGAAAGTGGGGGAGAAAATGATATTTTTTATTTAAAACTTTTTAGAAGATGAGATGTGAAAATAATTTGATAGTGACTAAATCAACTGGTTGTTACACTGTTATTCTCAGTCTTATGAATTCAGAAAGTCCACTGTTTTGAAATCAGAACCTTGTCACTTACCCCCATCCTAATGAGGTTTGCATGTCAGCACTGTCAGGGTCCTTCAGGGAAATGCAAAGCAATTTCTTACGGGGAGATTTGGGATATCTGTGTCTATGTGATGTCTACATTTTTGTACAGTCATGATTTAACTTCAGAAAGAGTCTGTATTTGGGACTAAATATTCTATTCCTTTCTGAATCATCAAATAATCATTACATTGTATTCAGTATTGGTTTTAGAACAAAATATGCCACTTCCCAACTGTTTAAATCTGGGCAAAGTGTGTATCCCATCTGTGTATCAGTTTCCTTTTCTCTGAAATGGGAATGATACTAGTACCTGCCTGTTTTGAGGATTAATTTAAGTTACACTCTTAGAATGGTGCCAGTAGGCACATGGTAGATAATAAATGTTAGCAGCTTATTGTAGTTCTTTGAAAAGTGACATCCCATGCTTGTCTTATTCAATAAAAATCATTTAACCAAATTGATAGTTTAACCAGTTGTTTTGCTCTTTAATCATTCTGCTTAACTAGGAAATACTGAAGGTGTTTTTTTTTGTTTGTTTTTAATGTGAATCTGTTCGTTTTTACTTAAGAGCTGGTATAACTACTGTAGTAGTTCAGGGATAGTATTTTGACTCCATGGTGATATTAACTTCAAATTTCAGTTAATAGTAAGTTCAGTTTTATTTTTTAAGATAACATGGAAATTTTGTCTTCCAATAGTGAATGTGATTTTCCAAAGACCTTGTATTTTACCTTGTTTCTATATAAACTAACTCAGTCATAAGGAAGGTATTTGATTTGCTGACACCCACATAGGAAATCAAAACTCTTGGCTGCCTCGTTTGTTTCCCCAGTCCCAGATGATTCAGTTTCTTTAGAAACTGCATGATGCACATGATTTATGAATTATTTATCAACTTAGCTTGAGAACTCTGTCAGTTGTTTAGACCTTGTTTTACAGACAAAAGTAATCTGAGTAATTTTAATGAATAAATGATGATTTGTAGAATATATATTTATTTAAATGTTTAAAATTAAATATAAAATTAAAAATATGGAAATGATCTTTATATAATCAGAACACTCACAATTTTGTACCCTAAATGAAATTTAATGAAAAATTTAGAATTAAAAGGGATATAATTTTTACATCTTGTAAAGTGAGTTCAAAATTAGTTAAGCAACCTCAGCTTGAAATGACAGCTTGAAATGACACTATAGTAGCAAAACTTGCTGATTCTACTTTTTATGAATCAGTAATGGGCGAGAAGTGTTCTTGTATGTAAGGGATTACTGATAATTATTATCAACAGAATAAAGGCTTACTCTAACAAGATCTGGGGAGGATTATAGTTTGGCTTAATACAGTTATGTTCATTTCCTCTGTGCATATGTATTTAATGGAACTTCTTTAGCGTGGTCGTTAGAGCATTGTCTCTTCTATGATGTGGCCTTAAAAAATGTACTATTGCAGTGGAATTTTAGGTAAACCTGTATTGAGCCTCAGCAGATTTTAATTGTCAAAAGAGGCTAAGATATATTAAGATTTCTTTGGAGCAAGCAATATAATATTTCTTGTTATTTCTTTCTCTTTAAATCAGTATATAGTATCAATAGTAAATTTTAGTAATACCAAAACAGTTATCTCTGTGAAACTAGGGTCATAATTACCTTAAATTTTTTTTTAACATTTATTTTTAATCTTACTTAACGACAGCTTTTCCTAGAACTGTATTTCAGAGGCATTGCAATAACCTGGTTTTCAGAATTTGGAAATTGTGTAAATCCTTCTCATTGCAGAGTCACAGATGATCTCTCTGATTACCATGCATTCAATCCTTACGGTAAAAATCTAATTGTGGTTGGAGCCCTTGGGATGTTTTACTACTTAATTATGCAATATATACACCTTAGTGTATCCTGTGTCTTGGTAGTTTGATTTTGTAAATGAAATCTATGATTTAAACAGTATATTCAAATTTACGCAGTAAAGATAGCCAGCTAAATTGTAACAATTTGGAAGACTGAATTTGGTCATATGTTTGGTATTGAGGACTTTAGATTCAGTGAAATGGGGTGGTGACCCTTGACCTTTGTTCTTTGCTTTCATTTATGTGATGGGAAAGCTGCCTTCATTTCTAACACAAATCTTCCCTTCACTTCAAATCTCCCATTTTTGGAGATTGGGTTACAAAGAAATTGTATCTGTGCTTTTCAGATTTTTCCATGAACTACAGAAATTCCTGTGGCACTGCTCCCTAGGGAGTTGTTCTAAGCTTTAACAGAAGGCATCTTAGAATAATGTAAAAGGTCGGGGTTACCACAGTATTAAAGTATTTGAACTCTTGGTCTGTCAGGATGGGAGTTGACTTTGTTGGCCAGCCTGGTCTGCCTGTAAGATTCATATCAGGGGTTGTACGAGTTGGAAAAGCATCTCCTCATATCTTTTTTATTGAAAGGGAGCTCTGCCTCTGGCAGTGCAGAAAATGATTGCGTGAAAAGTTTGATAATTATATCAAAAGAAAATGGTGGTAGTTAGGTTAAATGGAAGATGCTTGTACTCACATGGTCCCATTAAAGGCTATTCTATTGTTTTTTTTCATATTTTGCAGTCTCCTTAACATTTAAGAAACTGAAGGTGTATTTAATCAATAGTGTCACTATGATAGATATTAAGAAAGAAAAAAACAACGCCGATGGAAAACTAAGCAAAGTTACCAAGTAAGATTGCAGCATAAATTTTAAAAGTGATTTCCCAAGGAATAGGCTATATCCAGACACTTGGCTAATATTATTGCCCTTGTTCTACAGTTAATGGTAGGTACGCTGTAGTATTTTAGGAGCACAGGGTTTTACAGTTTTGGTTCTGCCAGTTAACCTAAGATTGACTTTCCTCACCTGCAAAATATGGATAACATCCACTTCCCTGATTTTTGTGAGAATCAAATGGGATGATTTATGTAAAGCATTTAGCTCAATGCTTAACACATTAAAAACAGCCCCCAAATGGCAGCTATTATTGCAGATTTTCATCTCAGCTACAGTATTTTGGATTATTTGTCAGTACTGTACTATCTTTTAATGTATGATATTCTTTCTGTGTTCTGGGCCTTCTTAAAGTATAATGATTTCCCTTTTCTCGAATTGAATTTGACCTTTTCAAAAGTCTGGAATTTACTGAAGACAAAGAATTATCCAGTGCTTTATGAATGGGGATGTTTATATTGGTTTGGCTGGCTTCCAGGTGGCAAACAACATTCAAAAGCAGACATAAATTTTTCCCTTCCAAGAGGCCACATGGTGCTCCTTTCCTGCATCAGGCTCCCATGGATATCAATGGGTGTAATGTGTGTAAAGCAAGGGAAAGGTCTTGCTACTAAAAAGTAGGGCACTGTGCTATATCAGATAAATTAGTACGTTCCCATGAGCTCATGCTTTGTCCTAAAAGATGTCTTTGTCTTAATGTCCTGTTAGAGTCTAGCTGGCAGTTAGGAGTCAATATTTGATATAATTCTCAGTGGTTGAATCCTACTAGGATGTTCATAGTTTGTGTATATATGTATATATATATACATGTATAAAACTAGTAGTATTAAAGCCCAAACAAAAATATTTATTAAAATCTTACATGCTACACTTTGTTAAAGTGTTATTGGCTGAGTTTCCCGTTACCAAATTTAAAAGGTTGACTTACATTTTTTCCCTAAGAGTTTTAAGAAAAGTGGTACTTAAATTCATAGAGCTAAGAAAATTGTTGCTCATTGTCCATGGATATCAGAAAATATAATTTTGATTGTTTATAGAATTATAAAAATTTTAATAGGGTACTCATATTGTTAATTCCATGTCATCATTCTGCTAATAATGCTCAGATTATTCCTTAAATATAAAAATTAAATAGATGAATGAAAAAACAAAAAATAGAAATGGTAGTAGATATTAAGGAATTAGAAATTGGCTTTAGTTTCTCTCTTAATAATTATTATGTGGACGGCTGGGTGTGGTGGCTCACGCCTGTAATCCCAGCACTTTGGGAGGCTGAGGTGGGCCAATCACCTGAGGTCAGGCATTCAAGACCAGCCTGGCCAACATGTCCAAACCCCTCCTGTACTAAAAATACAAAAATTAGCCAGGTGTGGTGGCACATGCCTGTAATCCCAGCTCCTCGGGAGGCTGAGTCAGGAGAATCGCTTGAACCCGGGAGGTGGAGGTTGCAGTGAGCTGAGATCATACCATCGCGCTCCGGCCTGGGTGACAGAGCAAGACTCCATCTCAAAAAAAAAAAAAAAAAAAATTATTGTGTGACTTGTATTAGTAAGATTAGAACATTAAATACATTTTATATTATCACTTCTTTAGACTTACATTGTGATTTTTTTCCTTGGGGCTTCTCAAACATTATATGTAAGTCCTTTATGAACATGTCGAGTCTTTGGGTTCTCCATGTAGTTATAAAGATGAAGTTACATATTTGGCGGGTTGGGGTGGGGAAGAGAATTTTAATTCTCTCTGGACATTTTATAAGAGAAGACATTTTAGATCCTTGACTAGCTTGTGAATAATATGTATTAAGCAAATATACACTCCCAGTATGAAAACAGTTTATAGGGCCTTTTCATATTATTATCTTATTAGATATTCTCAGATAGCGGTATTTCCTCATTCTACAGCAAACAGACCTGAGAATCAGAGAAGTTAAATGTTTTGGTTAAATTTATACAAATGACCGTGCTTAAACAAGTATCTCCTGAGTGTAAGTGAAAAACAGCCTTTGAGACTGGGGAGATACGACAATTAAATGCATTGTCGTCCTGGATGAGATCCTAAAACAAAAAGAGGATATTAATGAAAAACTGATGAAATCCATATAAAATCTGGAGTTTATGTTTTAAAAAATGTGGCAAAGGTTAAAAATTCTTTGGGGCAACATAATGTAAAAAGTTTGAAGACAACCGAACAGATTAAAATTTTGCACATGTGTGAGTAGATAGGAGGTTTTTTTTTTTTTTTTTTTTTCTCCCTGAGACAATGTTTTGTTCTGTTGCCCCGGCTGGAGTGCATTGGTGTGATCATGGCTTACTGTAGCCTTGAGTTCCTGGGCTCAGGTGATCCTCCCATTTCAGCCTCCTGAGTACCTGGGGCTACAGGTGTGTGCCACCATGCCTGGCTAATTTTTTGTATTTTTTGGAGAGATGGGGTTTCACCATGTTGCCCAGGCTGGTCTCGAACTCCTGGGCTCAAGCAGTCCTCCCACCTCAGCCTCCCAAAGTGCTGGGATTACAGGCGTGAGCCACTATGCCCAACCTTAGATAGGAGTTTTTATTTTTTTTGTTTTTATTTTTTATCAGGTTGTTGCTATATACATGGCATTGTAACTATTAACACCTCTGAAAATGCTTCTCTACAACTTTTTGAAACTTGTTGAGTTTCTTGAATCTTCCACCAGACAAAACCTAATTTTCTGTTCTAGAGAGAGGCAGATTCTTTTTCGCTGGGGATGTTCTCATCCTAGGATATCAGAGGCACCATGGAGATTGGGGATAGGAGTTTTTCATTGTGCTATTGCTTTTCATAGAGAAACTTCAGAAACAAACTAAATGCTTATCAGTATTATAATGGATAAGTTAGTGATTGTATAGTTGGGCAATTATTACTATGTACAGTTAAGAAAATGAACTAGAATTATATCAATAGAGTTGACTCTAAAGAAATTGTTAGTAAATAAAGCAGGTTGCCAGTTAAAAACAAACCTTTGAATAACTTTCAAAACACTATACTATATGCACATGATTACAAAATCAAACAGTACAGAAGGATTTATAACGAAAATGAAGTGTTTCAGTTCCCCTTCTTCCCTTTGTCTACTCGGTTCCCACAGTCTATTTGGAATTATGTTTAAATGTGTCTGGTGGTTACAGGCATATCTTGGAGATACTGTGGGTTCAGTTCCAAACCTCCACGATAAAGCAGGTATTGCAATAAGTCAAGTCAGAGAAATGTTTTGGCTTCTTGGTGCATATAAAAGTTATGCTTGTATTATATTGTAGTCTATTAAGTGTGCAATAGCATTATGTCTAAAAGAATAATGTATACACCTTAATTAAAAAAGATTGTATTGGCTGGACGTGGTGGCTCATGCCTGTAATCCCAGCATGTTGGGAGGCCGAGGTGGGGTGGATCACTTGAAGTCAGAAGTTCGAGACCAGCTTGGCCAAGATGGTGAAACCCCATCTCTACTAAAAAAATACAAAAATTAGCTGGGCATGGTGGTGCGTGCCTGTTATCCCCGCTACTTGGAAGGCCGAGGCAGGAGAATTGCTTGAGCCCAAGAGGTGGAGGTTGCAGTGAGCTGGGATTGTGCCACTACACTCCAGTTGGGCAACAGGGCAAGACTCTGTCTCAAAAAAAAAACAAAACCAAACAAACAAAAAACACAAAAATGTCCTTATTGCTAAAAAAAAAAAATGCTGAAGGTCATCTGAGCCTTCAGCGAGTCATAATCTTTATGCTGGTAGAGGGTCTTGCCTTGATGTTGATGGCTGTTGACTGATCAGGGTGGTGGTTCCTGAAGATTTGAGTAGCTGTGGCAATTTCTTAAAATAAAACAACAGTGAAGTTTGCCATATCAATTCATTTCTTTTCTTGAAAGATTTAGCTATAGTATGTGATTTAAAAAAAAAAAAAAGAGAGATAGTTTCTTGCTCTGTTGCCTGGGCTGGAGCACAGTGGCACAATCATAGTTCACTACCACCCAGAACTCCTGGACTCAAGCAGTCCTTCTGCCCCAGCCTCTTGAGTAGCTAGGATTATAGGTGCAAGCCACTGGAGCCAGCCTGTGATGCTGTTAGCATTTTACCCACAGTAGAACTTCTTTCAAAATTGGAGTTAATCTTCTCAAGCCCCGCTGCTGCTTTATCAACTAAGTCCTATGTATATTCTAAATCTTTGTTGGCATTTCAATAGTGTTCACAGTGTCTTCACCAGGAGTAGATTCTGCCTCAAGAAACCACTTTCTTTGCTGATCCATAAGAAGCAACTCCTCATTCATTCAAGTTTGCTCATGAGATTGCAGCAATTGAGTCCCATCTTCAGGCTTCACTTCTAATTCTCTTGCTATTTCCACCACATCTGCAGTTACTTCCTGGACTGAAGTCCTCAACCCTTCAAAGTCATCCATGAGGGTTTGGAATCACCTTCTTCCAAACTCCTGTTAATATTGATATTTTGACCTCCTCCCATGAATCATGAATGTTCTTAATGGTATCTAGAATGGTGAATTTTTTGGTGAATTTTTTCCAGAATATTTTCAATTGAATTTACCCATATCCATCAGAGGAATCACTATTGATGGTAGCTGTAGCCTTACAAAATGTATTTCTTAAATAATAATACTTGAAAGTTGAAGTTACACCTTGTTCCATGGGCTACAGAACGGATGTTATGCTATTAGGAATGAAAAAAACATTGATTTGCTTGTACCTCTCCATCAGAGCTCTTGGACTAGGTACATTGCCAATAGCAGTAATATTTTGAAATAAATCTTTTTTTTTCTGAGCAATCTCAATAGTGAGCTTAAAATAGTTATTAAACCCTTCTGTAAACAGATACGCTGTCATCCAGGCATGTTTTTCTATTTATAGAGCATGAGCAGAGTAGTTTTGCGTAATTCTTAAGGGCCATAAAATTTTCAGAATGGCAAATGAGCATCAACTTCAACTTCAGCTGTATTAGTCCCTAATAAGTGAGTCATCCTGATTTTTGAAGCTTTAAAGCCAGGCTTTGCCTTCTCTCCAACTATGAAAGTCCTATGTGGCATCTCCAATAAAGAGATATCTATGGTATAGTCTTCCATTGGAAGACTGTTTTGTCCACATTGATAAACTGTTGCTTAGATTCACCTTCATCAATGATTTTAGCCAGATTTTATGGATAACTTGGTGCAGTTTCTGTATCAGCAATTGTTGCTTTGCCTTGAACTATGTTATGGAGATGGTTTCTTTCCTTAAATCTTACGAACCTACTGCTAGCTTCAAATCTTTCTTCTGCAGCTTTCTCACCTCTCTCAGCCTTCATAGAATTGAAGAGAGTTACGACCTTGCTCTGGATTAGGCTTTGGTTAAGGGAATTTCTGTCTAGATCACTGAAACTTTCTCCACGTCAGCAGTAAGGCTGTTTCTTATCATTCATGTATTCACTGGAGTAGCTTTTTTTTTTTTTTTTTTTGAGACGGAGTTTCGCTCTTGTCACCCAGGCTGGAGTGCAATGGCGCAATCTCGGTTCACTGCAACCTCCGCTCCCGGGTTCAAGTGATTCTCCTGCCTCAGCCTCCTGTGTAGCTGGGATTACAGGCACCTGCCACCACGCCCAGCTAATTTTTGTATTTTTAGTAGAGATAGGGTTTTGCCATGTTGGCCTCCTGACCTCAGGTGATTCGCCTGCCTCAGCTTCCCAAAGTGCTGGAATTATAGGTGTGGGCCACCATGCCCAGCCTGGAGTAGCACTTTTGATTTCCTTCAAGAACTTCGCCTTTGAATTTACAACTTGGCTAGTTATTTGGAGCAAGAGGCCTTGCTTTTGGCCCGTTTTGGCTTTCAACATGCCTTCCTCACTAAGCTTAATAATTTCTAGCTTTTGAGTAAAGTGAGAGATATGTGACTCTTCCTTTCACTTGAACACATAGAGGCCCTTGTAGGGTTACTAATTGGCCTAATCTTAATACTGTTGTGTTTCAGGGAATAAGGGGGCCTGAGGAAAGGGAGAGAGGCCAGGGGTATGGTGGCTGGTTGTTGGAACAGTCAGAACACACATTTCTTGATTAAGTTTACTGTCTTATATGGTTGTGGCTTGTGGTGCCCCAAAAGAATTTAAAGAGTAACCTTAAAGATCAGTGATCACACATCATCATAACAGATATAATGATAATGAAAAAGTTTGAATATTGTGAGAATTACCAAAATATAACACAGAGACAGGAAGTGAGCCCATGCTGTTGGAAAAATAATGCCATTAAACTTGCTTGACACAGGGTTGCCACAGTATGTAAAATGCAATATCTGCACAGCACAATAAAGCCAAGTGCAGTAAAATGGATATGCCTGTACTTCTGTATTCTAAATAAAATGCTTATGCTGTGATTTTTAGAAAAATATGCAAACTGCAGACATTTGCTCTTAATTCCTGTTAAAATAGATGAGGATTTACTCTGCTTATAGTCCCCTCCCTTCCTTTCTCTCTCCTTCCTTCCTTCCTCCTTCCTTCTCTCCCTCCTTCCTTGTTACGTTACTACAGTATATAACAATATTTATTTTTTAAAATTTAGTTTTTTAATCAGATTGTTTATGTAGATAGTTTAAAACTGAAATAATTCTATAAATCTTATTATGAAAATCTGCAGTTGCTTCTGTAGCCACTCACCCCCACCACTCCCAACCATTGCCTGCATCCTAGAGACAAGCATTTCACACTGCAGGCTGTTTCTTTTGATATTTAAATCATATCACTAGATAACAAATTTTTGGATCTACTTCTTGATTTTCTGTTTTGTGCCCTGTGTATTGGATTTCCTCTCTGGAAGAAGAACATTTAGCTCACTCTCACCGTTTCTACCACTAGACAGGTCATACTCTCCATTCTCTGTCTTCCCAATGTAGTTACCACATTCATTAGTCTAGATCACTATTCTTTGTCACATTATTGTGATTTAGTAAATGCTATTCACAGCTGAGTCATGAGTAAATTATGACTGTTTCTTTCTTGCATGACTTTCCTTGTTTGTGCTCTGTAGTTAATAATTGTCTTGCTTCTTTGCTTAGTTTTCTATGTATTTATCATAAATTCACCCCCAGTTGTTAACGTTATTTTCTCCAAACATTCAGACACATTAGGTATTGCATCTTTTTGGGTCTTACTTGCACAGAACCTTGTGAGCTGTTCTGTTTCGTTCTGTATGGTTGCCCCGTATCCCTGGGGCACAGATAACCATCACTCCGGGGTTGCTGTTTGCCTCTTTCTGTGTGAGATCCCTTTCTGCTGGATCCTGTGGTCTCAAGACTTGATTACAACCTTGTTTTGACAAACTGTCTTCTCTAGTAGTACCATGAGGAAAGATGCATGGAAGAGAAATTTTGTGTGTCCTGGAAAAATTTTTTATTGGTGCTCTTGCACTTAATTGGTACTATCTAGATTGGAAATAATTTTTCCTTTAGAATTTTGAAAGCGCTGATTGATCTGTTGTCTTCTGGGCTTTCATTATTGCTATTACAAAATCTCAAGATCATCCTCCCTTCTCTCTCCCTCCCCCACTCTTTCTTGACATTATAGGATTGTGATTCTTAACCCTGGCTTCACTTTAGAATTATCTGGGGACTTTGACCAAATCCTGGTATGAGAGATTTTGAAGTAATTGGTCTGGAGTGGAGCCCAAACATAGATATTTCTGAAAAGCTCCCTAGGTAATTCTAAGATGTAGCCAGAGTTGAGAACTACTGTTTTAGTGTCTTTTCTTTGTCTCTCATTGCTGAAATTTCTTGATGATATGCTATGATGTAGGTCCCTTTCCATCCGTTGTGTTAGGTACTTGATTGTTCCATTAATCTGGAAGTTTATGTTAATTTTGGTAATTAAAAATTTTATTTTCTCCCGTTCTTCTGATCTATTATTTTAAAAATCTTGTTATTTGTAGTTCCTCTGCTTGTCTCTCTGATTTTCTGTAACTTTTTCCTTTTGTTTACAGAGTGATTTCCTCAGTTTGATCTTCCATCCCTTTCACTGAGTTTTCCTTTTCTGTAATCCTATTTTAATTTTTCTGAGAATTCATTTTTTTGTACTCTAATTATTCTGCTTTTATGGACTCCTGTTTGTATTTAAGGATGCAGTATCTTCCCTCCTTTCTAAGGATATTAATAATTTTTTGTTAACTTTTTATCTCCCTTCCTTGCTCTGTTTCCTCTAAATTACTTTTTGAAAATCTGTTACTTGTTTTGGCCTCCTGGTTTTTCCTATAAGGGGCTTTGCTCAGAAGCCTTCCTTGGCTATGTACCTATTTATGTTTAAAAGCTAATTATGGACTCGCTATCTGTGTGGTGGACTTCTCAACCTTAGCCTTTACCATAGGATCTGGCTGGGTCATTGCAGTGGGGGAACTCCTGGGATCAGAATCTTGGGATCTTTTCTCTTGGGCTGGTCATATTCCTTAGAGAGTACTCTTTTCAACTCCACTTTTGGAAGCTGATTTGGCAGAAGATGGCTGGAGGATGACTTTTAGGATGTGAAGGCATGCTTAATTTGCCTTTCTCATTTATGTCTCTTGTCATGCTGATTAGAGCCCCTGTCTCTTTGACTCTCTCCAGAGAATAAACCTCCAGCCTCCTGGGGGTTGGGCAAGGGAGAGGAATCTCTGTCTTAGACTTGTCCTTTCTGTGTCAAGGCCCACCCCACCCCAGCTTTCATGGCTACCTGCTGCTATCCTTTTCTGGTGAGGTTTTTGTGGGGTTTCAAGGTATGAATCAGATTGCTTCTCTCAGCTTTCCTGGCTGCTGGCTTAGTGGTCACCTCTCTGTTGAGTCAGGTACAACTTGTTCTTGGGTTTTCCAGCTACCAAATGCCCTTGTTCTTCTCAACTCCTTTTCCTTTCTCCTTGTTGGTAAGTATGTACCCTAAACACAGATTCCATTACTGTCAACGTAATGTGTTTTCAGGAGAGAGTGGAGGTAAGCTAAAGGTCATCTACTCTGTATAATCAGAACTGAATAATATGATTGTGGTAAATGAAAAATAAAGAGATGGTAAAAGGCTTCAGATTGTCATAATGATTCTATTTTGCATGTCAGCTCTGAGGTTCAGTCGAAATACTTGGTGTGTATAATGTCTGCAGAAGCGTAGCAGTAACTCATACTTGGTGTTCTTTGGTTGGTGGCAGATCATGCTGCAATCAGTTGGACTGAAAGTTAAATTTGGAAAAGTTATTTAAACTCTTCTGTTGCAATGCAGGTTGACAGCCTGTATTAAAATAAAATGTTTGGTTTAGAAACCCTATAAACACTGTGTTGGTTTCAACCAAAAAAGCTTGACTTTTCTCCTTAAATCAGTCATGACTGTATTAACATTTAAAATACCATTTTCTTGGTACCATTTATACCTCAGCGATGTCACATAGAAAATTGAGAAATTATAACTCATTTTCATTCTTTTATTGTGCATTTAAAATATAAACTCTATAATGTAATGTTTCACTTTAAGATCTTTTTCTTCTTTAAGGGAATTGATAACATAGCACTTTAAGGAACTTTTAATAAAAATACTGTTTTTTGGTAAATTGATTGTATTATTATCCGAGACAATATGTACATTCTTCACTGCATGTTCATGCAAATTTAGAAACCCAGTCTGAAATTTGCTGCACTAAGAAAAAGCCAGATTAAAACTTTTTATACTACCAAAAGCAACCTTTAAAAAAATCTTGTTTTTCTTTTCAAAAGCATAGTGTTCTTGTCTGTCTTAGGACCT
Organism: Homo sapiens; assembly: GCF_000001405.40. Taxonomy (NCBI): domain Eukaryota; kingdom Metazoa; phylum Chordata; class Mammalia; order Primates; family Hominidae; genus Homo; species Homo sapiens. Next base: position 56,793,537 of record NC_000006.12, on the reverse strand, counting down.
CTTTTGTTAGAATTCTCTGTGGGTAGTTTAAGAGAACAACATTTTATTTTGAAAAACTTAAAGTCTACAGAAAAGTTGAAAGAATAGTTATACAAACCCTATGTATACCTGTCACCTTAGTTCACTGAGTGTTAACATTTTGCTGAATTTGTGCTTTCTCAGTTTTTTTTACTGAACCATTAAAATTTAAGTTTAGACATCATGACATTTTTGTCTCTAAATAATTAAGTATTTGTGTTGTCAGAATAAGGACATCCTCTTTACATAATCATAATACCATTTTCAACTCTAAGAAACAATTCTATGATACCATCTAACATACAATATGCATCCCTCCTGGATTTTCCCTAACCTTTAACTTCTAGCTCTTCCCCACCCTCCAGGACTCCAAGATGCAAATAAGGATTGCTAGAACAGTGCCCTCTCCTAACCTTTTGCTTTTTTTTTTTTTTTTTTTTTTTTTTTTTTTGAGACAGGGTCTCACTCTGTTGTCCAGGCTGGAGTGCAGTGGTGCGATCATGGGCTCACTGCAGCCTTGACCTCAGGGGCTCAAGCGAGTCTCCCTTCTCAGCCTCTGAGTAGCTGGGACTACAGGTACATGCCACCATGCCTAGCTACATTTTTGTATTTTTTGTAGAGATGGAGTTTCACCATGTTGTCTAGGCTGGTCTCAAACTCCTGAGCTCAAGCAATCCACCTGCTTTGGCCTCCCAAAGTGATGGGGCTAGAGGCGTGAGCTACCATGCCCAGCCAACCATTTGTCTTATATAATGTCCCACAATCTGGGTTTGTCTTATTATTTCCTTATGATTGGATTCAGGTTAGAACATTTGTGGCAAAATTATTACAGCAGTGATAGTGTTTACTTCTTATTGCAGCATATCAGGAAGCACATATCAGTGTATTCCATTAATGGTGGTGTTGAATTTGATCACTTAGTCAGGTGTGGTGGTGTACCCCTGTGTTCCCAGCTACTAGGGATATTGAGATGGGAGGATTGCTTGAGCCCAGGAGTTACAGGCCAGCCTGGGCAACATAGTGAGACCCTATCTCTTAAAAAAAAAAATCGATCATTTAGTTGAGATGGTATCTGCTAGATCTCTTCATTGTAAAAGAACCTGTTTTACTACTTTTTCTCTCCTGTAATTAATGGATAAATTGGGAAATTTGTACATGTCATGTTCCCCCAAAACCTTTTACCTAATAGTATTCCTTGATCCTTACCTGAATGAGTTATTAATATTTAATTGTAAAAATGGTGATCATTTCTTGTTTATTAGCTGGCTTTCTTCCACAAAGAAGAGCTTTCCCTCATCTCCTCCTTTTCTCTTCTTTAATGTCATTGTTGTCTCTTTAGAAAAAAAAAACAAAAAAACCTCAGTGTGTTAGAATTCATTATCATTGTGATTATTTTTGATGATTAAATTGTCCCAAGTTTGGCTAGTGGCAGCCTTTTGAAGTTGGCTTCTGTGTCCTTTTACCATATTCTCAGTAATCTTTAAGCATTTCCTTTGCTTTTTGGCACAACGAGATGTTTCAGGCTCACTTTGTGCTTTCCCTGCCCCAGAGTTGGAATAGATGATTTCTCTAAGAATTCAGTTTGTTTCAGTGGTTCTTCATATTTATAAATCAAGATTTGGGCACTAGATATGTTTATTGCTGCTGATTATGATTATATCCATACCCTTTCAATAGGAATATCTAGGAAATAGATAGCTTTCTTTTCTTTCTTTCTTTTTTTTTTTTTTTTGAGACAGGGTCTCACTCTGTTGCCCAAACTGCAGTGTAGTGGTGTGATCATGGCTCACTGCTGCACCCTCGACATCCTGGGCTCAGGTGATCCTCCTACCTCAGCCTCCTGAGTAGCTGGGACCACAGACATGTGCCACCACACTTGGCTAATTTTAAATTATTTGTAGAGACGGGATCTTCCTATGTTGCGTAGGCTGGTCTCGAACTTCTGGGCTCAGTGATCCTCCCACCTCGGCCTCCCAAAGTGTGGGGATTACAGGTATGAACCACTGCACCTGGCTGGGTAGCTAATTTTTAAATCATACATTTATTACTGATATTCGCTATTCAAATTTGATACTGTAGGTTTCTTTTTTTTAAACCTTCTCCCACTTTTATATCCCTGGTTCCCAGCAGTGAGAACTCTGGTTCACAACATTACTGTATTTATCTAATTGCTCTCACCTACAATATACACAATACAGTGTCTCAGTTACTATACCTATACCTTTACCAGTCTTATTTGTTTGTTTATTTGTTTGTTTTTTGAGACGGAATCTCGCTCTGTCACCCAGGCTGGAGTGCAGTGGTGCCATCTCGGCTCACTGCCTTACCAGTCTTATTTGGATTCAAAGTACAGAGATTAATTCAGGCTACTGGAAAATGATAAAGGATAAAGGATTCGTGTAAGGATACATAGTAGCATGGATCTAAAAGGTAGCTTCTGGCATCAGCTACTCTCATTCACCCACTCTCTTGGCCTTCTTTGTTGGCCTCTCTTTCTCATTCCATGTGTCTCTGCATCTTGTCTCTCACCTTCAACCTTTCTAAGTGGGAAGGAATTTGTTAGGTTGATTATTTACCCTCTAAGTAGCATTTCTGTTGGACAGCTTGTGATCCAGGTATCTTGGTCTTGTTGGCCAAAGTGTGGGCAATGGGGACTTCTTTTGTTCAAAACAACGGAAAGCTTTCTTGTATTTGGTCAGTATAATCACTGGGCACTTTTAGGTTTTATGGTCCAGTACAAACTGGTTTTCATTTTTCTTAGTATAGTGATAGATTTCCTTTACCCTGGAGTGTTTAAAGTTCATGAGTAATTTTGAAAATAAGGTAGTAAAATATATTTAATTTCCAGCTGCCAGCCAGAAAACTGTAGTCTATTTCTGAACAAATGAAACTCAGTACACAGACATATTTAGTGATTAATGACCTATTCTAAGAGGAAGCCTGAAAGGAGGAAGAAGGTGTGTTTTCTCCCTGGGCTGTGAATGAGAAGATAAAGTAAGTATCCAAAGTACATAAATCTGATATTCTGAGATTAATAATAGGCTTTATCTGGGGTAGGTGTTAGTGACTGAGAATTAATAAGACAGTTTTTAAAATGTAGCATGCATAGTGAAAAGAACACAGGCTTTCAAATATGACAGACTTAAGGTCCACATTTGGCTTGGCTCATTCAAACTCTGTGACACTGGGCAAATTACCAATGTACTCTGAGCCTCAATCTCCTCTTTTGTAAAACGGGCATGATAAAACTTACTATCTATCATAGTAGATAGTAACTATATAAATGAGAAATCACAGATGATTGGACAGTTAAAAATTTTTTTTTTTGCTTTCTGGCAAGAAAAATTCCGGCTCTGGAGAAATAATGGGAAAGTCCCCAGTGTCAGCAAAGGAAAACATGTCCAGGAAGGGTAACAGAAGGAGAAGTATGACCTGAAAACCTGGGAGCAGTCTAGGCATGAAGAGAAATGAGCTCACCTCTTTGAGCTTCACTTTACTCATCTGAAATAAAAGAAGAGAGCATCCCTGGTAGAGACTGGAGTCTGAAATATCATGAGGTCAAGCTAGGAAGAGTTCCTGCTGTGTATGAATATTTGTAAATAAGCACAGATATTGTACATAGCAGCGTTATTTACAGTGGCCAATAGGTGGAAGCTAAGTGTCCATTGATGGGTAAATGGATAAACAAAATGTCGTATGTACATACAATGGAATATCTTCAGCCTTAAAAAGGAAGGAAATTCGGACACATGCTAAAGTGTGGATGAACCTTGAGGACATAATGCTAAGTGAAATAAGCCAGTCACAGAAAGACAAATATTGTATGATTCCACTTACATGAAGCATCTAGAGTAGTCATAGTCACAGAAGCAGAAAGTTAAAGTGGTAGTTCCCAGGGGCTGGGGGAGAAGGAAATTGAGAGTTGTTTAACGAGTATAGCATTTTAGTTTTACAAGATGTAAAACTTCTAGAGATTGATTGCACAATAATGTGACTATTGTAAATATACTTAATGCTAATAAACTATACTTAGAAATGGTTAAGATGGTAAATTTTATGTTATAGTTACTTTACTGCAATTAAAAAAAGTAAGCACAGCATTTTAAAAGGTATCATTTGTATAATAGAGGTGTGTACATATGCATATATAACTATATATATTTTTTCAATTTTATTTAATTTTTTAGGTGCAGGGTTTCACTGTGTTGCCCAGGTTGGAGTGCAGTAGTGCAATTATAGCTTACTGTCACCTTGAACTCCTGGGCTCAAATGATCCTCCTGCCTCAGTCTCCTACGTAGTGAGGATACAAGTGTGCATGACAATGCCTGGCTAATTAAAAAAAATTTTTTTTATAGAAACAGGGTCTCACTATGTTGCTGAGGCTAGTCTCAAGGGATCCTCCATTCTTGGCCTTCCAAAGTGCTGGGATTATAGGTGTGAACCACTGTACCACTATATATTAATGGTTATAAAATACAAATATTTAACAATTAATCATATGTATTTCATATTGTACCATTTAAAACAATGTTTCTACTAAGACTAAAAATCATACAACCTTTCTGCAGGACAAGGTACAGATTCATGTTGACTCTGAAATTCCACTTTCAGGAATTATAAGGAAGCATGTGTACAAAAGTTTAACAAGTTTAATATAAGTATGCTTACAAAAGTTTAACATGATTCACAGTACTATTTGTAGTAATAGCAAAAAGTTGGAAGCAATCATAATTGCTCAGTACTGGAGAATTCATTAAGTAGGTTATGGTACATTTATCAACTCATTGGGATGGAGTATTGCAGAAATGTATCTTGACATTGAAAAATATCTAGACTGTTAATACTTGGGAAAAAAGTAGTTTGCATGTATAAATAACAGAACTCATTTCTTAATTTTACATATTGTGCTGTAGCCACTGTAACAAAATATTTCTCTTGTGCTATTTTTATTACTTACACAATTTTGTTACTTACATAATTTGGTATTTATAAGCTTTTGATGTTCAGAGTACCTGATGATAAAGAACATAATACTTAGGCTGGGAGCGATGGCTCACATCTGTAATCCAAGCACTTTGGGAGGCCAAGGTGGGCAGATCACTTGAGTTCAGGAGTTCAAGACCAACCTGACCAACATGGTCAAACAAATACAAAAAGTAGCTGGTGGTGCACACCTATAGTCCCAACTACTTGGGAGGCTAAGGCAGGATAATTGCTTGAACTGGGAGGCGGAGGCTGCAGTGAGCAGAGATCGTGCCGCTGCACTCTAGCCTGAGTGACAGAGCAAGACTCCGTCTCAAAAAAAAAAAAGAAGAACTTAATACTTTCGATACTTGCTATAATTAAATGTTTTCAGAGTCTGATTTTTTTTTTTTTTTTTTTTTTTTTTTGAGACGGAGTCTTGCTCTGTCACTCAGGCTGGAATGCAATGGCGTGATCTCGGCTCACTGCAACCTCCCCCTCCCAGGTTCAAGTGATTTTCCTGCCTCAGCCTCACGAGTAGCTAGGATTGCTGGGATTACAGGTGCCCGCCACCATGCCTGGCTAATTTTTGTATTTTTAGTAGAGGCCAGGCTGGTCTTGAACTCGTGACCTCAGGTGATCCACCCGCCTTGGCCTCCCAAAGTGCTGGGATTACAGGTGTGAGCCACCACACCCAGCCTCAAAGTCTGATTTTGAAGAGAATATATGCTTCATAAAGTTGCATTTTTCTTACCTAATATTCATTTAATCAAGTTAACATTATAGTACTTTCATAGAAGAAGTTATTAAACACTTTCATGTTAGAATCTAATAACCATGATTGTTTTAAAACAAAGTTTGGCATTTATTTGGTTATTAATCACTCAAACATAATTAATCACTATGGTTAATTACTGTGTTTCTCTGTAAGTTTTGATATTAATTCTAAAGGATAGAAGTCTACATATTATTTTTTGTGGTTTGTGTTACAATTTCATATTTGTCCATGCCAATCCTGGTGAGAATTGCAGCCTGTCTTAGCTGTTGAAGTACTTCAGCCCATAAAATACTTCAAGCTATTTTGTATCATTTTGTATAGTGTCTAGGAATGTAGACTATTTAGTCTAGTTTGTTGGACTCAATCCTGTACTTCCAAGTGAAGTCAAGTTGCTGTTTGAGCGGCCCTGGCTAAATTACTTCATCTCTTTGAGCTTCACTATACTCATCTGAAATAAGACATGATAATAAATAGACACAGCCTTATTTTTTGTGAATAGAATATTATTCATTCCATTATAGTGCATTTCACTATATGTGCTCAGCATGCAGAGTCTATCCTACCAACTCATGCTCCTGAGAGAGCTTAAGAATTCCCATTCCCTCAGTGGTTCTCAGTTCTCTCATCCTCTGATAGTTTGACCATTTTTTGTGTCTCCAGTTCCTCATGTATAAAATGAGAACATTGATTGTACCTACTTCATAGGGTTATTGTGAAATGAAATTATTTGTTGTGTGTAAATTTGTTGAAACGGTGCCTGGCACATGGTGACTAATAATCCTGTGAATATTAGTTATTGCTGTTACCTTGGTTCAGAGTATGTAATGCATTAATTTTAAAAAGGAACCACATTGCCCACATTCAGGTGATGGATGATTTTTTTATCCCCTCATTGATGGACTCTCAGTATCCTTTACTTGGCACTTCCTAGGTTCTTCTTGGGTTAAAAAGGTATTGGGGTTGGGAGTGGTGATTCCCACGTAATCCCAGCACTTTGGGAGGCTGAGGCAGGCAGATCACCTGAGGTCAGGAGTTCGAGACCAACATGTGAAACCTTGTTTCTTCTAAAAAGACAAAAATTAGCTGGGTGTGGTGGCGGGTGCCTATAATCCCAGCTACTTGGGAGGCTGAGGCAAGAGAATCACTTGAACCCAGGAGGCAGAGGTTGCAGTTAGCCCAGATTGTGCCACTGCACTGTAGCCTGGGTGACAGAGCGAGACTCTGTCTCAAAAACAAACAAAACAAAACAAAACCAAAAGGTACTGGGACTGGGATGTTAGGGGCATGATATCAAAGGAAGTAATCAGCAACTATGGAGCTTGGTGATAAACACATAGGAAACAGCAAGTAGGTCTTAGGGTATTCTCATTATTAGGTGATCAGGAAGTCAGATATTGTAAATGGCCAGACAAGATTAGTGTTAAATTCTGAAGAATGCAGGCTTACTATCTGCTAATAGAACAAACACACATCTGTCAAATACAAGGATGTCTATCTAAGAAATGGGTGAACCTGAAAGCAATAAAGACTACATTTTGTAACAATTCAAGACTTGGAGATGGGGGAATGAATCATTGCTAGTAGTAGACTCTTTAATTGTTTTTCTTCAACCCCTCCCCCCCAAATGAAAGACACACACTCATATATGCACACGTGCACATATGTGCATGCACACACAAACACACACAGTTTTATTCATTAATGACAGCTTCTGAGTTAGGTGCTGGGGACATGAAAATGAGCCCTCAGAGAGTTAACTATAATACAATGAAAGTTTAATAGAATGATAATACTGATGTGTGAATATAGATGTGATAATGTTGATAAGTGAATATAGATAGAGCCTAAAGCTGCTCAGCTTCCCTCAAGTGTAAGGAAACAGTTACAAACAAGATCAAGAATAAGGAAGAGGGGGAGGAGCCAAGATGGCCGAATAGGAACAGCTCCGGTCTGCATCTCCCAGCGTGAGCGACGCAGAAGACGGGTGATTTCTGCATTTCCATTTGAGGTACCGGGTTCATCTCACTAGGGAGTGTCAGACAGTGGGCGCAGGAGAGTGGGTGCAGCGCACCGTGCGCCAGCCGAAGCAGGGTGAGGCATTGCCTCACTCGGGAAGCACAAGGGGTCGGGGAGTTAGTTCCCTTTCCTGGTCAAGGAAAGGGGTGACAGACGGCACCTGGAAAATCGGGCCACTCCCACCCGAATACTGCGCTTTTCCAATGGGCTTAGGAAACGGTGCACCAGGAGATGATATCCCACACCTGGCTTGGAGGGTCCTACGCCCACCGAGTCTCACTGATTGCTAGCACAGCAGTCTGAGATCAAACTGCAAGGCGGCAGCGAGGCTGGCGGAGGGGCGCCTGCCATTGCCCAGGCTTGCTTAGGTAAACAAAGCAGCCTGGAAGATCGAACTGGGTGGAGCCCACCACAGCTCAAGGAGGCCTGCCTGCCTCTGTAGGCTCCACCTCTGGGGGCAGGGCACAGACAAAAAGACAGCAGTAACCTCTGCAGACTTAAATGTCCCTGTCTGACAGCTTTGAGGAGAGCAGTGGTTCTCCCAGCACTCAGCTGGAGATCTGATAATGGGCAGACTGCCTCCTCAGGTGGGTCCCCGAGCAGCCTAACTGGGAGGCACCCCCCAGTAGGGGCAGACTGACACCTCGCACGGCCGGGTACTCCTCTGAGACAAAACTTCCAGAGGAACGATCAGACAGCAGCATTCGCGGATCACGAAAATCCGCGGTTCTGCAGACACTGCCGCTGATACCCAGGCAAACAGGGTCTGGAGTGGACCTCTAGCAAATTCCAACAGACCTGCAGCTGAGGGTCCTGTCTGTTAGAAGGAAAACTAACAAACAGAAAGGACATCCACACCAAAAACCCATCTGTACATCACCATCATCAAAGACCAAAAGCGGATAAAACCATAAAGATGGGGAAAAAAACAGAGCAGAAAAACTGGAAACTCTAAAAAGCAGAGCGCCTCTCCTCCTCCAAAGGAACGCAGTTCCTCACCAGCAACGGAACAAAGCTGGATGGAGAATGACTTTGACGAGTTGAGAGAAGAAGGCTTCAGACGATCAAACTACTCCGAGCTACAGGAGGAAATTCAAACCAAAGGCAAAGAAGTTGAAAACTCTGAAAAAACTTTAGACGAATATATAACTACAATAACCAATACAGAGAAGTGCTTAAAGGAGCTGATGGAGCTGAAAGCCAAGGCTCGAGAACTACGTGAAGAATGCAGAAGCCTCAGGAGCTGATGCGATCAACTGGAAGAAAGGGTATCAGCGATGGAAGATTAAATGAATGAAATGAAGCAAGAAGGGAAGTTTAGAGAAAAAAGAATAAAAAGAAATGAACAAAGCCTCCAAGAAATATGGGACTATGTGAAAAGACCAAATCTGCGTCTGATCAGTGTACCTGAAAGTGACGGGGAGAATGGAACCAAGTTGGAAAACACTCTGCAGGATATTATCCAGGAGAACTTCCCCAATCTAGCAAGGCAGGCCAACATTCAGATTCAGGAAATACAGAGAACGCCACAAAGATACTCCTTGAGAGGAGTAACTCCAAGACACGTAATTGTCACATTCACCAAAGTTGAAATGAAGGAAAAAATGTTAAGGAGAACCAGAGAGAAAGGTCAAGTTACCCACAAAGGGAAGCTCATCAGACTAACAGCAGATCTCTCGGCAGAAACTCTACAAGCCAGAAGAGAGTGGGGGCCAATATTCAACATTCTTAAAGAAAAGAATTTTCAACCCAGAATTTCATATCCAGCCAAACTAAGCTTCATAAGTGAAGGAGAAATAAAATCCTTTACAGACAAGCAAATGCTGAGAGATTTTGTCACCACCAGGCCTGCCCTAAAAGAGCGCCTGAAGGAAGCACTAAACATGGAAAGGCACAACAGGTACCAGCCGCTGCAAAATCAAGCCAAAATGTAAAGACCATTGAGACTAGGAAGAAACTGCATCAACTAACGAGCAAAATAACCAGCTAACATCATAATGACAGGATCAGGTTCACACATAACAATATTAACTTTAAATGTAAATGGACTAAATGCTCCAATTAAAAGACACAGACTGGCAAATTGGATCAAGAGTCAAGACCCATCAGTGTGCTGTATTCAGGAAACCCATCTCACGTGCAGAGACACACATAGGCTCAAAATAAAAGGATGGAGGAAGATCTACCAAGCAAATGGAAAACAAAAAAAGGCAGGGGCTGCAATCCTAGTCTCTGGTAAAACAGACTTTAAACCAACAAAGATCAAAAGAGACAAAGAAGGCCATTACGTAATGGTAAAGGGATCAATTCAACAAGAAGAGCTAACTATCCTAAATATATATGCACCCAATACAGGAGCACCCAGATTCATAAAGCAAGTCCTGAGTGACCTACAAGGAGACTTAGACTCCCACACAATAATAATGGGAGACTTTAACACCCCACTGTCAACATTAGACAGATCAATGAGACAGAAAGTTAACAAGGATACCCAGGAATTGGACTCAGCTCTGCACCAAGCAGACGTAATAGACATCTACAGAACTCTCCACCCCAAATCAACAGAATATACATTTTTTTCAGCACCACACCACACCTATTCCAAAACTGACCACATAGTTGGAAGTAAAGCTCTCCTCAGCAAATGTAAAAGAACAGAAATTATAACAAACTGTCTCTCAGACCACAGTGCAATCAAACTAGAACTCAGGATTAAGAAACTCACTCAAAACCGCTCAACTGCATGGAAACTGAACAACCTGCTCCTGAATGACTACTGGGTACCTAACGAAATGAAGGCAGTAATAAAGATGTTCTTTGAAACCAACGAGAACAAAGTCACAACATACCAGAATCTCTGGGACACATTCAAAGCAGTGTGTAGAGGGAAATTTATAGCACTAAATGCCCACAAGAGAAAGCAGGAAAGATCCAAAATTGATACCCTAACATCACAATTAAAAGAACTAGAGAAGCAAGAGCAAACACATTCAAAAGCTAACAGAAGGCAAGAAATAACGAAAATCAGAGCAGAACTGAAGGAAATAGAGACACAAAAAACCCTTCAAAAAATTAATGAATCCAGGAGCTGGTTTTTTGAAAGGATCAACAAAATTGATAGACCGCTAGCAAGACTAATAAAGAAAAAAAGACAGAAGAATCAAATAGATGCAATAAAAAATGATAAAGGGGATATCACCACCAATCCCACAGAAATACAAACTACCATCAGAGAATACTACAAACACCTCTATGCAAATAAACTAGAAAATCTAGAAGAAATGGATAAATTCCTCAACACATGCACTCTCCCAAGACTAAACCAGGAAGAAGTTGAATCTCTGAATAGACCAATAACAGGCTCTGAAATTGTGGCAATAATCAATAGCTTACCAACCAAAAAGAGTCCAGGACCAGATGGATTCACAGCCGAATTCTACCAGAGGTACAAGGAGGAGCTGGTACCATTCCTTCTGAAACTAGTCCAATCAATAGAAAAAGAGGGAATCCTCCCTCACTCATTTTGTGAGGCCAGCATCATCCTGATCCCAAAGCCGGGCAGAGACACAACCAAAAAAGAGAATTTTAGACCAATATCCTTGATGAACATTGATGCAAAAATCCTCAATAAAATACTGGCAAACCGAATCCAGCAGCACATCGAAAAGCTTATCCACCATGATCAAGTGGGTTTCATCCCTGGGATGCAAGGCTGGTTCAATATACGCAAATCAATAAATGTAATGCAGCATATAAACAGAACCAAAGACAAAAACCACATGATTATCTCAATAGATGCAGAAAAGGCCTTTGACAAAATTCAACAACTCTTCATGCTAAAAACTGTCAATAAATTAGGTATTGATGGGATGTATCTCAAAATAATAAGAGCTATCTATGACAGACCCACAGCCAATATCATACTGAATGGGCAAAAACTGGAAGCATTCCCTTTGAAAACTGGCACAAGACAGGGATGCCCTCTCTCACCACTCCTATTCAACATAGTGTTGAAAGTTCTGGCCAGGGCAATTAGGCAGGAAAAGGAAATAAAGGGTATTCAATTAGGAAAGGAGGAAGTCAAATTGTCCCTGTTTGCAGACGACATGATTGTATATCTAGAAAACCCCATTGTCTCAGCCTAAAATCTCCTTAAGCTGATAAGCAACTTCAGCAAAGTCTCAGGATACAAAATCAATGTACAAAAATCACAAGCATTCTTGTACACCAATAACAGACAAACAGAGAGCCAAATCATGAGTGAACTCCCATTCACAGTTGCTTCCAAGAGAATAAAATACTTAGGAATCCAACTTACAAGGGACGTGAAGGACCTCTTCAAGGAGAACTACAAACCACTGCTCAATGAAATAAAAGAGGATACAAACGAATGGAAGAACATTCCATGCTCATGGGTAGGAAGAATCAATATCTTGAAAATGGCCATACTGCCCAAGGTAGTTTATAGATTCAATGCCATCCCCATCAAGCTACCAATGACTTTCTTCACAGAATTGGAAAAAACTACTTTAAAGTTCATATGGAATCAAAAAGCCCGCATCACCAAGTCAATCCTAAGCCGAAAGAACAAAGCTGGAGGCATCACGCTACCTGACTTCAAACAATACTACAAGGCTACAGTAACCAAAACAGCATGGTACTGGTACCAAAACAGAGATATAGATCAATGGACAGAACAGAGCCCTCAGAAATAACACCACATATCTACAACTATCTGATCTTTGACAAACCTGAGAAAAACAAGCAATGGGGAAAGGATTCCCTATTTAATAAATGGTGCTGGGAAAACTGGCAACCATATGTAGAAAGCTGAAACTGGATCCCTTCCTTATACCTTATACAAAAATTAATTCAAGATGGATTAAAGACTTAAACGTTAGATCTAAAACCATAAAAACCCTAGAAGAAAACCTAGGCATTACCATTCAGGACATAGGCATGGGCAAGGACTTCATGTCTAAAACACCAAAAGCAATGGCAACAAAAGCCAAAATTGACAAATGGGATCTAATTAAACTAAAGAGCTTCTGCACAGCAAAAGAAACTACCATCAGAGTGAACAGGCAACCTACAAAATGGGAGAAAATTTTTGCAACCTACTCATCTGACAAAGGGCTAATATCCAGAATCTACAATGAACTCCAACAAATTTACAGGAAAAAAACAGACAACCCCATCAAAAAGTGGGCAAAGGATATGAACAGACACTTCTCAAAAGAAGACATTTATGCAGCCAAAAGACACATGAAAAAATGCTCATCATCACTGGCCATCAGAGAAATGCAAATCAAAACCACAATGAGATACCATCTCACACCAGTTAGAATGGCAATCATTAAAAAGTCAGGAAACAACAGGTGCTGGAGAGGATGTGGAGAAATAGGAACACTTTTACACTCTTGGTGGGACTGTAAACTAGTTCAACCGTTGTGGAAGACAGTGTGGCGATTCCTCAGGGATCTAGAACTAGAAATACCATTTGACCCAGCCATCCCATTTCTGGGTATATACCCAAAGGACTATAAATCATGCTGCTATAAAGACACATGTACATGTATGTTTATTGTGGCACTATTCACAATAGCAAAGACTTGGAACCAACCCAAATGTCCAACAATGATAGACTGGATTCAGAATATGTGGCACATATGCACCATGGAATACTATGCAGCCATAAAAAATGATGAGTTCATGTCCTTTGTAGGGACATGGATGAAATTGGAAATCATCATTCTCAGTAAACTATCTCAAGGACAAAAAACCAAACACCCCATGTTCTCACTCATAGATGGGAATTGAACAATGAGAACACATGGACACAGGAAGGGGAACATCACACTCTGGGGAATGTTATGGGGTGGGGGGAGGGGGGAGGGATAGCATTAGGAGATATACCTAATGCTAAATGACGAGTTAATGGGTGCAGCACACCAGCATGGCACATGTATACATATGTAACTAACCTGCATATTGTGCACATGTACCCTAAAACTTAAAGTATAATATTAAAAAAAAAAAAGAATAAGGAAGACTAATGCCACATATCTACAACCATCTGATCTTTGACAAACCTGACAAAAACAAGAAATGGGGAAATGATTCCCTATTTAATAAATGGTGCTGGGAAAACTGGCTAGCTATATGTAGAAAGCTGAAACTGGATCCCTTCCTTACACCTTATACAAAAATTAATTCAAGATGGATTAAAGACTTAAATGTTAGACTTAAAACCATAAAAACCCTTGAAGAAAACCTAGACAATACCATTCAGGACATAGGCATGGGCAAGGACTTCATGTCTAAAACACCAAAAGCAATGGCAACAAAAGCCAAAATTGACAAATGGGATCTATTTAAACTAAAGAGCTTCTGCACAGCAAAAGAAACTACCATCAAAGTGAACAGGCAACCTACAGAATGGGAGAAATTTTTTGCAATCTACTCATCTGACAAAGGGCTAATATCCAGAATCTACAATGAACTCCAGCAAATTTACAGGAAAAAAACAAACAACCCCATCAAAAAGTGGGTGAAGGATTTGAACAGACACTTCTCAAAAGAAGACGTTTATGCAGCCAAAAGACACATGAAAAAATGCTCATCATCACTGGCCATCAGAGAAATGCAAATCAAAACCACAATGAGATACCATCTCACACCAGTTAGAATGGTGATCATTAAAAAGTCAGGAGACAACAGGTGCTGGAGAGGATGTGGAGAAATAGGAACACTTTTACGCTATTGGTGGGACTGTAAACTCATTCAACCATTGTGGAAGTCAGTGTGGTGATTCCTCAGGGATCTAGAACTAGAAATACCATTTGACCCAGTCATCCCATTACTGGGTATATACCCAAAGGATTATAAATCATGCTGCTGTAAAGACACATGCACACGTATGTTTATTGCAGCTCTACTCACAACAGCAAAGACTTGGAACCAAGCCAAATGTCCAACAATAATAGACTGGATTAAGAAAATGTGGCACATATACACCATGGAATACTATACAGCCATAAAAAATGATGAGTTAATGTACTTTGTAGGGACATGGATCAAGCTGGAAACCATCATTCTCAGTAAACTATCTCAAGGACAAAAAACCAAACACCACATGTTCTCACTCATAGATGGGAATTGAACAATGAGAACACATGGACACAGGAAGGGGAACATCACACACCGGGGCCTGTTGTGGGGTGGGGGGAGGGGGGAGGGATACCATTTGGAGATATACCTAATGTTAAATGATGAGTTACTGGGTGCAGCATACCAACATGGCATATGTATACATATGTAACTAACCTGCACGTTGTGCACATGTACCCTAAAACTTAAAGTATAATTAAAAAAAAAATAACTAACAGATTTGAAAAAAAAAAAAAAAAGAGAAAAGAATAAGGAAGACTCTGGGCACCAGTAGGCCCTCAGACCTGTAATCCTCTTGCAATATTTCTGCCTCAGTTCTGTACCATGATAACCTGGACAATTTTGATTTGTTTTTATCCTAATTCATGGTGTTGCTTAGGGAGACAGAGATGAATGAAAGGCTCCCAATTCCTTGATTTCATTTATACTACTGACTTAAAGAACTATGCTAGTAGAAGCACTCCTTGGATTTACTCAATTTTTGTGCTTATACGTGATATAATAAATTTGTAACTGGAATAACTGAACCAAGGAATATTTACATTTAAGTTTTCTTAGACCTTCTTTTGCATTTAAAAATACTCCTTACAGGCCGGGGGCAGTGGCTCATGCCTGTAATCCTAGCACTTTGGGAGGCTGAGGTGGGGGAATTGCTTGAGCTCAGGCATTTGAGACCAGCCTGGGCAACATGGTGAAACCCCATCTCTACAAAAACAGAAACGCCCCCAAATTATCCAGGTGTGGTGGCATATGCCTGTAGTCCAGGTACTTGGGAAGTGAGGTGGGAGGATGGCTTGGGCCCAGAAGGCTGCAGTGTGCTGCAATCATGCCATTGTACTCCAGCCTGGGCAACAAATCAAGACCCTATCTTAAAAAAAAAAAAATCCTATGTGGGAAATGCTTCTTTCCTATTTCTAATGATTCACTTCATATGACAGAGACCCCATTAGTGTAATATTTATGCCTTCTTGTGCCTTTTGGAAGTGACTGAATGTGATTGGTGAGTTTCAAATTAGAAAGTGGGTTTATTTGGACCACTCACTTTTTCCTCTTTCTTTTATGAGCAAGCTATCTGTGATTTAGCCTGTTCCATCATGCTGTAAGTTTTACAGGGTCAGGCTGTCCCACTTGCATGACACTGCATTGCCTGTGACTGGGAGGGTAAGTCTTCAATTATGGGACTTAGTGTTTGGAAACCATCTACTTGCCTGTAGTAAGTAATATTCTTTAAGCTAGGTTATATTGTTAGTAAAGGTAATATTTTGCTCCTTTTGCCTTCGTATTTCTCTTATCCTTCTATCTAACTTATTTCTCTTACTTCTTATCTATTTTATCTCACTTCTCAGTTGATTCAGAGTTTATTCAGAAACAGGGTTTCCTATTTGTTGGATTGCCTTAAACATAAATGTCTTGTACTTCCTTAGATAAATCAGGGTTAATTCAAGTCAAGTGTTAGGAGCCACTGCCAAGTAAAGAATAATCAGCAATAAGAGAAGCATTTTTGTCTCTGCATGAAGATGAGCAGTATTCATTCTTAATTTCTAGCCAATTTATAAAACATAATGGACCATGTTAGGATGACCAAACAGTATTTGTGTGTGATTCCATTACTATAATTGTTAAAATTTCAAATTAAGCTGTCACAATGCCTGTCTCCTCAAAACTGACTTTTCCCTGGTATGTTGATGAGATTCAAGTCTTGATTTGATTGTGATGTTTAAACAATTTGCTTCGGTAATGCTATTCAAAATAAAATCTCTGGATGTGATAAAGGTCATTTAGTGCCAGTAAGTTTTTAAAAAATATTTTGAAAATAAAAATAAATAATTTAGGTGTAGAGTTTGCCTTTTTAACAATATTTTTTATTGTGAATCTTAAGTCTGCAGTCCTCTTTTTCACTCTTGAAAGGTTTCAAAATATGTGACCCTTTTGAAATTAAAAAAAATTTTAATAAACTTTTAATTTTAGAATACTTTAGATTTTACAATAGTATTAAATAGTAATGGATTTAGATTTAGGATAGATTTTAGATCTTGGCAACAGAAAAGTTGCAAAAATATTACAGGTAGGTCCTGAACACCCTGTGTCCAACTTCCCCTGTTGTTAGCATCTTAAATTAGTATGTACATGTATCATAACTAATGGACCAACACTGGTACATAATCTTTAATTAAATTCCATACTTGATATGAGTATCATTAGTTCTTCCCTAACGTCCTTTTTGTTTTTTTGCCTTCTGGCATCCTATCCGGGATACCACATTACATTTCATTGTCATGTCTCTGTAGTCTTCTCTGGTCTGTGACATTTTCTTAGACTTTCCTTGTTTGTGATGATTTTGACAGTTTTGAGGAGTAGTGGTCAGGTATTTTGTAGAATGTCCTTCAATTTGGGTTTATCTGATGTTTTTCCTATGGTTAGATTGAGGTTATGGGTCTTTGCAAGGAAGACCACAGAGGTGAAGTGCCATTATTAACATATCAATTCACATGTCTTATCAAGGGTAGGTGCTACCCACATGACTTGTCACTATGATGTTATTATCCTTGATTACCTGACTGCGGTAAAGTTTGCCAGGTTTCTTTCCTCCCCCATCCTTACTTACATCATTATTTGGAAGCAAAGCACTGTAAGTGCAGCCCACAACGGGGGATGGGGAATTAAGCTTCACATCCTTGAGAGGAGAATATCTACATAAATTGTTTGGATTTTTGTGTGAAGGAAACTTCTTTCTTCTCTAATTTTTTAATTCATTCAGTCACTTGATGTATGTCAATATGGACTTGTAGATATTTATACTTTGGATTATAATCCAATGTTATGCTACTTGTTTTGTTGCTCAAATTATTCCAGCTTTGGCCATTGGGAGCTCTTTCAGGTTTGCTCCTGTGTGCTTTCGCTATGCTCCTTTGCTTTGTTTTTTGAGCACTTCCTTCCTTTTCTGACATTCCAAGGTGCTTGAGGCTCATCTTGTGTATTTCCTGCCCTAGCCCTGAAATCAACCATTTCTCTAAGGAGCCCTGGTTCCTTTTATTGGAAGCTGATATTAGAAACCAATATCTAAGCGCTGGGCCTTTGAAATGTTTTGCCATCTATCTTTAAGAGTAATACTGCTATTTTGAAATCATAGCTTATAAAACTTTAGACCTATTTTAGTTAGTAAGTGAAATACTTTTTGGTACCCATTGTCTATGTAATTAGGATGGCCACAGTTCCATTTAGAGATAAAAAGGAGATATTCAAGGTTAAATAAACAAAGCAGCCTAAAAGTTTGTGGATAGTAATGACGTTGGCTATGGATGCAGGTGTGCTTGGGTTTAACGGAGACTGTTAGGGTTGTTTAGAGGATGCCTGTTGGCTGAAGAGGATGAGGAGAGGCTTATTTTAGTAAACTGTTCTTCCTCTCCCAGATCAACTGTAATCTCTTCCTTGTTCTTTCTGTTCTTCCTGGGAGAATTTAGTTACTCTTGTAACTAAAATTCCCCTCAAAACTTATTACACTCTACTATTGAAGCTGTTTGCATCTTGCTTTTGCAAGAATCTGTAGACTCCCGGATGTTAGGGATTTGTATTTCTTTTCCTTTTTTTTTTTTTTTTTTTGAGATGGAGTTTCGCTCTTGTTGCCCAGGCTGGAGTGCAATGGCGCCATCTTGGCTCACCACAACCTCTGCCTCCCGGGTTCCAGCGATTCTCCTGCCTCAGCCTCCCAAGTAGCTGGGATTACAGGCATGCACTACCACGCCTGGCTAATTTTGTATTTTTAGTAGAGATGGGGTTTCTCCATGTTGGTCAGGCTGGTCTTGAACTCCCGACCTCAGGTGATCAGCCCATCTCGGCCTCCCAAAGTGCTGGGATTAGAGGCGTGAGCCATCATGCCCGGCCTTGTATTTCTTCTTTGTATAATCTTTAGCACAGAATTTAGTAGGTGATGACTTCAGGGTATTCTGTAATTATGGTTTGAAGTGAACTGAATTCAGTTTTGTAGATAGCATATTTCATCATAGTTAGTGAACAATATAAATGTCTGAAAAGATAAACATACCAGGTTCAAAGAAAAGTTCAAGATGGCAGTAAAAGAGCCATTGAACTGATATGTGTTGAATGGCTAAATGAATATCTTGACTGTTGTTTGTTGCAGGACTTTAGAGGATGATGGGCTGTCAGGGAAGTCTTACCTGAGGAAGTGATATTTGGTTTGGTTTTAAGCTATGGGTAGGGCATGGATGGGGCAAGTTGGCTGGAATATTGTGGGTGGGAAATGACTTTTTTAGAGAGTGTTGGATAGGCCTGTCTGCCGTAACAGAACATTTCAATAGAGACTATAAGGCTGGAGAGGTAAGTTTGGGTCAGGTAGATTGAAGAGGTATGTGAATGTCAGCTTTCTCAGTTAGAGAACCATGGATAGTCATGGATAACTCTTAAATGTTTTGAGCAGGGGAATCAAGATCTGAGATAAATTCTTTTTTTTTTTTTTTTTTTGAGACAGAATCTCACTCTGTTGCCCAGGCTGGAGTGCAGTGGTGCCATCTCAGCTCACTGCAACCTCCACCTCCTGGGTTCAAGCGATTCTCCTGCCTCAGCCTCCCAGGTAGCTGGGATTATAGGGGCATACCACCGTGCCTGTTTTTTGTATTTTTAGTAGAGACAGGTTCTCACCATGTTGGCCAAACTGGTCTTGAACTCCTGACCTCAAATGATCCACCCGCCTCGGCCTCCCAAAGTGCTGGGATTACAGGCGTGAGCCACCGCGCCCAGCCTGAGAGAAATTCTAGGAAGACTGATCTAGAGTAGAGGCTGGAAATTGGTGGCTCACAGGCTGAGTCCAGATGGTAGATATATTTTGTTCTATATACTGTAACAATTTTAAGCCAATATTCAAAAATTGAGAAATATCATAAAAATAGAGAGTTTAGGGTCTTCGTATAAAAGCAGGTGATCTGGCAACACTGGGCCCACATACTCACATGGCAGCAGTTGGTTGGGGTTGAGCAGAAGACAGCACCCTAAGAAGGCACATTCATCCTGATGTTCACCACTGTCCCCAACCTCCCCATTACCTTATGCTTAGTCCACTTGACATTGCCTGAATATCTCATATATATTTGAATTTGGGATTCTTGACTTAGAGATATAGTGTATAGACTTTTGTGGTATTTTTAATAGTGAGATTCAGGGGACCCAAATCTGGGTGGTTGCAAAGGAAATGAAAAAAGTATATATATAAGCAGTGGTTATATAAGAGACAGGGTGAAAGAATAACTAAATAAATCTGGACCAATAACTTATAAGGTCCAAGAGGCTAAAAAAAAGAATAAAAGATGACTGTATCTGTTACCTATTGCTATATAACAAATTACCCCAAAACCTACTAGATTAAAACAAGAAATATTTACTGTATCACAGTTTCTGAGGGACAGGAATCTAGGAATTGCTCAGCTGTGTGTTTTAGGCTCAGGGTCTCCCATCAGGTGGCAGTCAAGGTGTTGTAGTCATCTCAAGGCTCAGCTGAGTTAGTGGATCTGTTTCCAGGCTTACTCACATGCTTGTTGGTCCACCTCAGTTCCTTGCTTGCTGTTGGCCAGAAGCCACAGCATGCTCACCACATGACAGCATGCTTTCCCTAGAACAAGAAACCAAGAGTGAGGGAGAGTAGGCACCCAAGCTGAAGATTTTGTCTTTTATAATGCAATCTTGGAAGTAACGTACCATTTTTGCTGTATACAGTTGGTCACAATGACAACCCTAGTGCACTGTGAGAGGAGACTGTGTAAGGATGTGCATAACAGAGGTGGGGATTACTGGGATTCCTCCTGGAGGCTGGCTATCACAATGACTCTGAAGGACCAAAATATTTGTGGCAGCAACATTCCTGAGGAATTTTCGCTCATGTATGAAATGTTGTTTTGGGGCATCCTCTAATGAAAACTACTTGTGATTTTAATTGTTCTGCTCCACTAATTGACCCTGATTCTTGTTTACTTTTGATATACTCTTAGATAACTTTAGAATAAAATAATTAGCAGTTTTAAAGGTCATATGGGGCATTCCTTTAACTTCATAGGTTTTAAAAATTGGGATCCCGAAAGATAATGACTTGATCGGAATCACATGGCTAATCAGTTGCAGTTCTAGGAGCAGATCGAAGAGAGTTAGCTTGCAGTATGTGCCGTTTCTGCTCTGCCATGCAGTCTCCTGCCCCACGCTCTTCTAGTATGGGCAGTATCATCACATAAAAACATCACTTTAAGAAACTTCTACCTATGATTCAGCTAATAAGTAACATGTATTTTTAGTTCTTATTTTCCATCACATGAAATAATTTAGATGTTATATTGCAAATTTATGTGTTTTTATATGTAAATTTGACATTCGGCTTTACCAAATGATTAAGCATTTACATAACCGAAGCCTGCTAAAGAAGCCTAAAAATATACCTATTTTAAAAGTTGAGATTTTGACATGTCAGCTTTCTTGGCATTACTCAATCCTCATGTCTAAAATAACCTGGACCCCACATGCTAGGGTGTTACTCTTCCCTACTTTTATTTCAGTTTCCCTTTTGGAGAACCTTTTATAACTAATACTGGTATTCTTTTATTTTCTCACTGGAGTATTAATACTTTATATATAAGTCATTCTGCCTGTGTCTTAGAGGCCAAAGTACATGTCTAGTGACTCTTCAATGCAATGTTATAATGGGATTTTTCTCCTGGTTAGAAGTTTTTGGGCTGAGGTAAAAGGTCGGTTACTTTCTAAGTTTGTAAGGTATAGTTTTGTATACATGTATATGTGCATTTAGAAGAAAAGTCCACAGGGTTCATCAGATTCTTGCAGAGAGCTATGAGCCAAAAACTGTTAATGATTTCTAGTGTTTGATGCAGTTTTTTCCCTGTAGTTGTGATTGATTTTGCTCTTACATGTGTGCATTTTGTATTCATGGCAAGCAATGTCCAGGTATTTCCAGTTTTTTAGATAGGAAAATGGAGCCTCAACATCTTGTCCATAAATAGTCAATAATAAAATATATACCTAAATATTTTGATGCAAGGCTTTTGTGTTTATTTGATGATGATTTATACATTTAGAAATGTTAGAAAAAAATAAAATTACAGCAACATTTTAATACTCTGCATTCAGTACAGGAAATTATAGTGTCTCCTTAAATGACACCACATTCTTTACCTATTATATCACAGACAGATCCAGAATGTCAGTTGGACAACTGCTCTTTGCAGACAATTTTAGTCACATACTAGTGTGAGGATTATCATTAGCCTAAATTGGGGGCCCTGTGTTAAAGAATTTATGAACTTCTAAAGTAATACTCAGATTTCTAAGGTAATATTTATGATTCCATTCCCTTTTAAAGAGACTCTTATATAAAGGGAATATAGTTAAGATTCCTCCTAGTAATTGTATAATCAGAGTTTTTTTTTTTTAAGATAAATTATTTTGGGATGTGGTAGCTCTAAGGCTGTGTTTATATTGACCAGAAGAGATATGTTTATAAATAGAGCTTTTCTTTTCTCAAATTCCTACCTTACTCCTTGATAATTTAGGCTCCTTGCTGGATTTTTCTTTTTTTTTTTTTTTGAGATGGAGTTTCGCTCTTGTTGCCCAGGCTGGAGTGCAATGGTGTGATCTTGGCTCACGCAACCTCTGCCTCCCGGGTTCAAGCTATTCTCCTGCCTCAGCCTCCCAAGTAGCTGGGATTACAGGCATGCACCACCATGCACAGGTAATTTTGGATTTTTAGTAGAGACGGGGTTTCTCCATGTTGGTCAGGCTGGTCTCAAACTCCTGACCTCGGGCGATCCACCCACCTCGGCCTCCCAAAGTGTTGGGATTACAGGCATGAGCCACTGTGCCCAGCCCCTTTGTTTTCATTTTTAAAGGCAGCAGGTTTTACTGTAAGAGTCCCATTTTACAGGTGTAGCAAAAACTAGCCTGGGAAAAATCCTGGTTCATCATTTCAAACCCTTATTATGTTGCAGCACTCAGGTAAATTGACTGAGGATGCCAACTTTTAGTTTATCCAGTAGTGAACCTGAGCCCCCAACTCTATGTGGATGCATGGAATGAAATAGGGCATCCCACACTCTGCGTTTTATTGTATTAGCAGGGTTTGAAATTAGGAGAAATTATGATCTTTATAAATTAAATTCAGCTGATTTTCAGCTTAACTAAATTATTTTTATTGAGTCACTGCCTTTTACAACTTGAAGATAACATTAGGTCCAAAAATTATATCATACTTTATGGCGTAACACCAATACCATGAGGCCTGGGAGTCAAACAGACCAAATGTTGAAAACCTGGCTGTACCATTTTTAAGTGGGACTTTTCATGATTTGTCTAACTTCTCTGTACCCCAGTTTCTTTACCAAATTAATGGTTTCCTGGTTACTATTGCATCATTAAACTCTCTTATCTGCTGTTTAGGAGTCTTATCTGCTGTTTAGACACTGATTAAGTTATAACACCAGAATGGATGCTCTGAAGGGCAGATTCATATGCAATGAGAACATATAGTGAGGCTTGACTGAAGGAAGTCAGCAAAGGAACATCAATAAATAACTCTTTAGCCAAAATTTTGATGTAACTGTATTGATTTCCTTACACATGAGTTTTGATATTTTATTTCTACTTTTAGTATCCTTTTCGTATGTGTTAACTCCATGTTGGAAGTGGGCAGAGTATGGATAATAAAGTAATAAGAGAATAAGCTTTTTGAGGACAGGAATACATTTTTTCTTTCCTTCTTTGTGAAACGGGGTCTCAACTTGCAACGCCACTTGCCCAGGCTGGAGTGCAGTGGCGTGATCTTGGCTCACTGCAGCCTTGACCTCCCGGGCTCAGGTGATTCTCCTGCCTCAGCCTCCTGAGTAGCTGGGACTACAGGTCCCTGCCACTACACGTGGCTAGTTTTTGTGTTTTTTTGTAGAGATGGGGTTTTGCCATGTTGCCCAGGCTGGTCCTGAATTCCTGGACTCAATCCACCCGCTTTGGCCTCTCAAAGTGTGAGGATTACAGACATGAGCCACCGTGCCTGACCAATTTTTTTTTAATAGACTTTTAGAGCAGTTTAAGTTTACAGAAAAATTAGGCAGAAAGTACAGAGTTCCCGCATCCTTCCTCTTCTCACATCATTTGGGTTAATGCCTTGAAGTGTAATTGCTGAATTATATGGTAAGACTATGTTTAGCTTTGTAAGAAACAACTCAAAGTAGCTGTATTGTTTTGCATTTCCACCATCAGTTAAAGAGAGTTTCTGTTGCTCCACCTCCTTGCCAGCGTCTGGTGTTGTAATCTTTTTAGATTTTAGCCATTCCAATAGATGTGTATAGTGGTGTCTCACGTTGTTTTAATTTGCAATTCTCTAATATGGTGTTGAGCATCTTTTTATATGCTTATTTGCCAACTGTATATTTCCTTTAGTAAACTGTCTGTTCAGATATTTTGCCCACTTTTAAACTGAGTTGTTTGCTTTCTTATGATTGATTTTTTAAGATTTCTTTGTATATTTTGGATACTAGTTCTTTATCATATATGTGATTTGCAAATATATGTGTATATTGCGATGGAGTCTCACTCTGTCACCAGGCTGGAGTGCAGTGGTGTGATCTTGGCTCACTGCAACCTCTGACTCTCTGGTTCCACTATGCCCTGCTAAGTTTTGTATTTTTAGTAGAGATGGGGTTTCACCATGTTGGCCAGGATGGTCTTGATCTCCTGACCTCTTGATCCGCCTGCCTTGACCTCCCAGAGTGCTGGGATTACAGGTGTGAGCCACCGTGCCCAGCCATGATTTGCAAATATTTTCTCTTAGTCTGTGGCTTATCTTTTCATTTTCTTAACAGTGTCTTTTGCAGAGTGGAGGTTTTTAATTTTAATGAATCCAACCTATGTTTTTTCTTTTATGGATCATGATGTTGGTATTGTATTTAAAAATTCATCATCAAATCCAGGGTCATCTAGATTTTCTTTTATGTTATCTTCCTAAAGTTTTATAGTTTTGAATTTTACATTTAGTCTGTGATTCATTTTGAGTTAAATTTTGTGAAAGGTATAAGGTCTGTGCCTAAATTTGTATATTTTTTGCATATAGATGTCCAGTTGTTCCAGTACCATTTGTTGAAAAGATTATCCATTCTCTGTTGAATTGCTTTTTCTTTTTTGTCAAAGATCACTTTACTAAATTTGTGTGGGTCTATTTCTGGGCCCTCTGTTATGTTCCTTTGGTCGACTTGACTTTTCTTTTGCCAAAACCACACTGTTTCGACAACTGTAGCTTTATAATAGGTATTGAAATTGGGTAGTATTAGTCATTCAACTTGTTATTTTCTGGGATTGTGTTGTCTATTCTAGGTTGGAATAATTTTTTATACCTTAGAAATAAGCACTTGGTAAATATTCTGTGTTGAGAAACTTTTTCTCGGTACACAATGGTTACCTTTTTAAACACAAGTCAGATCTGTTATTCTTTTGCCTCAGCTCCCTCCAGTGGCTTCCTATTTTAGTGAGAATCAAATTGAAGGTCTTCGAAATGGCTTATATGGTCCTGTGGTACCTGGCTCTTCTGTTACCTCTTTAGCTTCATCTTTTAATACTTTTTGTCTTGGTCTCTTTATTTCATACCTAATGGCCTCCTTGCTCTTGTTTGAGTACACCAGGCATATCCTGTCTTAGGTCTGTAGCAGTGGCTGTTGGCTTTATCTGAATGTCTTTCTTCCAGATATCTGTATGGCTAACTCCTTCATCTCTTTTAAGTCTTATTCAGATGCCCCCCTTCTCAATGGGGACTCTCTGATCATTTTATTTAAAATTCCATCTTGCCTCTCACTTGTCCCTCAACCTCCACACCCTCAATTTCTCTTAACCTGCTCTGTTTTATTTCACAGCCATCACTATGAACATCCTCTAATACTTATTTGTTTTATTTATTTATTTATTTATTTATTTATTTATTTATTTATTTGAGACAGGGTCTTGCTCTGTCACCCAGGCAAGTACAGTCGTGCGATACCAGCTCACTGCAACTTCCGCCTCTTGGGTTCAAGCAATTCTCGTATCTCAGCTTCCCGAGTAGCTAGGATTACAGATGTGCAACACCATGCCACGCTAATTTTTGTATTTTTAGTAGAGATGGGATTTCGCCATGTTGGTCAGGCTGGTCTTGAATGCCTGACCTCAAGTGATCTGCCCACTTTGGCCTCCCAAAGTGTTGGGATTACAGATGTAAGCCATCACTCCCTGCCACTTGTTATTTTTATTATTATTGATTGCTGTTTCTCTTTTTGTTAGAATTTAATTCCACATTGTCAGGGCTCTTTGTTTTGTTTACCAGTGTATCTTCAACTCATAAAGCATAGTAGGTTTTCAATAAATATTAGTTTTAAAAAATGTATGAATGTGTAAGTTGAGACTGATAGAGCATTAGCTGTGTGCAAGAATGCTGATTCATTAGATCTTACCTGATCTTTAGCTGATGACCTTCTAAGATGAACTGAAAACTGAAACCAAGCCAAAGAAATGTTTTTAGAAAATTCATTGATTTTTTTTGACAAGCTGCAGCTGCTTGTGGTGGTATAAATAGGTTTCCTTACTGTGTTATTTAAGAGTAGCTTAAGGGCATGAGCCAAGTCAAAACAGAAAAAAAGCACTGACTCATTAGATTTTTAAAGCATGGGTTGTCCACTTGTGTTTCTAGGTTAAGAGAATTGGGGTTTCCCATATAATCAGAACTATTAAAGGTACTGCAAGGCTGTGTGCGGTGGCTCATGCCTGTAATCCCAGCACTTTGGGAGATTGAGGCGGGTGGATCACCTGAGGTCAGGAGTTCGAGACCAGCCTGACCAACACGGTGAAACCCCGACTCTACTAAAAGTGCAAAAATTAGCTGGGCATGGTGGCGCGTGCCTGTAATCCCAGCTACTTGGGAAGCTGAAGCGGGAGAATTGCTTGAACCTGGGAGGCGGAGGTTGCAGTGAGTCGAAATCACGCCACTGCATACCAGCGTGGGTGGCAGAGCGAGACTGAGTCTCAAAAAGGAAAAAAAAAAAAAAAAGATACCGCAGCAATTGCAGAGAAAGGCCTTATATGTCTGATGAGAAACTGCAAGCTTTAGAAAGACAGCAGTGCTATCTTCCCAAACAACATGATAGCCAGCATGTCAAAGCCAGATTTCTTTTACCCATCTTTGTATCTCGGCATCTAGCCTGGTTAGTACTTGGCATGCAGTAGGTGCTCAGAAACTACTTGTTGAAAGAATGCATTGTCAGTGAACAGTGGTCACATTCATGATGTGGAAATGTCATGGACATGGGAGACATTATACTCATGTGTTCTCATGTGTTCTTGTTTTATAAGAACATGCTTTTTATACTGTATCATAGAAATTGTATTAAGCAAATTGACTTTGACTTGAAGTCTCAGGCATGTAAGCTTTCTACAAAATGTGAATCCATGCTTCAATTAATCAATCTTTGAGAGATAAGGCTCAACTTTCACAGTTAGAGTGGATGGATTGGGTTTTGGTCCCATGAGGCTGTAGTGTAAGAATACTAACTTGTGCGTGTGACTAGCTAAGTAGGACAAATCCTTTTGCTCAGATTCTCTTTGCCCACATATAGTTCAAGTAAACACAATGAACCCAAAACCAAATTTGCTAAGTCCTTAGAGGAAATGTTACTTAGGTGTTTTTAGAATGTTTAAAATTTTTGAGTTTTTGGGTGGTAGAGATGCCTTTGTTTTCCTGCTTAGGAAAGTTGAATAAAAGGCTGTCATAGCTCCATTCCTGATAGTTGTCAGGGACCAATAACTGAAGTCTGAGTAAAATCTTTGGAGACTTCTTCCAGATGCTAGTAATTGCTTTAACTTGAGTCTGTCTGGCAGTACCTCAAGATCTCTGTTATATCTCATAACTCATACTTCACCATTCATCTTAACATCTCTGTTCTCTAAGCACAGATTGCTTTTTGCTGCCTCTCATCACCTCTGCCTCAAGACAGACCAGAAATCTCTTGCATATCTCACCTCTGCACTGTACGTTTATTTTACAGTCTTCTCCTTTATGATATCCTGGCATGCATATGTTTCGTGCATTATTTCTACTATGGTTGATTGGAATTCATTCTCTTCATTGGCAGTTCTAGTTTCTACCTGACTTCTTCCTTGAGTGACTTCTTATGATTCTAGAATAGTAATTTGATAACACTTGCAAGTTCTGTTACTGCATTTCAGTATTTGTTATGAAATTCAAAATATCTCAAAACATAAAATTGGGGGCAAATGATATCTGCAGAAACTAGTAAAGAAGGTCAAGGCTTTGCTTTTGAAAATATCATTGAAAATGGGTGTTTGTCATGGTGACTTTCACAAACATGGTGGACTTTGTATAAAACAATAGGATGTTAGAATCTACAGGTTATGGGGTCTCAGAGATTATAGACTATTGTCCAGTAGTCTTACAGATAAGAAACTGGAACCACTGAATAAGTTATTCCTACTCTTACGGCTAGCAAGTAGCAGGCAATCATACACAGATTTCCTGAGCCTGAAGTTAGTGCCTATTGCTTCTTACCCTCCCTCCCTTCCTCCCTCCCTCCCTCCCTCCCTCCCTTTCTTCCTTCCTTCCTTGATGGAGTCTCACTCTGTCACCCAGGCTGCAGTGCAATGGCATGATCTTGGCTCACTGCAACCTCTGCCTCCCGTGTTCAAGCAATTCTCCTGCCTCAGCCTCCCGAGTAGCTGGGATTACAGGCATCTGCCATCATGCACGGCTAATTTTTGTATTTTTGTAGAGATGGTGTTTCACCATGTTGGCCAGCCTGGTCTTGACCTCCTGACCTCAGGTGATCCACCCACCTCGGCCTCCCAAAATGCTGGGATTACAGGCATGAGCCACCGTGCCCAGCCTAACATCCTTCTTTTTAGTGTTCTTCCCACTCCTTCTTTTTTAAATTTTCTTCTTTCTTCCCATAAATATTTGAATGTCTTCTGTCAGCTAGGCAGTGTGTTTACTACAAACAGACATGAAACAAGGTCATTGCTCTCAAGTTTTGCCATTAGGCAAAGCTAGATGAGTAAAGTTAGGGAGCTAGATGAGTAAACATACCGCACCTGCAGCCAGGGGATCCCAGGCTACTAGTGCAAAGGGAGTGTAGAAAATCAAGCAGCATGTCGTGGGGCTCCAGAAATTGCAGAATATTGAAAGTGACCAAAGAAAGTGAAAGAAAAGGCTACAAGCCAAGCAGAATAGTATATGGTATTTGCCCTTACAGTGGTTTGAAGAGAAAACGTTTTGGAGATTGTGCTTGTTGCTTTGCTTGTTGGTGACTTGCATTTTTCAGTTCAGCCACTGGGGAGCATAGAAAAACTGGGAAGAGAGGTTCACAGAGGCCCTTGTCTAGGCAGAAGTGGTCAGACCAGGGTTGATGTCTCTTCCAGAGGCATCTGAGGCTGTGTGTGTGTGTGTGTGTGTGTGTGTGTGTGTGCATGTGCACTTTGGGAAAAGGTTTTGACTGTGAGGAAGGGTGCTCAGGAACAGGTAGATGAATTTTGACTGCAGACTTAATACTATACTTAATTATTGGACTATCACTACTGATAGGTTAGACTATTGCATATTAATCTGTATATTTATAGTATGTAGTTTCATTAGAGGGAGCTCTCCAAACTGGAGAACAGAAATATTTTCAAACCTTAGGTCATTGTGTACTTAGTCTAAGTACATTTTCAAAGTGAAAACTGGAAGTGATGTAGGACTAGAGTTCCTTGTGGGATTGGACCAGCATTCCTCAAGACAAATGGTAATTTGCTAGGCACATCCTTTGGTTTTCTCCCCCCCACCCCCACCCATCCCTATATGTGTGTGTGTGTGTGTGTGTGTGTGTGTGTGTGTGTGTGTATAGGTATTTTTTTTTTTTAAGAGGAGTCTCGTTCTGTCGGCTGGAGCGCAGTGGTGTGATCTCAGCTCACTGCAACCTCCACCTCCCAGGTTCAAGTGATTCTTGTTCCTCAGCCTCCTGAGTAGCTGGGACTACAGGTGCGTGCCACCATGCCTGGCTAATTTTTGTACGTTTAGTAGAGACGTGGTTTCACCATGTTGGCCAGGCTGGTTTCGAACTCCTGACCTCAGGTGATCCTTCTGCCTCAGCATCCCAAAGGACTGGCATTACAGGCGTGAGCCACCATGCCTGGCCCATCCCTATATTTTTAAATTAATTAATCATAGTGAAAAGCTAGGACATGTTGGACTTGATCCAGGCATAAAGAAGCAGCGCTTTGACTTATTAGGTAAGTGATCAGGAAGAGAAGGCATGAATTAATGCTTATGTGGACCTGCCTGAAATATGTAAGGAGAAAACTAGAACACATGGTCATGTATGGCAAATCCCTGAGGTAAACAAGGAGAAAATGCTTTCTATAAAGGTAATGTTCTCGGCTGGGTGCTGTGGCTCACGCCTGTAATCCCAGCACTTTGGGAGGCCGAGATGGGCAGATCACCTGAGGTCAGGAGTTCGAGACCAGCCTGGCCAACATGTCGAAACCCCATCTCTAGTAAAAATACAAAATTAGCTGGGTGTGGTGGCACATGGCTTTAATCCCAGCTACTCGGGAAGCTGAGGTAGGAGAATCGCTTGAACCGGGGAGGCACATGTTGCAGTGAGCTGAGATCACGCCGTTGCACTCCAGCCTGGGCAACAAGAGTGAAACTCTGTCTCAAAAAAAAAAAAAAAAAAAAAAAGGTGGTGTTCTCGTAAATTTGTTTTACCTATGGTATAGTACAAAGTGATTGTTAAAATAAGTTCTTATTGAATGAGAGCAATAAACTAATCAAGCAAAAATATCTCACATTTCAAAATCCAAAAATATGTGTAGAGGTAAAGAGATGAAGGGAAAGTAGTTGCGCAGGTATTTTACATTGTTCTGTTAAGCAAACAGTTATTGGGTGACTCTTAAGTGAAACTGTGATAGTGAAAGAAGGGGACTACAAAAGAGTTATGATAGCATTCTTGTCTTTAAAGAAGTATATAGTTAAGAAAGGGAGGCAGAAGTGCACAGATAATATCAAGGGATGCAGTACGAATTGTGAGTGCGGGCAGCCATTCCCAATTTCCAGATAGCAACACTGGGGCTGGACTCTGGAGGAGCTGCTTTTGAAGCCCACTTCTGCTTTGTAAATTTTTGTTGGGCCTGGGCGAAGGCAAGTAGGCCATTCTGAGATGATTTCTAAAGCCCCTTCTCACTTTCAAGTTATGTGAAACTGTTTTAAAATTTCTAGAGTCTTGTCGGGCACGCCAGCACTTTGGGAGGCCAAGGCGGGTGGATCACCTGAGGTCCGGAGTTCGAGACCAGCCTGACCAACATGGAGAAACCCTGTTTCTACTAAAAATACAAAAAATTAGCCGGGCGTGGTGGCGCATACCTGTAATCCCAGCTACTCAGGAGGCTGAAACAGGAGAATTGCTTGAGCCCGGGAGGTGGAGGTTGCATTAAGTTGAGATTTCACCATTGCACTCCAGTCTAGACAACAAGAGCAAAACTCTGTCTCAAAAAAAAAACATTTCTGGAGTCTTGTTTAAAGTTGACATCTGTGCCATGATGAGGCAGAAGATTGGTTAACTAATAGAAATTGCTTTTGGGGTTTTGGATACTCAGCTATAAGGTGCACTAAATAACCACTAATGTGTAGTGAAAGCAAAAGCTGTATTCAGATTCATAAATCAAGTTTCTATATATAATTATTTGGTAAAAAGTGATTGTGATGTAAGTTCTTCTTTTTTGACTTGAAGTATCAAGTGAGTAGAACCGAATAATCTTTATCTTAGTTGTCAGAAGGAAATTTGAGCACAGTTGTGAGAAGTCAAGCTTATTTTTTTTTTTTAATAGGTTCCTAACCTGGGGTTAAGATGCTAGGACCCAACCCTAGGCCTGTTCACTCTTTGAGGATGAAACCCGGGCATCTGTAAAAAGTTGTACAAATGATTTTAATGTTGAGAAGGGCTGAGAACCACTCTACTATGCTGTTTAACTTGTGTAGTTGGAATTTGAAAACATTTGTGGTGTTTAGTAAAATTATAGCTTGGTTAAATTCCTATTATCAATGATAAAAACCACAATTACTTTTGCACCAACATAACATGGTGTGCATTTATCTGACCAGTAGCAGCTTTCAGTACTGGACTGCTTGGGTTTGATCCTGGCTCAGTCACTTGTTAGCTGGGTTAGTTATTTCTAGCCGTATAACAATTTGCCCCCCACTTGGCAGCTAAATCAGTAAGCGTTTAATAACTCTGTGGGCCACGAATTTGGGAGTGGCTTAAGTGAGAGTAAGGTTAAAGTTCAGATGTTGCCCAGGGCTGCTGTCCTCTGAAGGCTTGACTGGGGCTGGAAGATCTGCTTCCAAGATGGCTCACTCACTGGCAGAGGGCAGGAGGGCCTCCCTTGCCACGTGGGCCTCTCCACAGTGCTGTTTAAGTGTCTTCAAGACATGGCAACTGGCTTCCCCCAGGGTAAGTGATGTAGAAATCAAGAAAGAAACCACATTGCTTTTTATGACCTAGTCTCAGAACTCTAACACAGTTACTTTAGTTATATTCCATTAATTAGTGTCCCTACATGCACAGTGATTGGAATTAGCTCTTGAAGGGAGAAGTTTCCATGTATGGACATGTTTTAAAACCACCACATGAGTTGTCTGTGCAGTTTCACTACACTTTTTTTTGTTTAATCTCAGTCTCATCCATAAAAGGGAGATTTAATTATACTATCCACTTTATGTTGTTATTGAAGGATCTGATGACTTTAATACATGAAAAGTACTCAAAACAATTCCTGGCATATAATAAGTGCTCAGCAAATGCTACCTTTTATTACTTAAAGATATGTTTAGTAGTATTCAAGGTAGTAATTCCTATATTGACAGAATAAGGGAAAATCAAGGATGCATTTTCAGCCACCTTATGGGCAAGAGCTGGGGGCAAATATAATACTTGCTTGTATTTATAATTACCCTGGCACCAAATGCCTTTATCTATGGCCTGATCAGCTTGCTTTTTACTTAACCAAATTCTGGCCAAAAGATCTGAGCTCATAAATATCTGAAAGCTGATACACATTAGAGTTTAAAAAGGAAGAAGATTAAGCATCATTACACAGTGGGTCTTACTGGGGTTTAGTGGCTGATACACATGGAGAGACATACAAAAAATAAAGTAGTATTAAGAGATGCTGGAAACTAATTTTAAATAAGTTTTAAATAAGATACATTAAAAGGTGTATTTTAATAATTCATTCTCAAAGTTGTTTAATGTCCTTACCCATATTACCCCAAAACATGGCTTAATCATGTGGCATTTCTTAGCAGTTCATTCTATGGATTTGCTATTAAATTATTTGCCTCTAGGTACATATTTCAAAGTTAGATATGTGTCTTTGAATATATTTAGAAATGTTCAGACTTGTGCAATTTTCTTTTAAATTTGTGTTCTCTCAAAGTTATTTTCTTTTTTGCTTTTGGGGGACATGGAAGAACCAAAATATCCTTTATATGCTTTTATTTTTTGAGTGGGTATAAGGAGATAGAAATCCTATTATTTGTTAATTTAAAAAATAAAAGGATTTTGACATATGCAGTGCATACTCTATGGTTGGACCACAAAATGATTCTGTGAAACTATTAGATTCTTCAAGGACTCACTTTGCTTAGAGGACAAGAATGGCAGGTGGAAGGAGTGCTCTTTGCCTTGCCTAGAGTGTAGTGTCTTTGATGGGGAGTAGCTGTTTAATGAGAGGCTTTAGGACACATCCAGTCAGATTCACACGCGCCTCTGGAACTCTTTGTTTTCAGGCTGCAGTTCCTTGGCTGTGTCAGCATCTTTATTGTCTGAGCTCAGAAACCCCTTAGTGCACCAAACCAGGAAGGGAAACTGGCAGCATGCAAATGACTGACAAAGGGATTGTAATATATTAGAGGTCTCTGATAGTCATTAAAAATTTTGAATGGAAAAAAATATGCCAGCAGTTAATAATATCAAATAAATTAAAACTACAAAGTCATTCCTGTAGCTGTAAAATTAGTTTCTTGAGATAGACGTTTTTGCTACTTGTGGTTTTTGATTTATTTATTTATTTATTGGGATGGAGTCTCTCACTCTGTCACCCAGGCTGGAGTGCAGTGGTGCAATCATGGCTCACTGCAACCTCTGCCTCCCCGATTAAAGCAATTCTCCTTCCTCAGCCTCCTGAGTAGCTGGGACTACAGGCATGTGCCACCATGCCTGGCTAATTTTTTTTGTCTTTTTAATAGAGACAGGGTTTCACCATGTTGGCCAGGCTCTCCAACTCCTGACCTCAAGTGATCCGCCCACTTCGGCCTCCCAGAGTGCTGGGATTACAGGCGTGAGCCACTGCGCCTGGGCTGATTTATTTTTAAATATTGGGGTACATAAGTATTCTTTATAAATTTGCTGCAGTGACCCACAATAATAGTGGCTTTAAATGATCATTTGTATTTCCACTTATGTAGCAGTCGAGAGGTGGGGAGTGCAGGATGATAATGCAGCTCAGCTTCATGAGGTCAGCCAGGGCTGGTATGATGCTCAGGGTCAGGCGCTGTATGGGTTTTAAAACATGTGTGCAACTTCTTTGCTGCTTTTCCCATTGTGCACTCTGGTTGAATCTGGTTGGGCACCTGGCTCTCTTGTAACCAGTAGAATACCACATGACTTTCATGGTTATGTCAGGAAAGGTGATGCAGCCTCTGCCTTGCTGCTGGGTCCGTTGCTTTTAGAACCTTGAATTACCACAAAGTAGTTTGACTACCTTGAAGCTGCCATTCAGTGAGAAAGTCAGGCCACATGTAGATGACACCTGTGGCTGTTCTCGCTGACTGCTTCAAATGAGGTTCCAGCCAATAGTTAACATCAGCCACCAGCCATGTGAGTGAGGATGCCTCCAGATGATTCCAGTCCCCAGTGGTCAAGCCACCCAGCTGTTGAGTGTTACTAGCTGAGGCCCAGACATCATGGAACAGCAGCAACCTGCCCCCCTTGTACCTGGTTTGAATTTCTGACCTACAGAATTCTTGAACATAAAAAAATGGTTGGTTTTCATAGTTGAATTCCAGTGTAGTTTGTCACATAGTAACTGGAACAGGGACCCAGGTTCCTTTTGTCACATTGCTTTGCCATCTAGGTTGTTACTCTTACATGTTTTTTTAGATGTTTCACCACCACATCTGCATTCCAGCCATCTGGATTGAAGAAGTACAAAAAAAGGCACTGTATTCCCCTTCAAGGGCCCTCCTCAGAAGTAGCACAGTCACTTCTGTTCTCATCTCAATGGCCACAGCTGAACTGGAACATAGCCACATCTAGCTCAAGGAAGGCTGGGAAATGTGTATTTATTCCTTGTGTATTTGCACCTAGCTAATAATTAGAGAATTTGTTTCTTTGAGAAAGAAGGATACAAGGATATGGGGAAAAGTTTCTGCTACAGTTGTACGCGCTTGATTATACCAAGTTCTTTACTTTGTGCTGTATTAATGGTAGTTGTTTCTTTCCTGGGAAATTTTCCATTTCAAAGAGCTCTTAGTAGTAGGTTTGTTGGAAAGCATTGTATTTGTGGGTAGGATTAGGTTGGCTAATATTGGTTC
Organism: Homo sapiens; assembly: GCF_000001405.40. Classification (NCBI taxonomy): domain Eukaryota; kingdom Metazoa; phylum Chordata; class Mammalia; order Primates; family Hominidae; genus Homo; species Homo sapiens. The sequence goes on along the minus strand of NC_000006.12, from coordinate 56,757,933 downwards.
TATTTTGCACATGAAAATGAAACAATAGTAACTTTAAGAGAAGGAAGTTTACTTTTCTCTTACTTGAGAGAAGTCCAGCAGGAGGCAGTCCAGGACTGGCATGGTTATAGCCACCATCCACAGAGGCTCCTTACTTCTTGTTCCTGCAGACTTAGGCTGCTGCTTTGTGGTCCTAGATGGCTGCTTGAGCCATATTCATCGGGTCTGTGTCCCCAGCCAGTAGAAAGGAGGAGGGAAGGAAGAAGGGGCAAGGGGCTCATGCCAGATGTCTTACAAAGAAAATTTCTAGAAGCTGCCATATAACACATTAGCTTTTATTTCATTTACTGGAACTTTGTTATTGAAAGTAAGGCTGGGGAGGTGTAGTTTTATTCCAGGCTACCATGTGTCCCCATCAGAATCAGGGTTTCTTTTACTAGGAAATGTAGCACAGCTCACAGCTGTGAGTCCACAGCTCACATCATATTCCTTATACTGTCAATTTGAAAAGAGCTATGTGGTTTGCCAGAACTTGGGCCACACTGTATATTGCACCATAAACAGAATGGTTAGAAACTGTGCATTTCAGAATGTTGTGATTTACGTTTGTGTTCACATAAAACTTCAGCCATTCTTTCCCCATTATTATAAACACTTGGGTTTGTAGGGACATCTGATGTTTACTGGCAGATGACATGCCATGTACAGACTGTCAGTGTTTTAGCCTCAACTCTCAAAGCCTTTCCTGAAAAAAATAAATCCCATTTCTAGTGTATACATAATAGGGCCATCTGTCACTGTTTCTCAGTTGTTTAAAGTTGCATTGTTTGAAGTCCTGCTTTTCTAAAAGTGTATTTTTTTTTCTTCCTGGAACCATCTCTGTTCCTTTGCTTTAAAATGAAAATAGTCTGAATGAGTATTTTAGCCCTTTCTGGAATGAGACTGAGCTTGCTGCAAGGCATTGATTCATCCAGTATCACATACAGTTGCTGAGAGCTTTTGTCTTATTAATACTTCTCTTGAAAAAAGACCATGACTCTTTGTTGTTCTCTGTATAAAACCAACTTTTCTGCCCTGTGTACTAGGCTTGAAAGATTTAATTCATGATTGAACTTGGAAATGCAGAGAAAATATTGTCTTTTATGGCTGATCTAGTCATCTTTATGAGTTTCACCTTCTGATTAGTGAGAAAATGTACTAAAATTGAATCTGTTTTAAAGCATAGTCTGATGTGGCAAATCGAACAGTCTCCTCTGATCTTTGTTCTGTCTTAGATAAAAATGCTTGGTTGTTGAAGGCAGCTTCCTCTCCCTCTCTTTTTCTCTGCGTGTCTTGAGGGAGAGATGTGGCTTTTGCAACCTTGCATTTCTGGGGAAAACACTGTGCTCATTCCTGCCAGCGTCTTTATCCTGGCTTTTAGGACCCCTGCTTCCTGGGTGATTTGTACCCCTTTTCTGTCTTGGATGCCTGGCACCTTGTGGGCCACTGATTCTTAAGTCAGCTACCAGTGAACTCTGGCCCATTCTTGTGACTCAGGCCGTGTCCCACATTGATGTGACTTCCCCTTGGCTTTCCACTAGTGCTCCACACCCATCTGCAGTCTTTCTGGGATGCTTGATTGTTCCTGGCCCATGTGATCTTCTCTGTATCCCTTGCTAGAGAGCCCCCTCTCCCTGCTAGGATGACCCCTCTGGGAGGTGTCCCAGCCAGACACACAGACACTTCTGTGTCTGGTCTGTACCAAGCAGAACCAAGGGTAGCCTCCTTTACACGGTACCAGATAGGGAGTGGGTCAAGAGCCCCCTGTGCCTTCCACATCACTCCTTATTCACTGAATGCACCTCCTCCTCTCAGGGCCAAAGCCTGAACAGGAAAAATTAGTCTTGACTCCCCTCTTGACTCCGTCGTCTTTCTCCTACATATACTATATCATATCCTCCTTTTAGCTAGCCCTATGGCTCTGCTGTCATCGCTGGAAGTGGCGTGTCTTTTCTACCCTGGAGAAGAGCTAGATCAGGCCCCTGATTAAAAGGAGGCAGGGAAGGGAGACAGAAATAAAAGCAATTTGGAAACATCTTTCCAGGCAATAGTATGGCTAGCAAGGCTATGTGTCTTGCTGAATAATCCTATTTTATAAACCAGAAATGGTTATTCCTGTCTTTTTATAGAATTTCTATAATCTCTTTTTTAGGCTGATAAACACTTCATGCCAAAAGGCAAAAGAGAAAATGGGAATAAATTTCAAAATATTATTTTATAATACTTGCCTTAAAGTCTACCAAAATTTTTGTCTTCTTAAACTTTACATCATCAAAGTCAGTCTCTGAGCTAGTAGTGTTTAGCAAGAATAGGGGATTTGGTAATCTGAAGACCTGTGATCAAGCCTTGATTACGAGATCAGTGATAAGGATAAGCTGCTCTCATTGAGTAGTACCTCAGTTTCTTCATCTTTAAATGTAAGTATCTGCCTTACTTACAGAGTATATGTGAATGTAAAGTGGGGTAATTACATGAAAGTATTCTGCCAATGCAGTGTGATTTTATTAATACTAGTTTCCTTGTCTCACATTATGCTCATTTCCATTTGTGTATTTCTGCTACTGCTACCTACAATTGTCTTCTTAAATTTTACATAATCAAAGTCAGTCTCTGAGCTTCTAGCTACCCACAACTGTGCAACTCCTGTACAACTCCTCCTGCGTGCCCACAGGTCTGTTACAAGTACTCAGGGTTACACTGGTAACTCTTCTCTCAGTCCCTATTCTGCATGTAGTCAACCGGTTTCCTATTTAGTGTCTAATGTCTTGTTTTTTTTTTTTTTATTTTCTTCATTAGATTTGAAATGACTTGATGGCAAGGAATATATACTTTATATATGTTTTATACATTTCATACATTTTCTGGTATTTTTTATAGTCCTGGAATGTACTTCGGAGCTGAAAAAAATAGACATTACTTGGTATTACTATAAGCTAGTGAAATAGAAGGGATAATCCAATTATATTTTCTTTATAATCCTGTTGTTTATCTCATTCCTTTCTGATTCTGAAGAGTACCTAACTTCTGAATAACTTATACTAACTGAAATTATTCAGGACTTATGAACTAAAGAACATATGTTTAATTTAAATACTTTATCCATATCTAGTTTTGACTGTTAGAAAATATTTTTAGGTTTTACAAATTTATCTTGGAACCATGAAGTCATTTATTTTACCACACTAAAATATTCATGGGTCAAAGATTTAATTTTTTAATTTTTTTTAAGAGTTGATTTGTTTGAATCCAGCTCTAATATATGTAACATTTTTATTTTAGTGGCTGTGTTTACATAGCTCTTGGATCTTTTCAGGGGCTATATCTTCAGTTTCTGTAATTCAGCAGATTTTGTCTATATTTTGCTAATAAATATTTATGAGGTTGCCATGTGGGAGAAACTAGTGATAATGAGAATGGTCTGTATTTAGAAGCAATTGAGCACATTTACTCTCAAGGACCTGTGATAGATGACATGCTAAAGTAGATTAAATGAAGTCTGGATCTCTCAATTAAGAACATAGAACTTAGAAAGAATCAGTCACACAGACCCCATCGCAGAAATAAAATTTCATAGAAAAATTGTATAAATTCAGACAGAAATCTGCCTTTATTATGAATGTTACTTATTTTGTTTACACTTTTTAAAAGGTTAGCATCTACAAATAAGTTACGTATTTCTTTTGTTGAATTAATTGATTTCCTTTTAGAAGTTGTACTTTATAAATAAGTTACTTTACTCTTACCAGAGATCACTTGGAATGGCATCTATCACTATATATTCTTCAGTTTCTTTCTTATTCCTATTGCTAAAAGAAACCGAAAGTCATTTCTTTTGTAATTGAAAATTTCATTATCAGTGGTATGAAGTGAATTTCCAAAATGGCTCATGTAAACAAAAAGCTCCATTTTAAGAAGCATTACTGTGTTCTTTGTTCTAGGCTGCATTTTGGAACCATGGACATTTCACTGGCTATGCTGTTATGCTGTTACTCTAACTGGACAATCAGTTGTGTTTTAAGGGTAGACATAACTATGAACAAGTGTCTAGTTAATGAATATGCCTCCATGATACATGTCCTGTTGCCACTTCCAAACCTCATTTTGTTAACTTGTGCTTACTCATTTCATTTTTTTCCTAAACATTTTCTCCAGAGAACTTTGGTTAACTTAATTTAAAACAATAGGTTTCTTGGAGTCCCATTTGATAATTCTGTGGTTACTAAAGTAGATAGAGATTAGCAGAAGCCAGAAGGATGCCTCTGATGTTGCCATTACTAGATTGCAGGAAATATTTGAGATCAATGCATTTAAGTCTATCAAATAGCACTAAGAAGAACTACAGTTTTATGTTAAGCATTCTCTTAGGTGCATAACATTCATTATTTCTTTTTAGCTTCTATGCAAGTGTTTGAAATGGGTGCTATTTATCCCTATTTTACAGATGATGCAAATAAATCTTAGGGAGTCTTTAATAAGACTGTTGCTTTAGCCAATAGAGTTAGTAGCAGAGTGGGGATTTGAGGTCTGGTATTTCTGCCTTTGAAGTTGGTGCTCTCTAAACTGAGAGGAAAATGCTTATATGCAGCCATTTGAATGTTCTGTTCACTGTTTTCTGTTGCCTTCCTGATAGACTCCCAGCTTTTTAGCATGGCATATCTTTGTAGGTGTTTTATTCTAGTGTAGCCATTCATGACTCTTCTGTATGCATTGCATACCATATCCACTCTCACAGTTATGCCTTCTTCTACCTTATACTCGCCATATCACTGCCTCCTACGTAAAACCACACAAATACAAATCAAAGAGATGAAACAGATAGATAAACTCAGTCTTGTGGTGGCTCACACCTGTAATCCCAGCACTTTGGGAGGCCGAGGCGGGTGGACCACCTGAGGTCAGGAGTTCGAGACCAGCCTGACCAACATGGAGAAACCCCGTCTCTACTAAAAATACAAAATTAGCCAGGTGTGGTGGTGCATGTCTGTAATCCCAGCTACTCAGGAGGCTGAGGCAGGAGAATTGCTTGAACCCGGGAGGCAGAGGTTGCGGTGAGCTGAGATCGTGCCATTGCCCTTCAGCCTGGGCAACAAGAGCAAAACTCCGTCTCAAAAAAAACAAAAAAAACAAAAAAACTCAATCTTGTTTATAGTAATACAAACTGCTATTGTATTGGAAAGTGTCCAAACAGCCTTAGTAGGTGATTGAATAAACAAACTGGTAAGTCCATACAGTCAAATGCCTCTCCATAATCACAAGGAACAAATCACTGGTACATGTAATAGTGTGGATGAGTCCCAAATGTATTATGCTGAGTGAAAGAAGCTAGATTCAAATGACTGCATGCATATATTTATGTGAAACATAGAACAACCAGAGCTAATCAATCTACAGTGTCAGAAATCAGGTTGCCTGTGGGAGTGGGGGTGGGTATTAATGGCAAAGAGGCACAAGATAACTTTGTTGGGGGATGAAAATGTTCTTTATCTTGTTTTGGGTGCGGGTTACAGGATGCAAACAATTCTCAAAACTTTTTGAACAGAACACTTAAAATTTACTTATTTTATGTTAGTTGTACCTTGATTTAAAAAAAAAAAGCATAAAATCAAGCCAAGCTCTTTTTGCATAGTTCTGTCATAGCACTTACCATGCAGTTTTGCAAATTCTGGCTTCCTAGTCTGTCTCCCATTGGACTAAGACAGGATGACTCATGATGCCTTTTTGTATTGCCAGTGCTTAGCACTTGCCTGGTGCTTAGTGGGTTTTCAAGAGATGCTTGTTGACTGAATGGAATGCTACCTTGTTAAAAAGCCTGGCCCATTAAAAAAAAAAAAGAATAGTTTGGAAATACTGGAGACCCACTTGTGTGCTTGATACAAGCTTTAGAAGCATGGAAATCTAAGCTTCATAAGAGTTGTGATTCAAGCCATTATTAACTTATAGAGATTTGTATGCAAAAAGTGTAGACTGAGTTTCTACATTTTTAGTAATTTGCTTTGAGCTTTTCTAGTCAGGTGTCAGGTGATGCCTGAAGTTTAAAATTCTATAATATCCCTATTCTACCCTCCTCTCTTCTCTTTTATTTTGGAATGATTTTGGCCTGGAGCAGATCCCTGAGTCATACCTGTGGCTTTAGGAGTCTTGAAATTACTTCATTATGGAAAAAAATTTTAGTTTCTAAGTTTAATTTCGTAGTTATACAGAAGCTGCTAAATGCTCACTTGGTCTGTAGGTAATGGGCCACATGGTGGTTCTCTATTCTCTGAGGGAACCCAGTGGCTTATTATCTCTTGGGAAAAATTCCATAGCATTTTAAATGGCTGCCTGAACCTGGGATTGCAGCTTTAACCCTGTATGTTCAAGCTGACACCAGCAGTAGTGTCACACATTTTAAAAAGTATTGTACAAATTGAGAGATTCTCAAAACCAAAATATCACAAGAATGCCTGCTGTAAAAAAATAATTGTTAAAAAATAGATATTCTTTGAAGAAAAATTGGAAGAAAAAAGATGAAAATAAAAATTACTGATTATCTTACCACCTACATTTAATTACTAATGTTATATTGGCATATCCCCTTATAATCTTTTTTCTTAGGCACTTCCAAGCATTTTTTCCCTATTGGTGACGTCTATTTAATCAATGCGTAATCTTTTTTTGTGGCTCTATGATAACTGACTTGATAATTTTTCTATTCTTGGATGTTTAGGATGTTTTTCTACTAGTAGCTAATAATAATAGCTAAAAAATATTGACTATTAACAGGCATGACTTGCATTTAATGTTAAAATAAATATTTTCTTGTTTTGATCTTCATCTGAAGTTTGGATTTTTTTTTAGATTCCAGAACCTGAAGCATTGGGGGTTAAGAGCATGGATTCTGGGGCCTTGAACAAATTACTTAACTTCTGAATGCCTCTTTTTAAAATCTGTAACAGAGGAACAATAACCATCTGCTGTTGTGAAAAATGTAAATGCTTGGGACAGGGCCTGGCATATAGTCAGTGCTATATAAATATGAGACATTGGCTTATAGAACACAAAACATTATGAACACTTTTAAAGCTTTTGCTCAGTATTGCCAAATTCTGGAAAGGTTATACCAGTGGAGTCTCCCATCAGTGCTATCTCAGGGTGATTGTTTTTACCACACAGAATTAGCTATTAGGAAAACTTCCTCAGTATGTGTCTGTTGCTATTGGCACATCATTCATTCTTTCTTCTTTACTAGCCCTGATTTTTGTTAGATAATTTATCTACTTCTTAATAAAAGTGTGGAAACAAAGAAAAATGCATTTCCTCTTCTTTTCTTTTGCATATTTTCTTTTTTTTGTCTTAGGGACTAGAAGGTGACTATGTTACTTTCTCATGAAGATAGATAGGAGGGACTGTGGAATTTGAAAGTTTGAGACCACTCTTCTCATAGTAGGCAATAAAGAAGCGTATATTATTTTTAAAATGTCTGTAAGGAGATCTCAGAAAGGTGTCCAGTTCTTCAAAGTTTGCCTTTGGTTTTCAGGACAAGCAAGTGGACAAGGCAAGAGTTCACTATAAAGTTAAGGTATGGTGCTTGCTTTGGCAGCACATATACTAAAATTGGAACGATACAGAAAGTTGAGGTATGGAGATGATCAACCCAAGGTGATATTCTCTAGTGGGTAAACTCTTCTCCTCTGACTCCAGTCAGAGCTACTTTATCTCTGTCTGTTTTACATGTTGTGTTTTGGGTATTGACTGGGAGAATGAGTCCTTAGCTAAAACAGGTTTGAAGATCTTTTTACCAAGAGGAATTAAGCCTCAGAGAGAAGTCTGCGGGCACCCCACACACTTAACATTTAATGTGTGCCTTTCCTTTTGCTCATCTGTACTCCTGGGTGTGGCTGCAGGGAGAGGGGTGCAGCGATGGTGGTGGTAGCGGCAGAGCCCTTCTGGGATGGTGTTGGGTTAGTGTGGTTGTGTTGAGTGTGGTTCCTAAAGCCCACTGGGGCATGCATGGTGATCCTGTAACTAAAGCAGTTGTCCATACCAGCTGTAAACTACAGTTAAATAAGCAACTTTAAGTGGGAGGCCATGTGATTATGAACAAACCCAGAATGAAAATTTTTTCCAGTGGTTCAGAGCAGTTGTCTTTGGTGTTCTCCACCCATTTATTCCTGCTGATGACTCACTCTGTGACTGGCCCTGTTCTATTATAGGAATGAAAAGCATTACACATGTGAATCATACCTGTAATTTCCATTGCCTTAAAAAATGTGGCCTCACAACCTGAAAAAATACTCTTAAACTCCCTGGTCAAATTAAAGAGACCACAGTGATATGAAAGTAGTTACTAAGAATTCTAGATCACTTTTTTTCATGAAAAATGGAACTTCTTATATGAATATTAGGCCGTGTATTAAGGTATATCTGATTTTATTCCTTAGGCCGTATTCATGGTACCAGTCCATACTTATCAAGAAAAACTGATTATGTTCAGGGTAAACGGAATTAGAGCATTCCACTGTGTAGTAACCTACAGTATCAGAGAAAGGCAAGAGCTCCCAAGCTCTTATTTTTTATTTTTTTGAGACACAGTCATACTCTGTCACCCAGGCTGGAGTGCAGTGGCCCAATCTCGTCTCACTGCAACCTCTGCCTCCCGGGTTAAAGCGATTCTCCTGCCTCAGCCTCCTGAGTACCTGGGACTGCAGGTGCACACCACCACGCCTGGCCAATTTTTTGTATTTTTAGTAGAGACGAGGTTTCACCATGTTGGCCAGCCTTAAACTCCTGACCTGAGGTGATCTGCCCGCCCAAAATGCTGGGATTACAGGCCTGAGCCACTGCGCCCGGCCCAAGCTCTTATTTTTGACCTTGTATTGATTTATACCATCACCTTGAGAAGAATGAAAATTTCTCTGTACCTTTTTCTAATTTACAATATAGGGGACTTTTATGCAGTTTATTTAGTGAACGGCTTGATCCTAAACAGCCAAGGACATTTTATTTTGGTTTTTCTTTTTCTGGAATTGATATAGTAAGAAATCACATCTGTTTATCTTATGTCCTGTCCTAGTTCCTTGATGTTGGAGACTGTATGGGTTTGATTCACCCTTACCTCTTAATTTTGTACAGTGGAAAAGGTATTAGAATATCCGGGCCAAATTCCAGCTCTGCTGTTTCCTTGCTTACAGAAATCTTGGGCTAGGTTATGTTCTTTGAAATTTATTTTTAAAAAATCAATAAGAAGAGGATGATGATCCATAAAGACAGTAGTAAGATTGTTGTGAGATGATGTGAAATTCTGTAGTGTATAGTGTTGTGATTTTGACGTTTATTGCATGTTCTGGATAAGAATTTGCTGATTTAATTGAAGTGTCTAGGAAGCCAGTGTATTTCTTGAGAGCCTACTACATAATCTTAATTATACTCTATTATCGTATTTAGTGCTTATAAGAATACTGTGTGAATAGGTGTCTAGTAATACCTATGATTCTGTTTTATAGATGAGAAAACTTGAGTTGCACAGAAGTTAAATCATTTTCCCAAGCTGAAATTGCTAGCCAGTTTTGATGCTAATATTTGAACCTAGGTTTATGTAGATTCCTTGCCTCCTACTGATTCCTAAATCTTGTTTTTTGTCCTTACCATAGCTGCCTACCAAAGCCTACCAAATACAATCTAGTGAAGCCATATACAGGGTATACAACCATATACAACCATAACCATATATGAAACCATATATAGGAATATATATTCTTTTATATTTTGAAGTCTAAAGGCACCTACTTATTTAATGAACTTATGTTGGTATATGTTGTCCAGGTAGGCTATTGGCTGGGACAGAAAATAGCATAAAGGTAAGAAGAAATAGGATTCTTTCAGAAACCAACAAGTCATAAAATTTCAAAGAAACTTGAAAAACTGTATTTATTCCTTATAATTTGTTGATTTTATTTTTATCTGAGTTACTGGAGGTCCTGCTTTAATAAATTTTGAAGGTATCTTGTATGAATTTGATTTTTAAAGTGAAAACTGTTCTGTTTATGTCCTTACATATATGTAGTGATTATAAAAGTTTTCAAAACTGAATACTTTAAAACACCAAATTACTTAAGGTCTTCATAATATAATGGATTTACCTTACATATAAATAATGTAGAAATGATGCTTATTGAATTTATTTTCATCGAGTTACATATCTCTGTGCTTTGGGGTATATTCTTATCTAGAGCTCTGAATCTAGAAAGAAAGGCTGATAGTGAAAACCTTTTAAAAAAGTCTAATTTCTTAAGGTTAGCATGTTACAGATTAAGAGTTGCAGAAGCTTTCTGTCCTTAAACAGTGACTCAGATCAGCAGAAGTTAGATTATATATAATACTTAAATGTTATAGCAGTATAACTATAATTAGGAATCTCTTTATATGTTTTTAGGATGCTCAGGTAGGAGAAGGTAGATTCTAGGAGTTTTATATTCAATTCTTAGCCAATTGTGAGAACAGATACCAGTAAATTCCTTGTCAGAGCAGAACCTGATCCCCTAGATCCCAGCCAACAATAAGATTGAACCTCAGCTGCTCAGCAACTGCACTTACAGGAAGGCAGGAGATCTGATGACTGGGAGAGCAGATAGTGGTAGAGGAGGAGATACACAAAAAAGCATTTGTATGGAGAGATTTATGGCATTTGTAGTTTACATCTCAGCTTACCTAGCACATTCTACCATTCTACTCTTGTCCTGTGTCTGGATTCATGACAAATGCTGACAAAACCATTTGTTTTGTTCTGTGGCAATTAAACTTTGAACAAGGAGACTCTTCACGCAGTATAATTTCTGACTATATTCTCAGTAACTGATTCTCCTTTCAGAGACCTCCTGTGCCTTCACTGTTTTGTATCTCAGACTGGGCAGCCATTCTCTGAAAAAGGTATCACCAGTTGCACCTTCACCTCTGCTCGCCAACTCTCACCCCTCCCCTGTCTTCTCCCCTTTGCCTTCCCTCCTGCAGCCATCAGCCTAAGAGCAAGTCCAGTCACGCCTGGAGTGCTTAACTCTGCCTTCAGACCAGAATGGGGTACTCTGGCATGTGTCTCAGTATTTTTTTCTATATCTTCCATAGAGTCCACCGGAATATGTAATACATAAATGAATAAAATACCTGAAACACATTTTTCCCTCACAGTTATTATTAATAGTAATAAACAAATACACCCTCTTTGTAAAATAATCAGGCACTCAATCTGGAAATATGTAGAATGAGATAGGAAAGACACCATCTACCAACCTCTCTCCTTATAGCTTCCACTCTCTTCTACTGATGAAACTGCTCTTCCTCATGATATACACCTTTTATATATATTATTTTCCATTTTTTTTCACTGATCTTGTAAACCTCTTTTGTGTTACTATGTGCAGATTTTCCTTTATTAAAATTTTATAGGATAGGTGAAAGGTGAACTATAATTCATTCATTTAGTCTCCTGGTGACTGATATTTAAATTGTTTCAAATATTTTGCTATGGTAAACATCTTAGTATGCTAATCATATATAAGCAAGTATTTGTTTCTTACAGGTAGAGTTATTGGTTCAGAAAGTATATGGATTTTAAGTTACAGTGGACACTACTAAATTGCTCTCAAAAGAGTCTTTGTGGCCGAGTGAGGTGGCTCATACCTCTAATTCCAGCACTTTGGGAAGCCAAGGCTAAAAGATTGCTTGAGGCCAGGAGTTGGAGACCGGTCTGGACAAAAAAAGGGAGATCCTATCTCTACAAAAAATTTTAAAAATTAGCTGGGGGTGGTGGGGTGTGCCTATATAGACCCAGCTACTCAGGAGGCTGAGTTGAGTGGATTGCTTGAGCCCAGGAGGTTGAGTTTGCAGTGAGCTATGATCATGCCACTGTACTCTAGCCTGAATGATGGAGTGAAACCCTGTCTGTTAAAAAAAATAAAAAATAAAAAAGTCTCTGCCATTTTACACACCCACATTACGGTAGCTTGGGACTACCTATTTCTCTGCATTCAGCATTATCATTCTTACAAATTTGTGCCAATATGAAATAATTTTATCTGCATTTCCTGATTAGAAAGATGCTTTAGTATTACCCCATATTTTTGTTGGCCATTTGCATTTCTTCTATGAATTGTATGCTCACATCATTTGTAATTTAGGAAGAGCTGTCCTTCTTACTAATTAATAGGAGTTATTACTCTATTTGGATATTATTGATGTATATTTTACATATATAGCAGATGTTTTCTTCTAGTGAGTTTTTAAACTTTGTCTACAGTGTCTGCTGTTATATCAGTGGTTTGTCAAATTTGATAGTTTTGTTTAGTTTTTTTTGGTTCATGACTTGTTTTGAAATATTCTTCCCACCCAACTATTTTAAAACCATTATTTTCTATATTTTTAAATGGTTCCATTTGTTTTAAGAATTGTCTTATTTCTAATATTGTATAATTTCTTCGTGTACTACCAGGTAGTATAAATCCAAAGATTTTACTGTAGCTGTGTGTTGGACTTGTTATTTCCACACTTCTCTTGAAATGTGCAAGAAGAAAGCTTTTCTTAACACCTTACAATATTTCTTTGTACATGCAGCAACATGAGAGTCTTTTGTTGCCACAACAGAGGCAGACAATATTTATTACTGTGAGACCAACTGTAGGCTTTATGTATGTGGGACTTTGCAGTAGTGACTAAGCTAAGAAATTACGTGGAAATAACAGCATTTGTATACTTTCACCTATGGAGTCCTAAAGTATTTTGGAAACTTTTTCTTAATGATGAATAATTTTATCTGATAACTTTCCTGGTAAGGACCTTCCTTTTAACAAAAGTAGGGTGGAGGGGCGAGTGGCTGGGGAGTGGACTGTGGCTAAGGCTCAGAGTTATTAAGTAGCTTCCTCTAAGTCTGTCCTTCCACAGAGATAAGTCACAGATGAGTGGATGAAAGTTGGATTGACTAGAACATGAACATCAGTTGTACGTCTATACTAATAGAAATAAACCATAATGATGTTCCTGTGGGAATGAACATTTGAAAAGATTTTTCAATTAAAATGAGAGTGGGGACTTTTTCCTATTACCCATTTCAACTACGTGGCAGCTACAACCTCCAGTCACCAAGTAATGTTGGCTGAGATTTCTGTGGTTGAAGGTCAAATCAGGTAGGCAAGTGAGGTGTTACTAGAGTGAGGCAGTGCTGTCAGCTGATGATTGGGTGTGAGCTGATAGCTCACAGGTGGTTTGAGATGGGATTCTGCAGGGTGGTGATGTGCAGCCTCTTTGATTTGTTTTCACCCAGCTCCCTGTTCACCAACCATCCATTGTCCATCTTTTTCAGGAACTGATCTTTTCAACGATCCCAACTATTCCTTCCTTCTTTCGTCTATAATACCAACAATCTTACAGCTGTTTACTTGCAATATTTTTACTGTGTTGTACCACAGAGCTATTTCCAGGCAGTAATGGGGAAACTGACTAGCGTCCTTTCTTCTCCCTCCATATTATTTCTACACAACTCTAACACTTAATGTTTACCTTTTTTTTTTTTGAGATACAGCCTTTTTCAAAGTTTTTCTCCATCTTTTAAAATTCACATCTGATCCTTAAACTCAGAAATCTCATCCCTGCCTTAAATTCTGATGTAACTTCTTAGTGAAGCATTGCAGCTCCCCTCCCTCCACTCTTTAGAGTCATTAAGCTCAGAAGGTAAATTCCATCTTCTGTGGATTCCCACCATTAACAATCGGGCCAAGCTTTACTTTTTTTTTTTTTTTTTTGAGACAGAGTTTCACTCTTGTCGCCCAGGCTGGAGTGCAGTGCTGTGATCTCGGCTCGCTGCAAACTCCGCCTTCTGGGCTCAAGCAATTCTCTTGCCTCAGTCTCCTGAGTAGCTGGGATTACAGGTGCCTGTCACCATGCCCTGCTAATTTTTTGTATTTTTAGTAGAGATGGGGTTTCACCATGCAGGTGGTCTCGAACTCCTGACCTCAGGTGATCCACCTGCCTCAGCCTCCCAAAGTACTGGGATTACAGGCGTGAGCCATCATGCACAGCCCAAGCTTTACTTTTTATTTTTAACTCATTTTTTAAAAGTTAGAATTTTATTTCCTAAGTATGAAATTATAAAGTTGAGTAGGCTTTTACAAACTGCACTCTCTGCTCTTGGTAGCTTTGTGATCCTGGGCAAGTTGTTTAACCTCTAAGTGCCTCAGTTTCTTCATCTGTAAATGAAAGTTATCTCACTGATTGTTATGAGTATAATGTGCAGTGTGTGTGTGTGTTATATATGTGTGTGTGTAATTGAGAACAACATCTGGCAAATAATAAGTGCTCTCTAAGTGTTTGCTATTATTATTATCCTGGTTTCAGTGAAATAGACAGGCTTAGGCTTTCGTGTAGCGGAGGCAAGGGCTCTAAAGATAATTGGAAAAGGAGAGATAGGAAGAGAAGGGCTATTTACTAAGCAGATACTTTGAACTTCTCAGCAGGATCTGGTACAATTTATTCATTTACAGTATATTTAGAATAGGGTTAGAAAATCATATAAAGATGTTTTAAAGCATTTTGGCAACTGTTAATCCAGCAGTATTGTGGTGTGATTGAATGGTGGTTTTCTATTGCTGAAGTAAGTAGTGATCATTTTTGTTTGTTTGTTTTTTGGAATTAACTATGTATACAGTTTCTATTCAGGAAGGTCTATTGGTCTAACGTTTCAGACAAGCATAAGAATGCCAAAGATAGTTTGTCTTTTGCTTGTTTAGAACAAGGGTTCTTATGTCTTGACTTTTCATTATTCATTTATTCATACTTAGAAGTGAAGTGCTCCTAAATTTGAGGCACCTTGCTTTTCCTGCATTATTAGATTAGGGGTTCTATTGTTTGATGACATAAACGTTTAGAATCAGACTTCTTAAGATCCCACTTTGGCTGTGGAATTTTAGGCTAGATTGTTAATCTCTACAACTTTAATTTTCACAGCTTTAAACTGAGGACAGTACTACCCAACTCAGAATTATTGTGAAATCCAAATGAAAATGTATCCATAAGGCATACATAAAGAAATACCCAAAAGTGGTTTTCTCCCAGAAGGATGTATGTCTAGCCTATAAAGGTGATCCTTCCAAATCATGTTACTAGCACACATATCAGGGATAAGTTAAACAAGTTAGGCTGGATTTTTTTTATTTTTATTGCAGGGAAATTCTGCCTGGGGTGTTAGAAGAGAGAATGTGATGAGTTAGTTCAGCTGTGAAATCTAACATCCTATTGGTTCGCCTCATTGCAAAACAAAAAAAGGGAATTAAAACTTTTTTTAAAGGACTTCTTAAGAACAACTTTAAAATGAAAAGAAGAAATAGACAATTTGGTTTCTTTTTAGTAACAGTTGTATATATCCCCTACAAAAATAGTAGAGGAGTCTGGCTTTGTTAATATTTGTTTAAAAGGAGGTGTTGACTAGTTTTCAGCTTGCAAGTAGGAGTGTCTAGTCAGTGTTTTCTTTTCTACATAGAAAGTTAACAGGACTCTGACACATCAGAGTTTGTACGGAGAGAGTTTAGGGAACTGCTGCACAGATTTCCTGCAGAATGATGGGGCAGCTCATGAAAA
The DNA here is from genome assembly GCF_000001405.40 of Homo sapiens. Classification (NCBI taxonomy): domain Eukaryota; kingdom Metazoa; phylum Chordata; class Mammalia; order Primates; family Hominidae; genus Homo; species Homo sapiens. The sequence continues at coordinate 56,742,318 of NC_000006.12, read as the reverse complement.
ATGATCAAGATTGGAACGCAAAGCTGGTGGGACTGATGTGCTGTATGGGTTAGTAGTATCACATATACTATCACTTTCATGTTTTCAGAACTGGGAAGGGAAAGTTGCACTACCTGCTTTGGTTTGCATGGCGATAGTTCAGCTGATTGTCGGGCATCTTTCGAAAACCTGTACTGAAATCAGGACAACTTCTGAGGCTCCCTGGAGAGAACTCCCCTGCCTATTGTTGTCCACAGAATATGTATTTATATAATCTCAATACTTACTGCGTGTGTGGTACTGAGTGAGTTTAGCTTTGTTTGGATTTCACTGAAAACCAGTCAATATAGATTGTAATAATCAGTACTCTTTTTGCATTTATTTGTTCCCCCCCAATTCTGTTATTCTTTGTCTTCATTGTCGTTACATATTTTCAGCTGTTACACTTTATAAGGGGGATATAAATATATATTTTTATTGAAAACTTAATCTATAAATGAAATAATTTTCAAATAGAGGAATGTTATAAAAGTTCAATTGTTTAAAATCACAGGAATGAGTTTCCCTTTTTGTTGCTGTAGCAACATTGCTCTAAATATAAATCTCAGTGTTAGACATCTCTAACTGAAATGAAATAAAGAACCATTATGAGACTTGTAATTGGAAAATTAGATGGTGTAATCTGGAATACTCCCTTTTGAAATAACTCCCTTTTGAAATAATGTGTATGGAAAGTGGTGTGATTTACAAAGTCTTCCCAGACTTAAATTATTCTCTGACTCTAGGTTGCTCTCTTGAAGAAAGTTGAAGCCTTTAGAATTCACATTAACTCTTTTCTCATTCCTGTAGCATTGTGGAAGCCTTCTCATGTTAAAGAGCATATTTTGGTATTTGAATGGGACTCATTTAAGTTGATCATGGTTTAAAAGAAGAGGTTTAGGTTGTTCCTGTTAGAAAACAGTATCAGAATTTATGAATTATGTGTGTTATTTAGTCTTTGTATCTTATGTACTTTAGTTACGGATCATAATTCCTAGATATTACCTCAGTAGTACCTACGAAATATCATGTTATTAGCAGTGCTTTTGAGCATCTAGCACAACAACAACAACAAAACCTCATTGATCAAAAGAACCTTTGTATAGTAAGTACCTCTGTACTTAGAGGTAAATTATTTGATTAAATCAGCTTTCTTAATATACTGCTTTGGTAAGTAATTAGCCAATTTATCTATAGAATCTGTTTTACCTCATGTTCCTTGAACTATAGGACCAGTTTTTATTCACTTAGAAAAGAAGAAATCTATTTTGTTAACCCTTTTTTACCCAAGAAGAAAATAGTTTATATAATACACATAATAGATTAAATTTATTTTGTGACTTATATGGAAACTCTATTCTTGAATTATAAAGATTTTTAATATATTATTAATTTTTTTTTCTTGAGGATTTAGCATCAGGGGCCTTGGTTGTTATTTAATGGGAATAATATGGATATTACCTAGGAAGTAATTTTTTTCATTTACTCTGTTTTCTTTTTGCTGGATGCTTAGAACATCACTGCTGAAAATGTGATATGAGTGCTAGACTTTGGCACAGAACTTCCATTGTTTGCAATCAGTTGTCCAAAGTTCACATCACATCACAGAGCCAGATTCCCCAGCTCCCTGTCTGTGACTGAGATGTGGTCAGCACTTCCATTTGAAAAATGACAGTATCTTGGGGATAGTGGAAGCAACCTTGTAGGGAAACATAAGAGTTGGGTCCTAACCAAGGCTCTTTCAATGTTAAATGATTAAGTCAGAGATTCTTTTTAGTGGAGAAATTGACACATGGCTGGCTTCTGTTTTGCTACCCTACTTCCTGTCCTTTAAGCCCCACCTGACTGCCCTGGATGAGGTTGGTCCTTCTCTCTTTTGTGCTTGCATACATGGTGAGTGCCATGTACTTCTCTCAACTGGTGTGCTTACCACACTGCCTTTCTGTCAGGTGTCCTCTCCAGGTCATGAGCTTCAGAAACCAAGACTAGTGCTTTCTCTGCAGCCTGGTGGTCTCAGTGTTACAGGACAGGGGTCCAGATTCAAACCCCAAGAGAGGGTTCTTGGATCTCTTGCCAGAGAGAATTCAGGGTGAGTCCACAGAATAAAGTGAAAGCAAGTTTATTAAGAAAGTAGGCCAGGTGCGGTGGCTCACGCCTGGCCTACACTTTGTAATCCCAACACTTTGGGAGGCCGAGGCGGGAGGATCACCTGAGGTCAGGAGTTTGGAACCAACCTGGCTAACATGGCGAAACCCTGTCTAAAATACAAACATTAGCCAGGTGTGTTGGCGCATGCCTGTGATCCCAGCTACTCAGGAGGCTGAGACAAGAGAATCCCTTGAACCTGGGAGGCGGAGGTTGTAGCGAGCTGAGAATAAAGAATGGCTACTCCATAGACATAGCAGCCCTGAGGGCTGCTGGTTGCTCATTTTTGTGGTTATTTCTTGATGATATGCTAAACAAGGGGTGGATTATTCATGCCTCCTCCTTGTAGACCATATAGGGTAGCTTCCTGACATTGCCATGGGATTTGTAAACTGTCATGGCGCTGGTGGGAATGTCATAGTGAGGACGACCAGAGGTCACTCTCGTTGCCATTTTGGTTTTGGTGGGTTTTAGTCAGCATCTTTACTGCAATCTGTTTTATTAGCAAGGTCTTTATGACCTGTATCTTGTGCTGACCTCCTATCTCAACCTGTGACTTAGAATGCCTTAACCATCTGGGAATGCAGCCCAGTAGGTCTCAGCTTCCTTTTACCTAGCTCCTATTCAAGATGGAGTTGCTCTAGTTCACACCCCTCTGACACCAGCACCACCATAGCACTGGACTCATTAAATGACCAGATAGATGCTAGGATGAAGAGTGAGTAAATGAGGGAAGTACAGAATCTGCACTTATCAGTGAAGAGAACTAGTAAATTGTTTCTGTTTCCTTGTTCTTGCTTTACCAACAAATTGGTAATTTAGGTTCATTTTGAACTGTCTAGGAATAGCAAGGCCGAAAGACATTTAGGACACCATTATTGCTTTAAGAGATATAGTTGTATATACTACTGTATATATGTATACAAGTAATTCTACATTGTTTTCCTCAGTTGGATTGTCCTTCCTGAAATAAAATTATTTCACACAATGGGCATCTATCTGTTGAGCGCATAGAGGCATTGCAGCATAGAGGCTTTGTGGCATCTAGTATGTGGTAGACAAAGATGAATGAGGTATAGATGATGCCCCTAAGGGGCCAATAGAGGAATTAATAAATATTTTGTGGATAATATTATTGGTTCATAATTATTAATATCATTGCTTTTGATAGCAGTTTTAAGCAAAGTGCCTGGGGGTTTTACACTTGGAATGAGGCAAATAAAATAATTTTAGGGTCAGACACAGTGGTTCACGCCTATAATCCCAGCACTCTGGGAGGCTGAAGCAGGTGGATGGCGTGAGCTTAGGTGTTCAAGACCAGCCTGGGCAACATGACGAAACCCCATCTCTGCAAAAAATGCAAAAATTCACCAAGCGTGGTGACATGCACCTGTAGTCCCAACTCCTTGGGAGGCTGAGGTGAGAGGATCATTTGAGTCCAGGGACGTGGAGGTTGCAGTAAGCCAAGATTGTGCCACTGTAGTCCAGCCTGGGCAACAGAGCGAGACTGTCTCAAACAAAACAAAGATAAAACCAGGCCAGACTCGGTGTCTCACGCCTGTAATCCCAGCACTTTGGGAGGCTGAGGCGGGCCGATCACGAGGTCAGGAGATTGAGACCATCCTGGCTAACACGGTGAAACCCCATCTGTACTAAAAATACAAAAAATTAGCCAAGCGTGGTGGCACATGCCTGTAGTCCCAGCTACTCGGGAGGCTGAGGCAGGAGAATCGCTTGCACCTGGGAGGCGGAGGTTGTAGTGAGCTGAGATCATGCCGTTGCACTCCAGCCTGGACAGCAGAGCAAGATTTTGTCTCAAAAAAAAATTTTAGTATAAATTCTGAGCATTTATATTCAGAATTAGCAAACTACTTCTACTGTCTGGGAATGCTTTCTGCACCCCTTTATCTAATTTTTAAATAAGAAGTAGATTAGAAGTTGGGGGCACTGAAAAGGTATTATAGGCAGAATCAAAAGATGGGCTGTATATAAGTACCTTTTTTTTCTCCCTGACAGTGATAGGAAATGGAAGGTGTTTCAATGAGGTACTTTGGAGAAGAAATGCTTATGAAATAAAAAGTACGTTATATGTTCCTCCCCCCCATTCTTATTGGCATTAAAGTAGGAGAACTCTAAATGATAATACTATCACTGAGTAGTCTTACAACAAGTTGAATTTGAACAGACCATTGTATCACTTTACTAAAATTTCCTTATTTCCTTTTCTCGAACATTTGTGTTTTTTCAGAATTTTTATTTTCCTATTGTAAGCACTCTGATTTATATTCTCATAGTTACATTTTGTACATAATATGATTATAACTTCAGAATAGATTTTAGAAGTAGATTTGCTGGGAAAGGTCGTAGGTATTTTTAGGGCTTTTTATGTATATTAACAAATTGTTGTACAGCAGTGTTGTCCAGTAGAGCTTTGTTTTAGAGCAGTGCTGTCTGACAGAAACTTCTGTGATGATGGGATTATTCTATATCAAATTATTCTAAAGTAGCGCTGTCCAGTAGAGCTTTGTTCTAGAGCAGTGCTGTCTGATAGGAATTTCCGTGATGATTAGAATGTTCTATTTCTCTGCTTTTCAATATGTTAGCCATTAGCTACATGTGACTGTCAAGCACTTAAATTGTGACTAGTGCAACAAAGAAACTGAATTGTTAATTGTATTTTGCTTTAATTAACTTTGGTTTAAACTTAAATAGGTGTATGTGACTAGTGGCTACAGTACTGAACAACGCAGGTCTAGAAAGTTTAAATTAAATTACATTTTCATCAGCAATATGTGTGTCTGTTTCTTGTGTCCTTTTCAACATGAAATTTTTTAAAAAATAAAATCTTGGCAATTTGGTAAGTTAGAAAGCTTTATCTGTGTTACTTTATATTATTATTTTTTGTTAGTGAGATTGAGTACCTGTGTGCATTACATTTTTATTGTTATTTTATTATTTTTTGGAGACAAGGTCTTGCTGTGTCACCCAGGCTGGAGTACAGTGGCGCCATCATGGCTCACTGCAGCCTTGAGCTCCTGGGCTCAAATGACTTGCCCACCTCAGCCTCCCAAGTAGCTGAGACTACAGGTGCATGCCACCATGTCTGGCTAATTTTTGTATTTTTTTGTAAACACGGATTTCATCATGTTGCCCCGGATTTCATCATGTTGCCCAGGCTAGTCTCCAAATCCTGGGCTCAAACAATTTGCCTGCATTGGCCTCCCGAAGGGCTGGGATTACAGGCATAAGCCACCACACCTGACCCTTGGGCATTACTTTTTAAAAAATTGATTAACTGTCTGTTTTTGCCTGCTTATGTATTAAAATGTTAATCTTTTTCTTCTTGCTGTTTTTTCATAATAGTAACATTTGTCTCATATTGCGTATATTTTCCCTAGTTGATATACTTTTGTTTACATTCAAGTTATTCTAGAGAACATAAATACTTTTAATAAATAGGACAAACATTTTCAAAGAAACTTTAGTTATATTACAGTAGTTTAAAGGGGGTTAGGAATGAAGAATGAGGAGAAAAAGAGATGAAGAAAGAGACCGAGACATATCTTACCCCCAGGGAAAGGATGGAGAACATCTGAATTGTGGTAGAAGAGGAAAGAAGACCACCAAGGAAGGAGAAAGAGGTAGCCCTGGAGGCAGAAAGGAGAGAAGAAGGAAATAAGAAAGTAAGGAATTGCTGTCTAGAAGTAGGGAGGAAGAAGATAGTGTAATACAGTTTTGAATGCTAGCTTTAGGTGTTGGATGATTATCATTCTCCTTTGAAATAATAACTTGATGAACCACAGCATTCCAATTGCTCTTTCTCCTTAAATCAGAAGAAAACTTTTCTCACTCTTCTTTGTGCTGTCTATAGGAACCAGGGCAGGATCACTGTCCACAGTAAAGATCTAGTTGGGGCATTTCTTTGTTGTACAGTTCAACACAGGAATCTAGGAAAGAAATAGCATAGGCCAGGCATGGTGGCTCACGTCTGTAATCCCAGCACTTTGGAAAGCCAAGGTGGGTGGATCACTTGAAGTCAGGGGTTCGAGACCAGCCTGGCCAACATGGTGAAACCCTTACTAAAAATACAAAACAAACAAACAAGCAAACAAAAAAAACAAACAAAAAAATTAGCTGGGTATGGTGGCGCATACCTGTAGTCCCAGCTACTCTGGGGGCTGACGCAGGAGAATTGCTTGAGCCCAGGAGGCAGAGGCGGAGGTTGCAGTGAGTGGAGATCATGCCACTGCACTCCAGCCTGGGTGACAGAGTGAGATTCCATATCAAATAATAATAATAATAAATTACTACTTAATATTAATTAAGCAGAATAATTAATGTTCAGCCAGAGTCTACTTCAAGCCAAAAAGTCTCAATTTAGGCCTTGCCTTTTGTCAAGACTTTAAACTATTTGCTGGGTAATCATGAACAAGTCTTTTATCCTCGTTAAGTCTTGGTTTCTTATTCTACAAAATGGGAGTAACCCTTCCTCTTATGGCTGTGAAGAGCAAATGGGATGTACATATGGTAAAGGGCTTTGGGAAATTCAGTGCAAGGACAAGGCTTACGTTAGACAACTTCATGGTGGTGGTGGTGGTGATGAGGGGTTATGGGACAGAGGGGCAGAGGGCATTTGTTTAATGGAGGAATATTGGTAAATGCAGTACTGGGAAGAGACCAACCTGACAAGCAGCTCTTTAAACACTTTCTTACAGATAGCCTGAAGTTGCCAAAATTTAACAAGAAACTTTGAATACACTGAAGCATATCTTTTAAATATCTCATTTTTGTTTATATTCATGATCACAAAGTCATCTATTCATAGATTTTACCAACCTTATCTTTATATATATTTTTTCCTTCCAGATGAACGGGACAAAGTTCAGAAGAAAACATTTACAAAATGGATAAATCAGCATCTCATGAAGGTCAGTTTTTATTTCGTTCACTTCCTGGAATTGTTTGGAATATTTCAGTTTATTTTGCAGTAATTGATTATATAGCTCTGAAGCACAACTTTTGAAAATCATCTTGAAAGTTTAAATTCTAGAGAATTTTGCATGCATTTTAGGCATCTATAATTATTTGGTGTGTGGACGGTGGGTAATGATGGAGGTGGATAGGTAAGTACCCAGTGATTTCAGTGCATTCTGTGACGTTAGTAAAACCTGTTACTATTGGAATCTATAAAATCTCAGAAGTTTCAGAAATCTGTAAATATTTATATGTTAGTGCATGGAAAAGCTACATTTCTTAGTAAGATTTTTTTTCTCTCTCAAGATTCAAACCAAGTTCTGGCCTCAGGTTTATGTGGATGGCAGAAGGTTAGATGAGAATAAAGATATTGTAGGGACAGAAGTCTAGACTTATTATATTCTTATACTTAATTTAATCCAGTGATTGGTGCTTATGTCTAACTTTCTCTATGAAGCAGTTAATGGTTATGGTTCTTAAATTAATATTTACTTGTGTACCATGGGTAATTTTGAGAATATAAACTATCCAGAAAATAGATAAACACAAAATTTGCATGTAATTTCGTGGAGTTATTGGACCCTATTGAAGCCCTTCTGTAAATCTTGTGTAAGGAACCCTTAGGATTTCACAATAAACTATTGGTCACTTCCCCTTTCTCCCACCTTTTAAGGAGAGCCCTAAAGTTGAAATAGGTCATGTTTCTATTTGGAGTTTTCTCACATAGAAATGTTATTTTAAATGTGGTTATGTATTCTTAAGCTAGCCAACAAATCTTATTTAAACTATCATGTAGCTTAAGAGTGGTACCAATAATGTAAATTGCGTTTAGTCATCTTCTATAAAAGTGATTTTTATTTCATGGATGTATCAGAATTACCTTAGAGGTGTGTCAGTCTTGTCTCTCTCACCACTTGACAGAACCTTTTTCTCAAATTCTGATAATATCCCTCAGGGAGGGCACATCACGCACTCTCTGGTTGAGAATCACAAGCGATAAAAGGTTGAAACCCTCTGCTTTGTGAGGAAATATATTGTGAATTCTGACGCAGCATGCGGCAGTTCATCTGTCCTCTCTCAAGCTTTTCTTTCATTCTGCACATACTTTATGGGAGAGGATCTCTTCCTTACAGGCTAGGACACTCTGTAAAGTTTGGGGTGTGGATACTGTAATAAGTTGCCTGGAGTGCTGACTCAGGCTAGGGACGTGTTCCCTGTCTTTTAAATAATTCTTAAAAGTTTTGCCTTTTCTAAATTTTTATCTTGTTAACTTAAATTTAATATTATTCACTTATTTCCCCCTGTTTTTTTCACCCTTGTTGTGACTCCAAGAACTATTCTTGTTTGTCCTATTCCTTTGGACAGTGAGGTGCTTGAGAGGTTAGTCTCCAGACAGGCCTTTCTTTACTGGATTCTTTTTTTTTTCATTTTTGTAAAAGGTATATTATGTTAATTTTGAACAAATTAGCTTTGAAAGGAAAACATCTTTTGCAAGGTTATCAGTCTGTGACATGTACACCAAACAGAGGAGCAGAAGAAGCCTCACCTTTGAGGTCAGGTAAATGGTGGTGTGTCCAGGCTTTGCAATTCATTATTTGTGTGAACTTAATCTCTTTATGCCCTCATCTGTAAAATGGTGGTAATGCCAGCTTGGTGTGAGGATTTAAATGAGATAGTCTAAATAAGCATAAAGCATAGTACTTGGCATATTGTTAGGCACTCTATAAATGAGAGCGTATGGTGTAGAAGGGTGGATTGACTTGGAAGGTGTCAGACAAAATTGTGAAGTTAAGTGTAAGTTGCTTTTGGTGCCCATCTGCTTCCCTTATCTGTGTCTCTTTTTATTACATCAAGTACTTTTCCTTTTAGTTTATTCATTTTAGAAAAAGCTACAGTTTGGGGTTCAGACTCTTTTTGAGGAGATTGATAGGTGTGTTGCCTCTTTACCTTAGAGTTCTGCTGGGACACTGAAGAATGGCTTACCTGTGGTAATCCTGTAGCTGTGCTCTCCTTGCCCCCTGCCTACCCCTCCACAGATTTTTAAAGGTTGATTTGGGGGCCTGGAGTCCTTTTTAAATCTCCTTTTCTTCTTCTCCCACACATTCTTCTCACAGAAAGGGAGTCAGTGAACACTCATCTTACTTCTGAAAGGTTGGCAGCTTTTGGACCTCAAAGTTAGTTTTACTTAGAGTCACACTTGGAGGGCATCTTCAAAATCTTCTGGTTCTGTTCCCTCGTTTAAAAGTAGGGGAAACTTGCCACAGCTGCTACTGGTAGAGCTGCACTTGAAGTCGTGAAATGAGAATATGAATTCAAATGAGACGCTGTGTCCAGTGTTTGACTTCTTTGAGCACTGCAATAGGTTGCAGATCCCAGCAGGTTCCCCTTGGATGTGGGGTTGTGTTTACTTTTCTTAACTTATTGTTTCAACTATTTGCTAATTTTTGTGACTTAGGAAGTTGTGATTTATGTAGCTATAAAAAAGCATATACACAGTGCTCAGGGTTGATACTGGCGTGGTCAATTTTTAAAAGTTTATATAACTGGCAAAAGTAAACATTGTGGAGCTTTTAAATGATTGTATAAGTTACTGTTACATTTATGTGCATAAATATTTTCTTCTTAAAATATTTGGTGAGGATTTTTTTGCTCTTCGATACAGTTTCTTTTGTTGTTTTTTGCTTATTTCAAAAGCATGCTCATTAAAAGGAAAAAAGTCAAAATTATAAATGTTTCTGGAAAATCAGTTAGAAACACAAAAGCAATTATTAGAAAAAGTTTTCCTGAAAACTCTGGCACAGAAGCTTGAAAAACAACCCATGATGTACCAAAATTAGCGATACTTGAAAAAAAGCCATAACTGGGGGATATTCCTTTTCAACCAAATGGCTGTTTAGGCCAAATTGTTGTGATGATCAAATTGCTTTTAACCAAGTGTATGCCACTCTATATTTTCAAACCATGGTCTCATTTATCTTTAAGCTTTGCATATGCTGCTTCCTTAGAAGAGGGTCCTTTTCGATCTCCACTTTCATCTGGCTGATTAGTGAAGAATTAACTAGCACTTGTGAACTAGAACCCATTAAAATTAGGAACATGAAACCTGATTAAAAATTTCAAGATTTTTAGTTCTTTGTTTTAAAAGTCCTTGTTTATCCAGAAAAAAGCAATCTCTAAAAATATTATTGTTTAAAAAGTTAAATATTTGATTTGTGACATCATTTGTTTTATTATATCATTTAAAATATCTAGATAGGGTAACAATGTCAAATATTAAAGCAACTTTATAAGAAAACAAAATTTTCATGATTATTAAATTCTTTCTAAGCCCAAACTTGCAACTTATGTATAAAAAGGTAAAGTAATCCTGAGACCAAAAAGTTTGAGAAATATTACTCTATGACTGTATGTAATAGGTTATTTATTGCAGCACTGTTATAACTGCAAGAGGTTGGAAATGACCTACATGTTCATCAATAAGAGATTGGTAAAAATAATTATGATACATCCAAACAGCGAAATACAACATTAAAAAGAATCAGGAGCATTAGGCCAGAAAATGAGATGAAACACATCAATCTCTTATTGATGGTTTCACTGAGTAGGAAGAGGTAAAACCATCTCTATTTGCAGATGATAGCATCTTGTTTAAAGAAAATCTCAAGGAACCTAGCATAATAACTACCAGAATGAATAAATGAGTTCAGTAAGGTTGAAGCATACAATATCAGTATTTAACAAACTATTGTGTTTCTATACACTTGCAAAGAACAATCCAAAAATGAAATGAAGAAAACAATTCTGGGCCAGGCACAGTGGTGCACACCTGTAGTCCCAGTTACTTGGAAGACTGAAGTGGGAGAGTCTCTTGAGTCCAGTCTGGGTAACGTGGTGTGACCCTGTTTCTTAATCTTTTGATTATCAAGGAAAATTCAGGATCAGGTCAGAGAATATTTTTCACTCAACAGTCCAGCAGATAACACTAAACTCTGTTTAGTCTCAGTGGATGACACCTAGCCCTCAGCCTGGCCTTCAACCACTGCTGCTCCATCTCGCTTTCCCACTGGCATCCTGGTGCCCTGCACACCCCAGCCCTGGGCCAAGGCTGCTTGAGGATGGGCCCTGAGGACTTTTAAAATGTAACCTTTTCTCCAGAAAAAAGTTAATATGGCCTTATTTTGTATTTTTCAGGCTAAAATTACATTTGTTTAAAGCAAATCGGCTAATTAATTAAAACTTGTATTTGTTGGTGAGCAGACATCCGTGGCTTTTTTCCAGATGTATTTAAATTTTAGTGTTCCGGTAGTTCAGTTGTATGACTAAGCCTGCCCTTGAAACTGATTGTTCTATTAAGAATGTTTTCCTTTTGATTCATCATTCTTCAGAATACTTTTAAGAATAAAGTGCAGTTAACACACAGATTATTTACCTTGCAAATCATGGTTTCTAGGTAAATTACTGGTGTCAGGAACATTTATATATTATTCTTTAGCATAATTTAAACTGCAGAACTAGAGTAAGAGCTGGTTGTTATTGGAAATACCTGTGTCTTCAGTTAGCTAAATTTTACCTGGAGAATTGTTCCAAAATATAAAATTGATGACATTCTTTTGTCATTTACAACATTTATTTCTGCCTCTTCTACCTATGACACTAGGTACTCCCTCTTTATATTAGAGGGTTTTATATAACTACTTGTTGTTACTCATCATGTGCAATTTGCTGTCTAGAAATTCATAGGACAACAATATGAGAAATGGCACCTATGAGTTAAGTACTGATTTAGCTTTTGCTTTTCTCGGGGAATGGGGTGGGGGACAGAGAAAGAAGGAAGGACTTTATTTTCTGAAGTATGTTAACAGCTATCATTAGAAGACTCCCTTTAATCACTTACTTGGGCCTGGAATTAGAACTTGAGCCATGAGAGACTGTGTTTAGGAGGAGTAGTTTAAGGGGATAAATGATTTTTAGGGGAAGATTGGAGTCCAGAGAAGTCTATATAATGTGGTTTCCTTGCATAGGATCCATCTAATTGGCAATTTATGGTGGAAATATATTCTTCAATACTGATCAGCTATATTTTAAATTTATTCCTTCACATTTGAAAGAGGATATTTGGTCTAAATATTTTTTCTTTTTGTAAACTTTAATTTATTGACACATAAATGCATTTGGAGAGGAAGAGGCCCTGGATGCCATTGTTGGACACACTCTGTTTGTTAGTCATCTACTTGGTTACTGCATGGGAGACACCCAACTGACTATCACAGATTTTATCACTGTTCCATCACGACTTTGGAAAGCTTAATTTACTCATGGCGCAGATATTCTTTGCCCACATAGTGAAGTCAGTGACTTCATGACTCCACCAAATCAATCACACTGTTCTTTATTTTCTGATTTGGTGGCGGGAAGATAATATAAATCCTCAAGCTGAGAACACAGTGGTATCTTTTAGAGAACAGAAAAAAAAGCTCTATTTCCTCTGTGGTTTTGACCATTGCAAAGTGATCGAGAATAATTTCACATCTGTGGGCTCAGATTAAATAGGGGAATTTTTTTTTTTTTTTTTTTGAGATGGAGTTTTGCTCTTGTCGCCCAGGCTGGAGTGCAATGGTGCGATCTCGGCTCACCGCAACCTCTGCCTCCCCGCAATCTCCGCCTCCTGGGTTCAAGTGATTCTCCTGCCTCAGCCTCCCAGGTAGCTGGGATTACAGGCATGTGCCACCACGCCCAGCTAATTTTGTATTTTTAGTAGAGACGGGGTTTCTTCATGTTGGTCAGGCTGGTCTCGAACTCCTAACCTGAGGTGGTCTGCCCGCCTCAGCCTCCCAAACTGCTGGGATTACAGGCGTGAGCCACTGCCCCCAGCCAAAATAGGGGAATTTTTGAAGCATCAACTTTATAAAGGGCTAATGAAAAATACTGCTTGGTAGAGTGTATTGCTTTGGGTTCTTAAAACCTACAAATAAGACTTTTTTCCCCAGACCTTAGATTTATGTTAGTAGTTCCTAAACTTTAGCCTTATCGAACTCACTTGGAAATATTTTAAACTTTAAAAAGTTGCAAAAATAAAGTAGTACAAGGAACACTGATAGACTGTTTACCCAGATTGAGCTCTTGTTAATGTTTTACCTAGTTTGCTTTATTATTCTCCCTTCCCCAGTCGTGTGTGTGTGTGTGTGTGTGTGTGTGTGTGTGTGTGTGTACTTTTTTTATCTGAACCACTTGAGGGTAAGTTATATATACCATAATCCTTTACCTCTAAATACTTCAGTATGTATTTCCTAAGAATAGGGTTATTCTGTTTTGGACCACACAGTTAGCAACTTCATAAATTTATATTGGTATAATATTTTAATGTCTGTATTTCAGTCTTGTTTGTTGATCTTTTACATCATCCTCTCTTCCCCGAGGGCAAGGACCAGTTCAGGGTCAGGTATTGCATTTAGGTGTCATGTCTCTTTAACCTGCTTTATTTGTTTATTTAATTAATTATTTTTTTTGAGACAGAGTCTGGCTCTGTCACCCGTGCTGGAGTGCAGTGGCGTGATCTCAGCTCACTGCAACCTCTCCCTCCTGGATTCAGGTGATTCTTGTGCCTCAGCCTCCTGAGCAGCTGGGATTACAGGCATGAGCCACCATGCCCAGCTAATTTTTAGTATTTTTTAATAGAGACGAGGTTTCAATATGTTGGCCAGACTGCTGCCTTTGTCTCCCTAGGTGTTGGGATTATAGGTGTGAGCCACCATGTCCTGCCAACCTGCTTTAATTGGAAACAGTTTCTATAGCCTTTTTGGAGACTTGTATGAAATTGACATTTTTGAAGAATACAGAACAAGAATTTATTTATATAGAATGGAAAAATGGATTAATAGCAAAATATCTTTTGAACCTAAAATTATTTCATGACAAGAAGACAAACTTTTTGTTTTTTCTTATGAGGGCCATTTAAGCAATTATAAGTCATTTTAGTGTTTGTTGATAAAATTGTGAACTATCTTTTCAAATTAAGAACACCAAAATTTTATTCAGTAATTCCCTCAAATAACTTTAGTTCTATCTTGTGGTCAACTTATAGTTTTTCTTCTTCTTGACTTTCTTATTCCTGATTATCATTATTACTACCACCACTGTCAATGCCATTTATTGAGTGCTTATTATGTGCTTGACCCTGCACTAGATACATTACATACATTATCTGATTTAATCCTTATTTTATCAGTGAGAAAACTGAGGCTCAGGGAGGATAAGTTATCTGCCCAACATGAAGTAGCTAAAATGTTGGCAGAGCTGAGATTTAGTCCTTCGTCCTTCCTGGCTCCACAGAACTACATCATGCCATTGCATTATGCCAAAATATAAAGACACAGAATCTTGAATCATGAAGAAGAAATGGAGACAGAGAAGTAGAAAGAAAGCAATATGCTAGGGCACATGGCCTCTTTGCTGTGTTCTAATTTCTTTCAGCATTCCCTCATATACTCTATCTTGGCTGGTATGCCCTGGCCTTGTTATGTAGCCATAAATTTCTATTTGCATTCTTCTTCAATCAACACACTAGGCAAGAGTTTAGAGATACAGATAAAAGTATGCAAAGAAGCCAAGCAGCATTCCTGAGGGTCATTGTTTTAGCTGGAAAAGGGTAATTTCTAAAGCGTTTTCAAAGAAGAAAAAAAATTACACTTTGTTCAGTGGTGCTAACATATTCTAAATCATGTTGTACAGATCTTCACATTGGAAGTGTGTGTGTTCTGTGACAGGTCTCAGTTAATTTAGAATGTTTGTTTTTCCAAGGTTGAGGATGTGTGCCCATGACATAGCCTCAGGAGGTCCTGACGAAATGTGCCCAACGTGGTCCGGGCACAGCTAGGTTTTATGCATTTTAGGGAGACATGAGACATAGATCAATATGTGTAAGATGTACATTGGTTCAGTCCAGAAAGGTGGGACAACTCAAAGTGGGGAGGTGGCTTCCAGGTCACAGGTAGATAAGAGACAAATGATTGCATTCTTTTGAGTTCTGATTAGCCTTTCCAAAGGAGGCAATGAGATATGCATTTATCTCAGTGAGCAGAGGGTGACTTTGAATAGAATGGGAGGCAGGTTTGCCCTAAGCAGTTCCCAGCTTGACTTTTCCCTTTAGCTTAGTGATTTTGGGGCCCCAAGATTTATTTTCCTTTTACAGTTCTGTAGTAGGAGGATTAAAGCACTAGACTTGGTTTGTTATTCAAAACTAGACTCAAAGCTGCATAAGGACAGGTTATATCTGTTATAAGAAACAATGCATCTGCGGCCTCTAGCATATTGTCTGATACACTGCTGTTTTCCTCAGACCGTACTAAGGAATTTGATGTGTAATGAATGAATATGAAACTAAATAAAGCTTTTTTTCCCACTAGTATACTATATTACTTCTATGATGGAGAAGTGAAAGGCTTGCTTTGGTAGGAGTGAGATAAACGTTAGTCTGCAGGAAAAGAGAAATAAACTTATGGTGACTTTCTTCTTATAAAGCTAAAAAGGTCTATTTAATTATAGGTATAGAAACTGAGGCCCCAAGTCCAACAGGTTGACCAGTGGGGTCCAAGTTAGGATTCATTCTTCTGACTGCTATGTTCTGTCCACTGGATAAACCAGTTTCTCCATTTATAGCTAGGTAGTAGGAAGTTTACTCATATTCATAGGTGAGATTAATTAATTTGCCCTAAGTTACTAATTAGCTTTGCTGTTCTTAACCACTGTTGT
This sequence comes from Homo sapiens, assembly GCF_000001405.40. Lineage (NCBI taxonomy): Eukaryota > Metazoa > Chordata > Mammalia > Primates > Hominidae > Homo > Homo sapiens. The sequence goes on along the minus strand of NC_000006.12, from coordinate 56,726,433 downwards.
CTTATTGTAGATGTAGCCAGGTTTCTTTGAAGGTCTAAGATATTCTTTTCCATAGAATCAAATAGAAAACCCCATTTCCAGGCTCTAGTGAGGGTTTACCATATTGCAAACCTGAGGGAGAATTCAGAGACTAGTTTTAGTCTGACAGAGGGACTGACAGAGAAAGACAAATAGCAAAGGAAATGAAACCTGTAATCAGAGAGGTAGAAGGCCACTCCTTCCAGGGAAGGAATTGGACTTGCTGAGGAGTTTGGAAACTGAGTCATTTGAACCTAATATAATATAGAAGAAATTACTGTGTTGTGAACATTTAAAAGAGGGCTGACTTCAAAGGGAAGCTGTTGAAGCTGGGAAGGCTATTGCGTATTTCCAAAAGTGTTGAAATTCATACCTGACTGGATGGCACAATGCTGTTGATGTACAGTGTTAATATATTCTGATGCTGTTGTTTGCTTAAATATATTTTTATCAAAAAATTTCAAGTAATCTTGTTTGTGATTAAAAAAAAAACTCTCCTGGAAAATCCACTAGGTTTAAAATTTAAGGAACCCATGGCATTCATTAATATGTCAGTTTTTGCTGCTGCATATGTATAGAGTTCTTAACATATGGAATGGGAGCTTTCATAAGTCATTCTTAGAGGCCTGAAATTGCATTTCCTTAAATGGGTGAAACTTGTTACAATGTAGAACAAGAACTGGTCTTGTTCTCAGGCTAGCCCTCTAGATCTTATTTAATGCATATACTATCGTACAGATGTTAAGTGCTCAAGAAGCCATATACTAGAGGAGAAAGAGTGGTTTCCTCCTCTCATTCCCAAATAGATTTAAATTTCAAACTACCTAACTCCTTTTCTTTGTCCATTCCTTAGAATCACCCTCTTCTACCCAGGGGCCCAGTGCATGTGTGTGTCCTCCCGAGGCACTCTCTTTTCCAGAGTGTTCATGTTTCATCTTGGACTCCCAGAGCAGCTGGTTTCAGCTAGGGTCATGAAGAAAGACTGATGGGAACCTCATTCACTGTAGTCTGTGAATGATAGAGCACATTAGCCATCCCGCTGGGAAATAAATCTCCAGTGGAATGTCAAATAGATTCAGGAAGAAAAGTCAGCTGTGCATAGGAAGGTCAACAGGGTAGTAAGCTAGTCATACCTGGAGTCTGCCTCAGTGGTAAGTTATTCTAAGATATTCCTACTTTTTGCAACACATTCTTTCATTGTACTTTGTGACCCAGGGTAGGTGGCACAGTGTGGTGGGGAAAAGCACAGACTCTGGACTGAGCTGCTTAGACTCACGTCTCTCCTCAACTATTTTCTAGTAGTATGACTTTGAACCTTTCTAGGCCTTAGTTTTCTCATTTGTAAAACAGATAAGAATAGTGCCCTCTTATTTGGGTTATATTCCATGAAATAATTTACATAGAATTTTGAACACAGTGCCTGTTACACAGTGTGTGTGTGTGTGTAAAACAGCCTGTTATATATCTTTATATCTATAGACCCTTAAGATTGTCAAAAAGCTTCAGATTTGTCCGCCTGTCTTCTCTAACAGTGGCTTGTGGTCCTGATTGCTTTTTTATGTATTTGAGTCATAATATTGCCTATATATTGAAAAGGGAAGAATGCCTGCAATATGCAACTGTAGTGGTTTTATAATAGTATTACAGTGATGAATGCCAGTTAAACAGTGAGCTCTAAATAAGGAATGTGTTTTCTGTGGTCTGGCCAAGAACCACTCTAACACTAGTTTTTCCCCCTTCACATGGATATGACAGTGTGAGGTGAGATGCTGTGAGTGCATGGCAGAGACTGTTTGGATTATTTGTGAGCCATCATATCACTAGTTGAGTTTAGCCGAGATTAGATAATTTGCAGAGCAGTAGCCCAGTAGAGTCATAGCCACAACATAGCATTTCAACCTCCTGCCTGAGCAGATTCTAGCACTTAGGTTTTCTACAAGAGCATTAGCAGCCTTCCCGTGTTATTGTTATTATTTTTTAAACCAACAAACTCAACACTTGGAATCTCCAAACACCAATACTACTTACTGAATTCTTGGAGAATAGTGTAAACATTTCTTATCTTAGATTTAAGTACAGTTACACCAGAAGGACACAGCATCAGTATCCATGCATATTCTAAAAGTAGAAATGATTCCTATAGAGCTATTGTCCTAGTTAATGGGTTTTAATATTATCCTTTCTTTTACCTCATAGTTTGTTATTGTTCCCAAATGTCTTAAACATCTAACTTTAATTTTATGTTAACTTAAAAAACTTAAGAAACACACTTAAGGACACTTTGATTTTACTGAGCAGTATATATAATAGAGCAGTTTTAACATGTCTTCCAGGTTGCTAAATAGAATTCAAATTTAATTTCTGATTAATACTTTCTTGCTGAATTTTAAAATTAATTTTCCAGTGTTGAGAAGATTAAATAAAAACATGTTTTTTGGAAGGGAAACAGCAGTTTTCAAATCAGGTTCCCAGGAACACCGGTGTTGTGGGATACCCTGGGTTGGGGGAGCAGCGGAGGAAGGTTTCATTTGCCAAAGAGATTGGAAAGTAGCATTTTCTGGTTGAAGAGATTTATGGTACACATTAGCATACTAAAAAGAGAAAAATTCTGTGGGAGAGAACCCTGTTTAATCCAATGTTTCCTAATTCATTTGGTCTTGGAATCTTTTGTCAAAGAGTATCTATTAATCTCCCTTTGGGAAATCCTGCAGTAGAGTTTTAAAGTGAGTGCTTTCAAGCAAATTTAATTAATATTGTATTAATTTGAGTTACAGATCTGGATGGGGCCTAGTTAATTTGGTGGTCATTGCAGAAATGTTTTCTCACAGCCCTTCTTTTTTAAATTTTTTTTGAAACAGAGTTTGGCTCTTTTTGCCCAGGTTGGAGTGCAGTGGTGTGATCTTGGCTCATCATAACCTCTGCCTCCCGGGGTTAAGCGATTCTCCTGCCTCAGCCTCCCGAGTAGCTGGGATTACAAGCATGCACCAACACGCCCGGCTAATTTTGTATTTTTAGTAGAGACAGGGTTTCACCATGTTGTTCAGGCTGGTCTCGAACCACTGACCTCAGGTGGTCTGCCTGCCTCAGCCTCCCAAAGTGCTGGGATTACAGGCGTAAGCCACCACGCCCAGCCCTCACAGCCCTTCTTATAGGTCAATTATTTTCTAATTTATGGATGACTTACCCTTTTGGTTCTCTTGAATTATAACTGAGCTATTTCTTTAATTGTCTAAAATTCTCATACCCTAACTTCCACCTACTTATCTTGGGCCAGCCCCCCAGAATGATATAAAATGTATATGGCAGCTCTTGAATACCTGAAGAAACTATTTTGTCCTCCTTCACCACGTTTTTCTTTTAACTTGTCAACCAGATAGTTCCATTTCCTTTATTTTATTCTCATGTGATAAGATTTTCTATCATACATTTCTAACATATTCTCTTTCAGTTTTTATATTTGAAATTTTTAAGGCTACTGAGTTGAAGACAGAAAATGAGTTGAAGGAAAGTCTGCCATGTAATCAGAGCTATACAATGCCAGAGCATGCACAGAAGTTACCTATGTTATGATCTCAACTATGTTTATATTATCTTCTACCTTTCACCTCCCTGCCTTTGTACATGTTCAGCTATTTACTTACCTTTATAGCCGCTTTTTATTTCTACAATGTAGGATAATTCCTGTAGTCTTAACTACTTTAAAGTTTTTCTAAAAAGAACATGTACTACTTTTAGGCTGGGCGCGGTGGCTCATGCCTGTAATCCCAGCACTTTGGGAGGCCAAAGTAGGTGGATCACGAGGTCAGGAGTTTGAGACCAGCCTGACCAACATGGTGAAACCCTGTCTCTACTAAAAATACAAAAATTAGCCAGGTGTGGTGGCATGCACCTGTAATCCCAGCTACTCAGGAGGCTGAGGCAGGAGAATCACTTGAAACTGGGAGGCAGAGGTTGCAGTGAGCCGAGATTGCACCACTGCACTCCAGCCTGGGTGAAAGAGTGAGACTTCGTCTCAAAAATAAATAAATAAATAAATAAATAAATAAACAAACATGTACTACTTTTATTGTCAAAAAAGAACAAGGTAATGTTACTTTGTAAAAACTTAGTCATTCCCACTCTTAATTTGCCAGGGCAAGGCAATTGGATAATTCATCTCCTTTAAAGGAGTTAAGGGCTGATAATGACTAATGTGCTAATTCCTCCTAAGTGTATTTGCATTCTAACCAAGGAGCCTTTGGACAGGGGTCTACAGACTATGGCCTGTGGGCCAAATCCAGTCATGACCTTTTTTTTTTTGTTAATGTCCCTGAGCTAAGAATATGTTTTACATTTTTAAATAATTGAGAACAAAAGAAGAAGAATATTTTGTACCATATGAAAATTATATGAAATCTAAAATTCATTGTTCATAAATAAAATTGTATTGAACCCAGCCACACCCATTCATTTATGTGTGGTTATATACTATATGGCCCTCAAAGCCAAAAATACTTTCTGGCCCTGTATTGAAAAAGTTTGCTGACCTCTGCCTTAGGGTGAGGTTTTGTATATATTTAAGGGAAAGTTTTGTGTATATTCACTTGAATGGTGAAGACAGGATGGTCTTCTGTATTTTCCCTAAATCGGTTTATGAAGGTGGCTTTCCTTTCCTGTATGTAAATCCAGCTGTGGTTCTATGAATGTGATTTTCTACCATAACTGCTTTTGTGAATGAGCTTTCCTCTTTGATTTATTTAACAAAATGGTATTTGAATAGGCCAGTTCAGTATATTGCTTTACTACTTAGACAGAATTTTATTTCTGTGATAATTCTCTGTTGCCGGAAGTCAGGGACCCCAAACGGAGGGACCGGCTGAAGCCATGGCAGAAGAACATGGATTGTGAAGATTTCATGGACATTTATTAGTTCCCCAAATTAATACTTTTATAATTTCCTATGCCTGTCTTTACTGCAATCTCTAAACACAAATTGTGAAGATTTCATGGACACTTATCACTTCCCCAGTCAATACCCTTGTGATTTGCTAGGCCTGTCTTTACTTTAATCTCTTAATCCTGTCAGCTGAGGAGGATGTATGTTGCCTCAGGACCCTGTGATAATTGCGTTAACTGCACAAATTGTAGAGCATGTGTGTTTGAACAATATGAAATCTGGGCATGTTGAAAAAAGAACAGGATAGTGCCCCCGCCTGGCAGCTGCCCCATCTGGGAGGTGGGGGGCGCACCCCCGCCCGGCAGCCGCCCCATCTGGGAGGTGGGGGGGGCCGCCCCTGCCCAGCAGCTGCCCTGTCTGGGAGGTGGGGGGGCGCCCCCGCCCGGCAGCCGCCCCGTCTGGGAGGTGGGGGGGGCGCCCCTGCCCGGCAGCTGCCCTGTCTGGGAGGCGGAGGGGGCTGCCCCCGCCCGGCAGCCGCCCCGTCTGGAAGGTGGCGGGGGGCGCCTCTGCCCGGCTGCCCCGTCTGGGGGGTGGGGGGCCCCTCTGCCTGGCCGCCCCATCTGGGAAGTGAGGAGCCCCTCTGCCCGGCCGCCACCCTGTCTGGGAGGTGTACCAAACAGCTCATTGAGAACGGGCCATGATGACGATGGCGGTTTTGTCCAATAGAAAAGGGGGAAATGTGGGGAAAAGAAAGAGAGATCACATTGTTACTGTGTCTGTGTGGAAAGTAGTAGACATAGGAGCCTCCATTTTGTTCTGTACTAAGAAAAATTCTTCTGCCTTGGGATGCTGTTGATCTGTGACCTTACCCCCAACCCCGTGCTCTCTGAAACATGTGCTGTGTCCACTCAGGGTTAAATGGATTAAGGGCGGTGCAAGATGTGCTTTGTTAAACAGATGCTTGAAGGCAGCATGCTGGTTAAGAGTCATCACCACTCCCTAATCTCAAGTACCCAGGGACACAAACACTGCAGAAGGCCGCAGGGACCTCTGCCTAGGAAAACCAGAGACCTTTGTTCACATGTTTATCTGCTGACGTTCTCTCCACTATTGTCCTATGACCCTGCCAAATCCCTCTCTCCGAGAAACACCCAAGAATGATCAATAAATACTAAAAAAAAAAAAAAAAAGAACAGGATAACAGCAATTGTTCAGGGAATAAGAGAGATAACCTTAAACTCTGACTGCTGTTGAGCCAGGTGGAACAGAGCCTATTTCTCTTCTTTCAAAAGCAAATGGGAGAAATATCGCTGAATTCTTTTTCTCAGCAAGGAACATCCCTGAGAAAGAGAAGGCGACCCTGAGGGTGGGTCTCTAAAATGGCTCCCTTGGGTGTGGCCGTCTTCTATGGTCGAAACTGTAGGGATGAAATAAACTCCAGTCTCCCATAGTGCTCCCAGGCTTATTAGGAAGAGGAAATTCCCGCCTAATAAATTTTGGTCAGACCGGTTGCTCTCAAACCCTGTCTCCTGATAAGATGTTATCAGTGACAGTGGTGTCTGAAACTTCATTAGCAATTCTAATTTTGCCCCAGTCCTGTGGTCCTGTGATCTCGCCCTGCCTCCATTTGCCTTGTGATATTCTATTACCTTGTGAAGTACGTGATCTTTGGGACCCACACCCTATCGTACACTCCTTCCCCTTTTGAAAGTCCCTAATAAAACTTGCTGGTTTTGTGGCTTGTGGGGCATCATGGAACCTACCGACATGTGATGTCTCCCCCAGACGCCCAGCTTTAAAATTTCTCTCTTTTGTACTCTGTCCCTTTATTTCTCAAACCGGCTGACGCTTAGGGAAAATAGAAAAGAACCTACGTGAAATGTCGGGGGTGAATTTTGCCCAATATCTGGCTGAATTTCTCCTGATAATTCTCTTTGAGGAAAGATGTGGTCATGAGTGATGATCTCATTGCAAATGTGACTTTCAAATAACAGTTCAGTTACGTGTGTGTCAAGGTTAAAGCCTATGCTAATGTAGAACTGAGGAAATGTTTCCTTTATCACTCAGATTAATCTGTTTCCTAACTAGACCACTTGGTAACCTTTTGCACATGACTTTCCATTTGCTTTTTGCCCTCTTAATGTATAACCCCGGCTTTGGTCTAGATTAAGGGTTTTATAGTGGTTGACACTGACAGATTTTCCTTATTTATTAGTATTATGATCAGTCCTTTAACTTATTTATTGATAATCTTGGAGCTATTTTTCAATAAATACAAATTACACATCCCTTTAAGAGTATTTCAGTTGTATGTACTGACCCATATTAGAATAGTCTAACATTCTGTCTTACATTCTGGGAACCATTATTAATTTTTATTGAATTTTGACAGATACAGATATTTTTCATGTGTGAACACTGCTGTCACTCCATTTTTTCAAAAGGAGTGTGACTAAAATATTTTTTTAAATCTCAGCTTTATTGAGATAATTTACATATTATAAAATTCATTTAAGTGCTTAATTGAACAATTTTTAGTAAATTTATAGAATTATGCAACTATTACCATAGCCTAATTTTAGAATATTTTCCTCACCCCAAAAAGAAACCTTGTACCCATTTGTCCTGTTTCTCCCCTGCCTCCAGCCGTAGACCACCCCTGATAAAGTTTCCGTATCAATGGATTTGTCTTTTCTGGATATTTCACATAAACAGAATCATATATGTTGTTTTCTGTCTGGTTTCTTTTAGTTAGCATAATATTTTTGAGGTTCATCCATGTTGTGGTATGTATCTTCCTTCAGTCCCTTTTATTGTCAATTAGTATTCCATTCTATAGATAGATCACATTTTATATGTCCACCTAAGAGTTGATGGACATCTGGGTTTTTTGCCACTTTTTGACTCTTGTGAACAATGCTGCTATAAACATAAATGTGCAAGACTTTGTGTAGACACATGTTTTTATTTCTTTTGCACATTTCCCTAGAAATGGAATTGTTGGGTCATATGGTAGATCTTGTTTAACATTTCAAGAAACCTCCAAACTATTTTCCAAAATGGTTGCATCATTTCACCTTTCCACTAGCAATGTTTAAGGATTCCAGTTTTTCTGCATTCTTGTTAACACTTGTCATTGTCTTTGATTTTAGCAATCCTAGAAGGTGTGAAGTGTTAGCTCATTTTAATTTTAATTTTAATTTTGCTAATGACTAATAATGTTGAGCATCTTTTCATGTGCTTATTGGCCATTTGTGTACATTCTTTGGTGAGTTGCCTGTTCAGATCTTTGCCTATTTTTGTTTTTTATTTTTTGAGATGAGGTCTTGCTCTGTCACCTAGGATAGGGTACAGTGGCATGATCATAGCTCATTGCAGCCTCAAACTTCCACCATAGCCTCCCAAGTAGCTGGAACTACCGGTACATACCATCACACCTATTTATTTATTTATTTATTTATTTAAGACAAGGTTTCACTGTGTTGCCCAGGCTGGTCTCAAACTCGTCTCAAACAATTTTCCCACCTAAGCCTCCTGAGTGTAACCAACTGCCCAGTGGACTCTTCTTGCCTGCTGCCTAGATAGAGCCAATTTATCAAGGCAGGGGAATTGCAATAGAAGAGTTTTATACATGTAGAGCCAGCAAAACAGGAGACTGGTGTTTTATTATTACTCAAATCAGTCTTCTCCAGAATTCAGAGGCTTGGGGTTTTCAAGGATAGCTTGGGGGAAGAGAGGCAGTTGGCTAGACAATGGGTGCTTTCTGCAGATTGGTTGAGAGTGCTATCATAGGGCTGTTGGAAATGGTCCTTATGAACCTGTGTCATTTCTGGGTGGAGCCAAAATAGTAATTGGTGGGTTCAGGTGGAGCCAGCAGTTGTCAGATATGCAAAAAACCTGAAAAGACATCTCAAAAGGCCATATTAGCTTCTGCAATAGTGATGCTATCTGCAGGAGTAATTGGGGAAGCTGCATATCTTACGACCTCTGGAATAATGATGGGTAACCATTTATGTCTGTACCTTAGCAGAATTTAGACTCCTCTCATCCCTTAGTCTGGTGGTCTCTCATTAGCTTTACAAAGGCAGTTAGTTGAATTTGGGGGAATGGCTATTATCATTTAAACCAGGGGTTTCCAACCCCTGGGCCACAGACCAGTTTCTGTCTGTGGCCTGTTACAGCAGGAGGTGAGTGGCCAGTGAACAAGCATTATCACCTGAGCTCCACCTCCTGTCAGATCAGCAGTGCCATTAGATTCTCATAAGAGTGTGAACCCTATTGTGAACTGTGCTTGCCAGGGATGTAGGTTGCATGCTTATTTATTTATTTATTTATTTATTTATTTATTTATTTATTTGAGACGGAGTCTCGCTCTGTTGCACAGGCTGGAGTGCAGTGGCACGATCTCGGCTCACTGCAAGCTCTGCCTACCGGGTTCACGCCATTCTTCTGCCTCAGCCTCCTGAGTAGCTGGGACTACAGGCGCCTGCTACCACGCCCAGCTAATTTTTTGTATTTTTTTAGTAGAGATGGGGTTTCACCGTGTTAGCCAGGATGGTCTGGATCTCCTGACCTCGTGATCCGCCCGCCTTGGCCTCCCAAGGTGCTGGGATTACAGGCGTGAGCCACCGCACCCGGTCGGTTGCATGCTTGTTATAAGAATCGAACACCTGATGATCTGAGGTGAAAGTTTCATCCTGAAACCATCCCCACCACCCTGACCCTGGTCTGTGGAAAAATTGTCTCCCATGAAACCAGTCCCTGGTGCCAAAAATGTAGTGGGCCACTGATTTAAATTATAAACTAAATGTCTCCCAATAATTAAGGGCAGTTTGAAGGCTGGACTGCCCAGTTTGGTGGGGTTGGTTAGATCTGATCTCTTTCACTACCATAATTTTCTTACTCAAGTAATTTTCACAAAGGCAGTTTCATGAGTAGCTGGGATTACAGTTGTGAGCCATCCCCCCGGTTCTCTTTGCCTATTTTTAGATTGGGTTTAAATGCTCGTATTGTTAAGTTTTTAAAAAATAATGTATGCTTTTGGTATCATACATAAGAAATCTTTGCCTGACCCAAGGTCATAAAGATTTACTGCCATGATTTTATCTAACAATTGTGTAGCTTTAGCTGTTACATCTAAGTCTATGATTCATTTTGTGGAAAAGGTTCAAGCAAATGATTTTGCGTAAGGATATTCAGTTTCCCAGCATCATTTGTTGAAAAGGCTATCCTTTCTCCACTGAATTGCCTTTGTTCTTTTGTCAAACACCAGTTGTCCATAAATGTACAGGTCTATTTCTGGACTCTCTGTTCTGTTCCATTGATCTATATATCTATTTTTATTGAAAGTGTTTTGTTTTACGATTCATTATTCAGTCTTGAAATTTGATTTATCTAGACACTTTCCAGCCAGTCATTTACCAGACTAATTTAGATGGATAAGAGTTTTAGGGGTGGAGGGCAAGCTTCCTTTTTGCCCTCTTTGAAGATTTGCTGAAATGCTGACAACAGACAGATTCATAGGAGAAAAAGGCATACAGATTTATTTACGAATGCGTAGACTTGGAAGTCCTTCAAATATGAGACTCAAAGAAGGGCCAGATGGTTAGGGCTTATGTACCCTCTTCACAGGGGAGAGGGAAGGGGGGCGTATAGGAAATTTTAGAGGGGCAATAAATGATTTTCAGGGGAAATGAATGAGCTTAAAGAACAATGGCCTGGGTACAAAGTTCCTCTGAGCTCTGGGGAAGCTGCTGGGAAGGTGAGGGGCAGAACTTCATTTGTCTTATTATTCAGATAAAGTCTTTTAGGTAATCTCTCTGAGCTGCCCTGAGAAGAATAGATGAAAAGTCTGTCTGGGCATGGTGATGACTTTTAATCTCTTCTCTTTTCTGTGGTTAATCTTTCCTGGCTATTTGATGTAACTGCTAGAGAGAGGTCTTAAGGCAATTGCATTTCTTTTGGACAGAAATTTCCCTAGTCAGCTAAGGAAATTCTAGAGATCCTCCCTCTTTGCGCTTGGTGAGGAGTGGGAGAGAAACAAGAGAAGGTTAGAAAGTTAGGCAACTTCTAAAGACTTCCAATTTCTTCTCTTCAAAGTGCTCAGCATGCCAAAGCACCATACTTTGGAGGTGTCATTCTGTGCTCCTTAATAGGGGAAATACTTAGGAGGCTTGGCATGCAGAAGTGGACATTTCTCTTCAATGTGTTAGTCATTCAGAAGCAATTTACTTAACTCCAACTGTGTGGCAGAACATGATGCCAGGCACTAACTCCGATAGATGCCATGATGGGCCTTGGGGCAAACACAAATCCCCTGCTAGGAAGTCATTTGATGGGATTTGTGAATCCATTTCCTGAGTTTCTGTTTTTTTCCCTGTGATCCGGCAGGCATTCAAGAGCCCACAGCTGAGTGCATGGCTAAGGTCAAATGCAAAGTGTAGGTGACTAATCTTTTGTTTATTCAACAAAAGTTCTTTGAATATCTACTATATGAAAGGCACTGTGTCAGACATTAAGCATTTGCAGTGAGGACCAAAGACAGGGCCCTTTCTTCTTAAGGAAATTATTAATACATTTATGTATATTGTCTACATAAAACTATAAGTAAAATGATGATTGGTGTACTGGTATAATCCAAAGAATATGGGAGTGCAGAAGAAGGAAACCATCACTGCCTGGATGACGTTAGAATTTGACCTAGTAGGAAAAGTAAGATTTCAGTAACTAGAGGAGGAGTTATCAATAGAGAAATATCACAGCAGAGGTTTTAGAATGTGACCTCAAATATTCAGGAGACATTTTGTTTCAAAATCTCTCTTAGCCATCAGGAATGGACATGAAGCTCTAGTTAGGGCACTGGGACCTGAGCATCTTCCAGTAAACCCATAGCTGTTATGTGGTTCACTTTCAGAAGTGTGGCCCCTGATTTGCTAGGTGTTACCTGGCTCTAGCCTGCTCTTGGTGAAACTTGTCACTTTAAAAGGGAGTGTGCTCAGACAGGGGCTGGAGAGAAAATAACTTCCACTTAGATTTCAGCTTTAGTAAGAGACATCAGTGCAGTACCTCTTCTGTGACACTGGGCTTTTACAACTGGGAAAACTAGTTTTTAAGCATCTGTGGTCCGGAGATCTCTGTTGAGTAGACTAGAATCTGAAAGTTTGGCAGACTTATGATGTCATTTAGGAAGTGATCACTTTGAAACTTTTAATCCTCCTACAGAAAGTATATTTCTGTTGCAGAGATTAATTTAACAGGAGTGTATATAGCATCTGTCAAATTTTTAATTAAGTAATTAAAAGAATAAACCTGTATTTATAATTCCATTCCAAACATATCAGTTCCCCAGATATGATTTTGGGTGGTTTTATTTTAGAAAAATATGAATCGTGGTACTGGGGACATGGAGTGTCATCTGGATTTAAGGAAACATTCTTTGACAGGGAAGAGGTGTTAAGCATCAGAACGGATTGTAGCAGTGGCAGTGGTATCTCATCATCTGGGGGTGTCTTTAAAAATAGTTTTAGTGTTCCTCTCCTTTTGTCAGTTGTCTTGATCATAATCCTGGGTTATTTCAAAGGTTTAATGAAGAGGATGCAACCAGTTGCTCTCAGTTGTTTATTTTCAAGGACCCAAGGAAATGAGCTTATGTTTAAAGAGGAGTGAATTAGTTTGCATATAAAGTATCTGAAAGTATCAGAGTATCGTCAAAGCCTTAAAACTATAAAATATGCTATGAAGAGACCCCTAGATTTTCCAGTCCTTGAGACTTGAAAAAAAGAGATGAAGCAACCACTTGTGTCATGCCTATCCTAATCTCTCACCTTAGGAAATAATGCTCTGAAAGGGACACCGGGAAGTGCCCATGATGGCATGACCAGAAGGTGTCTGCACTCCTGGCTGGCTGCACCTTTCCTGGAGCTGTATCTACCAGTGGATTCTGTTACTTGCCCAGCACTAACCCCGCTCTATGAGGACCTTGCTTCCTCTCGAGTCTGCAGCCTGACTCATATTGTAACCATTCCAGCAAGTGGCTCACTGTTCGGTTAAGGATAGAGCCATGTAAGACATTATCCAGGAAGTAGATGAAGTTAATTTTTGAGGTTCAGGTAGTTCTTTGATTGTGTGTGTGTGTGTGTTGAGATTATAGGTCAGGCATTGACAACCTATAGCTCATTTGACAAAAGCCCCAAAAGAGATGATTCAGCTCAGAAGTATTCAGGGTAGTTGCCACAACCAGCACTTTAATCAGAATTGCAAAGTAGTTGAAATTTTTATTTGTCACATCCTTATATTCCTTTTCTGATGCTTCTCTTCCCACTCACCAGCTGCCCAGGGTCTTCAGACTGCCTTTTACCTGGAATCATACCATGCCCTGCACTGCAGTGCTACTCCCCTACATGTTATTCCATCTTATCACCAACCATGATTAAGATTTCTTTAAAACCAATGATAGGTAGGTATAAAGAGAAAGTCAGTCTGGTAAAGTGACCTTGTGTTAGAAGCACATGACTTGAGAGGTTGCTGTATCTGTCCCAGGAGCTCTCTTTTTTTGTTGTTGTTTCAAAGACAGAATGCTTTTACTTGAATACATCTCTAAATTTATAATGATCAATTTGAATCTGATTTATGAATTTGGTATAACGTTACAAGAGAGTCATTAGCTGGGAGGATTTGATGAGGAAATACACATTTTTTGAACTAGTGTGAATTTTGATCATGATATAAATTTAAATAAAACTAATTTAAAATTATTTAAAATAACCTTTGCATGATTTTTATTTTAAAGTATTTACAATTCTGTTTTAAAAGCTTTTCAGTAAAAGCTGGAATTTAAAAATATAGTGGAATCTCTTTAAAACAGTGGTGGTAAAGAATAAGACTGTAATGGTGTCATTATAGACTACCTGTGTCAAGCAGACTTTGTTACACCTAGTTATATTTTTTAAGTCATGGCACACAGATGAACTATGTCTAATTAGCTATTAGTATTATAATAGCATTCTACTTCGTTGTCATTATTTGTCTTTATATTACAACCACACATTTTCACTTATTTCCATCAAAATTTTGTTTCCTTGATTAGGTTTTCTCCTTAGACACGTTAAGTGATAATGACCCTTGCTTTCCCAGCTTTTTCTTTCTTTTGCCCAAATTATGAGAAAGTAGGAGGAGTAGGAAAAAGGTGAGCATAGTAAGGATATGGATTGGTTTCTCCTCTTTTCCTTATGCTGGTGTTAAAAATTGCTCTTGACATAGTAGTACTTACCATGATTTTTTTAAGGTGAAAAAGAGTTTAAAGAAAGATTTATATAAGTAATGAGCTAGGAGGATATTTGAAAAACCTGTAAAAGGTAATGCCCATATTCTCCTGCCAAACAGACAGAATACTGGAAAGAAGCATCCTTAGTCTTATCTAAAATACCTCCTCCTATTTTTTTTTTTTTTTTGAGACGGAGTCTCGCTCTGTCGCCCAGGCTGGAGTGCAGTGGCGGGATCTCGGCTCACTGCAAGCTCCGCCTCCCGGGTTCACGCCATTCTCCTGCCTCAGCCTCCCGAGTAGCTGGGACTACAGGCGCCCGCCACTACGCCCGGCTAATTTTTTGTATTTTTAGTAGAGACGGGGTTTCACCGTTTTAGCCGGGATGGTCTCGATCTCCTGACCTCGTGATCCGCCCGCCTCGGCCTCCCAAAGTGCTGGGATTACAGGCGTGAGCCACCGCGCCCGGCCACCTCCTCCTATTTTTAAAAGATTGCACAATAATATTTATTAGCTGTTCTTCTCTCTCTCATATGTGGAATGGGTAATGCTGATGCCTTTACAAGCCGACGCTCGTTTGTTAGACATTGTAGTGTGGAGTTTGTCAAGAATACATCTTTAATAATCTGTCCAAGGAACTGGACAGATACCAAAAAAGATATACTATGCAGAGTATATTGATTTCTGAATTTATTTCTCCCTTTCAGTTACATTACATTATAATTACCCCACACCAAGATCTGTACAGCTATGCAAGAGATGAAAAATCTACAGGTTCAGGGGAAAATGTGAGCAAAAATAGATTTTTTATCTGTTTTCTTGATAATAAAAGGGAAGATAGGAAAGATAGAGACCTAAACTCAAACCAAACCAGAACCAACCAACCCTAACCTCAGACTGTTACAGAAAAGTTACCTATTTAAAAATATTTAAAAATTGAAATAGCCTTTTAAAAAGGTTACTGCAACCATGGCGAAACTGTATAGAAGAGAATAAAAAATACCTAGGTGAAACAGTGACTAAAATACCCCAAATCTTAAAGTGTTTATCTGTAATATATTAATAAATGTTTTTATTTTATTTAACTACCTAGTTCCACCTTGTGGTGAAAGACTAGGAAAGGCCATTCAGTTTTTGCATTTTAATTGATTATAGATTGTCTACCCAAAAGCTAAAAAGAGAAGCCTTCTTTGTGAAGGAGTGAATCAGGTCCAAAGAAGTAGACACATTATTTGTACCACCTAGTACCAATGTGGATTAAAAAAAAAACTCTCTATTATTTTATCCATTAATACCTTAAGATGTGTAACTAATACCTTTATTTCATAGTTTAAAAATAACCTAAAGGAGATGAATTCTATGTGGCCTTAATGTTGACTTAACGTAGTACCTTAAAAAACCATAACCGCCTTTTTATCATGCCAAATAAGGATATTTCCCTGTTTGACTTAACTGCACCAATTTCGAATTTATAATAATTTAGGTAGAATATGAATTGTAGTTTTATTCTTTCACAACTCCTGAAGAAGTAGTACTGAAATAAATTTGTAATGAAAAAACAACTTTAGATAAGGCAGCTACCTAAGATAATACAATGTTTTTGAGCATTTTTTGTGTGTATTTTAAAAGCATTAATTTTCTTATCAATAATTAATATGTTAATATATTGATATTTATGTTACCTCTATTTTTTCAAGTAGGCTGTCTAAGGAACTCTCCCAGGAGAACCTGACAGCTAATTTTTTATGAACGTACTTGTTTGATGTAAAAAAATTGCATTGAAAAATATTTTAATTTATAATTTTCACTAAAGCAAACTATCCTTCTTCTCGTCACCCAGTTAGTATAAGCCAGTGAGGCGATCTCATTTGGGACAAGCCTTCTTTTATTATTTATGTTTCTTTCTAAAGATAGCTGATTGTTTTCCAGAATACTGTATCCTTTAGATATAGAACTTCTTTAAGAGCGGACTGTGAACCCTTTATGTGGCTGATGTTTTGCTCCCTACTGCAGAGCTCACTAGGATGCCTGCATTTTACCCAAGGTTCATTAATGGAATGACTCTTCCAGTTTCCTTTTTTTCCTGAGGGACCTTTCCTCTATTATTGTGTACAGATTGGGCTCTTGATTTTACCTGTGATTGATTTGTTTTTGCTTAAGATAATAGTTTACAGGGAAGCTTTTATATTGGTCAGAGATATTATGGCCTCATTCTGTTTAAAATTCGTAGTTTTCTTTGTGTAGGAAAAGTTCAAGCTTCTTAACCTGGGATATAAAGCCTCTATGTCCACCGGCGCATCGTTCCAGCCTCATCTTCCACCTCATGCTTCATTGACTTCACCACTGCTTTCCTTCCTTGCAACTCATATGTAGTTTTGTGTGTCCTTGCCTTTTTCCTTTGTTCTTGCTCCTCCCTCCACCTGCAACATTCCCATCTTCTTTGCTGGGAAGACCTCAGACTGGGTTAAGCTCCTCATAGCTTCCTGAGTGTTCTCTGAATGCATTTATTTTATACTGCAATTTCTTGCCTAAATTTCTTTCATTTCAGATTACAGGCTTCAAGAGGTGGCACTCTTATTATTCATCTTTGTACCCATAGAACTTAAAGGATACCCTGGCATATGACGGATGAATGCTCAATAAATAGTTTGTGACCTGAATTGAATTGCAGCTAAACAATAGTAATAAGTTTAAATAATGGGAAGTCAAATTTTTGTGAAATTTGTCTAGATTAACATCAACCACTATAATGTCAGACTTTTAAAAAAGGAAGTTTAAACATTCAGCAAGCAGTTATATAATGATTCTCTTTTCTTCAAAGTTGAATTTGATTTAGCCTATATAAAACCAAACAGTTATAGGTTAACAAAAGGAAATTTTCAGTGTAGTATTTTTGATAAGTTAAGCCATTTAGGTAATACAGACCTGGCATGAGCTAATGTGTTCTCACTCCAAAATAAATTTGAAATATTGTCCATGTCATCGCCAGCATCTTGTTTAGAATTTTTGTTGCCCATAGAGTGTTTTCTAGTCTATTTTACTTTCTTGGGATATTCTTTTAAGTAAAAGATTAGTGCCCCCTAGAGGTAAACTCTAGGTGCAATGCTATATACATATTTTTTTGAAGTACTGCAAAATTCTACGAGAATTGTGTGAAATACAGAAAATGCTGTATCAGCCTTGTTATGTAATTCAAGTTATGTAAGTTAATCCCAGAGTATTTCATAGTGCTTTTACTTTGCTCGTCACTTCCTCTAGCACTATTGATCCAGACAGTTTTTTGTCCCATAGGGAGAACATATCCAAAAAGAGAAAAAGGAATGCTTTATTAAAAACTGAAAATGGAATGTTAGGGATATTGGCGGTTAGTATAGTCATCTGTGAAGGAAAGTTACCAGGCCCAATGCCTATGACTCACTCCTAGGGTAAAATAAAAGCTTTTCTATGTAGGCTTAGCTGTCTACTTTCCCTTCTTTTCTTTCCCTTAAATTTCTTGCTCGATCAGATTGGAACCCCAATTCTTTCCCCTCAGTTCATTCCCGACCACCCTTTACCCATAATGTTGATTTTTAATTTTTAATAGCATCCTCTTTTATTCCACTCATTTGTGCTGAGGAAACTGACTCAGTATTATAAAGTACTTAGCACAAGGTTAGGCATCTAGTAGTAACTCATGGTGTGTGTGTTTTTGTTTATTATTGTTAGTGACATTTGCTTTTCGGAAAATGATATCTTATATTTTGTAGGATGTTTTCCATATACAGTATTTCTGTGGACCCTCAGAATAGTCAGCTGAGACAGGAAAAGCAGGCAGTATTGGGGATAGCCAGTGTCTTTGGATTTTTTTCAAGCATTATAGAAGTTAAATTAGTTTATTTCTGCATTTTCTTCTAAAATTCTTAAAAAATTAAGCCATAAGTCTTAAGAGTAGCTTTTATTTTATACATTTTCTAAGTTGACAGGTCATTGATTTTTTAAAATGATAATAATTTGATTTAAAGATTACAGACTTTTTGTTCTCTAGGTTGAACTAGGAGTTTTCTGTTTTCCAACCTTTATTTTAAAGATAAAAAAAACCCTGAAGCCTAGAGAGTTTAGGCTGTTGGTACAAATTCATAAGGCCAAGGGCAGAAGCAGGACTAAAATGTCTTTTCCCTTATCACAGGTTTTCTCTTTTCCTAATTTAGAGGGAGTCTCACTCTTTTGCCCAGGCTGGAGTGCAGTGGCATGATCACAGCTCACTGCCACCATGCCCAGCTAACTTTTTGTATTTTTAGTAGAGATGGGGTTTTACCATCTTAGCCAGGTTGGTCTTAAACTCCTGACCTCATGATCCACCCACCTCGGCCTCCCAAAGTGCTAGGATTACAGGCGTGAGCCACCACACCCGGCCATCTTTTCCTAGTTTAGATTTGCATGGCTTAATATTATTATTTTCCTTCTCTAAACATGTCTGTTTTAATTTTCCTTTGTTGTCACATAAATACGATAGTAGCAAATGACACCTGGTTTTGGAAAGTTTCCCTTATGTAGAGGGTTTTGTTCAGTCTGGCAAGTCAAGTTGTGAAATTGCCTTACTATGAGATAAGTGTTCAGAATCATACCCCATCTTTAACTGTCCTGGAGTGAGAAAGACACAAGAAGTGGAATATAGAGTGAAATGTAAGTCTGGTAGGGTGTAGGCATAGTGGACCAGAGAGCACAGAATTCTCAGCACTATTACAATCCTGGAAGTCCCCAAAGTAATCATGTGCTTGGATTCTACTGTCCTTCTGTGTACTGAGGATATCAGACCTGCACAATAAAGCCATTTATTTTGAGAGACAAAGCAGCTGGCTGAGGATCAGGAGCTGTATAATATTGTTTATATAAATATAATCTTTTAGTGTTCCCATTCAGGCTCTTTTAGAGTTTGGCTGCTTTCTGGTTATATTGAAGATACGCAGAGAAGTACATAGATTTAGAATGTACATGACATTCACAAGCTTAGCTTTTCTGCCTTGTTTTTAAGTAGGCCTTAGCCTTATAAATTCAAGCTTGTGCCTTAGAACGGGACTGGGTGAATTCTTACAGTGCTCTAATACAAGAGTCCCCAACCCCCAGGCCACAGACAGGTACTGGTCCGGTCCATGGCCTGTTAGGAAGTGGCCTGCACAGTAGGAGGCGAGCATTGGGCCAGCCAGCCTTACCACCTGAGCTCTGCCTCCTGTCAGATCAGTGATGGCGTTAGATTCTCATAGGAGCATGAAACCTATTGTTTTGTTTGTTTGTTTTTTGAGACAGAATCTCACTCTGTTGCCCAGGCTAGAGTGCAGTGGCATGATCTCGGCTCACTGCAACCTCCGCCTCTTGGGTTCGAGTGATTCTCCTGCCTCAGCGTCCCAAGTAGCTGGGATTACAGGCATACGCCACATTGCCCGGCTAATTTTTTTTTGTTATTTTTAGTAGAGATGGGTTTTGCCATGTTGGCCAGGCTGGTCTCGAACTCCTGACCTCAAGTGATCCGCCCACCTTGGCCTCCAAAGTGCTGGGGATTACAGGTATGAGCCACCACATGGCTGTGAACCCTATTGTGAACTGTGCATGTGAGGGATCTAGGTTGTGCTCTCTTTATGAGAATCCAATGCCTGATGATCTGAGGTGGAACAGTTTCATCCCAAAACCACCCTCCCCTGCATCTGTGGAAAAACTGTCTCCCATGAAACCAGTCCATGAGTAGGAAATTGCAGTATTAGTACTCATTTCCCTAAGTGCTTATCTGTTCGCGTACATATCATGCATGTAATAGATATGTTCCTGAAGAGGCCCTTGAAAATTGATTCATCTCTGAAATACAGTTGAGAAGTTGAGAGAGTTGTCATTTCATGGTATCTCAAGGTAAATATTCTAATTGAATGGATAACTCCTTTGTAACTTATTTGGTTATTTACAGGTTTTTCTTTCTTTCTTTCTTTCTTTTTTTTTTTTGAGACGGAGTCTCGCTCTGTCACCCAGGCTGGAGTGCAATGGCTTGATCTCGGCCCACTGCAACCTCCGCCTCCTGAGTTCAAGTGATTCTCCTGTCTCAGCCTCCCAAGTAGCTGGGATTACAGGCACCTGCCACCATGCACGGCTAATTTTTGTATTTTTAGTTGAGATGGGGTTTCACCACGTTGGCCAGGCTGGTCTCGAACTCCTGACCTCAGGTGATTGATCCACTTGCCTTGGCCTCCCAAAGTGCTGGAAGTACAGGTGTGAGCCACTGAGCATGGCGTATTTACAGGTTTTTCTAAACAAGGATTGCTCAAAATGTGTTATAACATTTTTTGGGGCTAAATAAAGTATTTTTAAACTTTGTCTTACTTTGGTATTATGACATCAGAGATTCAACTGATATTCCTTGGGAATTAGGAAATCAAAATAAAATGTCAATTTGTAAAGATGGAGACTTGGTTAAAAGTAATTTGATTCACCTTCAGTTTTGCTGTATTTCAAAGGTACTATTGACATGAACAGTTACTTTGTGGTAGAGCTATTGAGCCTAAGCTTAGTATTTATATTATTTGTAGTTAATTATGCCTAGATGGGTAATTGAATATTAAAAGGTTCTGTGACTTATGTAAACAGTGCCAGAACACTGGATGTAAAAGCTGGTAAATTTGATAAGAAATTCCTAAGGGAACTTCTTCTTCATCAATCAAAAACATTTTCTGACACTAACAAAAGATATTGTAAAACATATATATAGAGAGAGTCAACTAAGATAATAAAGTTTTATGGGATTTAAACTATTTTTGGGGACTGAGAGACTTACCATAAAAGTTTGCTTCCAGTTTACATTAGGCCTCTTCTTTGTGTTTGTGTAGTTATATAGTTTTGATTATAAGTTTAGATCTTTTCATTATTTTGTGCTATATACTCACTTGACATTTTGGAAGTGCAAAGGAGTTGGATTCATTTGTATACAGGGCTTGTGCCATGGGTGAAGTAGGTGGGATTCTGGTTCCTGCCTCTTTCCTGCCCACTTCTTTGGCTCCTTTCATGGGAGTAGCCCAGAATCACTGAAAGGCGAGAAAATGGAAATGTGCCAGTCCACTGTGGAACAGCCATCTTAATACCTGCTTTGACATTTGTCTGTCCAACACAAACCTTGCAGTGGGCCATGTGGTTACTAGAGCTATCCCTACTTGGCAGGCTAAACAAAGCTTTTGGGAAATCTTTGATGGTTTGGGTTCTAAAATCACAGACTTCTAAATCAGGCCTGTGGAACGGGGAAAGCTATTGTAGGTTGAGTGTTGATTTTGTGCTAGTGTTATTTAGTTTTGAAAATCTTCCGTTATAAGAAGACTTACATTGTGCAGAGGAAGGGTTTGGACAGAGGACTTCTAACCTGACACATACGGATTTCAAAAAATTTTTTTGAAATAATTATAGGCTCATAAGATATTGATAAAATAATATGTAGAGTCTCATACTCTTCACCCAGCTCACGTCTATGGATTTCTAAAAATGTTCCTCGGCATCCTTGAACCTGTTTTAGGCTAGAAGTAGAAGATCAACTGCGGGGGTGAAAACTCCACCCTCTTGTTAAGGTGGCACTGGTCACTGTATCGGGAATCATGAATAAAGTCAGGGCATTGTCCGTATTTGAAGAATTGTAACCCCATGTAGTAGTCCAGGCTTATGTTTGTTCTGGTGTCTTAAAAATGTAATAATTTGAATTGTCTTCTTGAATTATTAATCTGAAATTCACTTTTTTAAGTTTTTAAATTAAATTTAGTTTTTAAGTAATAAGCATTTTAAAAATTTAAAAATAGGTGCATGAATGAATACCATGTGAGGAATGTTTTCTACTTGTCTCCTTTTTATGTTTAAGAATGTTAAGGATAATTCTGAGTTCTAGGACCCCAAATTTTGCTTTTCTCTTTATAGGTTCGAAAACATGTGAATGATCTCTATGAAGACTTAAGGGATGGACACAATTTGATTTCTCTTTTAGAGGTTCTTTCAGGAGATACCTTGGTAAGTTTTAACTTTCTTATTTTATTTTGAAGAACGTGTAATCTTTTCTGCATAGGACCAGTATGTTTTCAGTACAGACTATTCAGATTTTTGCAACATTCATCTTTTGAGCTATGAATTCTGCCTGAAAAAGAAGTTTTGGTTAGATTCCTAAGCATTTTCAAACTTCAAATGATGTGAATTTGAGAGATTGAAGCACTTTGATTACTTCACTTATATAATCAGTTCTATAATTAAAATACTATTTTTGTTCTTGCTTCTTTTTTACCTTTGGGTTTTTTTGCTTAGCAGAAGTTGGATGCATAATATAACCACATATTAAAAGACTTACAAATAGCAAGAAAATAAACATTGCTTTCTGAAAAATGATCTAACCCATTCCGCAGGTGTCATTTTTTTTTTTTTTTTGGTGAACATTACTTCCCCTTCTTGTTACCTGTTCTCCTTCATTATGTTCTGTTCATGCTCTTCTTTTCATTTCTGGTCTGTCTTGTGTCTTTGCTGTCCTATCTTCTGTCTGTTATATTCATTAGCCAAGGGAGCGAGATTTTTTGAAGACCTTACGATTGGTGAGTGCAACAGAAGCATGCGAATATGAACAGCATGAGGATGTGGAGGATGAGGATAAGGGGGTAGGTGTCGCCCCCATAACTTGACTAACCTAGCCGTTCCCATGCGGTGAGCGCTAACCTGATAGAGAAGTAACTCCTGGGTTCAGGCTCCTTTTTAGAAAAGCATAGAAAGGGCCAAAACCCACATTGAGGTAGATGTGTGTGTACCAAAAAATTGGATAAAGGAAATATTTTCTCTTTAAATTATCTTCAGAGAGCTAAAATGATTGAATTATTTATACATTACTGTGCACTGCATGGTAATTAAACAGACTTAAAGTACATGATGGCATTTTAGTTAAACAATTTTATATACATTGTATATAAACATGGAAATTTTACAAGTCTGCTAATTTTTGTGCAAATTCATTCAGTTTCTGGAAGTGATATTTCAAACATAGCAACTATTTATTGCTTTTTATGAAAGAACTTAGGGAAATTTTTTTTAGTATTTAAGTTTCTGCTTTAAACCACACCTCTTGGCAATAGGTATTTGATGGACATGTTTTACCTCTCTAATATATCACATGTATTTAAAAGGGAGATTTAAAAATCCAGTATTCCAACAGAACTCACAGAGCTGTTTAATCTCCGTGACTCTTAGTTGACTGCAGCCTACCTTTGCAAGACAGACGTGCTTCTTCTTTTGTCTTCTACATACCTAGTGCCCCTTGATTTTACTGGAAATTGTGCTTTTGTTGGATCCAGTGGGTAAATTTATCAACATCGTTTCTACTTGTTATGCAGAGCTTACTTTTCCTTCTGTGGTGTGCTGTCTGTTTTCTTATGGCACCTTTGGCTTCAGCAACCTATACATATTGAAGAAGCCAAGCTGTCAATTGTCTTTTTTCTTTTTTACCTTTGGAAGATTTTATGTGATAAATTTCAGCTCCATTTTTTGTATTTTTGCTAAGCATTTCTCAGCTCTGTTTCCTCTGTTTCCTTCATGCTAACTTGTAACATTTCTTAAGGGAAATGGCATTAAGGAAAATAATTCTCATCTGTCACTTTTCCTGAGACTGAGAAAATAATTGTTTCCATCCCCAAGTAGTATAAAACGAGTATAGAGTCCTTTCTAATTATCGTAGTGTCCACTTTTGTGAAAAAGCTAAAATAAAGAGGAAATATATGGTTTTAATTGGTTTTCTCTCTTTCTCTATCATGGCTAAGTAAACCTTCTCTGTCTTTCTCCTTCTTGGTGATTTTTATACTAACTGCATGCTACTTTATCTCATTTTCATTAATATGCCATATGTATATATATATGTGTGTGTGTGTGTGTGTGTGTATATACAGTTATAAAAACCCTCTTGCTAATAGTGTTCAATAAGAAGGTAAAATGATGAATGATATTTAATTATTTTTGTGCCTCCATAGCTAAATAATTGTAGGCTAGCGTTGTTTTATTACCAAATATTAAGTGTCTGTATATTCTGTAACATCTTCTCTTTTCCTTTTGTTTAAACAAAAAATTTGTCATAAAGTATATGTTTAAATAAAACATACTTGGAAAAAAATCCCTAGTAGTTTACATTCAATCTCAGACAATATAAAGAAATTGAAACCTTCTTAGAAAATCTTATGGCCTTACCTAAACGGTAAATACTGTTTTGATATATTAAGATGAACAGAAATTATATTTAAATTAGCATGGTCTGTGATAACAGAAACTCTTTTTCATACCTGCATTTTTCTGTTCTTAGCCCAGAGAAAAAGGTCGGATGCGTTTTCACAGACTACAGAATGTACAAATTGCACTTGACTATTTGAAAAGACGCCAGGTATGATGTTTTGAAAATACTGTAATCATATAAATATATGTTACTAATACATCCACGTAGAAACATGTCAAGGAATGACAAGGTTAAATTTGCCTGTGAATTGTAACCAGTAAGCTTGTGCTTTGGTGAAGCAAATATTTAAAAATGTTTTTAAACATTTGCTCCCAAGAAAAGAAGTTAATAGTAGGGATAAGCCCAGAGGAATTATAAGTGACTACATTTCCATCTATGTAAGAACTTGTGATTTTCTTTCTGTTTGAATTGGATTGCATTTGCCTAGGAAGTTAATGACATTTTAGTAGCAATAGAATGTTAAGAATGCCTATGAACAGTTCTTAATTGTGGGGAAGCAATACTTCATTTTTTACACTTAGTATATAAAAATAGTTAATTTTTATAAAAATACTTTATATAATACTTTTAATTTAGTATAAGCATTTTTCATAGTAGGGATAAGGAAATCTTTTGTTTTTATAAGTAGATAATATTGGAAAATTTATGAGTAAAGATATAACAACATTTCTGACAATAGCCCCCAACTTGCTTGAGGTATCAGGAGAAATCATGGAAAAGAATTAATATATTGGATATGATCTTGACTTGGTGGCATTACGTCATAGGCCAAAATATTAGTAATTTTTCAATTAGTACAAAAAAATGCAGGAGAGTTCAAAATTATTGAAGACAGTGAGAGTCAGAGGGGGCAGCAATTTTTTTTTTAAATAGTTTGAAAAAAAGGAAGAGGCTGGGTGTGGTGGCTCATGCCAGTAATCTCAGCACTTTGGGAGGCTGAGGCGGGAGGGTCACTTGAGCCCAGGAAATTGAGGATGTGTTGAGCCATGATTGCAATATTGCACTCCAGCCGGGGTAACAGAATGAGACCCTGTCTCAAAAAAAAAAAAAAAAGGCAAGAGAAAAAGGGGGAGAGGGAGAGGTAAACACTAGCTTTTATTATTTCTTCATTATTATTCTTAAATATTATGAACATTAAAATGCTTTTCCCTATTAAATACTAGTAAATCCTCAGTGCTTAAATATTTTAAATGTTATTGTTGTTTGCTTATTATTCATCATTCTAGTGAAAGTTTCCAGATGGATACTTCTGAAATGTTTTCTGGCAGCATTTTGTCCAAGAAGTAAAATGTTAAATATCATAGTATATAATTCTCAGTATTTAAATTCATGATATTAAATGATTTTGTCCAGGAAGTAAATGTTAGGGATCATCATTTGATTTATTTACCTGAATGTACAGTTTGACAGTTGATAAGCTTTAAGTCTGAGTATTATATTATTTTAAAATATTTGAACAGCCTTCCAAATGCCCAGTGACTTATATATTTATGGCACATTGATAGCAAAATAATGCTAGTTATTTTAAAACCTTGTAATGGAAATTTGAGAAAATTGTTAGAATTGTTAGGATAGTTTCATACTTAATGGTAAAAGTAAAATAAAATTTATTTTTAAAAGACAAAATTTTTTCTAATTTTAAGATCTCAAATATTTAGGACTTCTCACTTGAGGAGTTGTATTTTTGTATTGACAAGTGAATGCTTTTAGTACTTGCTCTAGAACAGCAGTCCCCAACCTTTCTGGCAACAGGGACTGGTTTCATGGAAGACTATTTTTCCATGAACTGGCTGGTGGGAGGAGTGGGGGTTGTTTCAGCATGAAACTGTTTCACCTCGGATCATCAGGCATTAGATTTTTATAAGGAGTGCGTGCGCAACCTAGATCCCTCAAATGCACAGTTCACAAATAGGGTTCACACCCCTATAGGAATCTAATGCAGTGGCTGATCTGACAGGAGGTGGAGCTCAGGTGGTAATGCTTCCTGGGCCGCTGCTAACCTGCTGCCATGCAGCCCAGTCCCTATGGTATAGGTTTGGGGGTTAGGTTGGGGATCCCTGCTGTGGAAGACAAGAATGCAATAATACTTGCTCTTTCTTTGTTGTTACCATATGATTTGTAATATAAAATGATTGAGAATAAGGGTAAAACAATATTTAGTTGACTACTGGTGTTTAAATTATTCCATTTTTTCTTTGTATAATTTTAGAATTGCTTTTATGTAGGTAAAGATAACTGGTTCAGGTTTGATAAACAGTTGGTTTTATCTCTTCTTCACATTCAAAACAGGTGAAATTAGTGAATATTAGAAATGATGACATAACAGATGGAAATCCCAAATTGACTTTGGGATTAATCTGGACAATAATTTTGCACTTTCAGGTAAGCCCAAATTTTCTTAATTTCAGCATCTAATTGCTAGTTTTCAGGTGGTTCCTATGAAGGGTGAATGATGCATTCATGTTCTATGGAAGAAAAATAAATTTCAAGCTTCTTTCTTTAAGTAATATATTTGAATTGTTCTTTTAAGCAACATGCTGCTTGTGAATCTGGCAACTAGTTTCCTGTTCTTGATAAACTTAAATGTAGTTTTAAAGACAATGTCTGTTATCTCAGAGTTGGAAGACATATTTCTTTTTATTGACTGGAGACACACTTTTTTTGCTCATTAGAAAGTATTACCTGTTTTAGATACTTAAATGTTTTATGATTAGTCCTTATTTAGAATGTTTTTTAGTAATACAGGTTCTTAGCACTGTCAACTATTTCCTCCTTTGATAGACACTAGATGGCAGCATAATTATAAAGAGATGTGAAGAAGAAAAGTATTCATGTTTTATGCAGAGCTGTGCTTTCTCTCTTTAGATTTGAGGAAAATGCAAATTTATTGACTGAATTATTATCTAATAAACCTGAGCCAATTGAGGACCGATTTTGATTTAGTTTTGGGGAAGTGATACATTAAAAAGAATCTTCATTTGATTTAAGGAGATTCCTAACTTTAGAACTTGCTTTAGTTTACTAACTGCTGGTCTGCTTAAGAAATGTTCTGCTACTAGAGGTGGGAAGGAGGGGGAAAAGGGCATGGGCTGAAAAACTACCTATTGGGTACTGTGCTCACTATCTGGGTGATGGGATCATCTGTACCCCAAACCTCAACATCACGCAATATACCCATGTAACAAATCCGCACTTGTACCCCCTGAATCTAAAATAAAAGTTTAAATTATAAAAAAGACCCAGAAATGTTCTGTGTGCAGCACAGAGCCTGACCCACAGTAGGCACTCAGTACATCTTACCAATAGATTACTGTACAGTTGGATCTTGAAGGAGGAAGTGATCCTTTGCCAGCTTCAAAAAGGACCTGGGGTTTTGAAACAAATCTGGTGAGGAATAAGACTTTTTTAAAGGCTGGGCGCGGTGGCTCACGCCTGTAATCCCAACACTTTGGGAGGCTGAGGCGAGTGGATCATGAGGTCAGGAGATCAAGACCATCCTAGCTAACGGGTGAAACCCCGTCTCTACTAAGAAATACAAAAAATTAGCCAGGTGTGGTGGCATGCACCTGTAGTCCCAGCTACTCGGGAGGCTGAGGTGGGAGAATCGCTTGAACCTGGGAGGCAGAGGTTGCAGTGAGCTGAGATTGCGCCACTGCACTCCAGCCTGGGCAACAGAGCGAGACTCTGTCTCAAAAAAAAAAAAAATTTTTTTTTTTTAAGTTGGCTGAAATACAGGTTACGTAGACAAATGGTGGAGAATAATGTACCTGGGGGGCTTGTTGGGAACAGGATAGATTTGACAGGTATGGAGAGCTACAGGAATCAGAGTCTAGGTAGGTCTAGGACCTGAACAGAGGCAGCTGAATAGTTTCAGCAGAAGGACATTCATGGAGATCCAGGTAATCAAAGGAAAAGGTGTTAGTCAGCCAGACTACAGGGCAGCTAATACAGGTGAATATCCACTTAGCTGAGCTGTTAATGTCAGGGAGAGCCAGTAACCAGAACTGGAAGCCAGGACCCCAAAGGACTGAGGGCATTACTGGAATCAAAGATATTGAACCTAAGTGAAGGCAATAATTTGGCATGAAGCGCAGAACCAGACCTTGTTATCAGAATTGGGTAAAGTCTAGGTAGAACTGGCCAAAAAGTTGATTTCATATGGAGTTCCTCAGTGGCTTTGTCAGGGATCATTTAAGTAGTCCTAAGTGGATCAGATCCTAGAGCTTTTAGCAGAGTTGAAACTGCAAGAACCCCAGACGGGAAAGTCAGAGGTCTATTGGAGAGAATCAATCACTTCATCACCAGCTGGTGAGGTAGGCTGTGTCTGAATTTTGAATGTTAGACGAAGGATCACTGGGGCAATGGAAAGCATTCAGGCTTCGGAGGGAGGTAGAATTAAGTTTCGTTCTTGGCTCTTTTACTTACTGTTGTGATGCCAGTCATGTTACTACTTTGAGCTTAAAAAAAAATGTGTTTCTGTTCATCACTTTCCTTTTTCCGTCCATCACTTTCCATTTTCTGTCCATAAATCTTTTTCGGTGACAGGACCTGTGCTGGAGTCTCTCTGAATCCATTCTGGTTTGGGGGCTGCCTGATTCTCAAATCGTTTTTTGCTCAATTAAATTTTGCTAAATTTTAAAAAATGTGTTTTAGGAAACAACATCCATTAAAATAGATAGAAATGAGCAGAGTCCATAGTGAGAGAGATAAGCTGTGAAGCTGAGGTAGTGATAAAGGTCAGGACTCAGTTGGGGATGCAAAATTGAATAGAAGAGGTCACACTTTCCAGGAAGAAAGAAAGGGACTTGGACACAGGGCATAGAGGGTGTAGGAAAGGGATTTGTTAAAGATAACAAAACTTTTTAGCCTGAGAGATTACGAAACAGTAGACTACTGAGAGACACAGGGGTGATGCTAGGGGGAAAAGCACTTACTTTCTGGGTGGGCTTGATGGGATGGTGGGATATCCTGTGCCTCTGTCTGCTGAGCAGTTGGAGACATGAGTGGAGCTGAGAAGCCAGAGGTACAGATATAAACTTGGAGAAGTTATCACTACACAAGTGATCACTGATTTTATCGGAAAGAAGGGATCTTCAGGGGACCCAAGAGAAGAGCACAGATGGAGAAGAGATGGAGCACTAAGGATAAAAATTTGGAGAAGGCCTGCGGGAAAAGATTCTGCTGAGGAAAGAGAAAAAAGGAGCATTTGGAGAGATGGATGAAGTAATAGGAAAATGTACTGATGAAACCAAGGGAAGAGAATTTCAAGTAGAAATAATGGTGAGCAGTATGAAATGCCACTAGAGACCACAAGAAAATTAAGATGGAGTAGAGGTCAATAGTTTGTTCTAGAAAGAAGACATTGGAGACCCAAGCTCCTGGGAGCAGAGACTAGAAAATAACAAGCCAAAAGGGTTGGGAGGTAGAAGCAGTGTATTTAGAGGCTGAGTTTGAGAAAATTTAAAGCAAAAGTCTTCAAAAAGGAGTTATATACTAAGAGAGCCCTTTGGGGTTCAGCTGCCTTTGGAGGAGAGAGGAAGACTAGTCACAGAAGTATCAAAAGAAGTTTTGCGGGCCGTGCACGGTGGCTCACACCTGTAATCCCAGCACTTTGGGAGGCCGAGGCAGGTGGATCACCTGAGGTTGGGAGTTCAAGACCAGCCTGACCAACATGGAGAAACCTGGTCTCTACTGAAAATACAAAATTCGCCGGGCGTTGTGGCACATGCCTGTAATTCCAACCACTTGGGAGGCTGAGGCAGGAGAATCACTTGAACCCAGGAGGCAGAGGTTGTGGTGAGCTGAGATCACGCCATTGCACTCCAGTCTGGGCAACAGGAGTGAAACTCTGTCTCAAAAAAATAAAAAAAGTTTTGCTTCTAATATACTGTGGCATAGTGTTCTAGAATCCATTGTATTTTAGGGCTTTAATTATAAGATGATGTAACAAATTATCACCAATATTCATAAATTAGACCAAAATCTATTTGGAATGGAACACATCTATGTTTTGGTTAAATGGAAATGTTCTCTCTTATTTAAATGAAATAACTTTTTTTAGTATGACAATAACTTGAGATAAGAATTGTTTTTTGGTTATGCCAAGATATAAAGATTTATAGCAGTGGTAATCATCCTCACTCAGAGTGACTCAGCCTTTTTCTCTATACTTTACATAAATAATGGAAGCAATTTCAAAAGACCAATTGTTTTATTTTAACAATATTTGTTATAGCATCATAAATGGAATCTGTTTTTCAGTCAGGCTTTCTGAAGGTAAGCATTATCATTACAGTAATCCTATATCATTAGCCACCACATGCTAGATCCAGAGATACTAAGGTAATGAAGTATATTGTTCTGTTTATTGGGAGAGTGTCCATGAAATTAACTATAACATAGGGTGATGAATATTATTGGTGATATAAATGAAAATAGAAATGTATGGGAAAGGAGCATTGTAGTGGGATCTGAATGGCTTTAGAGAATGTAGGAAATTTTCACAGATACTAGAGATAGGCTTTGAAAGATGAATGCCAGTAACCAGGCAGACTAAGTTGGGCCATTTCTGGGAGAGGTAGCAGTGTATATGGCCTAGAAATGGACAGCTGCTTAGTTTGGCAGGTGTATTAGTTCATTTTGTGTTGCTGTAAAGGCATACCTGAGGCTGAGTAGTTTATAAAGAACAGAAAAGAGGTTTATTTGGATCATCATGGTTCTGCAGGCTGTATAAGAGACATAGTCCTGGCATCTGCTTCTGGTAAGGTCTCAGAAAATTTTTCAGTCATGGTGGAAGGCAAAGGGGAAGCAGGATTGTCACATGGTAAGAGAGAGAGAGAAGGAGGAGGAGGGGTAGGAGGTACCAGGCTGTTTCAAACAACTAACTCTTTTTTTTTTTTTTTTTTTTTGAGAGGGAGTCTCGCTCTGTCGCCCAGACTGGAGTGCAGCGGTGCAATCTTGGCTCACTGCAACCTCCACCTCCTGGGTTCAAGTGACTCTCCTGTCTCAGCCTCCCAAGTAGCTGGGATTATGGGCACGCATCACCACATCTGGCTAATTTTTCTATTTTTATTAGAGGCAGGGTTTTACCATGTTGGCCAGGCTGGTCTTGAACTTCTGACCTCAGGTGATCCACCTGCCTCGGCCTCCCAAAGTGCTGGGATTACAGGCATGAACTGCCGTTGCTGGCCTCAAACAACTAACTCTTAAGTGGGTAAGAACTCATTACTGTGGGGATGGCCGAAAGCCGTTCATGAGGGAGCCGCCCCTGTGACCCAGACACCCCCCACTAGGCCCATCTCCAACATTGGGAGTCACATTTTCAACATGGAATTTGGAGGGGACAAATATCTAAACTTCATCAGCAGAGATGGAGGGAAGGATTGGGGGAGTGCAGATCACTGGTTGCCCCTCCATCATGTTAGTACAAATATCAGCCATTATACATTTATAGTCTCTTGAATAATGTACCACTCATTACCTTTGAATACACTGAAAATCAAGTTAAAAACAAAAAAAAATCTGGGACCTTATTTTTACCAGCTTCTCTTCTGGGATGTTCAGTTTTTGCTACCGGAGAATGTTTTTAAATGATTAAGGAAAATTTTACAATGCAGGATCTGTTATTGACAAACATCTACAGTATCATTGCTAACTTGACTAACTGAGTATTCTTACTTAGTAAAATATAATGAGTTCCATCTTTTGATCAGTCTAAAGACTACCTAGTGAAAGGCAATTATTAATTTTTTTAGTAGTGAAATGATTTGTACTTATGTGTAAATCCATTTCATGCTATTCTAATTTTTTTTTTTTTTTACCATATCTATGACTCAGTGTTAGAAATATGCACACCTTAGATAATCAAGTCTCATACTGATTCATTATTTTTCCAGCAAGGCCCTCATAAAAACTGTATAATATTTAACTAGGGTATGATTATAAAAGTTACATATAAAGTTTAACTACATATATATATATGTATATATATATATATGAATGCACATATATTTCCTTTTGCTAAATCTTTCATGCTTTAAATTATATAATTTATCTATTTGGTATCACATTAAAGTCCTAATAATTAGATAAGGTCATGGCTTGGAAATTTATATTATTTGAAAAGTATTATAAACTATTTTAAAAGATTGATTTTTTTTAGAAACAATTTTATTAGAGAATTATAAGCATTTAGCACTTATCTCTCCTGCTAGCTATTGAATCAGCTTATTATTTTTTATGACTTGTTTTGAATAAGAGTCTTAATAAAATTTACAGAGATCTTTGAGCTTTTGATGTGTTTGTGTGCAAGTACCAAAATTAGTTGGTATTTCTTAAGAAAAAAAAATATATGGTAGAGGGTAGAGAGTCTCTGAAATTCAATTTGAAAGGCACTTTGAATCCAAATTTGAAGGGCACTTTCCTAAATCTCTCCTGACTGGTGTTTGCTTTCTTTTTGCTCTCATTCGTTGAACCACCAAATAGTTTCAAAGGTTAAGTGCAAACTTCATTAGTGTATCTGCATTTCAGAAAACCGAAGGTTAAAAACAGTCATAATCTTCTCATACAGTGAAGCTAAGGGTTTGCCTTGAGAGCTCATCAGTGTTGTAATTTGACAGTGAGCAGTAATGTTTGTCTAAGAGGATTGGTGGCCAGAAATAAGCCACAGTGTCTAATGAGACACGGACCGGCTGGGCAGGATGCCACGGCATTTCTTGTGTGTGCCTTTCTCATAAGCAAAATGGCCTCAGACTGAAGAGGATGGTCATAAAGTCTGTGTGGAACAGATGTCAGAGTGGAATTTTCAGACTTAATGGAGAGGATCTAAGTAAGCTCTGGATTTTGAAATGAGTGAATCTATGGAGCTGTGATCTCCTACAAATCAAATGGGGAATGTCTGTGGATGTGTAAGAGCTGAGAAAGAAGAACAATATGTAGATCCTGCCAAAACTCCTTTGAACCCTGAAAAATACTCTCCTGGAAGAAAATATTTCAGAAGAAAACCGATCAAAAAAACTGGAGGTGACAAAGAGTCAGTTGGGGCAAACAATGAAAATGAAGGCAAGAAGAAGAGCAGCAGTCAGCCTTCAAAAGAACAGCCAGCTCCTTTATCCAGGGGACTGGTACAGCAGGAATCTGTTACCCTAAACTCTGCACTGGGAGATGGTATTCAGCAAAAGAAGACAGAAGTTGTAGCTGACAGCGTTAAACAGAAACTTCTGCCGAGTGCTGTAAGCAGTTGGTCTGACTGTGTGAACACTTCTCCTGCTAAAGACAGTGAAACAGAAGTAAAAGTTAGTGAACTGGATGAAAGGATTTCAGAAAAAGACAGCACTCCATATTGCGCAAAGAGGAAGAAACATTTAGATGATGTCAACACAAGCGAAATAACATTCCAGGAAAAAACTGATGTTTTTTCTTTCCGAAAGGCAGCCAGCTTAAGCTCTATTCCCTCGGGTATAGAAAGATCACTCGAAAAAAGTGGGTTTCCTGAAGACCCACCAAAAAGTTATAGCAGTATTCAAGAAAAGCAAAACACTGAGAGATTTTGCCCTCATGCAACACAGCATTTTCAGTTTAAAAAAAAGAGATGCCATTCCCTTTATACTAGTATGTCCTCTGTTTCTAAGGACACAGATGGAAATGAGGTAAGTGAAATGTGGAGTCTGAGTTCAAGTAAATAAGTGTTCCAGGTGCTCACATCAGACTGACATCTAATTTGTCTTTTATAAAGTTATTTTCATATTAGTGTATGTAAAAGCCATAGAGTTTCTGTTGCGTTTTGTTAGTAGCCTCAGGTTTGATTGTTATGATTTTATTTTTGTGCTGTGCACATTCTTTGACCACACTTTAATCTAAAAATCCTGTACATTTTCATTATTGGTGGAAGACTTTAAAAAGCACTACAGTAAGAGAGTGCATATCTTTTGAATTTTTCTGGTTCATGATTCTTGACTTTGCCTGTGGAATAGCCTGTGGAAGCTTAGTTGGACTGTAGGTAAAAGTTCAATTAGAAATAGTCATGAGAAGACAATAGCTTTGTAACAAATAATAGGATACTGTAAAATTATCAGTCAATACCGACTTGCTGATTCATGAGTTTGAAAAGCCAGATTCTGGTTCTCTGTTGATTTTCATGTGCAGAAACATTCACATAATTGCTGTCAATTCTGTGCATATGTTTTGAGGGCTAGGGTACATCTTTTCCTTTATGTTATTCCCCAGCCCCAGTCTAAAATCAGAAATTGTTAGGGTAGCATGCCATAGGAATTTGAAAATGACACAGACTACTAGGAAGTTGAGATCTTTATTCCTAACACTGATATTTAGCTTTAGACAAGTTACTTATCTGGGGTTTTTACTTGTCTTTAAAATATAATTAGATAGGTATTTATTTAATTGCTCAAAAAATGTATTATCCACATAACCTCTACATGTTACTACTCAGGAGTTGATGGCTTTTTCTTTAAGCTATTCCTAACTTTATCTTTTAATAAAAAATCTGAACATAAAGAATATTTGTGATGTTAAACATTCTTGGCAAGGTCATTGTATCAATGAGCAGAGATCATTTGCATAATGATAGAATGAGGTTTTATGAGGGTTAGTGTGCGCCATCATCACTGACCTTGGTTTCTGAGTTCTCCTGAAGGTGTCCTGTTTATATACACCGCTACACCTTGCCAATATTATGCCATCAGTTCTGTTTATATTTTACAGTGGTTATATTTTAAAAAGAAAGCATTCAGTCTGTGTCATTATCTATGTAGCTCTGTCATAAAGCCTAGTGCAAAAGAAAACTACTTGACTACTATATGTTTATGAATATAAGCACTTGGTTTAATTTCACATATGTTTTCCAGCATAATTTGGCTTCAAGTAAGCTGTACATTTTTGCATTAATGGAAATTTTTATAATCTGTTTCCTTAGTGGTACATTAGCCTTTCCTTCAATGGAAAATATATGTGGAAATAAGTCATAAACTGACCAGTCAGATTTGCGAAATAACTGTAATGCAATGTATATAAAGCCTGACGTCTTCTAGGTTAAAGCTGAATGGGTAGTCATTATATTATCTGAAGGGTTTGACATCTCATGTCCCTGTAGTTCAGATAAAGACTATTTATTTATTCTGTGGCACACAAAGAGTCCAAATCAAGAGTTTAGCTATTCCTCTTAGGACATTCTTCCTGTTACCTTGGAGGTGTTTGACTCTGTTTCTTAATTATCTTTGGTTGGAAACTTCCACAGAACTCTTTATCTTGCATTGGATTCTACATTTTTCATTGGAGAATTAGTTGCAAATGAGAGCTTCCAGCCGCTTCATTGGCATTTCATCCCGGAAATGACTGATTAACCAACATTCCTTTTGTTTGTTCTTTTTCATAGCTTCCCTATGTGATCAGTTTTTGCTCTGAGTTGCATGTAGGGTTGGACTTAACTTTTGAGTTAACTTCTAAGTAGAATAGTGTACAATTTTTTGAGCTTATCTTAACCTGACTTGATCTCCCCTAGTCCTGTGACATTCATCATTCTCAGCCTACTTCCCTTTTGAGTCGTTGCAATGACATGCTGACCTAGAGTGGTCTTCCTGGTTCAGGGGGCTCTGTGGAGGCCATTCATCCAGCCCTTCCTGCTGCATATAAATGTTATCAACATGTTATATTTTTATTAGGATAAGTAGGTAAAAAAGGAGTATATTAGATTTGTATACTGCTTTGGAATTGGAATAATGGTTTCAGACACATCGCGTCATTTGATCATCCAAACAACTCTATGAAATAGGCAAAATAGACTATGCCTCATATACAGAATGAAAAAATGGAAACTCAGGTTAAATAAATCCTTAAGGCAACATGGTAAATAAGATTACCTGAGTTAAATTATGGCACGACATCCCACTTGTTTTACTTGTCAATGAAATTTAAGGGAGATTGCTAAAAAGTTAGAGCAGGAATTGATGTTAATAGTGTCATCTGTGAAGGATATGTTATAAACAGGTGGCAGAAGGTAGATCCTTTTGGGAGACAAGGAGTAATGAACTTAGTGTTTGTACCTTTTTCAAGGATCTTCTGTTTGTCGAAGACTCACCTTGTACCTTGTGACAAGGTTTCCTACCTTTGTCCTTGAGCTCTTTCCAGAAAACATTCTTTTTTCTTTAGTTTCACAAATCCCACCTCTTCCCAGTTTTGTTAAGTTGATATTGGCAAAGATAGTTGTTTTCATCATCTGTAGACTGTGGGTTCTCTAACCTGGCCATATACATGTAAGAGTCATCTGAAGATATTTCAAAACAGATAGATGCCTGGATGTCACCTACAGTTATTCTAATGTAATAGATAAGGGTGGGTGCTCTGTAGGTGATTCTAAGGGTCAGGACGTTGGATAGGGAGCTTTTTACTATTCTTATTCTGCAGCAGTACTTCTCAAAGCCTGGCCCCAGGGTCCCTGCAGGAGAATCCTCTAGATTGCTTATTGAAAAACACCTTGCTTGAGATTTAATTTAATCAGAATATCTTCTGTCATGAGACAGTATTGTATATGTTTTAGGCACCTGCTCGTGTGTTTTTAAAAACACACCAGATTTAGAGAATCAGCATCACCTTAGCTTAGTATTTGCCATTTCATTTTCTTCTTAATGTAGGTTTTCTGATAAGCAATGTGGACTACGGGCCTGGCAGGCAGAAGATCGAAGTTCTTCTAGTCAGGCTTTGCCACCAGACAGCTGCATGACTTAGGCAGTCTTCTTTATTTCTCTAGGTCTCAGTTTCATTTTCTATAAAAGGAGGATACTGTACTAGATCATGATTCTACTGCTAATAATAATGCTATTTGTTGAGTCCTGCTATATTCCAAGCACTCCCCAACTACATTTATCTTCAGAGCAAGTCTCTGAAGTGTTCTGTTATGAGCTCCATCTTTATAGATGAGGAAACTGAGTCTCAGGAAAGTTAAGTAGCTTACTCAACTCACTTAACAATGAGTGGTACAGCTTTGATCTAACCCAAAATTGTCTGCCAGGCTGAACTGTTACCTGAGGCAATTTACCCTCCTTTTCCTACATACCTCTTTTCCAGTTTTAAATTTCTGTGAATTCATGTGCATAAGTGTATGCCTTTTTGTTTGTCCAGTGTTATTACTCCTCTCTCTTTCCCTCTCTTCCTTTATTTCTTTATGAAACATTTATTATGTATTGAACCCAAACTAGGCACTCAGAGATAAGTAAAACGTAGCTCTTTTCCTTGTGCATTATATCTCATTGTTTGTTCATAACAAATGACAGGGACCATGGCTGTAAAGTTAGTCACCTGAGAATTAGTCACCTGGGGTGATGATCAGGAATAAGTTTAACTTCTCAGCAAACCATGTGGTGACTCTATTAAGTAATGAAAATTGAACTGCATTTCTGTTCCTTTCCATCCTTTGGTGAATTGCTAATGAATAGTGCAGTGGCCTAAAGTAAAGAAGCCGAAGAGAGAAGGTTAAGAAATGAGTGTGGCTGTTGTACACAATATATTGTCAGTCTCTGAATAATGAAGAATTGAATATTTTTATTACCTTGGCTTTTGTATTTAAAAAACTTTGAAAAAAAATTAAGAGCTATCTCAGAATGTGAGAGGAATTACATTCAACCTACCTGAAATATATTTATTCATTATTTTTTTCTCTCACCAACTCTTTTATGAAGCTTAGACTATAAAATTTATGATTGGAATTCAAGGACCAGGATAAAATCTGAATGTGTTTAGCCTTGCTCCACAGATCTTGAAGACGAAGGTCATTCATTCTATAATTGACTAACTCATTTCTTGCTGAACCATTTTATCTCTTTCTTTAAAAATGAACATTCATATTGATTTCTCTTGACTATTTCTAGTCATTTAGATTTCATAACCAGTTTGTGAAAATATAGTTTTAGAATAATTGTATAGAATTTGGGTCCCTATCATCATGATGCCTTTCTCTGCCTTTTAAGTTAAATGAAGGACATGCACAGTTTAAATCCTTGGCTTTACAAAAAAAGGTAGCCTTTCCCCTCTGTTTGTATAAGTAAATGATAATTTGTTCAAAGTAGTTATCAATTTAGAGCATTAGCACTTGGACTTTATCAGCTTTTTAATTACTTTTGTTCTCCATTTCACCCTTCCCTTATATAGGCAGTTTGTACCAGTTAAAATTTTAAAAATGTTTGTGCTGTCTTTACAGTTAAAAATATTTTGTGAAGCATTTTCACACTTTTTTTTTTTTTTAACTTGGAAGCAGAGCTAAAAATGTGTTGATTACATTTGTTTCTGCCAAAATAGTTTAAACATTTTTAAAGAAATTGTCCTTGGAAACAAACATCTTGGCTTGGAAATATTTGCCTGTGTTGACAAATTCAATATGGAATTTGCTTTTGCTTGACTGTAGTGTCAAGTGATGTGAATAAAAGAGTTTTAGAAATATAATACCCTCTTACACGCCTCCATTCACTGTGGGGCAGGCACCGTTCTCAGCCATGTGTGTGTACCTCTTAGTCTCTCACACTAAGAAGGTTCTATTATTATACTCATTTTACAAAAGAAGAAACTGAGGCCCAGAGAAGTCACAGGGCTAGAAAATAGTGGGAACAGGAACTGAATTCCAGTTGCTGCCATCCACAGCTTTGCACCAATCTTCCTACCGATGTTAAGGTTTTACTCTTGCAATAATGAAACTCATCAGGTAGGAGAAGAATCCTGAGCATGACCTTTTTGACTTGCTGCTTTCATTCTTACTAATACCTACACTGTCTCGAATAGAATATAATCCTTATTTTTATCTTAATAGAAACATATAAAGGGATTGAATTTTCATTTGTTAACGTTTTTGTATGTAAACCTCTGAATCAATAGGGATTTGTGTTCTGCACAGAAGAACATTTGACTATCATTTCTACATCCACTGTGTGTCCCACAAGTCAGTTTCTGCTTCTGTAGAAGGAGGTGGTCCATGGATAGGTATAGCTCCCTCAGCAGTGTTACGGGGAGTCACTTAGCTTGGCAGAGTAGGGGAGGAGAACTTACAAGATGTTGAGTCAGAAGGCTTACATTCAATGCAGGTCTTATTATTCCCATCCTTAAAATTGGGGTGGTTTCTTGTTTTGAGGATTAAACGAGGTCACGTATGTGAAAAAGACTTAGGAGACTGTAAAGTGCTTTATAACTTATATCCTTTTGTCTTCTGTTTCTGGAGAAAAGAGGAAATACTTTGTGATCATCCTTTAAGTAGAAAGAATTCTGTAAGTTTTCAAAACTTTTAACGGGACACTTCTTTCTCTCCTTTAGACACAGAGCATTCTGTATAACCAGAGCAGGCTGCCACCTTCCCTCCCGCTGTGATCCCACCTTCATTCATCCTCTCATTTCTTTAGCAAATATTTACTAAGTATCTATTATGTGTCATACAGTGTGCTGACTGTATTCTTCAAATTCCATAGTTAGCTTAAAACTTTGTTAGCCTTCTTAGATAAGGTAGCATGAAACTAAAACAAAAATAAAAAACAAAACAACAACAATGAAAACCCTGTCAATTTGTTGGAATAGAAATACCTTGGAAGGAACCATTTAAAAAAATATTTAAGATTCAGTGGGTACATGTGCAGGTTTGCTACATGGGTATATTGCATGATCCTGAGGTTAGAGCTTCCAATGATCCTGTCATGTAATACTTGATAGGTAGTTTTTCAACCCTTCTCCCACTCTTATGATCCCCACTTTTGGAATACCCAGTGTTTATTGTTCCGTCTCTGTATCTGTGTGTACTCAATGTTTAGCTGTCACTGATAAGTCAGAAAATGTGGTTTTTGGTATTCTGTTCCTGTGTTAATTCACTTAGTGTAATGGCTTCCAGCTGCATCCGTGTTTTTGCAAAGGACATGATTTTGCTTTTTCATTTTATGGCTGTGTAGTATTCTAAGGTATGGCTGTATGTAGCACATTTTCTTTATCCAGTCCATTGTTGACAGACACCTAGGTTGATTCCCATGTCTTTGCTATTGTGACTAGTGCTGTGATAAACATACGAGTGCAGATGTCTTTTTAGAAGAATGATTTATTTTCATTTGGTTATATACCCAGTAATGGGACTACTGGGTTGAATGATAGTTCTGCTTTTAGTCCTTTGAGAAATCTCCAAACTGCATTCCACAGGGGCTGAACTATTTGCATTTCCACTAACAGTGTATAAGCATCCCTTTTTCTCTGCAACCGCACCAACCTGTGTTACTTTTTTGAATTTTTTTTAATTTTGATTTTTATTTTTTTTGAGACAGAGTCTCACTCTGTTGCCCAGGCTAGAATTCAGTGGCGTGATCTCTGCTCTTCAAGTGATTCTCCTGCCTCAGCCTCACGAGTAGCTGGGATTACAGACATCCACCACCACGCCTGGCTAATTTTTGTGTTTTTAGTAGAGACGAGGTTTCACCGTGTTGGCCAGGCTGTTCTCCAGCCCCTGACCTCAGGTGATCCACCTGCCTTGCCCTCCCTAAGTGCTGGGATTACAGGCATAAGCCACCCAGCCTTGACTTTTTAATAATGACCATTCTGACTGGTGTGAGATGGTATCTCATTGTGGTTCTGATTTACATCTCTTTAATGATCGGTGATATTGAGCATTTTTTCATATGTTTGTTGGCCGCTTGTATGACTTCTTTTGCGAAGTATCAACATCATTAAAAAGCAGGCAATGGACATGAACAGAAGTGTCATGTGTTTTTTCCTTGTTGATTTGTTTAAGGTCCTTATAGATTCTGGGTATTAGTTCTTTTTCAGATGCATAGTCTGCAAATATTTATTCCAGGTTAAAAGTAGGTTGTCTGTTTACTCTGTTGATAGTTTCTTTGGCTGTGCAGAAGCTCTTTAGTTTACTTAGGTCTGGAACCAATTTTTGAAGCTCATTTTGGTTATTTACACTTCACTAGTACAGATACATTTCAAAAGCGTTATTGAGAGTAACTCTGATATGAGAGAGGAAGAGAACATAATGCCAGAGGCAAATCTGCTCTTCTGTGTGGGGTGGGGGGGTGGGTGGGGGCTGTTGGTTAAGGAGGTACAACTGGTCTCGTGAGGAAAATTTTTATGGACCCTGACATCCAGTTCATGTGAGAGATCCAGGACGGTATCTTCCTCTGAAAATGTGTAGTGTTCTGTGCATCAGCTCCTTTGCCAGTATAGAAGCCGAGAAGCTCCAGTGAAAAGGGTCTGCCTTTAGGAGTGAGGCAAAGCCAAGGGATTCCCTTTCATGACCTATCTATGTGCAGCCATTTTCCTGGCAGTAGGTGCACTGAGAGGAAGCTGGATTACTGTGGCTGCTGAAACAGAAGAAAAATTAGTCTGACTTGTAAGGATAGATTTCTTTTCTAAACATGAAGGAGAAATGCCATTCTCTTGTAAATTCTGTACCAGAATGTAGGAGACCTGGGCCCATACCCTAGGTCTCCTGCTAGCATGCTGTGAGACCCTACGCAAATGACGTCACCTCTTTTAGTCTAAGCTTGTTCAGTAGTGAGAGGAGGGCATCCGCCAAATATCTCTGCTTTCCTTCAGTTTGAATCCCCATGATTTCTTAATCTTCATTATATAACTTTCTTTAAGTTAAATATCTCTGTTTTCTTAACTTCAGAGATGTTGCTTTTTCTACTATTGACATAAATTATTTAGATTATTTGATAACACTTTAAATTATACAGTTATTTAAAAATGTTTAAAAATAAAAATTGCATTATTTTCTTTGTATGGAATAATAAAATACATACTTTTTAAAAAAGTGAATAAGCTTTCAGGGAATATCTAAGTCAACTTTGGAGTTGGCAGTTCCTGTGTACTCAGTGCATGCCATAACCATGACAGCATCTGTAAAAATAGGGTGCTTCTGTTGCCCAGTTGTCTGGTGGCATTGACTTTGCTCATAGGACTTTCATGTTTACAGATTCAGCTGACTAACATGGGTGAGGCTGTTGCAATTCATTTAGCAGTAAGTGGGTCATTTAGTAATAAGCTGTGAATGAAATCAGTGTGCTATAAGATGAGATAGGTTGGCTTGTTTTCTTTTATTGAAAAGACATTTTGAAGCTATATACGATGTAAAGTTCATGAAATTTTTTTAGATAAGTGATTCAGATGAAGCTTAGCTTTCTTGCTTGACACTAGGTTCTCATTGAGTGGTCTCGAGGCTTGTGTTCCCCATTGGACACTTTTGTGCATTGGTAAGGGCGTTCTGTTATTATCGGAAAGTGAGGTTAATTGGAAACCTTTTGATTTTCTGAAATGACAAAGTTTACATGGCAGGGTTAAAACTCATTCATACAAAATGAAAGCAGGAGACGTGTGTTTCTGATCTTTCATACTTTTTCTGTCTTTAATACTTCCTTTGTTGCTGCTCTCTTGAGTCTCCTGCTC
Organism: Homo sapiens; assembly: GCF_000001405.40. Classification (NCBI taxonomy): domain Eukaryota; kingdom Metazoa; phylum Chordata; class Mammalia; order Primates; family Hominidae; genus Homo; species Homo sapiens. The sequence goes on along the minus strand of NC_000006.12, from coordinate 56,683,617 downwards.
TCCATTTATTCAGTAGAGAGTTATTGAGCACCTGATACGTGCCATGTCACGTTGAGCATGGGGAGAATGTTCCAAGGGTAGAAGTAGCTTGAACAAACTACCGTAGGAGAGAGGAAACATATGGTTCATATAACTTGATATTAATGTGATTTGATCATAGGAGAGAAGAGGAGAATTGCTTGAATCTGGATTACCGCACTGGCACAGTAAAGAACACACCATTTTGGGAATGAGAGTACAATAATATTTGGTACAGCAAGACTAGTTAGGAGGCTGTTACTAATCCAGACACGGAGGCTTAGTTCCAGAAGAAGGTAGAAGCCCAATATTATTCGAGGTGTATCACGAATGTGTTTCAAAACATGTTGTTGGTATTGACATTCCAGACTAGTGGTAACAATCTAGACTAGAGATAATAGTTGCCTTGACTCAAGTTGATAGTGGGAAGAGAGAAAATGGGGATATAAGACCCCCTTCTTCCTACAGAAATCAATCTTAGAACAGTTAATATATCCATATTATTAGGTGTGTGAATAAATTGCCATTAAAAGTAATGGCAAGAACTGCAAATACTTTTGTACTAACTTAATATCTTCCTTAGGGGCATGAGAAACTAACAGTTGAGTGTTTTGTAGAATGAGCCAACAAACATAAGGCAGATTCAGAAGAGTTGGGTTAACTCATCCTTTTATCATTTGAGAGTTCCAGCACTGGTTGCTTTGGTTCCCAGACTGCAGAGCAACATATTCTGCTTGGTCTCTCATATTTATTATGTCCTTTTCAGCTGTTTTTTGAGACTGTGGCTCACATTGCCTGACCATGCTCCATGAGGCACTTGGTCAGACTTGCACAGTGAAACAAAACTTACGTTGTTTTACATCTCTGACTGACCATGAGCAGGCATATGTCTGGTGACAGCACTGTTGGAACTATGTGAAATGGGGTCAAGCCTTCTTCTTTGGTTTGAACTTTGCCTGTCCAAATTCCCTCCTTGCAGATTCTCAACCGCAATCCTCTGCACCTTCTTTTAGTTCCAGTTATTGGTGTTTCAGTCATTGACTGTTGTCTCAGCTCTCTCCAGAGGGAGAAGGGAAAACATGGGGTAAAGTATCAGTGTTGTGTGTAAGAGTAGAGGTAATGACGGAAAAAGAAAAGCAGATGTAAGAAAGAGTGTGAGGGTTTTTTGGTTGTTGGTAGTGATGTTTTTTAGGCTGAGCTTAGTTTTCAATATTTTTATGTCAGTTTTTGAGCTTACTTATGTGAAGTGAAAAGGTAAAATAAGCCAGGTACGGTGCCTCATGCCTGTAATCCCAGCATTCTGGGAGGCCGAGGTGGGAGGATTGCTTGAGCCTGGGGGATCAACACTGCAGTGAGCCATGATGGTGCCATTGCACTCCAGTCTGGGTGGCACAGCAAGACTCTGTCTCAAAAACAAACATACGAAGAAGTAAAATAAAAGTGACGACTTTCTGATTGCCAAGGTCCAGAATGAGTTCACTTGGATTTATGACATAAGATGTTTTATGTAGGCATGTTGACCTCCCCGTTACACTCTCTTTGAACTTGTAGGACAAACACTAGGTTTTGGTTATTTTTACATAGTGCCAAAATAGGTTTTTTGAAAAATGTTGTCAGACATGTGTTTTGTATTTTGTAAATAATAAGCAAACAAAACCCATTTGGCTTAGTGACATTTTCATAGGTGGATTGGTTGGGGGCTGCATGTCCACTGTAGGTAATAAAGCCTCTTCTCCCCAGTGGGACCTTGAAATATATGATAAAGCAGAAGTGACCAAGAGAATCCTGGTCTCCTTAATGAATTAATGCAGATTTTCAAGGTGTCCAACTCAATCATAAAGTCATTTGTCCATTGGATATTTACTGAGTATCTGTAATGTGCCAAGCACTGCCCTAGCTAGGCATTATAACACTAAGGCAAATAAGACATTATCTTTCAGGATATACTGCTCACATATTAGAGGGCTAGAAGATCTAACAAGAGACAATAATGACACACAAGAGGTACTGCTATTATACCAGTATGAGTGGAGTACTTTCAAAAGCACAGAAGATGGTCAGGTCCCTTACACAGACCCCTGAGGCAGAATCAGCTGGGGCTTCCTCAAGGAGAAGGATGAGTGGAGGAGTAGCACGGGATGGGAATTGGTGAGGGCTTTCTCTGGGTAGAGAGTGGTACATATAAATGCATAGTATCTTGTGGAAATGCATTCTTATTGAGGAAGTAGAAGTAGTTCACTGTGGCTGGAGCACAAGGAGTGTTTGGGGTGGGTGTCAGAGGGCAGGGAGGAGAGATGAGGCTGCAGAGGACTGTGTTACCAATTGGATGTGGGCACAGAGGTTGAAAACGCATCAAGGATGACTCCAGCAGCTTCTTTTATTTGGGGGCAACTGGGTAAATGGTGGGGCCATTCTCTGAGCTAGGAATGCAGGAGGAAATACAGGAAGGAAAATGAGAAATTAAGTTCTCAATACATTGAGTTTGAAGGGGCTGTGAGATATAGCGCAGTGGTTAAGAGTATCAGCTTTGTAGCCAGACAGATTCAAGTTCAAATTTGACTTCTACCTATTAGTAATTTGGGTGAACTTGAGCAGGTCATATTATTACTTTATGTCTCTTTGTCATTTGTAAAATGATATTGTATATTGTAAAGATTATAAGGTAATTTTTATGAAGAGCTTAAGCACAGTGTCTGGCTCATTTAAGTGGTCAATACATGGTTAGTTTTACTATTGCAATAGAAGTGTATGATAGGGAGATGGGTTTAGGGATAAGGTTTGGGATGGGATATAGGGATGTGGGAGTCAACCCTGTCAAGGTGGCAGTTAAAGCCATTGTGGTAGAGATGATCCAGGGAGAGTGAGGAGAGTGGAGGAAAGAGGCCTGAGGCCTATGCCCTGGGGAATAATGTTAAAGGTTGGGTAACAGAGGAGCCTCTAATGAAGACTGAGAAGGAATGGCTAGAGAGGCCGGAGGAAAGCCTGGAAGGGGTGACGTTGTGGAAGCCAAAGAAGAAAGATTGCCAGTGACAGATGCCTCAGTGAGATCAGGATTAGAAAATGGAAGGATGGGAAAACAACCCTTGAGCTCTTCTCCATGGTGTTTCTGTCATTAGACTGTAAGCTCCATGAGGATGGTTGTATAACCAATGCCTGTTAATGGTACAAGTGGACATTTATGAGTGTTTGCTGAATGAGTGAGACTGTGAAGGAAGAGGTGATAGATGATCTCTCACAATATCTTTCAACTCATCAGCATCCCCCTACCCATCACTTCTATTATGTTAACAATCTAATTTTCTTCTTTATTGGAAAAATAGAGTTATGAACAAGAATTCCCTCACTTTGTCTGGTCACCTTTACTTAGTTTTAGTGGAATGGTAAGAAAGAGGCCAAATCAAAACAGGTAGAGGTGTGAAGATAATAGAGACAAGAAAATACAGAATACTTTTTTAGGTAGCTTTCCTAAGAAGAGAATGGGAGAGAGATGGTGTTAAGTAAAGAGGGAATTGAGTTCATGAAGATTATTTTTATTTATTTTAGGATGGAAGAGATTTGGATATTTTAAATACTGAGAGACCCACGTGAGAGGGAATTATTGGTAGAATGAGATCGCTAGGAAGTTGGAGGTGAAAGGATTTAAACTCCAAGAGAAAAGGAGGTCATATGGGAGCAAAGTTTGTGGGTAGCAGGACAGAAGGGGGTTCTTACTTATGTAGCTATTTTCTCAATAAAGGAGGAGAGGAAATTTGTTTGCTAAACATAAAAACATAAAAGTAGATGTGGTAGGGTAGGTAGTTTTAGACAAGTAGTGAAGAATTTTTATTTTTGGAGATGGAGTTTTACTTTCACCAGGCTGGAGTGTAGTGGCATAGTCATGGCTCACTGCAACCTTGACCTCCTGGGCCCAGGTGATCCTCCCACCTCAGGGGCCCGAGGAAGCTTGGACCGCAGGCACGTGGCACTGTACCCAGCTAATTTTTTTTTTTTTTTTTTTTTTAATGAGACATAGTCTTCCTATGTTGCCCAGGCTGGTCTTGAACTCCTGGGCTCAAGTGATCCTCTTGCCTTGGCCTCCCAAAGTGTTGGGATTACAGGTGTGAGCCACCACACCCAGCCAAATAGTAAATAACTAAAAGCAATATTGTGAGGGGTGAAAGAGCTGGCCAGTTAGGACACCAAGAAGAATTGCCACATTTCTTTGAGTACCTAGCTGAGGTTGCAGACCTGGAATTTGTGGTGGCAGGAGTCCACATGGTGGTATGCTTTTCTCTGGTAGACATTTATAGCTTAGGGTGAAAGCAGAGAAGACGTGCAGCTGGATTGATCAGGATTAAGGTTTGGTGGTGGAGTGGTTGCAGAGTAAGGACAAAGATGTGAAGGACTTACGGATATTAGCAAGGAAGTGGTGGAAATGATAAATAATATAGTACAAGACAAACAGAGAAGGATGTAAAGATAGAAGGGGCATCTGTAGAGGAAGAAAAATAATTTTCTTCAACCCTCGTAAGTTAGCTGGAATGGATGCCTACAACAAAAGACAGATTGATAAGAGAAAGACAGTTTATTAACATGTATGTTTCATACATACATGGGAGAGCCCAGGGAATGAGCAGTTCTCAGAGGCAGCTTTGAATTCCATTTTATATAGTGTCTTCAACAAAGGGCAGTACATTTTTAGAGAAATGACAAGAGAAAAGAAAAAAACTTTGAGTCTCTGGCGGCAGCAATTTGTGGGAAGGGAAAGAAATGGCAGACAAAGGCCCGTTAGTAAAGCTTGTTCATGTAGATAATTTTGGTCCCATCTCCAGGCCCATAACAGTCTAAAGTTATCTTTATTGGTTAATGTTTTTCTCTCTGGTAGAGGGGGACAGGATACCTTTTGTCTTTGTAAATCTGTGTCCTGCTTTTAGGCAAATGGAGAGTAGAGAGCTTTCCTGCATCTGCTGCTACTTAATTGCCTTTAGCTCAACAAGCTTTTATTTTGACATGGCATCTTCTGGTCTCCCACAGCCCACCCTGTCCCCCAAGTATATATGAAATATACATATTATAATAATAAACTACTCTTCGTTTTTCTCTAGTTAATCTATCTTTTGTTACAGGGATCTGTTCCAATTAAGAATTTATGAGAGTTGAAGAAAAAATTATGTTTCTTCCTCTACCGTTCATAGATAGGAAGAAAATTGGGCATGTCAAGGAATGTGAGATGTTGATGAAGCCAGATAATTGGTTTAGCTAGAATTAGCAAAGGAAAGTGCTGGAAGAATAGGAAACTACTTTTAGAAGTTAAATACCTGAGGTAGACTAGTTCTGGTTCAAGATGATGAGATCCAGGATGTAGGTGTATGACTGGCTGAAATGAAGAAACAAAGCACTGATGGTGGGTGCTACGTGGAGATGGCATTTGGGTGTCCAGGCACACGGCCAGGTGCCACATCTTTGAGGGATGCGAGCATCGTGTTTAAGGAGAGGAAGGAGGAGAGCCAGAGAGCAAGACTGGCCTACAATGTAAAAATGATTTTTTTTGTACTTACAGGTAATGATTTGAAAACCACTGGTTTTGCATCACTGGAGGAGTTAGAATTCACCTGCCCCGCCTGTGGGCCTAGTGGAGTCTGGGACTTGGCTGAATTTTAGTTATTGCCATGGGGGATACTTGGGGTTCAGTAAAAAGATAAAAGCAGTTTAAGGTATTGAAGACATGAGACTTTGTTTACCATGGGGTAGATATTTTTGGAAGTTTGGGAATGGTAGCAAGCTGGGTCAGGAGAGATAAAGCCCAGATCAAATATGGGCAGGAGAGGCTCAGTGACAGGAAGAACTTGAATTTGGGCAGTAGCCAGCAATGACCAGGATGTGAGGCATGAAGGCTTCAAGTTTCTGAAAGGAACTCTGGTATAAAGTATTTTGTTTGTTTTGGTGCTACCTGACAGATTGGTGAAAAGCTTTAGGAAGCAATACTACTGCAGATAATAAAATTATGGTGGGGCTAGGTGCTGTGGTTCATGCCTATAATCCCAGCACTTTGGGAGGCCAATGTGGGAGGATCACTTGAAGCCAGCAGTTCGTGGACAACAAAAAGAGACCCCTGTCTCACAGAAAATTTAAAAGAATTAGCCAGACATAGTGGCACATGGTGGTGGTCCTAGCTGTTTGGGAGGCTGAGGTGGGAGGATCAGTTGAGCCCAGGAGTTTGAGGCTGCAGTGAGCTATGATCTTGCCACTGCACTTCAGCCTAGCAACAGAGTGAGACCCCATCTCAGATAGATGGATAGATAGATGGATGGATGGTACATAAGTAGTGGTGGGAGAAAATGGATAGATAGATAAGTAGTGGTGGGAGAAGCTAACATTTGTAGAATTTTCTATGTGGCGGCGCTGTGATAAGCACTTGATATGACTGTTTTTATTTAATCTTTAGAACCACCAAAGGAGGATGTTATTATATTTAAGTTTTTTTAAATTGACAAATAAAAATTACATATATTTATCATGTACAACATCTTATGAAATTCAAGTAATTAACATATACATTACTTCAGTACTTACATTTTTCAGGTGAAAACACTTAAAATCTACTCTTTTAGAAATTTTAAAGAATGCAGTACATCGTTACTAACTATAGTCACTATGTTGTGTAAGAGAAATTTATTCCTCTTAACTGAAATTTTGCATCCTTTGACCGATATCGCCCCAATCACTTCCACCCCAACCACCCCGCAGCCTCTGGTAACCACCGTTCTACTCTCCCCACTTCTATGAGTTCAACTTTTTTAGATTCTACATATAAGTGAGATCATTCAATATTTGTCTTTATGTGCCTGATTTATTTTGCTTAACATTCCCTCCAGTTTCATCCATGTTGTTGTTAATAACTACATTTCCTCCTTTTTTTTTTTTTTAAGGCTGATCAGTACTGTATTGTTTGTATATATCACATTTTTAAAATTCATTCTTCAGTTGATGGACACCTAGATTGATTCCTTACCTTGGCCATTGTGAATAATGCTGCATTATACATGGGAGTGTATATCTTTGACATACAGATTTCCCTTGGATATATATCCAAGTAATAATCCCAGTAATGGGATTGCTGGATTATATGGTAGTTCTATTTTTAATTTTTTGGGCACCTCTATACTGTTTTCCATAATGGTTTTACTAACTTACATTCCCACCAACAGTGCAAAAGTTCCCTATTCTCCACATTCTTAACAAAACTTGCTATCAGCTGGGTGCAGTGGCTCACGCCTGTAATCCCAGCACTTTGGGCAGCTGAGGCAGGTAGATCACCTGAGGTCAGGAGTTCAAGACCAGCCTGGCCAATATGGCAAAACCCCGTCTTTACTAAAAATACAAAAAATTACCCAGGTGTGGTGGTGGGCACCTGTAGTGCCAGTTACTCGGGAGGCTAAGGCAGGAGAATTGCTTGAACCCAGGAGGTGGAGATTGCAGTGAGCTGAGATTGCCCCACTGCACTCCAGCCTGGGCGACAGAGCGAGACTCCATCTCAAACAAACAAACAAAAACCACTTGTTATCTTTCCTTTTTTTTGAGACTAGCCATTCTAACAGGTGTGAGGTGATACCTCATTGTGGTTTTAATTTGCATTTCTTCGCTGCTTAGTGATATTGATCATTTTTTCATATACCTGTTGGCCATTTGTATGCCTTGTTTTGAGAAATGTCTATTATGATATCCTTTCTTTATTTTAAATTGAATTATTTGTTTATTTATTTATTTATTGAGATGGAGCATTGCTCTCTCACCAGGCTGGAGTGCAGTGGTGCAATCTCAGCTCACTGCAACCTCCGCCTCCTGGGTTCAAGTGGTTCCCCTACCTCAGCCTCCCGAGTAGCTGGGATTACAGGCACGTGCCACCATGCCCAGCTAATGTTTTGTATTTTAGTAGAGATGGGGTTTCACCATGTTGGCCAGAATGGTCTCGATCTCCTGACCTCATGATCTGCCTGCCTTGGCCTACCAAAGTGCTAGGATTACAGGCGTGAGCCACCACATCCGGCCAAGTTTTTTGTTTTCTTATTACCGAGTTGTTTTAGTTCCTTATATATTTTGGATATTAACTCGTTATAAGATGAATGGTTTGCACATATTTTCTCCCATTCTGTAATGTGTTTCTTTGTTTATTGTTTCTTTGGCTGTGCAGAAGCTTTTTCATTTGCTGTAATCTCATTTTTCTGTCTTTGCTTTTCTTACTTGTGCTTTTGGAGTCATATCCAAAAAATCATTGCCCAGTCCAAAGTCAAGAAACTTTTCCTTACATTTTCTTTAGTAGCTTTATAATATTAGGTCTTACGTGTAAGTCTTTAATCCAGTTTGAGTTGATTTTTGTATATGGTGTGAGATAAGGGTCTAATATCATTCTTCTTTATGTGGATATCCAGTTTTTCAGACATCATTTATTGAAGAGACTGTTCTTTCTCCATTGTGTGTTATTGGCATCTTTGTCAAATATCAATTGACCATAAATGCATGGTTTATTTCTGGGCTCTCTGTTGTTCCACTGGTCTGTCTGTTTTCGTGTCAGTACCATGCTGTTTTTATTACTATAGATTTGTAGTATATTTTGAAGTCAGGTGGAGTGTGACGCTTCCAGGTTTGTTCATTTTGCTCAAGATTGCTTTGACTATTTGGGGTCTTTTGTGGTTCCATTCAAATTGAAGGATTGTTTCTTCTATTTCTGTGCGAAGTGTCATGAGAATTTTGATAGGGATTGCATTGAATCTGTAGATTGCTTTGGCTAGTATGGACATTTTAACAGTGTTAATTCTTCAAATTCATGAATGAACATGGGATATCTATCCATTTATTCATGACTAATTTCTTTCATCAGTGTTTTCAGTATAAAGGTCTTTTATCTCCTTGGTTAAATTTATTACTAAGTCTTTTTTTTAAGCTATTGTTAATGGGATTGCTTTCTTGATTTCTGTTTTGGATAGGTTGTTGTTATTATGTAAGTTTTAAAGATGAAGAAAGTGAGGCCAGGTGCGGTGGCTCACGCCTGTAATCCCAGCAGTTTGGGAGGCCGAAGCGGGTGAATCACCCGAGGTCAGGAGTTCAAGACCAGCCTGGCCAACATGGTGAAACCCTGTCTCCACTAAAAATACAGAAATTGCCAGATATGTTAGCACATGCCTGTAGTCCCAGCTACTTGGGAGGCTGAGGCAGGAGAATCACTTGAACCCGGGAGGTGGAGGTTGCAGTGAGCCGAGATGGTGCCACTGCACTCCATGCTGAGCGACAGAGTGAGACTCCGTCTTAAAAAAAAAAAAAGAAAGAAAATGGATTTTAGGAGATTATGTGAGTAGTCTGGGTCATTCATTTCATTAACTGTTGGAATTAAGATTTAAACTGAGGCAGCATGAATTGAAACCCTCTCTGATTATCACTACATTGCCTCCGGGTTTTGAAGGGAGGTAGCTTGATTACTTTCTAGAATCTGACCTGAATGTGAAACCATTAACCTGTCATTGGTGGAAGATTCAGGCTGTTCTGCTGAACACACAGATTTCAGATCAGGGATTATGAATGACAACTGAAGACTTAAACAATTTTTAGCATTTAACTTATTTTTTATTTTAATTTTGGTTGCATAGTATCATGAAAAGTCTGATATACTAGTGGCTAATGGTAACAGTATTTTAAAAAATACCTTAAATTGCTATAAGAGGATGATGTTCAGTTTATTGGAAGTAGCAGGAAAAGCTGAAAATGGAGGAGTTAGAATTCACCTGCCCTGCTTGTGGGCCTAGTGGAGTCTGGAACTTGGCTTAATCTTTGATATTTTAAAGCTTGGTTCATAACATTTGCATATGCATTGTAAAATTATATGAATATACCTTGGAATATGCATTTTAAAATTATCGCTTTTTAATAGTGTGTGTATGTATAACAGTCTGAAATTGTATTTGTAACAATCTGAAATTCATCTATTGGAAACTTATTTAACAAGAATACATTATTTTCTCTTGACATTTAGGCTATTTTCAGACCTCTAAACTCCTTTAACATCCTTCCTCTGGTAAAACTGTGTAGCACTTGAACCTGTTAAGCTGGTATCTTGTAGTTGAACTTTACTGACTTCCCTAGTTAACAGGTAATGCTTTTGTAACTGACTGGCATGGAATTAGCAGAAAACAGTCCCACACAACCCCAGCTATCTACCATTTCTATCTGTCATTATACATACTATCTAGGTGGCTCTTGAATTGTAAGGGTTCCCCAAAACAGTTGATTTTATAATTTTTAAAGGGTTATAGAGACCAAGAGGCTCAACTTTTTCTTTTCTTTTATTTCTTTTTTTGTTTTGTTTTGTTTTGTTTTGTTTTTGATTTTAAGGGCCTCACTCTGTTGTCCAGGCTGGAGCGCAGTGGCGTGATCATGGCTCACTACAGCCTCAACCTCCTAGACTCAGGCGATCTGCCTCGGCTAGTAGCTGGGACTATATGGGCACATGCTATTATGCCAGGCTAATTTTTTTTTTAATAGAGACAGGGTCTCACTATGTTGCCCAGCCTGGTCTTGAACACCTAGGCTCAAGTGATCCTCTCATTTTGGCCTCCCAATGTGCTGGGATTACAAGCGTGAGCCACCGTGCCTGGCCTCAACTTTTTCATTCACAGTTTCCTAGATTAGCTTCTCTGAACCGTTGCGATCGTAGATTTTCATTAGTTTAAGGCAGCAAATTTAAAAAACTTATTCTTTTATTCCTCTCTATGGGGAAGAGAGTTAAGAAAATAATAAAGTCAAGGTTTTACTTCTCCCTTTTTCAGAAAGAATAACAATAACTACAACAATAACATAGCTCATCTGTATTATGCATTTGCGGACTATGGGCCAGGCATTACACTGTGCTAATGTTGTTGAATTCTCACAACATGGTATAATTATCATCATCATTTTACAAGTAAGGGAATGGGCTTAAAGCAGTTAAGTAACTTGAGCATGTAAATGGTGGACATGGGACTTAAACTCTTGGGATGTGCCAGAAAGGTACTGTAGCATAATTTTGGACCAGAATATCATTGGAACTTGGGCCAAAGAATATTGGTAAATTTTATGCTGTTTTTTGTCACATAAAAAAAAAAGAAATTTCTTCTATGTGTACTATATGATGTGTTCATGTGCAGAGTTCTTTTCCATGCTCTGGAGTTTGGCACAGATTCCTGGCAAAGATTATTAAAATTGAGACAGTTTGTTCCGCTTTTAAATCCTGACCATTTGTCAAGCAGAGTGTCTCAGACTATGGCTGAGAGTGAAGCTCCATGGGGCATGGCAGCCTCTGCTGAACACTGGAGAAGGAGTGTGTGAGGCCCCCCATCATTTCCAACAAGTGAAGTCAGGGGCTGCGAGGCCTGGCAAGGGCTTTCACTGCCACAGCCTTCCTGCCCCGGGTCCCTGGATTGGCTGTGCCTCTGGCTCTGTGGCAGCTGGGAGGAATAAAGGGCTTCCTGTCTGAGCCTGGCACTACCACATGTAACAGGTTTTCTTTGGAGTTTTTTTTTAATTCTCTACTTTCAGTTGCTTGACTCTGCCTATTGTGACCTTCTGTGTTGTGTTTATAGTCTGTTAGTAAAACTTTAGACTGAAAAGGGTCCTAAACGTTATCTGCTTCTGCCTCCTCCTCATTTTATAGATAAGGAAGTTGACTTACAAACATGAAATGAATTATTCAAACCTATGAGACTAGGAACCAGGTCTAGAAGCCTGTCTCATGACTCTGGTCAAGTGATATTTTCCCTGTGACAGAATGATTTGTTCTTCATATGCCTTGCTTCCCATCTCTGACTTGCTCATTCTGATTCTGGCGTGCAGCCTGTCTTGTTGATCCCTTGGCTTTGCGTCTTGCACTGATTGAGGGAACAGTTGTTGGTGGTGTTAATCTCAGCTTTGGAATTACTGTGTGACCCCTGGTAAAGTCACTTTGTGCCTTAATATAATTATCAGCAGATTAAGTAGGACCCTTATCAAAGAGATGCTTTTGGGAGAATGTAAATCATGGAAACTTGTGACTTGTTTTATCATTATTCAGTGGAAGAGACTTTTAGAAAACTTCATGAAAACAAAATACAGGAGAAAAAAATCAGTTGATAAAGGTTTCAGGTTGAGCAAGCCAAGCAAGGACTCATGAGAAAATTAGAACTTCTGGCCAAATTGTTATATAGGAGAGAATACTATTTCTTTCATTGTTCTTTACACAGAATACCTGTTGGATCAAATTCTGCTCTGCAGGTGGTAGTATAGAGTAATTTATAGGTTTTACCTCTGATCTACTTGAACTTGGAAAACACCTCCTTAAGTTGTATTAACAAATCTGATTAGGAAAGAAGAACGTAGAATTTTCAATACTGTAGAGTTTTGGTTTAGTAAAAAGAGAATAAATGCTTTTAAATTGGACACAAATGAGTTAAATCTGACTTTTTCAATCTGTTGTTAACCTCTTTGAAACTCAGATTTCCTATATGTAAAATGGATAAAATTTATTTATTTCCTATATGTAAAATGGGGAAAATTTATAAGGGAGAGGTATGAGGGCTAAATAAAAATAATTATATAGAATAGCTAATGGTTTGATAACTTTCTACATGTGGCACATTCTCTTAAGTGCTGTACACATGTTATCTCATTCAAATCTCTTAACAATCTCATGAAGCGGGAATTGTTATTATCCTAATCTTAGATTTTGGAAAGTGCTTGGCACATAGTAGGTTCTTAATCTGAGTTAGCTTCCTTCCTTCCTAAAGGTTTAACACTTTCTGTTATATCTAGATATCTGATATCCATGTTACTGGAGAGTCAGAGGATATGTCTGCAAAAGAGAGATTGCTACTCTGGACGCAGCAGGCAACAGAGGGTTATGCTGGAATTCGGTGTGAAAATTTCACTACCTGCTGGAGAGATGGAAAATTATTTAATGCCATCATTCATAAATACAGGTATGGAATTTGTGTATTTTTTCCTTATACAACTGTAAGACACATTTCTTTCATCTCTGAATTTTAAAATTATCTTTTATTATTATAGAAGCAAAAGCATGGCAAAAAATTAGAAAATACAGAAAAATTAAAATAAAAAATTGGCCAGGTGCAGTGGCCCATGCCTGTAATCCCAGGACTTAGGGAAGCCAAAGTGGGTAGATTGCTTGAGCCTGGGAGTTCGAGAACAGCCTTGGCAAAAGGGTAAAACCCTCTCTCTACAAAAAAATACAAAAAATTAGCTTGGCATGGTGGCAAGCACCTGTATTTCCAGCTACTCCGGAGGCCAAGGCTGCGGTGAGCTGTGATCATGTGACTGCACTGCAGCCTGAGTCACAGGGTGAGACTCTGGCTTAAGAAAATAAAAAAAAAAATTTAAAAATCACATTTCCACTACTTAGAGGCCATGATTCTGAATTGTAGCTTATACACACACACACACACACACACACACACACACACACACACGCACGGGCGCTCGCACACACAGCTGTAATATGTCTTCGGATGTTGTCAGTAACTTCGCAGATAGCAGACTTTGATTTTGCCTCTAAAGAACTGCTGAGTTTGAAGGTTAGAGTTTAGTTTGGACTTGTAGCCCACAAGTTTCCAGTTCATATCTCCTAGTCTAATTACTCTAGTGAGTGGGCTTAACAATTGCCAGTTTTGGGGTGGTAAATAGTTTCCTGGTGAGCATTATTAACAGCTAAATCCACGCTAATACTTACATAGCACTTACTAAGTGCCAGACACTGTTCTAAGCAGTTTACATATATTAATTCATTTTCTCCTCACAACATCCCTATTGTCATCCCAGTAAACAGACAGAAACTGAGACCCAGTAAATACTTGGCTTGCAGTCATACAGCCAGCGAGTGGCAGACTTGGAACTCAAACCTAGGCAATCTGGCTCTTGAGTTCATGTTCTTATTGCCTTATAAGAAGCTAAATCCCCGGAAAGTATTTATTGAAAATTATATACTACTTTTTCTTTTTTTTTTTTTTTGAGATGAAGTCTTGCACTATCACCCAGGCTAGAGTGCAGTGGCATGATCTCAGCTCACTGCAGCCTCCACCTCCCAGGTTCAAGCGATTCTCCTGCCTCAGCCTCCTGAGAAGCTGGGACTACAGGCATATGCCACCACACCCGGCTAATTTTTGTATTTTTAGTAGAGATGGGGTTTCACCATTTTGGCCAGGCTGGTCTTGAACTCCTGACCTCAGGTGATCCCCTCACCTTGGCCTCCCAAAGTGCTAGGATTACAGGCTGAAAACTATATATTTCTTTACCTCAGTTTTTTTTTTTTTTTTTTTGGTTTTACAAATATTATGTCAGGTTGTTGAATAACTTGCTATATTTCTAAAGCTATGACATCATTAAATTATAAACTATATATAAACTATAAAGTCATTAAACTAACCAATTTATTTGATTACAATAAAAATAATTATATAGGATAGTTAATGGTTTGATTACTTTCTCGTTCTCTTAAATGCTATACTCGTGTTCTCTCATTCAAATCTCCTGACAATCTCATAAAGCAGGAATTGTTATTATCCAGCTTTTACAGATAAGGAACCTTAGGTTTACCAAGTTTATACTGCTAATAAGTTAGAGAATTAAGACTCAAAACCAGCTCTGTTTGATTTGACATCCCGTTCTCTTCCTCTCTTTCCTCTTTCTTCCTTCCTTTCACTTCTCTTTTCTCTCCCCTTTTCTTTCTCCCTTTTTATTTTGGAAATTTCAATGTCTAAAAACTGTAATGAATCCTCCACATACACACACTCAGGAGCCCCTATTTTTATTTTATTTAATTAATTAATTAATTTTTTGAGACGGAATTTTGTTCTTGTTGCCCCGGCTAGAGTGCAATGGCATGATCTCAGCTCACTGCAACCTCTGCCTCCCAGGTTCAAGTGATTCTCCTGCCTCAGCCTCTCAAGTAGCTGGGATTACAGGTGCCTGCCACCACTCCCGGCTAATTTTTTTAAATTTTTTAAAATTTTTTTTTATTTATTTTTAGTAGAGACAGGATTTCACCATGTCAGCCAGGCTGGTCTTGAACTCCTTACCTCAGGTGATCCGCCTACCTCAGCCTCCCAGTGTGCTAGGATTACAGGCATGAGCCACCGTGCTTGGCTGCGTGAGCCACCATGCCTGGCCCCTATTTTAAAATACTATAATTGTATCCTTCCTTTGTGGAACAACATTTAAATAGAGGTGGGTGTAGGTTGCTGAATCGAAAAGAAAAACCAGGATCAACTTGCCTACACTTGTTTAAAGCACCAGATCTTCTTGAGTGAAGGTTTAGTGGCTGTAGACACAGCCATCATCATATTACACTTTCCAGGTGACTTAGAATGAGAGGCCATGAGAAGGCTGTGCAGCTGGACACATTCTATACTTGGAATGATAGAATCTTTGTGGCCTTTAATTAAAATATTTCAATTGTGATACCTAAAGTATTTGTAACAGTGCATCTTTGAGGGTGTGTTCTGCTCTCTCCTTTGAAGTTTTTTAGGCAGAAGCAAAATATGGGATCCAGCTATTCTTCTAAAATAACCTACTTTTGGCAGGGAGGATGAGGCCGGAGGATTGCTTGAGGCCAGGAATTTGAGACCAACCTAGACAATATAGCAAGACCCCATCTCTAAAAAAATAAAATAGATTAGAAAAACCCCTACTTTTAAAAACAATGGCCTCTGGACATTGTCTCTGTGGTACTCATGAATAATTATAAGTACAAATTGGTGTATGTGTGTGTGTGTGTGTATATATATATATATATAATGCATTTTTCTCCTAAGTACTTAAATATTTCATTTTGTGTGTCAGAGATCCTAAAATTTCCTACAAAAGCTTGATGTCATAGAGCTCTTACTGCTTTAGGTGAGAATTTGAGTCTTTGAATTATTTGTTTTGAACTTTTATTTTGGCAGAAATACCTTTTTAGAACAATGTTTAGCTTTAACTTAGGACTTTGGTTTTCCTAGTTTGCTTTATTTTCCTTTGTTAAGGTTCGTGGTTAAAATACCATATATCAGGTTTAAATGCTTACAAGATTTCTTTGTTGCTGAAATTCTGTCGTTGTCCTGTGGCTTATAAAATATTATTGTGGTTTCTTTCACTAGAAGAAACTTTTCATCTGTAGAACTTCGTTTTTAGTTGAAGTCATTGAGCCTTTCTTTACTTGAAAAGAAAATTAAGTACTTTTCTTCCAGCATATGAAAAAATTAAATGAAGAGAGTTGAATTGTGTGTATTTCTCACTGTTGAATGCCTTGATTTATTCTAAAAGAAAAAAGAGACAAAATTATAAACAATCAAAATATCACCATGAGCAAATTTTTTGGTATTGGACAATAATAATCACATTTAGAGAGTAATGTCTTGGCTGGGTGCCCTGGCTCACGCCTATAATCCCAGCACTTTGGGAAGCTGAGGCAGGAGGATTGCTGGAGCTCAGGAGTTGGAGACCAGCCTGGGCAGCACACCAAGACCCCATCTCTACAAAAAATTTAAAAATTAGCCAGGCATGGTGGCATACACCTGTAGAGATTTTAGAATTAGAATTTAGAATTTTCTTTGGAGTTTTTTTTTTTAATTCTCTACTTTCAGTTGCTTGACTCTGCCTATTGTGACCTCTGACTTCTGTGTTGTATTTGTAGTCTGTTAGTACAGCTTTAGACTAAAAAGGGTCCTAAACGTTACCTGCTTCTGCCTCCACCTCATTTTCTTCTTGGGAGTCTGAGGTGGGTGGATAGCTTGAGTCCAGGAGGTCGAGGCTGCAGTGAGTTGTGACTGTGTCACTGCACCCCAGGGTAGGTGACAGAGCAAGACCCTGTCTCAAAAAAAAAAAAAAAAGAGTAGTTTTTTACTTAATAATTGTTTTTACTTGATAATTATTCCCATAAGTTTTGTGCTGTATTTGGATTTGTTGTGGAAAATGTCCATTTTATTGGGCTTTATTTTTTGTATCTAGATCAAACATTTATATGGATTTTACTTGGCTTTGTCAATAAAAATTATCTGAGGTGGCACAGTGGGTTTGGTTTCTGTTGGTTGCTGTAGTGGATGAAAAGAGGGATGTGGTTATCCCTATGTAGCAAATTTGCATACTCAAGATAGAATAGGAAATTTTTCTCCAGAGATTAGAAGGAAAATATATTTTTTACTTAAAAGCAAACCAGTATTATATGTGATAGGTGACTTAGTAAGATTTTTGGTGCATATCTTCTAAAGATTTAGAAATATTGATCTGAAATAGGAACAGAGCAATAGCATCCTTCACATTTTTTATTAATATAAATTATACTGTTATAAGTTATTAATCAAATATATTAATTTGGATTGTCCAGCACATTTTTATTAGTGTTTCCATATAGAATATGACTCTTGAAAATAAAAAGAATGTTTGTTAGCCCCATAAAGAGTATTTGTTTTACTAACAATTCAGTATCCTAAAATTTTCCGTAGAAAATATAATTTTCTAATTGTCATGTTTCTTGAGAGAATTAATATGTGAAATAACAGTGAAGAGAAATTTTTATAATAAGTGTAATTTATAGATGTTACAGAATAAAAATGATCCATGAAGTTAAAAAGTAAGTAACAGTCACAAAGTAGTTACCTAAGAAATACATGTATCATGTTGGCCATGTGGCAGTTTCTGTCCTAGCTGTTTTTTAATGTGTTAGCTTTTAAAATTACCACAATCCTGTGAAATAGATTGTGACTCCATTTTTAAAACAATTTCAACTTTTATTTTAGATTCTAGGGGTATATGTGCAGGTTTGTTACTTGGGTATATTGCA
Source organism: Homo sapiens (assembly GCF_000001405.40). Taxonomy (NCBI): domain Eukaryota; kingdom Metazoa; phylum Chordata; class Mammalia; order Primates; family Hominidae; genus Homo; species Homo sapiens. The sequence goes on along the minus strand of NC_000006.12, from coordinate 56,665,787 downwards.
TGATGCTGAGGTTTAGGGTACAACTGGTCCTGTCACCCACGTAGTGAGCATCACACCTAATAAGTAGTTTTCAGCCCTTGCCCCCACCCCATAGTAGTCCCCAGTGTCTGGTTGTTGCCGTCTTTATGGCATGACTTCATTTTTATCAATAAAGAAACTGAGGCTCAAAGAGTAACTCATATTTTTGACATCACATACCTTTTACATAACGGAGGTGGTTGCTCTGAATTCTCATCTTCATATACTTCCATGTAACTACTTACATAATTTCCTTTAGGCAAACTAGATTTAAAGAAATGGAACTGTTGATCAGAACAACTGTGATAGCGCATTCTTGAAGCTCAATGATATTTTCAGCAAAGATATATGAAAATTATCGATGAACTTAAGAAATGACTAAATGAATAGTGCCATATACAACTGACAACTAAAGTCTTTGCCCCTTGTAAGAAATTAATGAGGGTTTAATTTAGTTGTTTAACTAATTAGTTACCAAAATTATTTAACCTTAATTAATGAGGGTTTAATGAAGTTGTTTAACTTAGAGTTAGCCTTAGAGTTTAACTTGGAATTAGCTACCTATGAAAATAGCATCAGCAACAACTCATAACAACTTAAGGAAAATTATGGATAATGAAAGAACTTAAGATTTTTAGAACGAGTAAGAGCAAAATCACAGCGAAATTAAGCAGTTTTAGTATGTCACATTATCCTAAAGAGGATGAAGAGCCTGGATTATGTAATGGGGTAGTAAGAATGACAAAGTTATATGATTTAGTGGAAGAGATTGCAAGGGATAGTTCTATAGCTTCTATTTAAATAGGTCACTGATAAATACATTATGTCTTTCTGTTAAATCTGTATTAGGAAATTCTGTTCATAATTCCTTCTAGGAATTTCTGTGTGTTATGTTCAGTTTTCAGTGGAAAAGTTTCAAATAATAAAAATACTACATACCTATACTAGTTTCTGCTTGTTCTGTTTGTATACTTTAACTTTTTTTAGAATATAATACAACCTTATTGCTAAAAACCACAACTGGTAAGATATCTTGGGTAAATAAGCCTTACTATTGCCCCTAACCTTACCTTAATTTTCAATCAAAAGACTAACAAAGAATACTGGATTTGATGAACTTAGATCAAAAGGTTGTCACAAAAACATCTGGTGTGTAAGGAGATTAAAAGCAAGAGAGGATAAAGTAGAATTAACCAAGAGCCAATAGGCAAGGGATCCTAGGAGTATCCTTTAAACACTAGTGGATTAATAAGTCACCAAGAGTTAGGGTTGATATAGAGGAATGAAATCCCAGACAGTAGTGCTTGTTCCTCAGAGGTAGGTGTTACAAACAGAGGGTTCAGCTCTCCTCTTATTTAAGGGTTTGCCGAGGCATCACAGTAAAATTGACTTCTTTTTGAGAGAGGTAAAGCTCTGACTTCCAGCTTGAAATTTAGCCTCTGACTTGTCTGGCTTCTCTCATTCTCTCCAAGTAGATATCTGCCTTAGAACATTAATGAAAGCCAAATTCCAAAACAGCAGTGCCTAACATTGCTCTGTGTGCAAACAAGTCTGCCTGAGCAGGCATGAACATGAATATGTACCTGAAGGCCAGAGAGAACAGTGCAGAATGTGCAGGAGGGCTTTGCAAATCTGAGGTGGCTCTATGGAAAGACACTAAGTATGTCAAGACTAAAACTAGAGGTGTGTGTGTTTGAAGAGATTATTTCTGCTTACTAGTTTCTGCCTGTCTTATGCTTGTTTTTAATTTATCTCATTCATTTATTTAAATTGCCTTTAAAAAATAAAAATAAAAAAGCTAAACATAAATAAATAAATAATTTTCCTTTTAATGTCCCTGGCAGTCTTTTCATAGGTTTGTTTTAAATATGTTAGCCAATTAAGACTCAAAATTTTGGGAATAGGTTGTATGCAGGAGCAAAGCAGTCAAATGTTTTCTAATTAAGCAGCCAGGAACTTTTCACTTGTCTGAGTATGTAGTTGGATAGCAATTATTTTGTCCATTGTTTGCATTTTGAATGAGAATATAATAGGGCCATCATATTTCATTATATTAAAGTTTAAAGATGCTGTAATTGTGAAGGTTAGATTGTAAAGCTGTGGTCAGAGTCATCTTGTTTAATAGCATGACCTGGAGGCCGGTGATTCAGTCACATGCGTGAATTCAGTCACACCTTAGAAGCTAAACTGGATTGGACTGGTTTAATACCGGGAGGAGGCCCTTTAGGGTTTGAAATGTTCCCATAGGAAGTTGGCTTAGTGTTGACTTAGCCTTCAGGCTGCAGAATCCAGAGGTATGAGGGTGTATGTATGTGTGTGCATACACATGGCCATGGGCTGTAGTTTGGCCACAAGCCAGACACACACAGAGCCTGAAAGTTATCAATTAAAAAGTAGTTAACAGTATTTCAGCTTGTGTAGAAAAAATCAAATTGCTTATTTACCTTGCCAAGTGAACTCAAAATGATTGAACTTTGAGAACAGAAATGGATGACTTCTAACCATTATCACATTTTAAAATTCTTAGAGTTAATGTACACTGCTTATAATGTAGTGCGTCTGCATCCAAGTGAGGTGTAAGAGTTAGTGTCTACATCTGGTGACCATTTTTATTGTATCTATATGGTTTTACCTACAGTTTGGGAGATGTAATTTGGCATGTAATATTTGGAGGAAATATCTGAATATATTACTTTCTTTTTATGTTCCTGGCCTTCTTGCCTAGATTAATTTACAGAAATTCTCTGTAATATGAAGCCTCCCATTACTGTGTGTTTTGTTTTGTTTCTTTGTTTTGTTTTGTTCTGTTTTGTTTTGTTTTGAGATGGAGTCTTGCTCTGTCACCCAGGCTGGAGTGCAGTGGTGCGATCTTGGCTCACTGCAACCTCCACCTCCCGGGTTCAAGCAATTCTCCTGCCTCAGCCTCCTGAGTAGTTGGGACTACAGGCATGACCCCCCCGCCCCCATGCCCAACTAATTTTGTTGTATTTTTAGTAGAGACAGGGTTTCACCATTTTGGTTGGGCTGTTCTCAAACTCCTGACCTCAAATGATCCACCTGCCTTGGCCTCCCAAAGTGCTGGGATTACAGGCATCAGCCACCTCGCCCGGCCAAAAAAGATCTTTATAGATGTGATGTAAGGTATAGCCCACATTCTCCTACTTCCATTTTTGAAGCAGAAAACTGAAAAAGTGACACAGCCACGGTAGGAAGATAGCTCATCTGGTTGTCCTCTTCATGGGAGACTGGCAAACCTAGTTGCAATTTCTACAGCAGGCACTTGTTACCACAGTCCTACTTTTTCTTGTATCTGTGATTTTTAAAAAATACCATATGGTATTCTATTGTATGTGTATAACATTTTGTTTAGAGTGCCTTATTGATGGATATTATGTTGTTTTTTGCTTTTAAAACTGTTGTACTGAACTTTGTATGTGTCTTTGTGAGGCATGTGAATATATCCATAGGATAAGGTCCTGGAAGTGGAATTGCTGGGACAAAGGGTATTACATTTAAAATTTTGAGACGTACTTCTGAATTGTCTGCCAAAAGAGTTGTACTGATGCATACCTCTTCTGCACTGTTTCCCCTCCATGATGCCTTTGAGAAAGAAACACTTCTTAACTTGTTAATTACCTTTTAGCAGGTCTAAGCCCCACTCTTTTTTTTCTATTCTTTCTTTTACTTTGCCCTTTCATTCATAAAATTATTTCTTTTCAGCTTTTAAAGATGTGCCCGTGATGAAATTGAAGGCCTATGTTTCACTCAGTTTGATGTGCAAGCTGTTAGTCTAAGCATGCATGTATTACGAGTTTAGGGGGAAAAGTGACGAAGTAAGTTGACAAATTTCAGTGATGTGATCATTTAAAAAGTTAGAGGGTCGGCCGGGCGCGGTGACTCACACCTGTAATCCCAGCACTTTGGGAGGCCAAGGCGGGCGGATCACCCGAGGTCAGGAGTTCAAGACCATCCTGGCCAACATGGAGAAACGGCGGCTCTACTAAAAATACAAAAAGTTAGCCAGGCCTGGTGGCAGGTGCCTGTAATCCCAGCTACTCAGGAGGCTGAGGCAGGGGAATCGCTTGAACCTGGGAGGCGGAGGTTGCAGTGAGCTGAGATGGCACCATTGCACTCCAGCCTGGGCAACAAGAGTGAAACTCAGCCTCAAAAAAAAAAAAACTGTTAGAGTGGGGCTGTCTTGAGTTAGCTTATGAGAGTGCCTATCACTCTCCTAGAGATTTAGGAAGTATGTAATCAACATGAGTTTCCCCTCCCCCCGCATGCTGCCACTGATCCACTAACAATAGGGCTGTAAAGCTTGAGGGAAGATGGGTTTTGATCAAAACTCTCCTTACTTAGAAACTTGACAAGTCCTGCCTTTGTCATGTTTCCCTTTAGCATTCTCTTACCTTTCTCTCACATGAAGATTTCTTTTACATTACAGGAGCAGCCGGTATATGTAACTCTATCTGTTTTTCTTTGATAGGTTCATCTATTTGTTTTAACACTTCTTGTATTTTGACTTGATTATTCACATTATCATCTTAGCCTGTGATATGAAGTAGTTTGAGATTTAGTTTTCTACCATAATAAAAATAAATTGATTCCCACTACCCCCTTTTTGGGGAGGGTGTATTTATCCTTATTAGTCACTAAAGTTTACTTAAATTTTCCTTTTATTCACTAAAATATAGGTACTGGAGGAGTTACTTCTCTATCAACATCAATACCATTCTCTGTATTCATTAAAATTTAGGCTGTTAATGGGATTGATTGTTCTTTGTGAAGTGAGAAAGTCATAATTCATTAGATATGTTTTAATTATTGAATTTGTTAGACTCTAACCTTGAAGTACTAACTAAGCTTGCTATAAATATACTGTTTCTCATCTTTGCTGTCTACCTTGTTGTTAATGGAGAGTCACTTTGTAGAAAAAAATATACTGTTTCTCATCTTTGCTGTCTACCTTGTTGTTAATGGAGAGTCACTTTGTAGAAAAAAAAAAAAGAATGTTTGAAAAAACTCAGGCACCTAGTTTTGAGAACAAGGGAAAATTACCTTCATAGCTTGTTGCTAATCTGTGCCCAAATATGAGCATGAAGGGATGTCTACACTGAGTTACGCAGGCCTTTTTTTTTTTTTCTTTTTTTTTTTTTGGTGATTGCAAGGTGAGGTGCTTTTTGCACCAATAAGAACAGTAAGGACATGCTAAGTCTGAGCATGATTTAATCGAAACAGTCATCTTCAGGAATTTGTTACGGTAACTTCTCTGCTATCATAGGATAAGTGAGGCATATGATCTTTTGAAAAGCAGATGTTAAGTGGCATATGTGTCTTCAGTCACCTCTGTGTGGGTTGTTCTGTAGTATAGAGGGTGTTCTAAAAATGATCTTTAGGAATGGAGTGAGGCTTGTTTTTGTTTTTGTTTTGTTTTACACTTCCACACAATCCCTTTTCAATTCCTTGCAAACTGCTGAGTATGTACTATTTTGCCAGCAAAGGCTGAGCCTGTATGAACCCAGCCATGTGCTTTGTCTGTGCATGTCCCCACACAGGAAGCACACCAGAGAAAGCGATACTTCAGGGTAGATTGATTTCATTAGAACTTCATTATCACCAGCCTCAAATGGTTCTGGCCAGCAGTCTTTTTCTATCTGTATGATTAACCCTTCTCTTCCTCACAGCACCTCCTCCCACCACCTTTTCTCAGTGTTAACAGGTGATCTAGACTCCTACTCTCAGAGAAAATTGAAGCCAACAAGTAGAAAGTCTTTTTTGCTACCAAAGACACAAACCTATCTTCTTCTGCATCCATCCTCACCCCCGCTGCTGCTGTTCAACACAGGAGTCCTCTCTCCACCTACCCAAAGCCTGTCCCCTCCTGCTGTGCCCTGGATCTTATCTCTGTCATTGCCTTAGAAACCTTTCTTGTATATATTCATCTTTTTCCTTCAATAGATCTTTCTTATTGGATTTTAAGCATGTTGCAGCCTCTTCTGTTAATAAAACAACAATCAACAAAAACACTCTCCCTTAACTGCATGCTTTATTCCAGCTACTACCTTATATCATTCCTTTCCTTCAAGGCCAAAGTCCTCAGAAGAGGTGGCAATATCCTCCATCATTTCTTCACTTCATACTCATTCTTCAACACATACTAATCTAGTCTCTTACCCCATAATTCATTAAAACACTTATTCTTGGGTCATGGGTGACTTCTGTATAGCTAAATCCAGTGGATATTTTTCAGGCCTCCTCTTCCTTACATTTTAGTATTTCACCCTATTGGCCATTCTTTTCTTCTTGAAATACTCTCTCCTTTAGCTTTTATGACACTGTACTCCTGGTTTTTCTCCCACTTCTTGTCTGCTCCTGCTTAGTTCCCTCTGTAAACTTGGCCTCTTTCACAAGGCCAGTAAACACTCGAGTTTTTCAAGATTGCCTGTTGGACTTTTTCTTTTCTCTCTGTGTTGTCTCTCATCCATGCTTACAGCCCTAATTACTATAACCATTGTCATATAACTGGGTTCTGTAGATTTGACTTTCTCAATATCTCCTGACTTGGCCACTTTTTATCCACTGCTGCCACATTCTTCTGCAAGCCACCATAGCCACTTAACTGGATTCTGTGGGAGTTCTTTGACCATTTAAATTTTTTTCTCTGTCCACCCCCAGATCTGATCATTTAATCTCTTCTAATCCTCCTTAATGCATTTTGATGGCTTTTCATAGCTATTGGGGAAAAAGTTTACAATCCTTTAAGACGTTCATGAGAGTCTGCATTGTCTTGGCCCTTTGCCACACATCCAGAGCCATGTCTTACCATGTTCCCCTGGCTGCTGGCTCCCCACTCATGCACTGGTCTCCTTGTAGTCCTGTGCCCTTCAACCACAGACCTATGCATGCCTTTTTTCATCACCTGAGTGCTCTTCCACCAGGTTTTCTCCTGGTTTACTCCTGAGCTCCCTTTGGAGCTCTGAGCTCTCCATATGCACAGTGGCTGTTCTCAGTGCCTTACTTCCTGGAACATGGTAAATGCATATTAAATATTGAGTGAATGAATAAATGAATGAACTTGCTAGTTTTTTGACTGGGAAGAATTATTTCTATGTAGCATACCAAAGCATCAGGTTGTCTTCTCCGATTACCCTTTTATGGTGTTGTTTTTATGCTGATAGATACGTTTTGGTAACCTGCGCACATTGCCCTTTATACTAAGTTTCACAACTACTTTCACGTAAATCTCTTGAGATCTTGGGTAAATCAGTTGAGTTCTTTGAACCTTATGCTATAACCAGCCCATAATGTCCCCCCTCCCATACTCATACACATTTCCAGATGCTCTGTACGTGATTTTTGTTCTAACTTCTGTAATTCTTGATACTCATTTTCTGCAGAAAGAACTGAGACACAGGTTGCAGGATGTGTGTCCAAAGTCAGAGAGCAAATTAGGACTAAATCACAGGACACCTGACTCACAGCTCTGTGCTTTGTGTGTGTGTTCCACCTCAATTTAGGCTTTTCTCTCAAATATGTAAAAACTGTTTTTTAAAAATTTAAAGAATTCCTAGCTACTCGGGAGGCTGGGCTGAGGCAGGAGGATCGCTTGAACCCAGGAGGCGGGGGTTGCAGTGAGCCGAGATTGCGCCACTGCACTCCAGCCTGGCGACAGAGTGAGACTCCATGTCAAAAAAAAAGAATTACGGCCAGGCGCAGTGTCTCATGCCTATAATACCAGCAGTTGGGGGGGCCGAGGCGAGTGGATCACTTGAGGTCAGGGGTTCGAGACCAGCCTGGCCAACATGGCGAAACCCCGTCTTTACTAAAAATACAAAAATTAGCTGGGCATGGTGGTAGGTGCCTGTAATCCCAACTACTTGGGAGGCTGAGGCAGGAGAATTGCTAGAACCTGGGAGGCTGAGGTTGCAGTGAGCTGAGATTGCACCACTGCACTCCAGGGTGGATGACAGAGTGAGACTCTTGTCTCAAAAAAAATAAATAATAAAAAAATTAGATTGTGATAAGGTGCATAAAATTTACCATCTTAATCAGTTTTAAGTTGATAGTTAAGTGGCATTAAGTACATTTACTTTGTTGTACAACCATCACCGCCATCCATCTCCAGAGCTCTTTTCATCCAGTGTAACTGAAGCTGTGTACCCGTGAAACTCTAATTCCCCATTTCTCTCTCCCCCCACCCGTTGACAACCACCATTCTTCTTTCTGTCTTGTCTTTCCTTTTTAAATTGAGGAAGGAAACTGTGGTCCAGTGTTTTTTCAAGTGATCAGATATCTCAAGTCACAAAGTTTAGGTGGGTTTTTTATTCTGATTAAAAAAAATATATGTGACCAAATGCTATCTTTTCCAGGCTTCATTATTTTACAGTGTACTCCAGAGTTGGGCAAACATAAAATGACATGCCCACCCTCCCTCCTTGCTAACATTTAAATGTGTTCTTTTCTTGTATATTTAATAAAAATAAACACTGAAAAAGAGTTAAAAGGTTCACTGTCTCCTGCTGAGGGCATAAGGCAGTAGCATGTTTCTGCTTGTGGGTGCTTTTGTTTGTGTCGTTATATAATTGCCTGATGACATTGTGGATGTTTTTTCCCCAATACAAAATGCTTATAATCTTGAAAAGAAATTAAATAATTATTAGAAAGAAGGGTTTTTAACATGGTTTAGTTATCAAACTTGCCTGATACGAATCACCTGAGGGAGGGGGGAGAAACTTGTTAAAATGCAGATAACCAGGCCTTTCTTTCTATTCTTAATCTGTATTAGGACCCAAGTGTGGGAAACATTGGTATAGGACACATTGATGAGTTCTGTTTTGGTAATAATCTGGAACTTCAGCATGTTTCTTATGATTTATTTTTTCTGAGTATGTCAATACACACACATACATATACATATACATTATTGTGTTTCTTTATGGGGGTTACCAATATCATTATCATTTTGCCCAGTAGTAGAAGTATAATTTGTTCTGTATTTTCTTTATTATGTATTCTCAGCTTCATATGGGGTGTTACTGTTTAGTTAGTTCTCAGTTTATGATACCAGGATATTGCAGAGAAGAAATCAGGCTCTGTAGTCAGACAGACCTGGGTTGAAACCCTGACTGCCACTTACCAGATTTGTGTTCTTGGTCAAGTTATATAACTTCCTTATGCTTTGGTGTTTTTCCATCTGTAAATTCAGGATAATAACACAACCTACTGCTTAGGGTCAATTGAGATGATTAAGTGAGATAATGCTTTAAGTCCTTTAATGCATTGCCTGCCACATAGTAGGTATCAGTATTTATTAGTCCCTGTTGTTGTTTTGTGATTGTTATTACTTTATAAGGTATCCCAATTGGCAACATTATCAGAAGCTGAAGCTGAGGGCACATGAGAGCATAAGAAGGGAGGAGAACCTAGAAGCAGCAACATGTGCTTTTTGAAACTTTTATACTTCACCGCTGTTTGTTGTCCTCACTTCGTGCCTGCTTTCCAAATTGTTTTTTAGGAGAGACAAAGCCTTTAGGAAACCTCGAAAGGGTGTGTGCTTGTTTAGGATTATGGGGAAGCTATGACATTGTACCCTGGTCCATGTGGATTTCGATAAGGATTCTAAAACTTGGCTGGAAGCCATAGATGGTGGTTTTGTCAGTAGAAATTAGTGAAAAGAAAAGGAACAAGCCTAGGATGGAACATATCTCCAGGAATTTGAAACACTGATATGTCCCAGTCCCCATAGCTCATGTTTTTCTTTATTATTTATTTAATCCTCAAAAGTTAATGTTTTAAGCATTATGCTAGATATTGAGGATATAAACATGGACAAAACACAGGCTCTGCCTTCAGGAAGCCCATGGTTCAATATGAGAGATAGGCAGATATATAGTTATGAAAAATGTGGTAAATACAGAAATGAAGATAACAGACGGCATTTGGGAACAGAGGAAAGTACTTCCTGGAGGAAATGGTGGTGGAACCGAGTCTGCTGAAAGAATTCGAGTTGGCCAGGTAATGTCATGTACGGGGGTGAGGTATGCAGTGGACATTTCTTGAGCAAATAAAAGAGTCAGGAAAAACCTGACATATTTCTGTTTTTGTACTGGGAAATGGGCTTTGCTCTTCTCCTTACCCCCAAGACTTATGAAAGGGAAATTTCTCAAATATAGGAAAGCAGATGCAGGGTAGCCAGAACCTTACTGTTTGTATCCACATAAATAATTATTGAGTGCCAGCTGAAAGCCAGCACAACCAGCAGACTCTGAATTTAAGTCACTTTATTTTTTCATCCTTAAAAAAATCCCGATTTGGACTGTGGCCATTGATATTTCCCATATGTGTCTTTTCAGCTATTGTCACATTTTTGGTTCAGGATTTGGTAATGTTGTGTCTGCACTAAAGCACTCTTCTCTTAGCTGGCATTTTTCTTTCTCTTAGTTAACTTTAATTAGTGTCCTCTCTGCCATGTTTCTAAGTACTTCCTTTCCAAGTACTTTGATGTTGTTTCATGCTCCTTGCAGTTGAGTGTATTGGTGTTTGCCATGATATATTGTGGAAGCCTTCAGTGGTCTGTTGTGCTAATCTTTTTTTTTTTTTTTTTTTTTTTGAGGCAAAGTCTCGCTCTGTCACCCAGGCTGGGATGCAATGGCGCGATCTCGGCTCACTGCAACCTCCGCCTCCTGGGTTCCAGTGATTCTCCTGCCTCACCCTCCCGAGTAGCTGGGGTTACAGGCACCCGACACCATGCCTGGCTAAGTTTTGTATTTTTAGTGGAGACAGGGTTTCACCATATTGGCCAGGCTGGTCTGGAATTCCTGACCTCAGGTGATCCTCCCATCTCGGCCTCCAAAAGTGCTGGGATTACAGGCATGAGCCACTGCGCCCAGCCTGATCTTTAGCCATTTATATCACTGTAGAAGTCATATGTTCCTGCAGAATCCTATCTAATTCTCATGTGAGCTAATGTATTAATAAAGTTTTGGAGTACTGAAATGTTACCTTGGAGGTATCTATGCCAAAAAAATCTCTCATGCAATTTTTATGTTCAGCTAGCTTTGGCTACCTGTTAATGTAGGTGGTGATATCCTTATACTATATCCATATATCTATCTATCTATACATAAATGCCAACATACCTGTATATGTATATATACGTGTGGAGATATATATATATATATATAGCCTAGGGGAGATTGCTCTTTTAAGATGGGTGTTGTATGAAAGATAAACATTACTTTTATCCAAAATTATTTTGTATTATGACAATAGCATTTTTCTATACCTCTCTGCCCTATATTTTTAAACAAATTCAGGGCACCAAGCTTGCATATAAGTGATTTGCAATTTTTAGTCTCACTTCCAATTTCATTTTAAGGCCTTTTCTTGGTTTTATACTTCTAATTTAAAGTTTATGCTATCTTGTATTTTCTTTGTAAGCTACTTTTAATTGCTTATGAAAGAAAAGCTGGGATAAAGCTGGGATATAAACATGTTTAAAGATTATAATGTATGATAATTGGGTCATTTTGAAACATTAACATTATCATAGAATAATAAAAAAAATAAGAGAATGGCCTTTTTTTCCATAAAAAGACTAGCATTTATTACTTTAAGTGGCAAAGGATCACATTATATGATTTTGAAAGGTTTCCATAAAACAGGCAAGTTACAATAGTTAATGTTCAACTATCTAAAATATAACATGAGAACATGGTCACTATAATATAGTCTAATGCTCTTTGGTTAGTCAAACCTAAGATGGAAATGACATTTCCTGTTAACATTCCACAAAAAGATGTTACGAAGAAATGAAACCTTTAGAATGAAAGTAAGTATCTTCTATGTGTGAAAAATAAATGAAGTTTTTAAAGGTTGTGTTATCCCAGTGAGACTATGAAGAAAGAAGGTGGTGGACAGGACACACACAGCACAGGCGTCTTCTGGATGCTTCAGGCAGGTAGAGGAAAGACAGATTTGAAAGACAAAGGGACCACCACTCTGTTAGGATATGAGCTAAGGGAGGAATAGCATTTTAAATTTTATAGGCTATTACTTTTTCATAGTGGTTTTTTGTGTTTTTTTGAGATGGAGTTTCGCTCTTGTTGTCCAGGCTGGAGTGCAGTGGCATGATCTCGGCTCACTGCAACCTCTGCCTCCTGGGTTCAAGTGATCCTCCTGCCTCAGCCTCCCGAGTAGCTGGGATTACAGGCGCCTGCCATCACGCCTGGCTAATTTTTGCATTTTTAGTAGAGACAGGGTTTCGCCATGTTGGTCAGGCTGGTGTCAAACTCCAGACCTCAGGTGATCTGCCCTCTTCAGCCTCCCAAATGCTGGGATTATAGGTATGAGCCACCGCACCCAGCTTTGTAGTGGTTTTTAAAGTTTTCCCTTTTCCCATTTTTTGTTTAACTAATTTTCTTTATCTGCTGTCTTTTAGTGGAGGAAAACCATTTCAGTTTTTGTTCCATTAAAGTGTTAAACATCATGATAAAAGAGATGACTTACTCAGACTCATTGTATTCTACAGCTGCTTTTGTGTTGAAATGACTATGTCATTCTGAAGGAAGTTTTATGTTTTATTCTCTTAGCTGAAAAACTTGATTCTTCAATGACTTTATTCATTCCCTCTAGGATTACTCAGTGTTTACTTTCTTTGCTAATGGCAGGGTTCTCATAATAACATGCCATGTCTTGTTCTGAGATTTGGCAGACTTACAAAGTCTGTTTTTTATTTCCCTAAAAGGTGCAAATTTTACGGAAACAAAACGATTTTTTATTGAAAGAACTTCAGATATTTGTTTTTGTCTAGACTGCTATACATACCTGTTTACTAATCTTGAGGTTGGCAGATTCTTCAGATGTTTCTATGTGAATAAAAAATGTTACTTTTGGAGGTCTGTTATTTACTTCCATAGTTGTCAATGGATTTATTGTTCCTATAATAATTGTAGGGTCACTTTTAAAAGAGTGGTCATATTGGTGGCAGGTTGAAAACATTAAAGGATTTCCTAATAATTTCCTGGAATATGAGCATGTAGGTGATGGTAACCACATTCCCAGGTTATGAACAGTGCAAAGTGATATAAAAGTATAAGATTTTCTTGAAAGGTCTGTTTTCTCACCATAAAAGAGTACAAATTGCCACTTAGCTTTCTAATATTAATGATATATTTTCAAACAGCTTTTCATATAAGCAGCCTGCCAAGTAGTATACAAAATAATCTGCATTTCATTTCTCCCACACTACCTTTGAGCCCTCCCACTCTTTCTGTGGTTTCCCAAATGATTATTTTGAGCAAACAGGAATGCTTGTGGAGCTTGTAGAGAGCCTTTCTTTGTAAGCTATCAACAGGTTCTTACTCAGTGATTTTTTTGGGTGGTGAGTACCACTCTTTGAAGGCTTTCCTGTTTCCACATTGTTCCGGTAGTCTTTCAATGCTTTGTTTTTGAGATCCAAGTTTCCTGACTGGCTTCTAGCCTTGAGTGAAGTCTCCAATGTCCATATTTTGCCACTTTCTCTACAAGAAGCATTTGAAGAATCTTTTCCTCTCTCATGTAGATAGAGCTAGCTTCAAAGTTTCTGCATGGTTTAGGGTGTTACGTAAATCTCACAAATTATAAAGATATGAAGTCTGGGATGTGTGACTGTGTGTGTGTGTAGGGGGGCACATGCACACATGTGTGCTCATGAAAACATAAACTATTGCTTATTATAGACATTCATTTATGATTCAGATTACTAAGGAACCAACCTACTTACCAACTTATCAGTAGATATTTGTTGAGGGTGTACTATATATCATTCTTTATTACAGCAGAAGGATAAAATACAAAATTTTCTTAATACATAGTACTTGCTATCTTGGAGTTGACGGTTTGGGAGAAACAACATATACATGTACACGAACCAGTGAATTAATAGGGCAAGGAGTCTAAGATTATCCTAAGTGCCATATCGTGGGGTGCAGGCTGGAAGTATGAGTTCAGGAAACAGAGACAGAAATAAGGGCTAGGAAGATCAGCCAGGCTCCATAGAGGAGGTGGAGCTTGATCTCTCCTTGGAAGAATGACTAGGATTATAGAAGACAAAGATGATGTGAAAGGGTATGGTGCAATGGGGAGGCCATGGACACAGCACTGAATTAAGCTACAAGCTTTTTGTCTTAGAGGAAAAACATTGACAGGATGCTGGTTGGATTGGAAAGATGCTGTTGGAGTAGCGTAGCTTAAATCAGTTGAATAGGACAAATACTCATATATATTCTGACTATGATATATTTGTAGACTTTGTTGAAATTTATATATGTTCAAATTGTTATATTTTCATTGTTATATTTGCTTTCGATACAGAAGTTTCTGAGATAAGTGAGCAATGTTAAATGTTTGATGAAAGTCTCTGCATTTTAACGCAGGCTTGGTGTTAATATTAGCAGATGTTGTTATGTAAATGGAAACCTATATAATTATATAATGTTGAATTGGCACATGAGAAAACCTAATTAACACAGTGAATTTTTTCCTAGGCCGGACCTGATAGATATGAATACTGTTGCTGTTCAAAGCAACCTTGCAAATTTAGAGCATGCTTTTTACGTAGCAGAAAAAATTGGTGTTATAAGACTTCTGGACCCTGAAGGTGAGTTATTTTCTTGATTATATGTGGACTGGCATGAAAGTCTGATCAAAAGTAATTTATCAACATTGTGAAATAATTAATTTATGTTGCTGTTTTTAGATGTCGATGTCTCCTCACCTGATGAAAAATCAGTAATAACTTACGTGTCATCTCTCTATGATGCATTTCCTAAAGTCCCTGAAGGTGGGGAAGGCATTGGTGCAAATGTGAGTATTGATTTTTCCACACCGGAAGCTGTTGATTCAGTAATGACCAATTGACTGCATTTATTGATAATGATTTTTGCAGTTTTTGAATGTTGAATATATTTTAAAGAATTTGAGTTAATATGCTGTTTGATGAATTGATATTCTATGTATTTCATGACATTATTCTACCATTAAATTTAAAGTATAACTCATTAAAACTTTTGTGTCATAAATAAAAGAGGCTATTTATAGTTACCGATCATCTTATAAATAAAAGGTTTAACTTTCTGAAATTTAGAGTTTTCCATTTTTAGCTGGCTGCCGTTTTACATTGCTGTATTTGCTATTCTTTTGTATGTATAGAATATCTCAGTTTTGAAAACAATTTCAAATTTGTTACTTCATACGATTCTATGAAATAAGTTGGCTTGATAACATTTTTGTGATTTAAAGGAGGACTCCAGAGGAAAATTATTGGATTTGGCCAAATTAGCAGAGCCACTTAGTAAGCAGGGAAAGGTCTCTGACACATAGCTTTGGGCTGTTTATTAGTCTACTATTTCTTAAAGGTTTGTGTAACTCACTTCAGTGATGCTTTTTTTTTTTTTTTTTTTTTTTGGGTGGTTATGCTAACAAGTGCTTATGCATTTCTGAAGAGAACAGGAAGCCCAGTATGTGTCACATATTTGGGGATGATCCCCTTCACTTGGATTTCTGCCTTCCTCTTTGCAGACACCTTTTTTCCCCTACATTACTTTGAAGATTTAGGAGCTCATCTTTGATTAGCTCCCCTGGATTAGGAGCTCCCTTTTCTGATTGCTTCTGTCAGTTCTCTGTGCTGTTTCTAGACCTGTTTCCATATTCTTCCTCAGGTTCTTCTTTTCAAAGGCTTCATGCTCTTTGATCCCTGAGTAGCCTGTTCCCATGCTCACCCCTGATGATTCAATGTTGAGCGTTGCTTCAGAATGTTTCTTTGGCCATCTCTTGCTGCTGCTTCTCCCAACCTTCATGCTGATCCTGCTGCCTATTACTGCAGAACTAGGCCGATAGCTTTCCTACAGCTTTCTGTCTCCATTTTGTTCTTCTTCCCACTGCCTCGGCACACTGTTGCCAAATTAATCTGTCTAAAACCTGATGTCTTTGGCTTGAAAATTTTCAGTGTCTACATATTCCTTGCAAAGTTAAATGCAATCTAGATATTCTGACATTTAAAACTGCAAATATTTATTCTGTTTACCTACATGTTTTAGCTATGATTTCCCAATATGAACTGTTTACTGGTAGCCAGGACATTTCCATGTCAATGTCCTGACTCACTTGGGACTCCCCTTTTATCCACTCTTTCAGCACCCCCACTCACCTCCCCCCATCAATAATTACTTACTGGTCATTGCAGAACATCTCAGATACTGCCTTTCCCAAGAAGCCTTTAGAAACTATTTTAAGGCACAGATATGCTTGCCTGATTCTTATCTCAACTAGCATGTACTACCCGTTTTAGTTATTTCAACATTTCAACACTTAATTAAATACTGCTCTTCATTTTGCCTGTTTATATTATGTATCTCTCTTGCCTCTGCATTTAGACAGTAACTCCTTGACAATAGGTATTATATCTTAAAGTATTTTTTTATTATAACACTCAACACAACCTTTGAACATAATAATAAGCACTCATCAAATACTTAAACAGAGCAGTTGGCAGCCTTCCAAGTTTCCTCCATTTTTAAAGAGTTTGCCTACTGAGTACTTGGATAATCCCACCATATACATTTCCTGTAGTTTGTGTACATATCTGGTTTCCTATATATTGGGTAAGTCTTTTGAGTTTGAGATACATAGTAGATTTAGATCTAAAATAGTTGGCAAAGATGGCAACTAACTTGGCTTATGCAAGTTGTTACTGCCCAATCTTGAGCCCTGGTAAACACCCCAAATTGACTTTGGATTTTTTTCTGCTGTGCTTAGATTGAGCCCCAAAAGCCTTCTAAATACAATACCCCAGGCAGCCACTTTCTTTGGATCAGAATTGGCACTCATAAGGCTAGTGTTAGTGGCCAAATGTTGATAGCAAATTTTACAGGTGTTTATGTGACAGGGATTGGGGCTGGGTGAAAGTAAGAAAACATTTAGCTGGTTCTGTCTGTCAGGCTTCAAATACATACATTTACAGAATGACTTCTGACTAAATTGTCTTAGATATGAATGTTATTATCTACAGATGTGAACCTTTTCTATCATTTGATTGTTCTAGGATGTTGAAGTCAAATGGATTGAATACCAGAATATGGTGAACTACCTCATCCAATGGATTAGACACCATGTGACCACAATGTCTGAGAGAACATTTCCTAATAATCCTGTAGAACTGAAGGTTAGTGTCACTGTAGAAATTACATAGGATTGATTCAATTGTAAACCCTTAAGTAATGCTATAATAATTCTGTAATTTTAGAAGTTCAACAAAAGTTGCCCTTGGAAAGCCATTAATAAGTAGGCAAAATTTGTATTACTCATTTCTCTTATTATACAGAGAAAATGGAGGTAAAACATTAACAATTAAAACAGATTAGCTGTAGTCACTCAGCTTTGGTTGAGAGGTTAAAGGTTTAATTTGAGAGAGTCTCTGAAACTGACATTGTCAGATTGATTTTAGTACATGGGAAATGCTTGCAGCCCCCGAGATGGCTTGAGGTAGAAGGGACCCTGGGAAGTACATACAAGTGTGGCACTGGATTGGGGGTGTGCCTGTGGTTGAGCCCTGTTAAAAACTGCTTCTTTTGTGCAGGAAGCATCTTTTGTGCAGGAAGAGGTACACAGTATTTCACCATGAATTTGAAAATACATGTCTGACTTCCAGTATAAGTGAATTCATGGTTTAGTAAAACATTTGCTAATACTGAAAAACTTAGGGCAAGCTTTTGAGGCAAAGACATTGCAGATATAAAAGCCATTATAGGCCGGGTGCGGTGGGTCACACCCGTAATCCCAGCACTTTGGGAGGCCAAGATGGGTGGATCACCTGAGGTCAGGAGTTTGAGACCAGCCTGGCTAACATGGTGAAACCCCATCTCTATTAAAAATACAAAAATCAGCCTGGCGTGGTGGCACACACTTGTAATCCCAGTTACTCAGGAGGCTGAGGCAGGAGAATCGCTTGAACCTGGGAGGTGGAGGTTGCAGTAAGCCGAGATCGCATCACTGCACTCCATCCTGGGCGAGAGAGCAAGACTCCGTCTCAAAAAAAAAAAAAAACATTACAAAAAGCCATTACAAATATGTAAACTTATTAAAGAGTAAGTTGTCTCATTTGTATATTTGGTTTTATAATAGCAAAGTGGTCTACTTTATTTCTAGAAGCTGATAATGCGAATATTGCCGACAAAGCCTTAATTCTTTGGTTTGTAAGCTTTATTTTCATGATCAAACTGGGATAGAAAAAACTGTAATAACCTAGGGTGAGCTCCATTAGAGTTATTCATTGTGCTCCTGCATCCGTACAGAATATCTGTAGAACAGCTTTCATTCTCATTGCCACGGGGAGTTTGTCCTTGGCACGAAATTACTTGGCATCTGATGATATGATACTTTTTAAGTGTTCTCAAGCTGTTTGTGTGATGTTTCCCTACATGGACATGTAATTTTCCAGGGCAGGAAAACTTTTCCCTACAACGACCATGTGGTGCCATGAACAGTGTTTAGCACACAGGAGTATTCGGTGCTTAATGACCAACAGACGTCCTGAAACATTGCATTCTGATTTCAAAACCATTTTCAGATTTCATGTTCAAATACACTTATTTCCAAATGGATTTCCATTGTCCAGACCCTTGGATGAATTGTACTGGCTTCTGGTTAGTGTAGATTCTTAGTTATAGAAGAAGTGATCAGAGTACTTGCTGATGACTAGAACAAGACATAGATTAGGAAAGAAAATACATCATGGGGAAATGCCAGATAATTGCATTAGCAGAACTTTGAATGGAATCCTTCAGAAATGTGTCATCCTAAAGATTTACAGGGTCTTGTTTTGTAGCTGCATGAATTACAATGAAGTAATTAGTACATACCTATTAAATATGGAGATACATTATCTACATAATTTTTATGAAGGTCCCTTTTAATAAATACACTGTATTTAAGAGGTTCCCAAATTAATGTATACAAACTAGATAGTAACTTAATTACACGGTTGAAACTTCTGTAATAATAGCCCCATCAACTAATAGCATCTACCTTCATTTGTTCAAAAAATCTGTTTAAATTTGCCAGTGGGACATTGAAACTAAATTTTAGCCCTTTCTGCTAAGAAGTTTTTTTTTTTTGAAGGATAGAACCATGCAATAGAAGAGAGTTTTTTTATTGCTTTCTTTATGGGAATTGCTTCAAATTATTTTTCCAAAGACTGAAAGCTAAAGTGCAGCATTTGGGAAGTGCATCTTTTAAAGGGTATGTTTTCTTGTTTGGAGGATGAGAGATTTTTAGTAGAGCACTAGTAAACACTGAATGGTTTATTATTATCCAGATCCCCCTGTGGCACTAAATCATGGCTCACATCAATAATTACACCCTCATCAAATTTTAGATAACCCACGTCACCAGCTGGCTGGAAATTGGTATTGTCTTTGAGTGTCGGTTTAACAAAGGAATTCCACTGACTGCATATGATACAGTACATAACACTTGAAGTGGTGGCTTAGTGAGATCATGAAAACAGATCTTTTAAGTTTGGTCCTTAATTTCTTGTCCTTTTTATTTTAGGCACTTTATAATCAGTATTTACAGTTTAAAGAAACAGAAATTCCACCAAAGGAGACAGAAAAATCAAAAATTAAACGTCTATATAAATTATTAGAGGTAAGCTCAAATTTGCTTTGTATTGTCAAGCATAGTCTTTGTTTTGTTTTGTTTTCATTTTTGCTTCACATTAAAGTTTTTTGTTTTCTCAAGATTTGGATAGAATTTGGACGCATCAAGCTCCTTCAAGGTTATCATCCAAATGACATAGAAAAAGAGTGGGGGAAACTCATTATTGCCATGCTAGAGAGAGAGAAGGCCCTTCGTCCAGAAGTAGAAAGGTAGGCCAGAGGTGTTTTCTGCCATGAATATCAAGTGGGGAGGGGGCCTTTGTGTTCTTGTGAAAGAACTTAAGTTAAACCTCTGTTTACTTGGCCTTGGATAAGTCTCTTAATCCTTTTGATCCTCCATTTTCTTACCTAGAAACTCTTCTAAGAGATTTTAAGGAGGCAATCAGTGAAGTAATGTATATAAATGACCGGCTAGGCTGGATTGGTATGTGAAGTCTCATCTAATAAGGCTTTACAGTTTTAAAACCAGTCAAAATTACTTGTAATTTCTCATATTGACCTTAAGTCACCAGGGCCTGGATCTAAAAGCTTATAGGACAACAGCTGATTTTATTTCTTATTACATTTTTTTGCTATAGTTCTCTTTCCAAGGGGCATTGGAAACCAAAATCTAGCTTGCCTTCATTTAAAGGGTGTTGGATGGCGTCTAGAACACACTCAGTAAATGTTAGTTCAGGTTCCCTTTCTGCCACGCTTCTACAAGTGGATTTACTCCATGAAATCATCACTAGTTCTCTGTCATTTTGTCTCTCACTACATCCAGTTGCCCAGGAAGGTACCATTTAGTCTTCAGGAAATGCTTGTTGGATGAATTTGTCTCCCTTACAGTCTTAACCTGGTACCTGGGAATTGTGATCTGTGTTCCTCATTAGCCATGAAGTCTATAGGACCTAGACCTTGCAGGGTGTATTAGTCCATTCTCACGCTGCTAATAAAGACATATCTGAGACTGGGTAATTTATAAAGGAAAGAGGTTTAATTGACTCACAGTTACATATGACTGGAGAGGCCTCACAATCATGGTGGAAGGCGAATGAGGAGCAAAGTCACATCTTACATGTCAGCAGGCAAGAGCTTGTGCAGGGGAACTCCCATTTACAAAACCGTCAGATCTCTTGAGACTTATTCATTACCATGAGAACAGTATGGGGGAAATCGCCCCCGTGATTCAGTTATCTCCACCTGGCCCCACACTTGACACATGAGGATTATTACAATTCAAGATGAGATTTGGGTGGGGACACAGGCAAACCATATTACAGGGTAAGGCCTGTGTGGCCAGACACACCTCTCCAGCCCCCTTGCTCTCTGCACAGTAGCCACACTGGCTGCCTTACACCTAAACATTCTCAGATCTCAGCTCCAACATTATTTTCTCGAGAAACTTTCCATGGTTCCCTAGGCTAGTTCAGATATCTTGCTTAGAACTCTCATGTTTCCATGTATTGTTCCTTCATAGTGCTTATCTTGGTTGTATTTTTATATTTATTTCGGTGATTGCTTAAGTCTTGCCTATTCCACAGATATGAGCTCCAAGAATGTGGAGAGAAACCCTTGTTTTTTTTCTGTCCCTTGCGTTGCCAGTGCTTTACACAGCGCCTGACACAACATTAGAGGTGCTCAGTATTGTCATGTTCTCTGTGCCTTACACATTGACTTCAGGATTCAACGTTGTGAAATAATGCATAAAATAAATATATGAGAGCATGTCTAACCTGTCAGTCCTTTATTAAATTACTGATTACATTTATGTTAAAGTATAATAATATGTGTACATAACTGGATTATTAAAACCAAAACAAGCCATAAATATACAGGATGCAGCTTTTACGGAAAAGGTAATTTGAGTGATTGAAATGAGATACTATGTTAATCATTTGAAATAATGGAAAAGTATTCCAGAGGATACAGAGTAGATTTTTAGTCATCAGAACAGTAGCTGAATTTTAAGATATGTTCATAAAAGAAAGCAGAGAGTGGTTGAGAGTTCAGGGCCTAGAAGCCACTCAATTTTAAATTAGATTATTAGCTCAGCCTGCAAAGTTGTATGATGTTAGACAAGTTCTTTAACCGTCTAAGCCTCAGTTTCTTCATTTGTAAACAGGATGTAATAGTGCCTACTACATTGGGTGGTTATGAGTATGAGATGAGTTATGTATCTAAAATGATTAATTTCTTGCACATAATAATTACTTAATAAATGCCAGGTGCCACTGTTATTGTTTTGAGCTATTCTGTTCACTCACTATATTTGATGTGGCACTCTCACACTTGATCTTAGCCAAAAGGCCAAGAAGCAATTGGTGTGGCACTCTCAAATTTCCCCTTTCTTGACCCCTGAAAAGAAAAATATCTATTCTTAGAGTGGAGAAGTAACAGTATTATTGGAGGTAGGAAAATATTTAGGAGGCTGGTTGGATAAATGCCTTCATGTTTCTTCATGCGAATTTTTTGGCATTGTCTATGTATTGCGAGTAATAGCTATGTGGCATGGAAGTGTATGAAAAACAAATGGGAAAGAGCCAGTGTTCTTATGCCATGTAATATCCTATAGAATGGAAAAACAAGCACAGACAAATTAAATTTGTAAGCATTGCATCAGTATTCTACTTGGCACTTTATAGTAGGTTTAGAAGTAACATTACTGGGAGCGTGTCATATAAAGAAAGGTAAATGGATACTTTTTCCATTAATTTAACCTAATAAACAAATGACATGGTGGTTAAAATGGAAGCGTACTTTGCTTCTCATCAAATTCATTTGTTTATAGGTACTTCATAATTTCTAGCTGTTTGCCTTCCTTACATTATTCAGCACAGACCTGGTCTTTTGCAGAAGTCAGACTATGATTGGATATTTGTGTTCTTTTAGCTAATGATTGGTATTGCCAGAATAATCTTTACTAGTTGTCCTGGACATCTGTGAGGCATCTGAGTTGTTTTTTAGGTGGTTGCAATTGGATGACTCTTAGTGCAAATATTTGGCATATCCTTTCCAGTGACGCCCAATCTGCCTGCTTTGTTCATACTTGTAGGGTTTTAATACAAGCTACAAAAGGCAAACCTCAGCTAGCAAACGAATGGCTTTAGGCTAGATTCTTTTGAATAGTTATCAGCATATTATTTGCTGTGTGTTGCATATGCATGTTGAAGCATATTTAAGGAGCCACTAAAAGCTGTAATATTCAGCTGCCACTTTTCACCGTTAGAAGTAGAGCTTTTTCCAGACCTCCTACCTTTTAGTCTACTTTGAAAGGTGAAAGAAAGAACATCGTTTCAGGAATAAAAATGCACAGTAGTAGTTATAGTTACCGTAGCAGTGATTCTGTGTTTAGTAACACTACCAGCACTCGAACCAGTCTTGATTCAAATGAAAATCTTCTCTTGGTTCATTGTGGTCCAACACTGATCAACTCTTGCATTAGCTTCGGCAGTGAATCCTTTGATGGACACAGGTATTGAATCATTGGTGTGGGATTGTGTTTTACTTTTTGATGGGCAGCACTTTTCAGGAATGGTGAGCTCTTTGACTTCAAAGGGAGAAGCTTTATTTTATTTTGTCTCATCTTTTAGGTTAGAAATGTTGCAACAGATTGCCAACAGAGTTCAGAGGGACAGTGTCATCTGTGAAGACAAACTGATTCTTGCTGGAAATGCTCTTCAGTCTGTAAGTTAATTTTAGGAGCCATTGGGGTTGTGGTAGAGGAGTCACTGTGCGTTTGGATGAACTAAAACTTTTACATAATGTTTGGTTGATTCTTCGTAATACTCTCCACTGAAACTTAAAGTTTGTTAAAGATTATGATTGGTGTTTGCTCTCTTGAGAGACAAGAAGAGGGAAAACATATTTTTGAACCAACAAGGAAAACTAAAGAAAGCCCAAGTAGGCTTCTGTTCCAATATTTGATGTTTTATATTTCAGGTTGTTTTGAAACTTGTTTCACAGAATTAATACTGAGTTCTTTTAAAATACAGGATTCTAAAAGATTAGAATCAGGAGTGCAGTTTCAGAATGAAGCAGAAATTGCTGGGTATATACTTGAATGTGAGAACCTTTTACGCCAGCATGTAATTGATGTACAGATTCTTATTGATGGAAAATACTACCAGGCAGATCAATTGGTACAGAGGTAAGAGTGCTACTTATTCTTTCTCTGTCCTTTTTTTGTGTAACTGTTTCATGGGCATTTGAAATAGGAATGTAGAGTATGAAAATTTTATGAAATATATTTCTTTGCTGTTTTTTAGTTGAAAATGTGTGTCACATTTTTATATATTTTGGTGTTTAAGTAGGTACTTGTCTTTTAAAGATTAGCAATAGAAAAAATATTTTATGGTGCGTATAATACTGCTGCAGTAACTAACTCGTTAAAATGAATACCCTAGATATAGATGTAAGTTACATGCATACATTTACATACATTTAAAGTATTCATGGGATGTTTGAAAGAGAAAAAAATCTAAGAAAAGTGTCTGTTTTTTGTTCTTTGAGATGCAGTTTTGCTCTCTCACCCAGGCTGGAGTGCAGTGGTGTGATCTCGGCTCACTGCAGCCTCTGCCTCCTGGGTTCAGGCGATTCTCATGTCTCAGCCTCCCTAGTAGCTGGGATTACAGGCACCCGCCACCACACCTGGCTAATTTTTTGTATTTTTAGTGGAGGCAGGGTTTTGCCATGTTTGCCAGGCTGGTCTTGTACTCCTGACCTTAAGTGATCCACCTGCCTCAGCCTCCCAAAATGCTGTGATTATAGGCATGAGCCACCATGCCTGGCCAAAAAGTGTCATTTTTAATTCAGCTTTTTAGTTTTCTGTTTATCCTATTATGAAAATGTTCATAACAAAATCTTGAAAGAAAATACGTGTATAAAAACCTTTATCACTGAGAAGTGTGTGTATGGGGGTAAGTATGGAATATTTCAGGCTATAACCTCTCTCTCTCTCTCTCTCTCTCTCTCTCTCTCTGTGCATAAATATGTAAATGCAAAAATTTTAAATGATCCTTTGACTCAGTAATTTCACCTTTAGGAATCTATAGTAATTCTAAATATGAAAAATATATACATAAATGTAAAAATGATCATATTATGCTATAGTAATTGTATTCATTATAAATCATAGTTATAAAGACAAATAAGATTGAAAGTCCTCATAGTACAATGCTCATTGAAAAAAATCATGATGCAAAATTTTAGCAATGTGATTTCAATTGCCTCCTCATTTTGCTTGTTTGTATTTTTGAGCCGTTTAGGCATACTGAAAAATTGAGTGAAAAATACAGAGTTCCCATATGCTCCCTTATACCTCCCTCTTCCCCTGTTATTTACATCTTGCATTAGTGTGGCACATTTGCTAAAACTGATAAGCCAACATTGATACATCATTATTAACTAAAACCTATAATTAACATTAGAGTTCACTCTTTGTTACAAGTGCCTTTATATTTCACCTTATCCCTTTGGATTTTCTTTTCAGGGTTGCAAAACTGCGTGACGAAATTATGGCCTTAAGGAACGAATGTTCTTCTGTGTACAGCAAAGGACGCATACTGACAACAGAACAGACAAAGCTCATGATATCAGGAATCACTCAAAGTTTAAACTCAGGATTTGCACAGACCTTACACCCTAGTCTGACCTCAGGGCTGACCCAGAGTTTAACACCTTCCCTAACCTCTTCTAGTATGACTTCTGGCCTGTCATCAGGGATGACTTCCCGCCTGACTCCATCTGTCACTCCAGCTTATACACCTGGTTTCCCATCAGGATTAGTTCCAAATTTCAGTTCAGGAGTAGAGCCAAATTCATTGCAAACTTTGAAGTTGATGCAGATCCGAAAACCCCTTCTAAAGTCTTCTTTGCTGGATCAAAATTTAACAGAAGAAGAAATCAATATGAAATTTGTTCAGGATCTTTTGAATTGGGTTGATGAGATGCAGGTAAAAAAATGTTTACTTTACCTGAGTGTTTCAGTCTTTATTGTTATCAATTTCTTTTTTAAACTTAGTATTTTACTGTCTGAAGGTACAACTGGACCGCACTGAGTGGGGCTCAGATTTGCCAAGTGTTGAAAGCCATTTAGAAAATCATAAAAATGTTCATAGAGCTATTGAAGAATTTGAATCTAGTCTCAAAGAAGCTAAAATCAGTGAGGTATGTGAATTTAAAATTTGTATATATTTCATTTTAGTTTACTCTTGTTTTGCTTTTTACATGAAGACCCTGTAAATCAATAATAGATACATTAAGTGTGAGTCAGAATTCCTTCAGATTCCTGACTGGAGTGTCTTTTTAATCTCATGTTATAGATTCAAATGACAGCACCTCTTAAACTGACTTATGCAGAAAAGTTGCACAGATTAGAGAGTCAGTATGCAAAACTCTTGGTAAGTTTTTTTTTTTAAACCTTCTGTTTCCCTTATCTATATTTGGCAAAAACATGATTCTTATGATGATTTTCCTTACTAAAGAATACATCCAGGAATCAAGAACGGCACCTTGATACACTCCATAATTTTGTAAGTCGTGCGACTAATGAACTTATTTGGTTGAATGAAAAAGAAGAGGAGGAAGTTGCTTATGACTGGAGTGAGAGAAACACCAACATAGCTAGGAAAAAAGATTATCATGCTGTAAGTACACCCTTTGTACTTGCATACTAGGGTTGCATTTTAGGTTTATATATTTTTCTAACACACTTCTTAATTATTTCTTGAAGGAATTAATGAGAGAACTTGATCAAAAGGAAGAAAATATTAAATCAGTTCAGGAGATAGCAGAGCAGCTACTTCTAGAAAATCATCCAGCCCGGTTAACTATTGAGGTAAAGCTGGAAAGTGTAATGGTGTTGGTTGAATATTGATATGATTATTTCCCTTCAGATTCTTTTATTGCTGAGAAGTTGAAAATTACAAGCCATCTAACTTTTATTAAAACCTGGCTCAGAAATGTTTCTGACAAATTGTACTGATTGCCTTCAGTTCTCTGGCTCTAAGTATGTCACCCATCACTTAGAATAAAAGTACCCTTGTCAGCCTCTGTGGCTGAGAAGATGTATTGCTGTAAATATGAAGTACCTTCTCTGTGTAAGCATTGCCATATTATTTATTTCTGATTGTGTAACATTGCACAAGTGACATAGTATTGCCAAGCCTCATTTTCCTACCAAGAATGGGAGAGATTACCTCTAATCCATAGAGTTGTGATGAGAATAAGAAGGAAATAATTTACTCTTACTGCTTAGTATAGTTTTTGGTACATTATTTGTTCTCAAAAAAATACCAGCTGTTATGATTCAATTTAATACTTTTATTTATGCTCTGGTTTTGTGAGGTGTATTGGGACAGCATCCTGACAAGGCTTTATAATGTGCAGTGAACATTTCAAATTCAGAAGTGGAAAATTGAGATGGGATTTATCAGGTTGCCTATGCAGTTGGGACAATGTTTTAAATTGTATATTAGACAGAGTTAGTGACTTTCTGAATGGAGAATAGGGGGATTATGTAAGAAAGTAGGGATTGTCACACATGGGCAGTCAGATGTGATATTTTGCCAGAGGAAAAAAAATGATGCTGGTCCTGAAAGTTGTCATGCTTCAAACTCACAATTGAGGAAAGGAATCTGATAGATTCACTGAAATCATAATAACTCAAAAGATTAGTACAATTCTAGGCTCATCAGGAAGTTTTAGGGATGTTATGTATGATCTTTTATATAAAATACGGTTTTGTGTCTACATGAAATGTCACATATGAATGTTAAAAACGTAGAAGAGTAGGGAATCTTTAGGGAAAGGAGAGTAATGGAGGGCCTGGGATGTGGTTTTGTACACTAATACACTAAAAAGAGTATTTCTTAGGGTGGAGAGATGAAAACTGTTAGGAAATACTATTATGGGCCAAGAATTTTGATGGGAATGGAACATGTGAATGTCACTCTGATCACTTTTATGTAAAAATTATAATTTAATTAATAAAAAATTTCTTAAGAAGTAAAATGAAACCTTAGTCATCTTTATGATCCCATCGGCCTGTCCTGTGTCTTGTTTGGGTACATGGATAATATTTAGTTAATTATCAATACTGTTTCATATTTTATATGAAAAAAATATGATACATCTTTTATAGCCAATTTACTGAAAGTAGCTTAATTTGAGGTAGAATATGATCATGATATGTTGCCAGATATTCAATGCTGCATCATACATTCCATTCGGAAGTCCTGCCTAAGTATAGCTCAGCAGGAATGAACTTTTCCAAAAGGAGGGAAAATGACAGGCTTACTTAAAATAGTCATTAAAGCATCTCGAGTGCCCTCTTCTGGAAATCAATGAATTGCACCTTAAATAGAAAAGAGTATTTCATGTTTCCTTGAGGAAGGAGGTATCCTTTGTACAATATTGTTTACCCTCATGAAAGATACACTCTCTATTAAATTAGAAGTTCAAGAAACACATTTTTAAAATAAAAATTCCTAGTATTATCATCATTATAATTCCAGAATTACACCAATTTGGGAGTACACACATTTTCTTTTCCACCCTCCCCAAACCTCATCCCAGCAAAAACAAAGAGAAACCGACATAACCATATATTTCTGTGTTAGAAGGTATATTTTATGATCTAGCACCGTAAAAATTCAGAGAAAGGAGAGATGAATGTGCCACGAAAGAAAACATATCGGAGGATTCCACAAAGCAGATGTAAGAGTTGGTGGCAAAGGAGTCAAGTGTTGGTTTTGTAAACAGGAGGGATAGCTTGCATTTATTTTAGTTTTTAAATATTTTTTCCCGTAGCCAGAGATAATTTTTTTCTTATATTTTAATAAGAAATTTCAAGAAGTTTAAAATTGAAAAGAAATCAACTGGAGTGGTTTAAGAATTTATATTTAAACTTTAGGACTGACTTTGTACAAGTGAGAAGTCTTAGATAAGAGGAAAATTTTACTGCCCTGATTTTCTTGTTTTTTTTTTGTTTGTTTGTTTGTTTTTGTTTTTTGAGGTGGAGTTTCACTCTTGTTCCCCAGGCTGGAGTGCGATGGCGCAATTTTGGCTCACTGTAACCTCCGCCTCCTGGGTTCAAGCAATTCTCCTGCCTTGGCCTCCTGAGTAGCTGGGATCACAGGCGCGTGCCACCATACCTGGCTAATTTTTGTATTTTTTAGTGGAGATGGGGTTTCACCATGTTGGCCAGGCTGGTCTTGAACTCCTGACCTCAGGTGATCTGCCTGCCTTGGCCTCCCAAAGTGTTGGGACTACAGGCGTGAGCCACCATGCCCAGCCACTGCCCTAATTTCCAAGTCTTATTCTGCCAAAACAATTGGTCATCTATTTAGATAGTAGAGTTAGCATTTAGAAGCATCGATATCAAAAGGTATGTGTGCCTTATTTCTCCCCAGTCAGTTATGATGGCTCTGTTTTATCTTTAAGGCCTACAGAGCGGCAATGCAGACGCAGTGGAGCTGGATCTTACAGCTCTGCCAGTGTGTGGAGCAGCACATAAAGGAGAACACAGCGTATTTCGAGGTATGTGAGTAGAATCATAACTTCAATAGATGGTATTGTGATTTTGGCTAACTTGCAGGAATCTTTTTCATAATTTATTGTTAGGATAACAATGTGTTTCTGTGTATATATATACACACATATATATATACACATATATGTGTGTATATATATACACACATACGTATACACATATATGTGTGTATATATATACACACACATATATATACACATACATATACATATATACACATATATACACACACTGTTATATATGTATATATGTATATGTGTGTGTGTGTGTGTGTTTGTGTGTGTGTGTATATATATATATATATATATGTGAATTGTTTTCTTTGTAGGCCGAAAGAGTTGGTTTTATGTCCTATGAGATAGATTGAAGTATTCTGTTAATGCAGGAATCCTTTAAAAATTCTTAAGATATCATAAAATCTTTATTCTATTCTACAAATGTGTCTCTTATTTAGGAACTGTTTTCATATAGAGAATCAACCATCTATAACCATTTAACTTCTAAAACCATAGAAGTTTTTAAGTATTCTTGGAATTTCACTCCTACTTAAAAATTGTTTAAATCCTAATTTAAAATGGACCTTCAGCCAAAATAATAGAGAGCCAAAACATCATATAAGCTTTGGACACTTAGTATGTTCATTCATAACTATTCAACTTCAAGGGTTATTCTTTGGTCCAAGGAAAGATGTGACTATTAAGCTATCTTGTGCTTTTATTCTCTTCTCACTTATGAGGGGTACACATAGGACCTTGGTATTGGAGTGTGACAACTGTGTGCTTTGCTGGTATTTAACATACTTTAACTTCCAGGTTTCATCTTTCCTTAGTTTTTCAATGATGCCAAAGAAGCTACTGATTACTTAAGGAATCTAAAAGATGCCATTCAGCGGAAGTACAGCTGTGATAGATCAAGCAGCATTCACAAGCTAGAAGACCTTGTTCAGGAATCAATGGTACTAATACAAAACCTATGCATTTTATAAGTATGCATAAGTGATTAGATTAGTGTTTTATATGAGCAGAACTTTGTATTTTATTGGCACTCTTGATATTTCCCACTAATTCAATTACACATTTGCACATTCAGTTTTAGTATTCTTTTGGCAACAAATACAACAGAAGTGTTTTTTTAATGTGATAGCTTTGATATTTTAAGATGGTTTTTAGTGTCGTGTGTGTGTGTGTGCACGTGTGTGTTTAGTTATTCATTTTGCAAATACTTTTTAAGTTCTTAATATATCCTGGGCACTGTTTTAGGTTCTAGAGCTACAGCAGTGAACAAAGCAGACAAGAATCTCTACCTTTGTGGTGCTTACATGCTAGAGAGGGAGTTAGACAATAAACAGAATAAATAAGTAAAATTTGTATAGTATGTTAGGTAGTGTAAATGCCAAAGAGGAAAAAGAAAACCAAACAAACCAAAGAAAGGAAGAGGGATACAAGATGGGGTGGAGGAGGAAAGATTGAAAATTTAGACTAGGTAGTCAGAGAGAAGACTTTTCTGATGAAGTTTAATTTGTGTAAAGTGCTGAAGGCATGGAGAGTACAAGTCTTTTACTTCTTAAAATTCACTGTATTTATTACTTAGGAAGAGAAAGAAGAACTTCTGCAGTACAAAAGCACTATAGCAAACCTAATGGGAAAAGCAAAAACAATAATTCAACTGAAGCCAAGGAATTCTGACTGTCCACTCAAAACTTCTATTCCGATCAAAGCTATCTGTGACTACAGACAAATTGAGGTACTTGTAACTCCTAGAAACAGACCAGTTTCTGTCATTATTCATATATTTTGTAAATGAGATCATATTGCTAACTAGTGATCAAGATTTCCCGCCTCATAAAACAAAAAAAATCCCAGGATTGAGTATGGAAAACAGTTAACAGTGACCTCATTGAGTTATTCTGCTCTTTATTTTAAACCAGATAACCATTTACAAAGACGATGAATGTGTTTTGGCGAATAACTCTCATCGTGCTAAATGGAAGGTCATTAGTCCTACTGGGAATGAGGCTATGGTCCCATCTGTGTGCTTCACCGTTCCTCCACCAAACAAAGAAGCGGTGGACCTTGCCAACAGGTTTGTATATATTAGCTAAAAATGTTGAGCTAGTTTTGGGGGCCCTCTGAAGGTTGAAGGAACAATCAATACTTTGTCAAGGCCCCACAGGATCAAAAGTCTCTAGAACTCATCCGTGGAATATTTCACACAAAAAGAAAAATTGCAGTGTGTTTTCAGAGGGAGTAAAAACATTAATCTGAGTTCTCTTTCATGTATTTCAGAATTGAGCAACAGTATCAGAATGTCCTGACTCTTTGGCATGAGTCTCACATAAACATGAAGAGTGTAGTATCCTGGCATTATCTCATCAATGAAATTGATAGAATTCGAGCTAGCAATGTGGCTTCAGTAAGTATGAATCTGTATGTCAACTCGATATGTCCAAAAATGTGCATGCCTTTTCATATGTGTCGTAGAGTTTGTATTTGCTTTAGAATAGGATGGAGTCCGGCAAATCCATGCTAATATTCATTTATTCAATGAATATTTGTTATATGCCCATAGCATATAAGGCACTTTTTAAGAACTGAGGAAATCTGGAGATCACAAATTTCATTCAGAACTTACTGTGAGATAGGGAGGCAGAATGTAGTTGTTGGATATACGATGATGGGTACAGTTGATTTCATTTGAGTTTCGTAGACTTGTTTTTCTTTGTCGTTAAAACCTAAAATTGTTGGCTGGGCGCGGTGGCTCACGCCTGTAATCCCAGGACTTTGGGAGGCCGAGGCAGGTGGATCACCTAAGAGGTCTGGAGTTCGAGACCAGCCTGACCAACGTGGAGAAACCCTGTCTCTACTAAAAATACAAAACTAGCCAGGTGTGGTGGTGCATGCCTGTAATCTTAGCTACTCGGGAGGCTGAGGCAGGAGAATTGCTTGGACCTGGGGGGCAGAGGTTGCAGTGAGCTGAGATCGCGCTCCAGCCTGGGCAATAAGAGTGAAACTCCGTCTCGGCCGGGCGCGGTGGCTCACACCTGTAATCCCAGCACTTTGGGAGGCCGAGGCGGGCGGATCACGAGGTCAGGAGATCGAGACCATCCCGGCTAAAACGGTGAAACCCCGTCTCTACTAAAAATACAAAAAATTAGCCGGGCGTAGTGGCAGGCGCCTGTAGTCCCAGCTACTTGGGAGGCTGAGGCAGGAGAATGGCGTGAACCCGGGAGGCGGAGCTTGCAGTGAGCCGAGATCCCGCCACTGCACTCCAGCCTGGGCGACAGAGCGAGACTCCGTCTCAAAAAAAAAAAGAGTGAAACTCCGTCTCAAAACAAAAAACAAAAAAAAACCACCTAAAATTGTTAATGAAAAAGACAGTTAATTTCAAATGTTCCTATTTATGATTATTCGTTTAGATTGGCATATACCACACGACCAGTTTGAAGTGTCTCCCATTCAAATCTATGAGTAATAGAATGAATTACATGGGTCTTTGGTCTTCTTTAGATAAAGACAATGCTACCTGGTGAACATCAGCAAGTTCTAAGTAATCTACAATCTCGTTTTGAAGATTTTCTGGAAGATAGCCAGGAATCCCAAGTCTTTTCAGGCTCAGATATAACACAACTGGAAAAGGAGGTTAATGTATGTAAGCAGTATTATCAAGAACTTCTTAAATCTGCAGAAAGAGGTAAAGCATGGGGATCCCTGTCTTTTTTTCCCCATAGGTGTTTAGTTCTGGCTATTTTTTGCTCTCAATGGGAATCTCAATCTTAGGTATATTGTATCACCCAGCCTATGATATGTAGACACAATTGGTGGAACGGTAAAAGCATGTTTGAGGTAGGAAGACTCAAGAAGGGATTAATTTGTTTCCAAATGATAAATTAATGAAAGGTGCCAACCAACTGGTTGGACAAACAACGAATTCTTACTTTTCAACGTTTTCACTATTTTGCAATCCTTCAGTTTCAGAAAAGATTCAATTATTTTCCCATTTACCAAACTTGGATTTTATACAAGGATTAAAGCAAAAGGTTTTTGCCTAGTTAACTTTTGTTAAATACAGATTTTATTCTGAACTTTAAAAATTTTAATTAGAGACAATTTTATTAGTAATATTCTATTTTTTAAAAATCTTAAACATTAAATATTATTTACCTAATATTTACTTTTAAGGATTTTTATTTGATTTTTGTAATTAATTTTTGCAGCTAATATAATTCACATTTTTGTGAACATAAAATAGCAACGTATTACTTTGGACAGCATTTAATCGGAAATTGGTACTTCAAATGGCATTTGGGAAATTTTATTAATTCTTCTTAAATTTTAAGATTTATGTTTTAAGATTTATATCCTTAGAATGGGTTTGTGATGAAAACAGGAATCATTTGCTTGACTAGCTGTGTCCCAGTAATATAAAATTCTCATATTAAAACATAAACAGAAGCTTCTAAGAGATAGAAAACAAGGTATTTTCTAAACATATTTATTTTCACAGAGGAGCAAGAGGAATCAGTTTATAATCTCTACATCTCTGAAGTTCGAAACATTAGACTTCGGTTAGAGAACTGTGAAGATCGGCTGATTAGACAGATTCGAACTCCCCTGGAAAGAGATGATTTGCATGAAAGTGTGTTCAGAATCACAGAACAGGAGGTGAGAGCTATAAATATGTTGGGAAAAAAACTAACTCTCTTAATGACCTTATGTATCAACTCTTGTGACTTCTTAATGTTCAGTTTTGCACACTCACACTAGCCAGTCTAGTGTGAGGTGAGGTCTGATTGTGTAATTATTGCTGATTATAAACTAGGATTCAGTCTACCTCTGACTCAGGTAAACATGAGAATATGTACACGCTCACCTTCATTGTGATGAAGGATATAAGGACTTGTAATAAAAGTCATTATACACCTGCTGTGTGCAAAAGTACTAAGTTAGATGTTGAGGCTAAGGAGATGAACAGTAAGGGAATTATTGATTGTAAAACTTGAATGCTATGATGTAGTTTCTTTGATAACAAACAAAGAATATGTAGATTTCTAAGTCATTGGTTCTTAATGTGAAATGTGTGTTTTTCAACTAGTTTAAGAAAAACACCTCATCACAGGTGATGGCCTGATACCTTTGTTTGTTCTCTGTTTTATAGAAACTAAAGAAAGAGCTGGAACGACTTAAAGATGATTTGGGAACAATCACAAATAAGTGTGAGGAGTTTTTCAGTCAAGCAGCAGCCTCTTCATCAGTCCCTACCCTACGATCAGAGCTTAATGTGGTCCTTCAGAACATGAACCAAGTCTATTCTATGTCTTCCACTTACATAGATAAGTATGTAACTGCTATCTCAATATATAAATTGCTTCATACAACTCTCATTTTTATTTACTATTAATTTAAAATTTTATTTTTATTAATATAAATATTAACTTTTATTTTGTCTTAAGAAATACATTATTGGCTGGGCGTGGTGGCTCATGCCGGTAATCCCAGCACTTTGGGAGGCCAAGGCAGGTGAATCACCTGAGGTCAGGAGTTCGGTACCAGCTTGGCCAACATGGTGGAACCCCATCTCTATAAAAAATACCAAAGTTAGCCAGGCATGGTGGTAAGCGTCTGTAGTCCCAGCTACTCGGGAAGCTGAGGCAGGAGAATCACTTGAACCCGGGAGGTGGAGGTTGCAGTGAGCCGATATCGCGCCACTGCACTCCAGCCTGGGTGACAGAGGAAGACTCCATTTCAAAAAAAAAAAAAAAGAAATACATTATTTTTATGGATTGATGACACTTCTCTATGTTGATAGTGGATGTGCTTCAGAGATGAGTGTGTAATGTATGGTCCTCCCACATTTTGCATGTAATTTGGGTAGCTCAGCAGTTGTAGCCAATGAATTTTCATCTCATACTTAAACAAAGTTAGAAAGAAACCATCTTATGTTGCAGTCTCTTGCTGAATACCACTTGTGGGGCAGGGGATGGGTTGGAGCACATACTCTCTATTAAGAAGAAAGCCAGAAAAATGTCAGTTTCATAGTAAATGTATCAGTGTTCCAAGGTGAAGAACATGTTATGTCATGTGTCATAATGGTGCTTCAGGACTACATTATGCAAAAATAAACATTTAACCATAGGTGGCTATTGTTTAATTTCCTTTTTAAGGTTGAAAACTGTTAACTTGGTGTTAAAAAACACTCAAGCTGCAGAAGCCCTCGTAAAACTCTATGAAACTAAACTGTGTGAAGAAGAAGCAGTTATAGCTGACAAGAATAATATTGAGAATCTAATAAGTACTTTAAAGGTATGAGACTCACTTTTGGATATTTTTAAATATCGTATTCTACAAGTATTTCTCTAGCACTTAGATCTTCAAACATCAAGTGTTAAATATCTTGGATTTTTGAATGGATTTATTCCATTTGTGTCTCTGTGATCTCACAGTTTACTCTAAGTATGTTCAGTCATTTTAGTTTGAGGAGAGTTCTCATTTGAAGTTTGAACCCTTTTGACAGTAGCTTTTGATAGTCAATTCATGTTGGCAGCAGGAGGAGTCGAAGCTAAAAATTAAATTATTTGTAATAGATTAACTTGCTGAAAAAGAAGTTAATTTAAGATATCAAGGAGGTAAATAGAGAAGTTAATCTGAGAAAGGAAAAAGACTTGTAGTTCAACTCATCTATGTGTATTTCTTTAGCAAGTGGTGAAACTATTGCAAAGCAATTTTTAAAAGTTATCTCAGTGATTTTTAATGCATGTATTTCTTTTTAACAGTGGGATTAGTAGGCACTTAAAAGCAGACAATGAAAAAGACATATTTTATTAATGGAGGTAGCAAACTTGCTTATGGAATATATTTTATTTTGTTGATATGCAAATTTTATTAGGCTGAACGTTATAAAATTGTCATTAAAAAATCAGAGTACAAATATTGAAAATTTCATAAGGTTTGAACTAATATAATATTGTGCATATGAAAGATATTCTTTCCTTTATCTTATTTTCTACCTGTCATTTGTAAATAAATTGTAAAATTAGGTAAATAATATATTTACCCAGTGAGTGGTTAACATTTTTATAACTTTTACCAATTAATGTATTTTAGCAATGGAGATCTGAAGTAGATGAAAAGAGACAGGTATTCCATGCCTTAGAGGATGAGTTGCAGAAAGCTAAAGCCATCAGTGATGAAATGTTTAAAACGTATAAAGAACGGGACCTTGATTTTGACTGGCACAAAGAAAAAGCAGATCAATTAGTTGAAAGGTGGCAAAATGTTCATGTGCAGATTGACAACAGGTTAGTATCCTTTTTTGTTCAGTTTTAGCACAGATTTAATGTCTATCTATGGTAAATGAGTAAAATCTACACATATGAGGCTATTTTTTTACTTCCATAGTTAATTTGTTAATTACAATACCTCTACTTAGCCATATTTCTTTCTTACTTGGAGGACTTTAGTAAGACATTTAACTTAAAATAAGCATTTTTTCAACTCTGTTACTATTCATGTATTCTAGCATTTATATAGTTAATCTGCTTGCCTTTTCTGAAGGAAAAAACAATGTAGTTCTCTAATTATTACCAACTTATAATATTCAAATAACCATGACTTAGTAAGAGCATGAAGCATGCATGTGATAGGGCTGTGTGTAGCTTCTATACTGGACTTAAGAAATGTAAATAAATGGAAATGCCCTGATGTTCATTTTAATTGAAGATACAAGAAAGTCAAAATTCTCAGTTACTGAATTAAAAAAGGTTTTAGGGTTCATCTTAAAATAAATGAATTCGTGTCCTTTCTCATTCACTTTCGTGCTTATATTAATGCAAATAAAATGCTTTTATGATACAGTGCCATTCTCCAAAAGTAAAATTATGTTCAAATATGTGTTATCTCTGTAACAAATATGATACATAGGTTTAATGTGGTGGTTTTTTAAATCATAGAGACAGGTATGTAATCACAGCTCCTGGAAAATACTCTCTGAGACCATGTTGAACCATTCATTGGACTACCTTATCGTTATTTCAAAACTGAACTGCCATTTGATGCAAGCCTTACTATTCAAGACACTGTAATTGATAATAATTAAGGTTAAGCTTCCACTTTTCTTGCTTTTTAAGTTTAGCTTCTTGGGCTTGTCCCTAGAATAATCACTGTCACTAAATTGCACAACTCAGGGAGCAGAATGTTTATATTCAACCCAATAAGGAATGCCCTTGGGGGTGTGCCTCAGGGTGCTGCAGCCTTGAGTTCTTTATACATACCCGTCTTGTGCTTAGTTCATTGCAGTCCAATTATTTTGTCTCTCCCATCTCTACATCTTCCACCCTCCTGATGGATATCGCTGGACACCGTGACTATTCGGTTACTATTCTCTTAGGTTACGGGACTTAGAGGGCATTGGCAAATCACTGAAGTACTACAGAGACACTTACCATCCTTTAGATGATTGGATCCAGCAGGTTGAAACTACTCAGAGAAAGATTCAGGAAAATCAGCCTGAAAATAGTAAAACCCTAGCCACACAGTTGAATCAACAGAAGGTATGTAAAAATAATTCCCTCTACTGAGGTTATGTCTGCATTTGGTCAGTCATGCTCCTCATCTTCCTTTCCTATGTTAAATGAAAAAGTCACCAACTCTTTAGAGGAAGGTGGAGAGTATATAAAAAATATTAAAATCTTGCAACCCAAACCTACATACATGACTTATTTTTATTTCTTGGAAGTAATTTTTGAAAGCATGGGTAATCAGAAAGTGGAGAGTGTTGGGATACTTTTCAAATTCCTAATGATAATTTATTTAATCATAGGTATAGAAATCTCTTTGACACTTTGCTGGCCTCAATAGTTTTCTAGGTTCCTAAATAAGTAAAAATGGTTAGCAATGGAAAATTAAATACCACATTTGACAGAAAGTTGAATGCTTTGAGATTTTTGTTCTATCTTAGGGGCCAATCATCTCTAGCTCTATTTTCTTCAGAAATAGGTGGTGGCCAAGGGCATCAAGTCTGCTTTTGGATAATTCCTAAGGAGTTTAGTAATTTCTGCTTTGAAAACCACATGGGGTGGGTCACTTCTGTGGCTTAATCTGAAAGTTTGTAATTTTCCCATAAGGCAAGTTGTGTATTAAGTGCAAAGGGCTAAGGAGCTGTACTGTGAAGTGATGTAGATATGTCTTAGTTACTGAGCATCTTATGTAGTAGAATAGCTGAATTCCTTGTCATTTTTGTTCTAAACTGTGTATATTTATAGATGCTGGTGTCCGAAATAGAAATGAAACAGAGCAAAATGGACGAGTGTCAAAAATATGCAGAACAGTACTCAGCTACAGTGAAGGTAGGAAGATTCATTAACTTTAGTAAAATTTAATATTCAGGTTTGTGATTCTACATGTACTGTTAAAGCCATGCAAGTCATTTCACTCAGTGTTTAAAAGAATCTTCATTTGAACTTTTTTGACACTTATCTAATAATTCTTTGTGAAATTAGTCACATGACAGCCCCCCAGTTCATTCGTCTTCTTCTCTCTCACATATGTACACCCCTGCCACTCCCAGCCACCAGAATACATAGCTCTGTAGTTGGTTTCTTATCACTTTTCTTTCTTTTTTCTTTAACATTGTTAGGGTATTTCATGGGAGAGCTTCTAACTTTCTCACTTAGGGGGACACTTTTCATGCTTTTCAAGTTGTCATTGACAACTTTTCAGTTTTAGCCCTCCAGATCCATAGTTCCATTGCTTAGCTGGAGGAAAGGGGGGCTGCATAGGGCTACACTATTGTTACATATATTTTCATGAGCTTCTAAACAGACTTGGAAATTACCCGACCACCCTACATGTTTCTGATTTTGTCCCCATCTTGGAAGCATCTCCAGGATTGGATAGATTCCTAAAAATGTAATTTTGCTCTACAGTCATGTGTTGTTTAGCAAAGGGGATATATTCCGAGAAATGCGTTGTTAGGTGATTTTTTCATTGTGCGAACATTGTAGAGTGTACTCACATAAACCTACATGTTACAGCTTTCTACACACTTAGGCATATGGTACAGCCTCTTGCTCCTAGACTATAAACCTGTACAGCATGTTACTGTACTGAATAGTGTAGGCAACTGTAACATAATGGTATCTATTTGTGTATCTAAACATATTAAAGGTATAATAAAAATAGGGAATAAAATACAAAACATGGTACACTTGTATAGAGCACCTACCATGAATGGAGCTTGCAGGACTAGAAGTTGCTTTGGTGAGTTAGTGAGTGAGCTCTGAGTGAAGGTAGAGGCCTAGGACATTACTGTACACCTCTGTAGAATTTATAAACACTGTACACTTAGACTACACTAGCTTATAAAAAAATTTCTTCAATAATAAATTGACATTAACTTACTGTAACTTTTTTACATTATAAACTTGTAATTTTTTTAACCTTTTGACTCTTTTCTCATAGCACTTAGCTTAAAACAACGAACACATTGTACAGCCATACAAAAGCATCTTCTTTCTTTATACTTTATTCTGTAAGCTTTTTTCTATTTTTAATTTTTGGTTTTTTTTTTTTTTTTTTACTTTTTAAACTTCTTTGTTAAAGCCTAAGAGACAAACATACACATTAACTTAGGCCTATATAGAGTCAAGATCATCAATATCATTGTCTTACACCTCCAAATCCCATGGGAAGGTCTTCAGGGGCAATCACATGTATGGAGCTGTCTTCTCCTATGATAACAATGCCTTTTTCTGGAATACTTTCTGAAGGACCTATCTGAGTCTGTTTTACAGTTAACTTTTTTTTTTTTTTTAAATAAGTAGGAGTACACTCTAAAACAACAACTAAAAGTATAGTGTGGTAAATATATAGACCAGTAACATAGTCATTTATTACCAAGTATTACATACTGAACATAATTGTGTGTGCTATACTTTTGTGTGACGGGCAGCACAGTAAGTTTGTTTACACCAGCATCACCACAAACGTGAGTAATGCATTGTGCCACGACATCACTAGGCGATAGGTATTTTTCAGCTCCATTATAATTTTATGGGGCTACCATCATGTATACGGTCTGTCTTTGACTGAAATGTTTCATGTGAAACACGACTATATTTTCTTTATTTAAACTTAATTTAATGAATCTAGGTTCTAATGATCTGTGTCAAATCACTAAAGTTATTTTAGTGAATCTAGGTTCTAATTATCTGTGTTAAATTATTGTAGAATGAAACTCTAGTACTTTGCTTCAATTCATTTTATCTTATTGACTCCTTTATACAGGACTATGAATTACAAACAATGACCTACCGGGCCATGGTAGATTCACAACAAAAATCTCCAGTGAAACGCCGAAGAATGCAGAGTTCAGCAGATCTCATTATTCAAGAGGTAATAAAAGTATGAGAGAAAGAGGGGAAGGGGCATAAAAGAAAGAACACTTACTTTTTAAATTTTATTTTTTGTTGTGGTAAAATATACATAGTATAAAACTTACTATTTTAACAATTTTAAATGTACAGTTTAATGACATTGCAGTATATCACAATATTGTGCAACTGGTACCACTGTTTATTTCCAGAACCTTTTCGTCATCCCAAAGAGAAAGTCTACACCCAGAACAATACATTCTATTAAGGGTTTTTAAAAACCCTTTAAAAATGTTTATTCAAGATTAATTATTAACTATGGAGATAAATAAATGTACTTATGTACTTCATGGTGAAATTTAGAAGAGAATTATCATTTGCCATGATTTGCATAATAGTAATAATAAGCTCATTCTTATCATTTATTATGGGGGGAGTTGTGTGCTTTGCTGTCTGAAGGCCTAGTTAATGTAATTATTATTCAAAATTCATTCAACTTAGTAAGAGTAACTGGAGGTAATGCTTTTATTATTTTTTTCCTTACTTGCAGTTCATGGACCTAAGGACTCGATATACTGCCCTGGTCACTCTCATGACACAATATATTAAATTTGCTGGTGATTCATTGAAGAGGCTGGAAGAGGAGGAGGTAATCATTAACAGTGAGCACCCTGTAAATATAAAGGAGCTAGAGATGAGCAGTAACTACAGTGTAGTTTGGGAAAGCAAAACATGTTTCATGATAAATTTATGTGGCCGGTAGCAGATGTACAAATAAATATTGAATTATAAAATTACAATGAAAATGACTGAAGGCCTAAGATTTTTGTTTGTCTTTAAGATTCATTCAAATAGAAAGTCATTTCACTTCATGACTTTACATTTTCACTTCAGGACTCTAATAT
The DNA here is from genome assembly GCF_000001405.40 of Homo sapiens. Taxonomy (NCBI): domain Eukaryota; kingdom Metazoa; phylum Chordata; class Mammalia; order Primates; family Hominidae; genus Homo; species Homo sapiens. The sequence goes on along the minus strand of NC_000006.12, from coordinate 56,624,273 downwards.
GGTGGGGTTAATGTCTTAAATAAATTACGAAATTTTGGCAGTTTGGCAGAATATTTTTCGGCTTTCTCACAGCTGAGAGGTATACTTCTTTGAAGTATAGTTACTGCTGGTATGATGTCTACAGGAATACCACACGAACACATTTGTCTTATGCATTTTAAATTAATTTGTATCTCAAGAAGTTAAAATTATTATACATAATGTAAAGATGCTAACTTAGAAGTAGTAGACGTTTTTACAAAATGATACTTTTTAAGAATTTTGGAGTTTTTTGTTGTTTTTTTTTTGCAAAAAGATATAGCACATGGCATTTAAAAAGGCTATTTAAATGCCACTCTGATTTGGAGAACTTCTGCAGCTTTGATTCTGCATTTAAAAATCATATTTCTGCATTTATAAATCATATATTTAAAAATCATATAGGAAGAGTAAGGACTTATTTATAAAGATCAGTGGTCACCAAAGGCTCTTGTATGTAATCTAAAAGGGAGTATGCTATGCTTTGTTATCTTGATGTACTTTCTATTCCCCAGAACAGACAAAAATAGTAGAATGAATGTTGAAATAAATAAATTGTGGGCCATTAGCTATTTTAAATTGGACTGTTGTTGAAATTCTAAAGGTGATTATGCTTAATGTAACTCCATATGAGAGCTGAAACAGCAGTAAACATCTATTGGATGTTACTTTCTCAGTTTCCTAAAAATGTGACCACTTTTATAAACTGTTTTAGTCTGTTCAGAGTTAACAGTTTTCTGCAGCTAAATCACTAACATAGCTAATTGCAAGACTTTATAACCCTCTTCCTTTGTGCTTAGGAGAACCAGGATATTTGTGACCATCTTAAATGCATGCATCTCTCATCTATGAAAGAACATCCATAATTTTCTTATATTTTTAGTTTTTGAGAGATCTTATTCCATTTTAAATGGTATACAGATCTTTTAAATTGAATATGCAGTAGTTAAATATAAAATAAAATAACTTAAGTTCTTTTCTCATAGTATGTATCTGATTATACATATATGGGCCACTTACTCGATTTATCTGATGAGGCAGAATGCTAACAATTGATAGAAACAAAAAATATTTTAGAAGGCCTTAATTGAATGCAAGTTATTATTGTCCTTAAAAATGTCAAAGATTTGTAGTTAATTGAAACCAGCAAATACAGTTATGGAAGAACAAGCGAAGGCTATAATTTAAAATAGGTTAAAAAAAACTACCACTTAACATTACGTTAATGGAATGTCGTGTAAAAGATACATAGCTTAATTTTTAGACTCAAAAGATTGGTGTTTCTGCAACTGAGGTTTGAAGACCCACATGAAAAACCTTGGTCTAAAGCAGAATTTTCCATAATAAACATAAAATCAAAGATGGATGCAAGTTAATTTCAGAAGTAATACTGATTTAGTTAAAAGAAATGTTACTAAAATATCTGTAATAGATATTAGATATTAGAGAGAGATGCTTTAGTCTGTGCTGAGAACAAAATATGCTAAGTATTAATCACCGTGATTAAAGGGCAAGATTGAGGAAGATTTAGAGAAAAGTTAAGGAAGTTATTTTTATGCAAATAAGTTTGAGATCCACAAGAAAGCAAGTCAGCAATTGGACTAAATTATTTCTAGTAATTTTTCTCACATTTGCTAAAAAAGTCAAGAGACAACATGATTTTTTTTTTTTTTTTTTTTTTTTTTTGAGACGGATCTCTGTTGCCCAGGCTGGAGTGCAGTGGCGTGATCTCGGCTCACTGCAACCTCTGCCTCCTGGGTTCAAGTAATTCACTGCCTCAGCCTTCCGAGTAGCTGGGATTACAGGCGCCTGCCGCCTGCCACCACGCCGGGCTAATTTTTCTATTTTTAGTAGAGACGGGGTTTCACCATGTTGGCCAAGCTGGTCTTGAACTCCTGACCTCATGATCCACCCGCCTTGGGTTCCCAAAGTGCTGGGATTACAGGCATGAGCCACCGTGCCCAGCCGAGATTCTTAACAAATCACTGCATTGCCTAAGGCATTGAGGGTTCAACAACAGATATTTTTTTCTGAGGGAATTTTTAGTTTTTCTAAATCTGAGCATGAGAAATAGCTCAGAATTTCTTAGCAATAGCTAAGTTTTAAAGGAGGTTTGATAAGCAACTGAGACTGTCTTAGAAATAACCTCCTCAAGAAATACTGAAAACTTAGTATTTAAATAGATAAAATGCTCATGTGTCACAGGATTGACCCTGATACTAAAATAAAGAAAATAGAGTGCTGAAGATAACAGATTATGAGATTTGTTTCTGTATGAATTATTATTAGAAACCTTATTTAGGTTAGCAAAGAAAACAACTGAAATTCTCATCAAAATTATTGGAGATCAAGAAATTAGAGGAAGCAAAATAAGATGTATGGTCTGTAATAGAAATTAAATTCTTGAAATTCACCAAAGCTTCTCAATGAAAACAAATCTGTCTAAAATAATTTCTGTATTCCTGTTTAAATTATTTTATGGTGATCTTGAGTTGATGATACAAAACTAACACACTAGAATATTAATAAAGAGAAATTAAATTGTAATTATAAACTAATCCTGATCATGTAGTTCTATAATCAATGTAAAGCATACTCCTCCCAGCTGACATTGATTCTGTCCCTAGTAGAGTAAAAATTTTTTCTTATAATTTTTTCTATACATTGGAGCTGAATCCCTAAGTATATATTTAAAAGCTATTATACTTAACAAATATCTTTATATTTATGGAGTATTTAAAGGTGCTTGTCAAAGTGATTCATATGAGGCATGTTATTAACAACAGCAACAAAATCTGTGAGTATATGAAGCGCATCTTTTCCAGAGCCATCAGGACTGTAGCTGCCTTTGCATTAGCAATTCTGATTATTATAATTGTCATAATATGGCAAGTATAAACAAATAAGGGATCTGACTTTAGAAATTTCAAGTTTTTGTATAATTTTCCTTCTTCCCCATGTTATTTCCTAATTTGGCTCTCTGTTCTAAAGTTCTGTGCTTTGTTTTTTTAACCATAAGACATGGGAATATAAGTATCATTTTTAATTTCTATTAGGTTAGAAAACTAAATTCTTTAGCATCATTTGGTTCCTATGTGTTGGGTGTTCTTCCTACCTCTTAGGATTATGTTGCATGCAAGAGAAGAAAGGGCACCGTCGTGAGAGTTTTATTTCCCACTTTGTCACTCACCCAATGTGAGTTTGCAAAAATATCTGTCCTCCTCGTTTCTCCCTTTCCTCATCTGTTGTAAATTCCCTTCTTGCTATAAAATTCTAAGCTAGCTAATTTTTAAAATAAAATTATTCCTGAGGGGCAAAAAGATATTCTTCAGAAAACCTGTCGTGAAGGGTTTTTTGTCCTCTTCTGCTGACTTTCTGAGGCTTCCTCTCTGAAGAAGGTGATGCTGCTGGTGGTGGTGATAGCGCTTGTTCTGCATTTGAGTTCACTTGGTTTTGTAAGTACTTTTATGAACATTGATTCATACGTTGTAAGATATTTTGAACAGAACAGGCTTGACACTTTCAAAATGTCTTTTGTAGATTAAAAGGTGTAAGGAGACTTCTGAACATGGGGCATATTCAGATCTGCTTCAGCGTCAGAAGGCAACAGTGCTTGAGAATAGCAAACTTACAGGAAAGATAAGTGAGTTGGAAAGAATGGTAGCTGAACTAAAGAAACAAAAGTCCCGAGTAGAGGAAGAACTTCCGAAGGTCAGGGAGGCTGCAGAAAATGAATTGAGAAAGCAGCAGAGAAATGTAGAAGATATCTCTCTGCAGAAGATAAGGGCTGAAAGTGAAGCCAAGCAGTACCGCAGGGAACTTGAAACCATTGTGAGAGAGAAGGAAGCCGCTGAAAGAGAACTGGAGCGGGTGAGGCAGCTCACCATAGAGGCCGAGGCTAAAAGAGCTGCCGTGGAAGAGAACCTCCTGAATTTTCGCAATCAGTTGGAGGAAAACACCTTTACCAGACGAACACTGGAAGATCATCTTAAAAGAAAAGATTTAAGTCTCAATGATTTGGAGCAACAAAAAAATAAATTAATGGAAGAATTAAGAAGAAAGAGAGACAATGAGGAAGAACTCTTGAAGCTGATAAAGCAGATGGAAAAAGACCTTGCATTTCAGAAACAGGTAGCAGAGAAACAGTTGAAAGAAAAGCAGAAAATTGAATTGGAAGCAAGAAGAAAAATAACTGAAATTCAGTATACATGTAGAGAAAATGCATTGCCAGTGTGTCCGATCACACAGGCTACATCATGCAGGGCAGTAACGGGTCTCCAGCAAGAACATGACAAGCAGAAAGCAGAAGAACTCAAACAGCAGGTAGATGAACTAACAGCTGCCAATAGAAAGGCTGAACAAGACATGAGAGAGCTGACATATGAACTTAATGCCCTCCAGCTTGAAAAAACGTCATCTGAGGAAAAGGCTCGTTTGCTAAAAGATAAACTAGATGAAACAAATAATACACTCAGATGCCTTAAGTTGGAGCTGGAAAGGAAGGATCAGGCGGAGAAAGGGTATTCTCAACAACTCAGAGAGCTTGGTAGGCAATTGAATCAAACCACAGGTAAAGCTGAAGAAGCCATGCAAGAAGCTAGTGATCTCAAGAAAATAAAGCGCAATTATCAGTTAGAATTAGAATCTCTTAATCATGAAAAAGGGAAACTACAAAGAGAAGTAGACAGAATCACAAGGGCACATGCTGTAGCTGAGAAGAATATTCAGCATTTAAATTCACAAATTCATTCTTTTCGAGATGAGAAAGAATTAGAAAGACTACAAATCTGCCAGAGAAAATCAGATCATCTAAAAGAACAATTTGAGAAAAGCCATGAGCAGTTGCTTCAAAATATCAAAGCTGAAAAAGAAAATAATGATAAAATCCAAAGGCTCAATGAAGAATTGGAGAAAAGTAATGAGTGTGCAGAGATGCTAAAACAAAAAGTAGAGGAGCTTACTAGGCAGAATAATGAAACCAAATTAATGATGCAGAGAATTCAGGCAGAATCAGAGAATATAGTTTTAGAGAAACAAACTATCCAGCAAAGATGTGAAGCACTGAAAATTCAGGCAGATGGTTTTAAAGATCAGCTACGCAGCACAAATGAACACTTGCATAAACAGACAAAAACAGAGCAGGATTTTCAAAGAAAAATTAAATGCCTAGAAGAAGACCTGGCGAAAAGTCAAAATTTGGTAAGTGAATTTAAGCAAAAGTGTGACCAACAGAACATTATCATCCAGAATACCAAGAAAGAAGTTAGAAATCTGAATGCGGAACTGAATGCTTCCAAAGAAGAGAAGCGACGCGGGGAGCAGAAAGTTCAGCTACAACAAGCTCAGGTGCAAGAGTTAAATAACAGGTTGAAAAAAGTACAAGACGAATTACACTTAAAGACCATAGAGGAGCAGATGACCCACAGAAAGATGGTTCTGTTTCAGGAAGAATCTGGTAAATTCAAACAATCAGCAGAGGAGTTTCGGAAGAAGATGGAAAAATTAATGGAGTCCAAAGTCATCACTGAAAATGATATTTCAGGCATTAGGCTTGACTTTGTGTCTCTTCAACAAGAAAACTCTAGAGCCCAAGAAAATGCTAAGCTTTGTGAAACAAACATTAAAGAACTTGAAAGACAGCTTCAACAGTATCGTGAACAAATGCAGCAAGGGCAGCACATGGAAGCAAATCATTACCAAAAATGTCAGAAACTTGAGGATGAGCTGATAGCCCAGAAGCGTGAGGTTGAAAACCTGAAGCAAAAAATGGACCAACAGATCAAAGAGCATGAACATCAATTAGTTTTGCTCCAGTGTGAAATTCAAAAAAAGAGCACAGCCAAAGACTGTACCTTCAAACCAGATTTTGAGATGACAGTGAAGGAGTGCCAGCACTCTGGAGAGCTGTCCTCTAGAAACACTGGACACCTTCACCCAACACCCAGATCCCCTCTGTTGAGATGGACTCAAGAACCACAGCCATTGGAAGAGAAGTGGCAGCATCGGGTTGTTGAACAGATACCCAAAGAAGTCCAATTCCAGCCACCAGGGGCTCCACTCGAGAAAGAGAAAAGCCAGCAGTGTTACTCTGAGTACTTTTCTCAGACAAGCACCGAGTTACAGATAACTTTTGATGAGACAAACCCCATTACAAGACTGTCTGAAATTGAGAAGATAAGAGACCAAGCCCTGAACAATTCTAGACCACCTGTTAGGTATCAAGATAACGCATGTGAAATGGAACTGGTGAAGGTTTTGACACCCTTAGAGGTATACTCTGTGTTCTGAGACCTTATCAGCTACCTAATGTCAAGTTTCCTCATTTGTTTCCTTTCTCTCCTAGACTAAATTTTTAAAACAATTTTGAATGTGATTGGCTCATTGTAGTTCTGACAGGAAAATAATGCTATACTCTTTCTGGTAACTTACTTGAATCTTTATCATAAATTAACTTTAATTTTTGAATGTTTGAGATTAAACATACAGATGTAATAGATATACTGTTATATCTGTGGAGATACATTCTGAAAAATGTGAGTATCAAAAAAGCTAGAAGAACCAAGCAGTTAGCTTTAACTTCTAACATATTCTGTGGCTAGACTTTGTCTTAGTCTTTTTTAAAGATATAATTTTAATACCTTTAATTGTCATCTAAGATAAAATTCAGACTCTGAAAATAATATAATACTTATTCCTGAACCCTCCTTGGTTTGAAATTTTTCTTCTTTTCACTAATCTTGTCTTTGTAATTCAAAGAATTATGTTTGGATTGAGAATGGATAAAGTGACATAATGTTCTTGAGGTGACTTTTAACATTTTATAAATTCCTGTTACAGATAGCTAAGAACAAGCAGTATGATATGCATACAGAAGTCACAACATTAAAACAAGAAAAGAACCCAGTTCCCAGTGCTGAAGAATGGATGCTTGAAGGGTGCAGAGCATCTGGTGGACTCAAGAAAGGGGATTTCCTTAAGAAGGGCTTAGAACCAGAGACCTTCCAGAACTTTGATGGTGATCATGCATGTTCAGTCAGGGATGATGAATTTAAATTCCAAGGGCTTAGGCACACTGTGACTGCCAGGCAGTTGGTGGAAGCTAAGCTTCTGGACATGAGAACAATTGAGCAGCTGCGACTCGGTCTTAAGACTGTTGAAGAAGTTCAGAAAACTCTTAACAAGTTTCTGACGAAAGCCACCTCAATTGCAGGGCTTTACCTAGAATCTACAAAAGAAAAGATTTCATTTGCCTCAGCGGCCGAGAGAATCATAATAGACAAAATGGTGGCTTTGGCATTTTTAGAAGCTCAGGCTGCAACAGGTTTTATAATTGATCCCATTTCAGGTCAGACATATTCTGTTGAAGATGCAGTTCTTAAAGGAGTTGTTGACCCCGAATTCAGAATTAGGCTTCTTGAGGCAGAGAAGGCAGCTGTGGGATATTCTTATTCTTCTAAGACATTGTCAGTGTTTCAAGCTATGGAAAATAGAATGCTTGACAGACAAAAAGGTAAACATATCTTGGAAGCCCAGATTGCCAGTGGGGGTGTCATTGACCCTGTGAGAGGCATTCGTGTTCCTCCAGAAATTGCTCTGCAGCAGGGGTTGTTGAATAATGCCATCTTACAGTTTTTACATGAGCCATCCAGCAACACAAGAGTTTTCCCTAATCCCAATAACAAGCAAGCTCTGTATTACTCAGAATTACTGCGAATGTGTGTATTTGATGTAGAGTCCCAATGCTTTCTGTTTCCATTTGGGGAGAGGAACATTTCCAATCTCAATGTCAAGAAAACACATAGAATTTCTGTAGTAGATACTAAAACAGGATCAGAATTGACCGTGTATGAGGCTTTCCAGAGAAACCTGATTGAGAAAAGTATATATCTTGAACTTTCAGGGCAGCAATATCAGTGGAAGGAAGCTATGTTTTTTGAATCCTATGGGCATTCTTCTCATATGCTGACTGATACTAAAACAGGATTACACTTCAATATTAATGAGGCTATAGAGCAGGGAACAATTGACAAAGCCTTGGTCAAAAAGTATCAGGAAGGCCTCATCACACTTACAGAACTTGCTGATTCTTTGCTGAGCCGGTTAGTCCCCAAGAAAGATTTGCACAGTCCTGTTGCAGGGTATTGGCTGACTGCTAGTGGGGAAAGGATCTCTGTACTAAAAGCCTCCCGTAGAAATTTGGTTGATCGGATTACTGCCCTCCGATGCCTTGAAGCCCAAGTCAGTACAGGGGGCATAATTGATCCTCTTACTGGCAAAAAGTACCGGGTGGCCGAAGCTTTGCATAGAGGCCTGGTTGATGAGGGGTTTGCCCAGCAGCTGCGACAGTGTGAATTAGTAATCACAGGGATTGGCCATCCCATCACTAACAAAATGATGTCAGTGGTGGAAGCTGTGAATGCAAATATTATAAATAAGGAAATGGGAATCCGATGTTTGGAATTTCAGTACTTGACAGGAGGGTTGATAGAGCCACAGGTTCACTCTCGGTTATCAATAGAAGAGGCTCTCCAAGTAGGTATTATAGATGTCCTCATTGCCACAAAACTCAAAGATCAAAAGTCATATGTCAGAAATATAATATGCCCTCAGACAAAAAGAAAGTTGACATATAAAGAAGCCTTAGAAAAAGCTGATTTTGATTTCCACACAGGACTTAAACTGTTAGAAGTATCTGAGCCCCTGATGACAGGAATTTCTAGCCTCTACTATTCTTCCTAATGGGACATGTTTAAATAACTGTGCAAGGGGTGATGCAGGCTGGTTCATGCCACTTTTTCAGAGTATGATGATATCGGCTACATATGCAGTCTGTGAATTATGTAACATACTCTATTTCTTGAGGGCTGCAAATTGCTAAGTGCTCAAAATAGAGTAAGTTTTAAATTGAAAATTACATAAGATTTAATGCCCTTCAAATGGTTTCATTTAGCCTTGAGAATGGTTTTTTGAAACTTGGCCACACTAAAATGTTTTTTTTTTTACGTAGAATGTGGGATAAACTTGATGAACTCCAAGTTCACAGTGTCATTTCTTCAGAACTCCCCTTCATTGAATAGTGATCATTTATTAAATGATAAATTGCACTCGCTGAAAGAGCACGTCATGAAGCACCATGGAATCAAAGAGAAAGATATAAATTCGTTCCCACAGCCTTCAAGCTGCAGTGTTTTAGATTGCTTCAAAAAATGAAAAAGTTTTGCCTTTTTCTGTATATAGTGACCTTCTTTGCATATTAAAATGTTTACCACAATGTCCCATTTCTAGTTAAGTCTTCGCACTTGAAAGCTAACATTATGAATATTATGTGTTGGAGGAGGGGAAGGATTTTCTTCATTCTGTGTATTTTCCTTACATGTACAGTAGACGTTCTCTATTCTATCAGCCTTCTATGGTACCTTTTTGTCAGGACAATTAGGATTGTAATGCTAATGCAAAGGCAGCAATTCAAAGATCTTCTAGTGCCTCATGAATAAAGTTGAGATTTAAAATTTGTAACATTGATGGAACAGCTGGGAGGTTAGACCAATCATTAAGGAATGTATGCCATAGCTTTCTTTGCTACCATAAACATTTTGGAGGTGCATCTGCTATGTGACATGGTAAATATGGTTAAGTGAATGAATAAAATGTTTTAGTAACCTGTGTGTGATGAAAAAAAATTTTTACATTCTTGTTTGCTATGGAGAGGTCAGTTTAATAGCTAAGTCATTTAATGCAGTGTATATTTTTCTTACCGCTCACAACTGTCAGAAGTCACTGGAAGAAGAAAAGAAAGAACATGTTGAAAAAGCCAAAGAATTGCAAAAATGGGTATCAAATATCAGCAAGACATTGAAAGATGCAGAGAAGGCTGGAAAACCTCCCTTCTCTAAGCAAAAGGTATTCACAGAAGTCCTGGTTTAATAATAATAATAATAGCAGGGACGTTAACTGAGTTGACACAGTTTACCTAGCACAATGTTTAATTTTTACCTTAATTTTCCCATTGTTATAGCCCAATATAATGCAAATCAGAAAGATTAAATAACTTGCCCAAAGAATCAAAGTTAGTGTGTGGCAGAAGAAGCTGTTTAATTCCAAAGCCTGAACGTTATATATTGTTCTTATTTTTAGTAAACGAATACAGTATGCTGCTTTTCCTAATAATTAGGTCTGCTTCCTGATTATTACAATAAGAATAGCTGAAGAGCAGAGTCATTCTGTTTTATGTCTAGAGTAGATCCATGCACTCCATGTCATAAAGATATGCCGTCTTATTCTTACAGATGTAAACATAAAAAGTTTCAAGAACAATGAAGATACAAACCAGGATATTAACATTCTTGATTATTGACTTTAGTTGTGCTTTTCTGGGTCTTTTCTATCTCATAAGGAAGTGTCTACAGTCAATCACTGGAAATTCTAGATACTATCCCTTATCCTAGTGAATTCTTTAGTCTTAACGGGCTATCTTCTGTATCCCAACTGCTTAGGATTAGTTGGATGGCCGCAGCTTGGGAGATGTCCTTGGACTGCACCACTTAAAGCTCTTAGGATGTTGGTAGTTGGGGTGTACATTTTAGTATTGCTGCCGCTGGTGATAGCAGTGGGATTGCTGCTGTATTAAAAAAATAAATTTCCGCTAAGATAAGAAGCGTTTTTCTCAAGGAATACTTTCCTACACTGCCCTCCTGCTCTTGTCTGACGTTTAGAAATTTCAAGGCTATCATCCAATCTTAATGTTTAGCTCCCACTTCTAGCTCTGCATCAGTACTCACTTGTCATCTATTAAAATAGACATTGTTGACATGACTAAATAGGGGAGAACACCAGTGCCTTGTCTTACTTGGCTGTGATATGAGGCAAGTGTTCCTTATTTGAGGTTCTTTCTTGGAGAAGTTTACAGACCAGAGTATATACTTGAAAAGTTGTTCAGTTGAAGTGAAGTATTCAGTCATAGTCTTACATACTATATATGTGGGATGTGGGAGATGTGGGAAAGCACTTGCATTTGGTGCTTTATACCAAAAAGCTTCAAGTAATTTTAATATATATATTTCATGTAAAATATCCTTCTCCCCCCTCATTAAATAGGAAGACAACTAAAATGGGGACATAAAGCTTAACAAAGATTCCTTGGGAGAGTTAGTTTCTTTTGAGAAATTTTGATTATAAACCCTTGGTATTTTTATATTCTGTAGTTTCATGTGTATATATATATATTTTTGAGACAGGGTCTTGCTCTGTCACCCAGGTTGGAGTGCAGTGGCATGATCACAGCTCACTGGAGCCGCAACCTCCCAAGCTCAAGTGATCCTCCTGCCTCAGCCTCCTGAGTAGCTGGACTGCAGACACATGCCACCACACCTGGCTAATTAAAAAAAATTTTTTTGTAGACATTCTTTAGTTTTAAATTCTCTAAAACATTACTAAGTCAGATTTAGACCTAGTACCCTAGATACATTCTTAATGCAGATAATGGCGTTAATTATAACTGTCTAAGAACAGCTGATGGTCGTTCTGTTAAAGGAAATTTTAGTTAATATAAGTATGTCCTTCAAAAATCAATGCAGCCTCATGATTATAGTCATGAAAAATAAACTTTAAATTGACTCTAAATAGACTTCATGGGGGAAAATATATCTTTTCATTGGCCCATTATTTCCTCTTATTTCTGCTAATTTAAAAGAATGGCAATTAATTTCTGAAATAAGGGATTTGGAAATGATACACTGAGGAATTAGGAGAAAGTGTGTGACCTCTTGCTTTTCCCCAAACAGATCAATTTTATTTCTCTGACAGATGACAGTCACAGATGACTTTTACAAAGTGGGTCTTAGCATTAGAAATTATTTGTTCTTTTTTTCAATAGTTAAAAAGTTTCTTTTAGATAGGATCTTACTCTGTCGCCCATGTGGGAGTGCAGTGGCACGACCTCAGCTCACTGTAACCTCCCTTTCCCACACTCAAGCAATTCTGTCTCAGCCTCCCGAGTAGCTTGGACTACAGGCATGAGCCACCAATACTTGGATACTTTTTGTATTTTTCATAGAGACAATATTTCACCATGTTGCTCAGGCTGGTCTCAAACGCCTGAGCTCAAAACAATCTGCCTGCTTTGGCCTCCCAAAGTGCTGGGATTACAGGCATGAGCCACTGCTCTCAGCTAGAAATTCTTTATTCTGGGTCTGCATACCTACAGATTATTACTTTCACCATAATTTTTTCAAAAGGAACATTGTGTCTAGGAGCTTGGCAGAAGGAAGATGCCCTTTGGAAGTAGTGTCCCACAGTCATGTGTCTTTTTGAGGACTGCAGTGCGCAAGGATGACACTGGGCCAGTGCTGAGTGCCCACCTGCGGGTGGAGGCCACCTTTATCCACGGCTGGACTAGGACAGATGCAGGAAACGTATAATGTATTATTTTCTCTTGAAAATGACGGCATTAAGGATAGAGAGAGGAGCTTTCCTTACGGATTCTAAATAAAATACTCTTATCTAGCTCTATAGACTGCTAATAACTGATAGGTTATTCACTTGGGTCACCCAGAAAATAGACTTGGGTCTTGACTAAAGCTTGATTAATTTCTTTTTTTTAAAAAAAATACTGTTTACTCCTTTTGGAGGAAGAGTTTGAATGTGCCTTCTTTACCTTACAGATTTCCAGTGAGGAAATATCAACCAAGAAGGAACAATTATCGGAAGCACTTCAAACTATACAGCTTTTTTTGGCAAAACATGGAGACAAGTATGTTGGTTGTAGTTAGCTCTTTTATTTTAAGTGGGGAAGTATTCTTAAAAGCTTTCAGCAAAACAGAGGTGGTAAATTTTAATTGCAATGTTAAATATGGGACTCAAACTAATCACAATTAATATAGTAATGTAAAGAGTATCAACTTAGTAATTTAATTGTCAATTTTAGTCTTTATTACAACTTTGAAATATTCTTATTATCCCCATGTATTACCGATAAGGAAACAGGCTCAGAGAGGTAAGAATTAATAGCAAGTGAGAGGTAGAGTGCAGACTCCGAGTCAAGTCTTAAATCTAAGTAGTACTCTGTGAGACTTATTCTTTGGAAAATATGTATAAATATGGTCTTCATTTTCTTAGCTGAGACCTATGGCAGCCTCGTTTCTCATATTTTGTCCCTACTTTTTGCAGCAAAGCACTTTATATATTTCAGTCAGTGTTTCACTCAGGGAAGGAATCCACCTTTTTCTTAAATTCTTTTTGGATGTCCTCCTAGGATTATTTCATAATGACTTTATAGTATACCTTAGCAAATTAGGTTAATCCCCTTATAAATTTCCTCTTTGTTTGTGCTTTAGTCTAAACAAGTTTCATCTTGAGAAATGGTACCTTATTGTCCCTTTTCCATGTTGGGATTAACAATGAGACCTTACCCTCTGTCAGATAGCAGCAATTGTTATTTTGGAATTTTGTATGTTAAATAAGGGTCAATACATTAGTTTACACCCTTTCCTTCAGTCCTTTTCTCAGGCAAGGGAAAGATCCTTAGATATTTTAAGGCCATTCTTAATTTTCATATACAGTCATACTGAGACCTGAGCAATATGTATGTGAGGCTATATTTTATTTTACCATCATATGACAAAATTATTGAACCTAATACATCTTTATCTCTTGAGGACGACTTGCATTAGTCTTTTTATCATTTCTGGTTATTTAGAATGACAGATGAAGAAAGAAATGAATTGGAAAAACAAGTGAAAACTCTTCAGGAAAGTTATAATTTATTATTCAGTGAATCTCTGAAACAGCTACAAGAATCACAAACCTCAGGAGATGTAAAGGTAGAGGAGAAGGTAATATTATTTATTTAAACATGAGGCTGTTTCAAGAAGCTTAGTTTGATTGCATGGCTCTGGAAATCTATGTCAATAATAAAGAAATGACCTTGAATTTTGTACGTAGTTAAAATAGGGATTGAGTTTATTTAAATGTTTGGAGATTCCAGTGTTGTTTATTAAATGCAATCTTACACATGCTGACCATCAGTTTCTGTGACATCTTAATCTCTGCCTTGCATGGTAAAAGAAAAGTATCATTCATTCTTCTAACTCTTCTCTTTAAAAGCCATTCTTCTAGTATAGTAGGTATTTTATTATATTATAGGCTATAAAAGAGCCTGTGGGTCATCTCTAAAGGTGGCATTGATGTGTTAGAGATTGTTTGACTTTCAGAGATATCCATGAGACTTATTTGAGTAATACAAGGCCATACATTATAGTGAGGATGCCCTAGCATCTTCTTAAAGTATAAATCATTTAAAATTTGGCTGGTACTTAAACTTTTAAAACTTGACAGTGTATATCAACAGGCCTAACATAATATTCAATATTCAAAAAGTTATCTTTATATTTAATTCCTTACTCCTGGGAATACTTTCCACATAATTTGTCACATTTTGGGGGTATGTAACAATTTTTCCAGTTTCTTAGTTTTTGACTATCTTTGAAGAAGTCTGTATGCTGTAAACATCAATAGCATGGGGTTTGATACTCTCTTTCCTGCCACTAGACTCTAATCTCACCTAAATGCAGAAAGCATGGTTTGCCTTCTAGATATGTGTTCTGTTTTCTCACTATCATCATCTACTCTGTTGTGTCCTCACTAACCTTGTCAATATACACGATATCAAGTTTTCAATTCACAGATGCATGTTGTTTTCAAAGCTTTTATCACATCCTGTGCTGTTGAATAGATCACTGACATAGATCACTTGTGCATTTGAACTGCCTAACATTCACAGCATTGCTGCGCCTTGGTAAGTAGAGGATTTTTATGTTGAAATGTATTATTTATTTTTTAAAAAACCTAAGTTGCATGAAACTCCGCCCACCCTTGTGTAACAGAGTGACCTGAGATTTTTGCATTTTCCTTTCAGCTGGATAAAGTGATTGCAGGCACCATTGATCAGACAACTGGAGAAGTCCTTTCAGTCTTTCAAGCAGTTTTAAGAGGCCTCATTGACTATGACACAGGAATTAGGTTGCTTGAGACACAGCTAATGATTTCTGGTCTAATTTCACCAGAATTAAGAAAGTGCTTTGACCTTAAAGATGCCAAAAGTCATGGCCTTATTGATGAACAAATTCTGTGCCAACTCAAAGAACTAAGTAAAGCTAAGGAGATTATTTCTGCTGCGTCACCTACCACAATTCCAGTACTGGATGCTCTAGCTCAAAGCATGATAACAGAATCCATGGCCATCAAAGTTCTTGAGATACTGCTTTCTACAGGCTCTCTGGTTATTCCAGCCACAGGAGAACAGTTGACCCTACAGAAGGCTTTCCAACAGAACTTGGTTTCCTCAGCATTATTTTCTAAAGTTCTGGAAAGGCAAAATATGTGCAAAGATCTTATTGACCCCTGCACCTCTGAGAAGGTTTCTTTAATAGATATGGTACAAAGAAGTACTTTACAGGAAAACACAGGGATGTGGCTTCTACCTGTGAGACCACAAGAAGGAGGTAGAATAACATTAAAATGTGGAAGAAACATAAGCATTTTAAGAGCAGCTCATGAAGGTCTCATAGACCGTGAAACCATGTTTAGGTTGTTAAGTGCACAGCTTCTTTCTGGAGGTCTGATCAATTCCAACTCTGGCCAAAGAATGACTGTTGAAGAAGCTGTCAGAGAAGGGGTGATTGACAGGGACACTGCTAGCAGTATCCTCACATATCAGGTTCAAACTGGTGGAATCATCCAGTCAAACCCTGCCAAGCGTTTAACTGTAGACGAAGCAGTACAGTGTGATTTAATAACTTCCAGCAGTGCTCTTCTGGTCCTGGAAGCTCAGCGAGGCTATGTTGGACTCATTTGGCCCCATTCTGGTGAAATATTTCCCACATCATCTTCCTTGCAGCAAGAATTGATTACAAATGAATTGGCCTACAAAATCCTGAATGGCAGACAAAAAATAGCTGCTCTTTATATTCCAGAAAGTTCTCAAGTCATTGGTTTGGATGCTGCTAAACAGCTAGGAATTATAGACAACAACACAGCATCAATTTTAAAAAATATAACACTGCCTGATAAAATGCCAGATTTAGGAGATTTAGAAGCTTGTAAAAATGCCAGAAGATGGCTCTCTTTTTGTAAATTTCAACCCTCCACAGTTCATGATTACAGACAAGAAGAGGATGTTTTTGATGGAGAAGAACCTGTCACTACTCAGACCTCAGAAGAAACTAAAAAATTATTTCTATCTTATTTAATGATAAATAGCTATATGGATGCAAACACAGGGCAAAGGCTTTTGCTGTACGATGGAGACTTGGATGAGGCTGTTGGCATGCTACTGGAAGGCTGTCATGCAGAATTTGATGGAAACACAGCCATAAAAGAATGTCTCGATGTCTTAAGCTCATCTGGTGTATTTCTTAATAATGCTTCAGGTAGAGAAAAGGATGAATGTACAGCTACACCAAGTAGTTTCAATAAATGTCACTGTGGAGAACCTGAACATGAAGAGACTCCTGAAAATAGAAAGTGTGCTATAGATGAAGAATTTAATGAAATGAGAAATACTGTTATCAATAGTGAATTTTCTCAGTCAGGAAAACTGGCAAGTACAATATCAATTGATCCTAAAGTTAACAGTTCACCCAGTGTGTGTGTTCCCAGTCTCATATCATATTTAACACAGACTGAACTTGCAGACATTAGCATGCTTAGAAGTGACTCTGAAAACATACTTACAAACTATGAAAATCAAAGCCGAGTGGAAACAAATGAACGTGCAAATGAATGTAGTCATTCTAAAAACATTCAAAACTTTCCAAGTGATTTAATAGAAAATCCTATTATGAAATCAAAAATGAGTAAATTCTGTGGTGTGAATGAAACAGAGAATGAAGATAATACAAACAGGGATTCACCTATCTTTGACTATTCCCCCAGGCTAAGTGCCTTGTTAAGTCATGATAAATTGATGCACAGTCAGGGAAGTTTTAATGATACACACACCCCAGAGAGCAATGGAAATAAGTGTGAAGCCCCAGCCTTATCATTCAGTGACAAAACCATGTTGTCAGGTCAAAGAATAGGAGAAAAATTTCAAGACCAGTTTCTGGGAATTGCAGCTATTAACATCAGTTTACCAGGAGAGCAGTATGGACAGAAATCTTTAAATATGATTTCTAGTAATCCTCAAGTACAATATCACAATGATAAATACATTTCAAATACTTCTGGTGAGGATGAAAAAACACATCCAGGTTTTCAGCAGATGCCTGAAGACAAGGAAGATGAGTCTGAAATAGAAGAGTATTCCTGTGCTGTGACTCCAGGGGGTGATACTGATAATGCCATTGTGTCTCTTACTTGTGCTACACCATTGCTTGATGAAACCATCAGTGCTAGTGACTATGAAACGTCACTGCTGAATGATCAGCAGAATAACACAGGAACAGACACTGATAGTGATGATGATTTTTATGATACTCCCTTGTTTGAAGATGATGACCATGATTCTTTGCTTCTTGATGGTGATGATCGTGATTGCCTGCACCCTGAGGACTACGACACACTGCAAGAGGAAAATGATGAGACGGCTTCTCCTGCTGATGTTTTTTATGATGTCTCAAAAGAGAATGAAAATTCCATGGTTCCCCAGGGGGCACCAGTTGGTAGCTTAAGTGTGAAGAACAAAGCACATTGTCTTCAGGATTTCCTTATGGATGTTGAGAAAGATGAATTAGATTCTGGTGAAAAAATACATTTAAATCCTGTTGGCTCAGATAAGGTGAATGGACAGTCACTGGAAACTGGATCAGAAAGGGAATGCACAAATATCCTTGAAGGTGATGAATCTGACTCATTGACTGATTATGATATTGTAGGAGGAAAAGAGAGCTTCACTGCATCATTAAAATTTGATGACAGTGGCAGTTGGAGAGGAAGAAAGGAAGAGTATGTAACTGGACAGGAATTTCACTCCGATACTGATCATTTAGATTCTATGCAAAGTGAAGAAAGTTATGGGGATTATATATATGACAGTAATGATCAGGATGACGATGATGATGATGGCATTGATGAAGAAGGAGGAGGTATAAGAGATGAGAATGGAAAGCCCAGGTGCCAAAATGTGGCTGAAGATATGGATATCCAGTTGTGTGCCTCTATTTTAAATGAAAACAGTGATGAAAATGAAAATATTAATACAATGATTCTTCTGGATAAAATGCACAGTTGTAGCTCTTTAGAAAAACAGCAAAGGGTAAATGTTGTACAGCTAGCATCACCTAGTGAAAATAACTTAGTTACTGAAAAAAGCAACCTTCCAGAATATACAACTGAGATTGCTGGAAAAAGCAAAGAAAATCTGTTGAACCATGAGATGGTACTTAAGGATGTATTGCCGCCTATCATTAAAGACACTGAATCTGAAAAAACTTTTGGCCCTGCAAGTATTTCACATGATAATAATAATATCAGTTCAACTTCTGAATTAGGTACTGATCTAGCAAACACAAAGGTTAAGTTGATTCAAGGGTCAGAATTGCCAGAATTGACTGATTCTGTGAAAGGTAAAGATGAATATTTTAAGAATATGACACCAAAAGTTGACTCATCTCTTGATCACATCATTTGTACTGAGCCTGATTTAATAGGAAAACCTGCTGAGGAAAGCCATTTGTCATTGATAGCCTCTGTAACTGACAAAGATCCTCAAGGAAATGGAAGCGATCTCATTAAAGGGAGAGATGGCAAAAGTGATATTCTAATAGAAGATGAAACATCAATTCAGAAAATGTACTTGGGTGAAGGAGAAGTGCTTGTAGAAGGTCTAGTAGAAGAAGAAAATAGGCATCTCAAACTTTTGCCTGGTAAAAATACAAGGGATAGTTTCAAGTTAATTAATAGTCAGTTTCCATTTCCACAAATCACAAACAATGAAGAACTTAATCAGAAAGGAAGCCTTAAAAAAGCAACTGTAACTCTTAAAGATGAACCAAATAATCTACAAATAATAGTTAGTAAAAGTCCTGTTCAGTTTGAGAATCTTGAAGAAATTTTTGACACATCAGTTTCCAAAGAGATTAGTGATGACATTACTTCAGACATTACATCGTGGGAAGGGAATACACATTTTGAGGAGTCATTCACTGATGGACCTGAGAAAGAGCTTGATCTGTTTACTTACTTAAAACATTGTGCTAAAAATATAAAAGCAAAAGATGTAGCCAAACCAAATGAAGATGTCCCAAGCCATGTTTTAATAACTGCCCCTCCCATGAAAGAACATTTACAATTAGGAGTTAATAATACAAAAGAGAAGTCCACTAGTACCCAAAAAGACTCACCTCTTAATGACATGATCCAAAGCAATGATCTTTGTAGTAAAGAAAGCATCTCAGGAGGAGGAACAGAAATTTCTCAGTTCACACCAGAAAGTATTGAAGCCACACTTTCAATATTATCTCGTAAACATGTAGAAGATGTTGGGAAAAATGATTTTCTGCAGTCGGAGCGGTGTGCAAATGGATTAGGAAATGATAACTCCAGTAACACTTTAAATACTGACTATTCATTCTTAGAAATTAATAATAAGAAAGAAAGAATTGAGCAACAGCTACCAAAAGAACAAGCCTTGTCTCCAAGATCCCAAGAAAAGGAGGTTCAGATTCCTGAATTGTCTCAGGTATTTGTGGAGGATGTAAAGGATATCTTAAAAAGCAGGTTGAAAGAAGGTCATATGAACCCTCAAGAGGTTGAAGAACCTTCAGCCTGTGCAGACACTAAAATTTTAATTCAAAATTTAATTAAAAGGATTACCACATCACAGTTGGTAAATGAGGCATCTACTGTGCCCAGCGACTCTCAAATGAGTGACTCTTCTGGAGTTTCCCCCATGACTAACTCATCAGAACTAAAGCCAGAAAGTAGAGATGATCCTTTCTGTATTGGAAATCTTAAGTCTGAGCTTCTCCTTAATATATTGAAGCAAGATCAACATAGCCAAAAAATTACAGGAGTATTTGAATTGATGAGAGAATTAACTCATATGGAGTATGACCTAGAGAAAAGAGGCATTACGTCTAAAGTACTTCCACTGCAGCTTGAAAATATTTTCTACAAACTGCTTGCTGATGGATATTCAGAGAAAATAGAACATGTTGGAGACTTTAATCAAAAAGCATGTTCTACATCTGAGATGATGGAAGAAAAGCCACATATTCTTGGTGATATTAAAAGCAAAGAAGGAAACTACTATTCTCCTAATTTAGAAACTGTAAAAGAAATTGGACTAGAAAGCTCTACTGTGTGGGCATCAACATTGCCAAGAGATGAGAAGCTCAAGGATCTGTGTAATGATTTCCCAAGCCATTTGGAATGTACTTCAGGGTCTAAAGAGATGGCTTCTGGAGATAGCTCAACCGAACAAGTAAGTTGACCTATACATTTTATACAGAAAAAGCTGCATGAACCATGTGAGAATAATCCCATACATTTGCTTTAAACATCTGCATAAAGGTTATTGAATTAAAATGTCCAACTTTGTTTTTAGTTTTCCAGTGAATTACAGCAGTGTTTACAGCACACTGAAAAAATGCATGAGTATTTGACATTGCTTCAAGATATGAAACCCCCCTTAGACAACCAGGAATCTCTGGATAACAACTTGGAAGCTTTGAAGAATCAACTTAGACAGTTGGAGGTAAGAATTGTCTACTGCCTCTTTATGGATGGTAGTCAGCTGATGTATGACTGGGAAAAAGAAGCAGAACACTTCTATGTTTCATGTTTATATTTGGGTTTTTCACTAAATAGTAAATAGGTCCGGGATATATTTCTTTGCAGACATTTGAATTGGGATTAGCTCCAATTGCTGTTATTTTAAGAAAAGATATGAAGTTGGCAGAAGAGTTTTTAAAGTCTCTTCCCAGTGACTTTCCCAGAGGCCATG
The DNA here is from genome assembly GCF_000001405.40 of Homo sapiens. Lineage (NCBI taxonomy): Eukaryota > Metazoa > Chordata > Mammalia > Primates > Hominidae > Homo > Homo sapiens. The sequence goes on along the minus strand of NC_000006.12, from coordinate 56,603,314 downwards.
TTGAAGAATTGAGTATTAGCCACCAGAGTTTGAAGACCGCCTTCTCTTCCCTCAGCAACGTGTCTTCAGAAAGAACGAAACAGATCATGCTTGCGATCGACTCTGAAATGGTAGGCATAAAATGTCAAAATTTTGATTTATGAAGAAAATTTTATTATTTGAGGATTTAGTCATAAGCTGGAGTATTTTAGTTTTAGAGTGCTAACTCTTAAACCACAGTCATTATTTGTAAGAATTTGACATTTTGGGGAAAGATAACTGAATGCACAATTTTTTTTTCTAGTCTAAACTAGCAGTTTCCCATGAAGAATTTCTGCATAAACTTAAGTCATTCTCAGATTGGGTATCAGAGAAGAGCAAATCTGTGAAGGATATTGAGATTGTGAATGTTCAAGATTCTGAGTATGTAAAGAAACGTTTGGAGTTTCTCAAGGCAAGTATCAAAACAAAGATGACAAAATATATTTCAAAAACTATGACTTTAATATATAACAAGTGTTTAGAAAATATGACTTTGCTAAGGCTACAAAGGATTATTTCCTTTCTTTGTCTCTAGAGATGTCTTTATTCATAGTTGACACAACTATAAAATAATCACAACTTTAAGGGTATCATTCTGATGCTATCCCAAAAGCCTTATCATACTCTTACACCACTGACATGTTGAGATTTTTATTTATATATTTATTTATGTGTTAGTCACATAAATATATAATAGTATGAATTAGCCATATAAAAATCATCATGTAAATACATAATAATATTTGTAGTACAGTCATGCATCACTTAATGATGGAGTTACATTCTGAGAAATGCATTGTTAGGTGATTTTGTGTTTTGCAAACAACAAGGAGTGTACTTACACAGACCTAGATGGCATCCTTTACTGCACACCTAGGCTATATGATATACCTGTTGCTCCTAGGCTACAAACCTCTACAGCATGTTACTGTACTGACTACTGTAGGCAATTGTGACACAGTGGTTTTTGTGTATCTAAACATAGAAAACGACAGGAAAAATAAGGCATTGTAATCTTATGGGACCAACATTTTATATGTGACCTGTCGTATGTGGCTCATGACTGTGTTTATATGTTGTCACTTTTGGCATACTTTTTTTTTTTTTTTCTAAGTTCTTAATTTCAACAGCATTCCTCATGAACAATGATTAGGCTTCTGGCCTGAGAGTCAGAAAACTGAAATTCTGGCATATTTCATTCATATTTCAAATCCCTCAAAGTATTATTTATATCTTACCACAATTACATGGATGTTGTAAATGTTAGCAAGTCATATTTTAAGGTAGATGTTTCTCTTCAGTGTGCTAAATATACCTAAGTTAGGTCTTTGCCTTTTGTCAGAGTTATATTTTAAGTGCAATGTGACAGGTAAAGATAAAACATTTTTAGAGGGATTATTTGTCTTTTTATATAATACTAACTACCATGGTATTTAAATAATTAATTTATCATTTATTACTAGATGATAAATAGATTTTTGATGAATAGCAAAAAAATTCATAAAACTTCCATTCCCTGATGTGAGAAATGTATTTACAAAACATAAATATTATTGTTAATATAAATTTTATCATGGCTTAACTTTCTACTGATAGCTTGTACTACTTTTTTAACAGAATGTATTAAAAGACCTTGGACATACCAAAATGCAGCTGGAGACTACTGCCTTTGATGTGCAGTTCTTCATTTCTGAATATGCACAGGATCTGTCTCCCAACCAAAGCAAACAACTGCTGAGGCTCTTAAATACAACTCAGAAGTGTTTTCTTGATGTACAGGAGTCAGTAACTACCCAGGTGGAACGTTTAGAGACTCAGTTACATCTAGAACAAGATCTTGATGATCAGAAGGTTTGCCTTTCTTCGTGGAGTTGGCATTCATTGTTTTTAGTGTGAAACCATAATGTAGATACCCAAGGAGTATAGTGTGACAGGAAAGATTTTCTGGAAAGGCATTAATGGATAAGATACAGTGTACATACAAATCCTACAGTGTATAACAATATTGTTTTCACTAATGATGCTATAATTTAGTTGATTTGAATTTTTGTGACTCCCAAAAATACTTAACTTCAAGTGAGAGTCTTGATTGCCTCCCACCCCAAGACTAGGAAATTTGAATGCACTTAGAAATTTAACACATTGAGGAACATATGACTAAAGAAGGTTAAGAGTTTCGTTTTCCTCTGGGAACCAATACAGCACAGCAATTCAGATCATGGGCTCTGGAGCTAGATTGCCTGATTTCACATCCCAGCTGCACTACTCATTCATTCTGTGAACTAGGGCAAGTTACTTAACCTCAGTTTAATCATTGGTAGATTGGAAATAACAATAGCGCTTACCTGCTAGTGTTGTGAGCATTGATAAAAAGAATGTATGTAAAACATTTAGTACCTTGCCTAGCATGTGTTAGGCTCTTAGTAAACGTGATCTATGGCTATAAGATGAATAATTAGTGTATACATAGTAGGAAAATGAAAGGTGCAAGTAATTAGTGTTGACTTCTTAATCTTTTAGAAGATTTAATGAATTATATGAGTGCTATATCTAATAGCAATAACGAGCAAAGAGGTGAGAATGCACTTAGACATAGTGATTAAGTAAAAATATTGCATGCAATGTTCCTTTTATTATTTCTTGAAGCACCAGACATTGTCTCTAGCATGATAACCTATATACACATATCAAATATGTTAACCTACAAATCACAACTAACTTCTCTTTTGATGTCCTTTTGCAGAATTAATTCTATGTGTCGCAGGTTTCAACAGCTTAAGAAAATGGGATGTTTCTTCCTGTTGGTCAGAAGTTCCATCTCTTACAAATATGCATGGCCAGTATTCTCTTGAGCAGTTTCATCTAAACATGATCACTTTCTTTGTATATGGGATATGCTCATATTTTCTGTCTCACCTTGCTCAGTTTGTACCCTACTGCTATCATGTTTACAGCATACTTATAAAAGCTTATTAGACAAAACTTGGAAAATGTGTTCTAATAAGAAGCTATCACAATAGCGATTTTGTGACCACCATACATTTAAGATGTTTTGGGTTTTCTTCACTTTAGATTGTAGCAGAGCGTCAGCAGGAGTATAAAGAGAAACTCCAAGGGATATGTGATCTTCTTACCCAAACTGAAAACCGCCTAATTGGTCACCAAGAAGCCTTCATGATTGGAGATGGCACAGTTGAGTTAAAGAAATATCAGTCCAAGCAAGAGGTAGAATTTGGTTTTCTATCAGCAGATCTATGTTGATGTTATGTTCGATTACTATCATTTGGAAGTCAGTGAAGATTATTGAAAATACCAGTAATTTTAGCTTTTTAGAAGCAAGGCATACCCAAGACGCCCTGGGCTTGAGCTTTAAACTTTATACTAAAAGTTAGATTTCCAACTTCAAGCAAGCTAGGTAATTTTTTTGACTTTTTTTGGTAAGAGATATTGAGTGGAGGAAATATTAAAGGGGATTTGATAATGAAAATACCTTGTGTGATGAATTAGAATTTGGATTCATTTAAGGCCAACCTACTTACTACTTGCAAATCAGAGGAAATAGCCATCACTTTGGGTTCTTTCTCTTTCTTAGCTCCTTCTTACTCCTTCTTTCTTGTGATTTGTTCCTTTTTATTGAAGGAAAGGGCAAAAATAACAGTAACAACAGATAAAGATATCTTTATTTTGGTGTCAGGACAGAGAACATTTTCATTGTAAGTAGATAGCTCCTGGTTCAGATTCCAGACTCTATACATTGTTAGCTTTATAACAGTCTGTCACAGCCTCAGTTTCTTCATAGGTCACACTTTGTTACATTATTATAAAAGTTAAGTAAATATTGTGTAAGTCACTAGCACAGTTAAGGTCACATAGTCATGGCTCAATTAATAGGATTTCTTTCAATTCAAATACTTCTAAGACAAATTTGAAGAAGATTAAAATAAAGTATGGAAAAAATAATATTAAAACTCAGTATCATATAGAGAATGAAAATGCATGATAAAGGAGGAAAAGAAGAGGAAAAACTACATGGAAAAATCTAGACATAGGAAAGCTATAACTACTAAGGAGAGATCTTAATCTTGAGGTACCTAGCAGCTAGGCAAAGAAGCAAACATTACATATTACAGATTCTGGTGTTTAGAAAAGGAAAGTATCTTAGTTCACTGGGAAAATTAGTTCATTTTTATCCTGAGTGATAAACACATTAAAAAATAAAAGTTTAGAAACAATAAATATTAGCATATATTTACAAGCCTTTGTACATGTGCTCATATAATATTAAAAAATCTGGTGTGTGCAAATTTATATAGATCATATACTGAATACTTATGTGTTTTCAGTGTTTCACTGACTGCATTCTTTCGTTAAACATGAAAATTCATGCTTTTCTTTAATATTGTTTGAGTTTCAAATTATATTAAGTATTGTGATTGAAACTCAAATTAACATACTCAATATGTTTATTCAAGCTACATATACTAGACTCTCTCTGTACTCACTCTGTCTTTTAGAATTACAACTCTGGAAGAACTAAATAGGTAATAATTTAATAAAATATATTTTTTCCTTTTGTGTTATAAGGAATTACAGAAAGATATGCAAGGAAGTGCACAGGCATTGGCTGAAGTAGTGAAAAACACAGAGAACTTCTTAAAAGAGAATGGTGAAAAGCTGTCACAGGAAGATAAGGCTTTGATTGAACAGAAACTTAATGAAGCTAAGATAAAGTGTGAACAGCTTAATTTAAAAGCAGAACAGTCTAAAAAGGAGCTGGATAAAGTTGTGACAACAGCAATCAAGGAAGAAACTGAAAAGGTCCTTATTCAAATATGTGGTGCACTATTGCTATGTCAAAAAGCTTAACAGCTACTTGATTTATTATTAATATCCAGTGGTAGTAAATAAGGATTATCACTAAGGATTATTATGGGATTCTGGGTTTCCAGGTACATAATTGACCAAGTACTACAAAAGGTTTGAAGAGTTGGCTTTGCTTAACTTTTTCTTAATATTTAAGTGAGGTTGTGAAACTTTCTTCTTGTGAAATGTGTGATCACTCATCAATTATAGTTAAAATTTTGGAATGTATTTTTAAGAACAGGGGAAACTTCAAAGTAACTGCCTGTTGCTCTGAGGTTTAATTTCAGTTGTTAAGTTTTCAATTGTGTCAGTTTTTAGTACCCTCATTCTAATTTAAAATGTTCTAAGTATTTACTTTTGGAATGTCTTAAAACTATGCCTTGGCCCACGTTCTGAATTCCTCCTGTGAACTTTCCCTTCCCAGGTAGCAGCAGTGAAGCAGCTGGAAGAGAGCAAAACCAAAATAGAAAACCTTTTGGACTGGTTGTCAAATGTTGACAAAGACTCAGAAAGGGCAGGGACAAAACACAAACAGGTAATCGAACAGAACGGGACCCATTTTCAAGAAGGTGATGGCAAGTCAGCAATTGGAGAAGAGGATGAAGTTAATGGTAACCTGTTGGAGACTGATGTTGATGGGCAAGTTGGAACCACTCAGGAGAATCTGAATCAGCAATATCAGAAAGTTAAGGTGTGTTGTTATAAACATATGATATCGTTCAATTCTATTTCCAGGTTGGTAAAGAGAGAAATAACCTAGCACATGAGTTCTTTTCAAACCTTACTGACAAAAGAGGTTTTTTTCTGTGTTCATCATGTCAGATATAAATTATTATGAGAGTTCTAAGCAAGTCAAAAAATAATGAGAAATAAATTGTAGAGTTGGCATTCTCCATGTAAGTGAAGTAGAATTATTATAAAGATTTAATAATAATAGTTAACATTTATAGGACAGTTAAAGTGGGCACTCTTCTAAGTTCTTTCCATTTTAACTCATTTTGTCTTCCCAGTTACTCCTTGGGGTTTTTATTTTCATCTTACAGATGAGGAAACTGTAACTGACAGTATTAAAGTAGCTTTCTCAAGTTACATATCTAGAAAGGGCTGGAATTTGGATTTAAAACTAGGCCATATGTTCACTCTGCTAAGTCTGAATCTGTGTTCTAAGAGAACAATCTTTTTTTTTTTTTTGAGACAAGGTCTCACCCTGTCGCCCAGGTTAGAGTGCAGTGAAACAAGCATGGCTCACTGCAGCCTCAAACTCCCTGGCCCAATTGATCCTCCCACCTCAGCCTCCTGAGTAGCTGGGACTACAGGTCTGTGCTGCCATGCCTGGCTAATTTTTGTATTTTTTGTAGTGATGAGGTCTCTCTATGTTGCCCAGGCTGCTCTCGAAGTCCTGGGCTCAAGCATTCCGCCCACATCCTCCCAAAGTGGTGAGATTACAGGCATGAGCCACTGTGTCCAGGCTAAGTTGAGCTCACTTAAGTTCTTTCTGAGCTCAGCTCACCTATTCAGTTAAGGCTATTGTTGAGAAGAGATATAAAAGCCCTTCTACCAATTTACTCCATGACATAAATTAAAGCTAACATTAATGCTACTATAAGAGCAAAGGCGACTTCTGTAGAACTACTTTTAAAGTGTCACTCATTTTATTTCAATATTTGGCTTTTGACAGACGGTTTCTGGACCTCAGAAACTTTTGCAGGTCTATTTATTTTGTTCCTACCCTTCATATTTGGAATCTTTGGAATAGGGTACTCCCTGTGAGGTTCTTATAGAAAATACAAATTAAACCAGAAGAAGAATGGGAGTATTTACTGCTCACAATTTTAACGGGCTATTATAGGACCTTATTATGAAAAATAAAGTCTCTTAAAATGAAAAATCTAGTGAATTCCTAAAGGAACATTGTGAGTCAGTTACAAAGAAGTCAGGAAAAGTTAGTAAGTTGACCAAAGTAGTGAGAAATACTGGTGGGTAGACTTAAACATAAAGATATCACACAGGAAAGCCCTTGGTTTTAGGCACAGTGTGGCATTTCCCATCTGATCATTTTACCTCAAAGAATATGGGAATCTGTGCTTTAGAAAATCCTAATCTGGGCCAGGCGTGGTGGCTCATGCCTGTAATCCCAGCACTTTGGGAGGCTGAGGCGGGTGGATCACAAGGTCAGGAGATTGAGACCATCCTGGCCAACATGGTGAAGCCCTGTCTCTACTAAAAATACAAAAATTAGCTGGGTGTGGTGGTGCGTGCCTGTAATCCCAGCTACTTGGGAGACTGAGGCAGGAGAATCGCTGGAACCCAGAAAACAGAGGTTGCAATGAGCCAAGATTGTGCCACTGCCCTCTGGCCTGGCGACAGAGCGAGACTCCATCTCAAAATAAATAAATAAATAAATAAGTAAATAAATAAATAAAAGAAAGAAAGTCCTAATCTGGCAGCATGGAGAGAGGGCCAAAGCACCTGAGCCAGGAACGTCTAGCTTTCAGTAGTTGTCCCATATGTCCTGGGCCAAGCCATTCTCTTCCTTCAGCCTAAGAGTCCTCATCTGTAGGAGGAAGGGGATGGATCTGATCATTTATATGGTGTTGCATATGTCTGTCCATGCTATTTTGTGCAAAGCCCTTCTCGGGGTGGGGTGGGGGTAGCATATGAATGTATTTCAAATACCAAAAACACAAGTCTGTGGGAAAGAAGTTAGTTAAAAATATTTACTATGTGCCCACTAGGTGGCGGGCACTGTTATAGACAGTGAGGATACCAGTGTTAATGAGCCAGTTCTGAGCTGACTAATTGGGATCAGACTTACAAGTGAACGGCTGCCCCATAGCAGTGCTTCTAAGGAAGTCCTTTTCACAGCATAGAGTTATTCTTACTCAGCTCCTGTGTGCCAGCACTGTTCTAAGTACTTGGGATTACACAGTGAGCAAAATAAATTCCCTGTGCCCCCCTTGCACACTAGTTAGTGAGAATGTTACAGTAGACAATAACTAAGTTATATGGTAGGTTAGAAGGCAGTGAGTACTAAGGGAGAAAAGGAGTTAGGTAAGGGTGGTTGAGTGTGGGGTGGGGGACCAGTTTTCAGCATTTAAACGGGACTCAATGGAGATGGGTGCAATTAGCCAAGCAGATATCTGATGAAAGAGCTGTAACTAGACAACAACAGGAGAAAAAGCTCCTAAAGTGTTTACCAGGGTGGGGATGGAGGTAAGGGTGGGAGCAGCAAAGAATCTGGAGGTAATAAAAGGGGCTCTGGGGTAATGGGAGCGGGTCATTTGGCTCCATGTAAGCCATTATAAGAAATGTGGGAAATTGCCCAGAAGGATTAGTATCCTTTTTGCCACACTTGTATGGCAAATTGGGGTGAATGGAAGAAGATGCTTATGGCTGGAGGGAAAGGGACTTCACCTACCTGATGCCTCCCTGCTTCCCTGAAGACTGAGGGGATCAGTAGCTCTGCACACCTGTGACTTGCCTGCAGCACACCTGCCTGGGAGCCCTGCCTTCCTGCCTTCAGAGTGGATTTGAATTTCTGGCACATGCCCAGCTCTGCAGGAAGTGCTCTACATATGTGATCTCATGTACTCCTTAACAGCAACCTGTGATGTGTAGGAGTTATTGTCTCCATTTTCACATGCAGGAAACTGAGGCCCAGTGAAGCTGAGTAGCTCCAGGATTCTCTTTTATTATATCTGCTTCTCTAATGTCCATTGGGCTTCTCTGAATGTACAGTGTTCTTGCTTAGTTATTTTTGAAACCTTTTTAAAGCTTAAAGTTACAGATTCTTTTTCCCTATTTAAAAGTTTTTCCAGGATCATTTCGTAATAAAAAATATTATACTTGTTTGTCCAAAAATTAGGTAAAGACATTCTTTTTTGGGTAGTTGTGAGAAAGCAGGGAATAAAATGAGATCAGATTATAGACACTTATTTTAAAATTGGAATAGAAATTGGTTTTTCTAAACTTCTGAAAAATGGTGTCTGTCCTATCTGATTAAGTACATAGAGAAGATTGGAAATTTTCTTTAAAATAAGATTAGCATGCTCAAAATGCCTTGTTATTCTGAAATCCACCAATAAAAGGGAGTACGGTATAGCTTGAAAAGGGGAATGAGAAGCAAGTTGTAGCCCTGTAGATCATTGAAACCTGTCAGTCTTGAGGCGGCAAGGAGCTCCCTGCAGGTGTTACCCCGTTACTGCTTGAAGATTATGATCAATTTGTTTTCACATAGGCCCAACACGAGAAGATCATCTCTCAGCACCAAGCAGTGATCATAGCCACTCAGTCTGCACAAGTGTTGCTTGAGAAACAGGGTCAGTATCTCTCTCCTGAAGAAAAAGAGAAACTGCAAAAGAACATGAAGGAACTGAAAGTGCATTATGAAACTGCACTGGCTGAGTCAGAGAAGAAAATGAAGTTAACTCACTCTCTGCAGGAAGAATTAGAAAAGTTTGATGCTGACTATACCGAGTTTGAGCACTGGCTACAGCAGTCAGAACAAGAACTTGAAAACCTGGAGGCAGGTGCAGATGACATCAATGGTTTAATGACCAAATTGAAGAGGCAGAAGAGTTTCTCAGAAGACGTTATTTCTCACAAAGGTGACTTGAGATACATCACAATTTCTGGAAACAGAGTGTTGGAAGCTGCCAAATCTTGCAGCAAGAGAGACGGTGGCAAGGTTGATACTTCTGCAACCCACAGAGAAGTGCAGCGCAAGTTGGATCATGCTACTGATCGGTTCAGGTCTCTCTACTCTAAGGTAATGTTATTTTGATTTTTTAAGGGAAAAGTCAATCTGCAATTATAGTTTTCAATTATAGTTTTGGAACAAGAGGCAAGAAACCTAAAATCCAAAACAGGAGGAAAAGGTAGCTTTAGCCTACTTCTATTTTTTTTTTTTTTTTTGAGAAGGAGTCTCACTCTGTCGCCCAGGCTGGAGTGCAGTGGCGTGATCTCGGCTCACTGCAACCTCTGCCTCCCAGGTTCAAGCAATTCTCCTGCCTCAGCCTCCCGACTAGCTGGGACTACAGGCATGTACCCCCACGCCCGTCTAATTTTTTTTCTGTTTTTAGTAGAGATGGGGTTTCACTGTATTAGCCAGGATGGTCTCGATCTCCTGACCTCGTGATCCGCTCACCTCGGCTTCCCAAAGTGCTGGGATTGCAGGCATGAGCCACAGTGCCCAGCCTTCTCTCTATCTTATTCACCTGCTTTACTTCTGAACAATGTATTTAAATATGAGAAACTTAAAGTTACTTTAGTTTTTGAGAGCATGATTTCCAGAAGTCCCAGCTCTCAAATGCTCTAATATCCAGTGTGACCACAAGATGGCGGTTGTGCATTGACTCTAAGCAAAAACAGATGCTTGCAGCCTCTCAAGCTTGGGAACTGGTTTCATCTCAGATTATCCTCTTCACAAACACTGCAGGTGTTTGTCTTGTATATTTGATCAGTATGTTATTTTAATACTTAATGAATAAAAGACTGTTTTGCTTGTTTTACTTCTGTGGTCAAGTAAAAGGTTTTTTTTGAAAAAAAAAAATCTAAGAAAATATTTACTGGTTTGTAATATAATCTGAACAGACTTGCCAAGTTGCATAAATGATTTAAAGACCATCACTGGCTCTTGGACTTTGCTCCATTCTAATATAGACTCTTTGTCTTCCTTTTGTTAATTAACTTGTGCAACATATAGAAATTTATTAAGCACCTTTAAAACCCTTCCATCAAATCGATATCTATACACATGGTGTATCAAAATCTCCTTCCTCTGATGATTGATGTCTTTATCTTTTATTCTATGTTAAGACTCAGCTCTTGTAAATATGTTTTTGAATTGGTATAAATCCAGAACTATCTCTTTATTTTATGGTTACTTTTTGGCTTCTTATAGGGTACCTCTTCATATAAAGGAGGAAATCTTAGCCCAACAGAGTTTTTATTAACTTTGGTGGAAGTCTGGTTTTTTTTCCAAGTTACATATTTTATAGGTCCTAAGATTATTTGATGCATATGAAAATAGTGGGTTTTAATCTCCTACCCCTTTTCTCTTTTGATTGTTAGTGCAATGTTCTTGGAAATAATCTTAAAGATCTGGTGGATAAATATCAACACTATGAAGATGCTTCATGTGGACTTCTTGCTGGACTCCAGGCCTGTGAGGCCACAGCGAGCAAACACTTATCTGAACCTATTGCGGTGGACCCCAAAAATCTTCAAAGGCAATTAGAAGAGACCAAGGTAAAAAGCGAGAGAAAGATCCACATTTCCAGTAGTCTTACTGAAAGGCTTCCAATTTCTCACACTTTTGTGATAGTTTCAGCTAAGAGAGGGGAACAAATGATGTGAAAAGTATACTTCTGCCTCCAGAGGTAGTTTTGACTCTATTTCTCCACAGTACATTCTTTTTTTTTCCGAATTTTTTTTTTTTTTTTTTTTTTGAGATGGAGTCTCACTCCATCGTGTAGGCTGGAGTGCAGTAGTGTGATCTCAGCTCACGGCAACTGCCGCCTCCTGGGTTCAAGTGATTCTCCTGCCTCAGCCTCCCAAGTAGCTGGGACTACAGGCGCCCGCCACCAGCTGGGACTACAGGCGCTAATTTTTGTATTTTTAGTAGAGACGGGGTTTCGCCATGTTGGCTGGGCTGGTCTTGAACTCCTGACCTCAGGTAATCCACCTGCCTCAGCCTCCCAAAGTGCTGGGATTACAGGTGTGAACCACCGCGCCCAGCCTTCCTGATGTTTTCTTAACAGGTTTGACATTGCTGTTATGGCTTGTGACGTGCCCCTCCATCCCCAAACAAAACTCAGTATTTTCCTGGCCACTTATTTATCTTTATACTTACTTATCTTGTTCACTGTTTTTTCCTCCATTAGAATTAAGCTCCACAAGAACACGTGTCTTTGTCTGCTTTATTCATTGCTGTATTCACAGCACCTAGAATATTACCTGGCCCAAAGTTGGTACTCAATAAATATTTGTTAAGGAATGGACAGTTGGAAGGGAAGAAGGGATGCTACCATCATATTCAGCGGTTCTAAGGACCAGGATTAGGGTTCTTACTGAATATCTTCATGATTCATAGAGATACAAACTTGAATAATTACTCAATACAGTTCTCAAAAAGTCCACCTGCTCTTTCAGAAATACAGGCTTGGTGTCAAAACTGCATAACAGTGCGATTCTCAGTCATACAGTGGTGGAGAGTTCTTAAATCTATTTTTATAATGTAAAACTTATTTTAAAATTCTAAAGTAAAGGATGAGAACTAATGTGACCAATAATTTTGAGTTTAAAAGTTTCATTCCATCAATCTATTATATGATTCCATTTCACAGGTTAATAATAGTAGGTTATTACTGCTACAGCTAGAAAATAAACACAGGATTGCCAGTTAGACAGCTGTCTTTCAGAAGTTAATTGCATATTATTTACAGAGTCGAAAAATTGTGCTGTTAGCACGGGAAACAGGTACCCTGCTGGGCAAGCTTAAAGTTAGGTATTGCCTGAGATTGACAACTCTGGAAAGCTAAGTCATACCCGGGTGAAATGTGGCAGGTTAATATCAGGCAGAGAGAAGGCCCGTGAAGGGGTGGGAAGCATAGGATGAGAGCAGGGAAGGAGGTCAAGCTGGGAGGTCAAGAGGGTGGAGGGCACTGCTTCTTTCCCAGGCTGAAGAGTTTATCCAGCCCTTCACTGGACACTAGGGAGATGATGTGGGCCAGGTCAGCATCCCCAGATCCATGCAGCCTCCTCAGGGTTGCTTCCTTTTTTCCAATGTGCATTTTCAGTCCTGTTTTTTTTTCTTTCTCCTTTCCACAGGTACAAGAACAAATCTATCTTAATTAAGTTTTTATATCCCCATGTATTGTATATTCAAGGACAAGATATGTGGTGGGGGTAGAGGAGATACTGTGACATTAAGGTCATTATTTTAGTAGGAAATACGTATCATTTAAAATAATTATTGATTGCATATATTACATTTAATTAGGAAGTTATTTTAAGTATAGAAAATGCATAAAATAGAAATAACACATTTTAAGTTAGATCTATATTAGTAAACAGATTATACTGCATATAAAAGTAATTTTTATATAACTAGAGCAGAAAAAGAATAAAACCCAAAGAATGTGATGGTTTTTTAATTAAACAGATATGTGGATAAATTTTAAAACGGAAAAACCTATTTAGTAATTGCTGCAGAAGACTCTTACAGTCCTAAGACAGTTAAAGAAATATGAAAAAGAAAGAGATCTCAAAGGAGAATGAATTCTAATTAAGTCATAGCGTAATTTGAAAAATTAAATGTACAATTAAAGTTGTTGCTGATAATGCACATATTTTTCTCTCAGAAGATTTCAGAATGTATCAAGGATAAATTTTTATGAGGATTAGGTGGCCTCCATTTCTTTGATGTTTATTAACATTTTACAATTACTTTTAACAATAATATAAACCCATGAGACTACTACAAAAAATCGATCTTTCTACATGTAGCATACTATCTTCTACTTATATTCTGATGAATCATAAATGTAATTTTTGGGGCATCCAATTTGTTCATTTCATTTGAAATGCTTTTGGCCAATAGCATGTTGTTATTAGCATTATTATTCAAAGAACTGTGAACTGTGTTGTCAACAATCTGATACTACTAGGCCATAATAACACTCCTCAAGATCCCCTTCCAGGGAAATTAGTGGATAAAACAAGATTTTAGCCCCATAAGAGGTGCAGAAAACAGGATTTTGGGACCAGTCTCAAGGCCTGGGTGTGGAACCAGCAATGGGGATTGCATTGACTGACAATGTCAGCCTTCCAGACTTGCGCTAATCTTTGGGGTGGTGTTAAGTCAGGAAACTTTTATGAATTGTACAAATGCCCAGAAGTGTATAGACTTCGCTGTCTTCTGGTCCCAACAGGTATTCTCTTGTCACAGATCCTTCTTTCATGTCTTAATTTCCTTGAAATCCATTCAAAACAATATAAGGTACCCATTTGAATACTGTAATTAACAGTTTTTTTTCCAAAATAGCACTATAAACAACTATTATTGTTAAATTAGGACCTTGATACTTGCTAGGAATTAAAAATGATTAACTCTCCTGAATATAATTGTCAAGAGTAAAGGCATGTGATGTTTTGAGAAGAAGAGGTGAAGAAGACATGCTTCTTTTATAATGCACTTCTAAGTTTTAAGCTGGTAGTCAGGGCCATCTTTGGTATTGGATATTCTAATAGAACCATGATCACTTTTAGATGTATTTATTCATTCAGTAAATGTTTGTATGCTGAGTTTCATGAAGGCACAAAGATGTTAAAACCCTGTCTCTGCCCTTGGTGAACTCACAATCTAAAAAAAATTTTCGGAGGGTACCCTTCACTTACTTCATCTCCTAAATAACCATGTTATATGAATAAACTGTCCCTGTGGTCTAGATTCAGTGTGGTCACAGGTAAAAAGTTCATGTCTTGAGGGATTTTTTTTTACACTTCCCGTAATTAAACTGCTAGGAGAATTTTTCAAACAGATCCACTCTGATGAGGATTCTTTGGCATCTTGAAACAACTGTAGGTTGTGGTATTCTAGATCCTATGTTGGTCGTGGTTTGGTGGGCCTTTTGACATATGCACAGACTGCCTGTATGTCATCTCAGTTTCTTGGATATGAAGATTAGTTGAGGAAATTTTTGCCATTAGCTTTAGGCATTTAAGTAATGATAATAAATAATGCTGAAATAGAAGAAAACCTTTTTAGGTCTTACATCTGATATGTTCATTTATTTACTTAGTTGCTGATTTATTCCTGAAAAAAATTTTTGGAGCCTGCTATGTGTCAAGCACTGATCTAGGCACTAGTAATAGAAAGCCAAAAGGGATGACTTCCTAGTTCTCAAGAAGGCTATAGTTTGATAGAAGACACAGAAAAATCCAATAATAGTCACAGGGTATTTATGGGATTTCCTGTAAGGAGTACTTACTAAAGCTAGGAGTGAGGAGAGACTTAGGGAAGGTTTTCCAGCTGAGTATTAAAAGGTGAAGAAGAGCCAAGTTCAGGATGGCGGGGGTAGGTTGCATGAAAAAGTTGGTATGTAGAGTTTCTAAGACATTGGGTCCAGCATGAATAAATAGCTAAGAAATAGCTGTGTTAGACATTTCTGGAACAGAAAGTTGAGATTGAAGGTAGAATTAGGGAATAGATTTCATTGGACCTTTTAGACTATAGCATGCTCAAGTCTTGGCCTTTTTGTCAAGGGAGACTACTAAGAGATTTTAACAGGGTTATTTGGCTGTTCTTGTGTTGCTATAAAGAAATACTTGATTGGAGCATTTAGTCCATTTACATTTAAAGTTAATATTGTTATGTGTGAATTTGATCCTGTCATTATGATGTTAGCTGGTTATTTTGCTCGTTAGTTGATGCAGTTGCTTCCTAGTCTCGATGGTCTTTACATTTTGGCGTGATTTTGCAGTGGCTGGTACCGGTTGTTCCTTTCCATGTTTAGTGCTTCCTTCAGGCGCTCTTTTAGGGCAGGCGTGGTGGTGACAAAATCTCTCAGCATTGGCTTGTCTGTAAAGTATTTTATTTCTCCTTCACTTATGAAGCTTAGTTTGGCTGGATATGAAATTCTGGGTTGAAAATTCTTTTCTTTAAGAATGTTGAATATTGGCCCCCACTCTCTTCTGGCTTGTAGAGTTTCTGCCGAGAGATCTGCTGTTAGTCTGATGGGCTTCCCTTTGTGGGTAACTCGACCTTTCTCTCTGGCTGCCCTTTACATTTTTTCCTTCATTTCAACTTTGGTGAATCTGACAATTATGTGTCTTGGAGTTGCTCCTCTCGAGGAGTATCTTTGTGGCATTCTCTGTATTTCCTGAATCTGAATGTTGGCCTGCCTTGCTAGATTGGGGAAGTTCTCCTGGATAATATCCTGCAGAGTGTTTTCCAACTTGGTTCCATTCTCCCCATCACTTTCAGGTACACTGATCAGATGCAGATTTGGTCTTTTCACATAGTCCCATATTTCTTGGAGGCTTTGTTCGTTTCTTTTTATTCTTTTTTCTCTGAACTTCCCTTCTTGCTTCATTTCATTCGTTTCATCTTCCATCGCTGATACCCTTTCTTCCAGTTGATCGCATCGGCTCCTGAGGCTTCTGCATTCTTCACGTAGTTCTCGAGCCTTGGCTTTCAGCTCCATCAGCTCCTTTAAGCACTTCTCTGTATTGGTTATTCTAGTTATACATTCGTCTAAATTTTTTTCAAAGTTTTCAACTTCTTTGCCTTTGGTTTGAATTTCCTCCTGTAGCTCGGAGTAGTTTGATCGTCTGAAGCCTTCTTCTCTCAACTCGTCAAAGTCATTCTCCGTCCAGCTTTGTTCCGTTGCTGGTGAGGAACTGTGTTCCTTTGGAGGAGGAGAGGCACTCCACTTTTTAGAGTTTCCAGTTTTTCTGCTCTGTTTTTTCCCCATCTTTGTGGTTTTATCTACTTTTGGTCTTTGATGATGGTGATGTACAGATGGGTTTTTGGTGTGGATGTCCTTTCTGTTTGTTAGTTTTCCTTGTAACGGACAGGACTCTCAGCTGCAGGTCTGTTGGAGTTTGCTAGAGGTCCACTCCAGACCCTGTTTGCCTGGGTATCAGCAGCGGTGTCTGCAGAAGAGCGGATTTTCGTGAACCGCGAATGCTGCTGTCTGATCATTCCTCTGGAAGTTTTGTCTCAGAGGAGTACCTGGCCGTGTGAGGTGTCAGTCTGCCCCTACTGGGGGGTGCCTCCCAGTTAGGCTGCTCGGGGGTCAGGGGTCAGGGACCCACTTGAGGAGGCAATCTGCCCGTTCTCTAAATGCTCCAATTAAAAGACACAGACTGGCAAATTGGATCAAGAGTCAAGACCCATCAGTGTGCTGTATTCAGGAAACCCATCTCACATGCAGAGACACACATAGGCTCAAAATAAAAGGATGGAGGAAGATCTACCAAGCAAATGGAAAACAAAAAAAGGCAGGGGTTGCAATCCTAGTCTCTGATAAAACAGACTTTAAACCAACAAAGATCAAAAGAGACAAAGAAGGCCATTACATAATGGTAAAGGGATCAATTCAACCAGAAGAGCTAACTATCCTAAATATATATGCACCCAATACAGGAGCACCCAGATTCATAAAGCAAGTCCTGAGTGACCTACAAAGAGACTTAGACTCCCACACAATAATAATGGGAGACTTTAACACCCCACTGTCAACATTAGACAGATCAACGAGACAGAAAGTTAACAAGGATACCCAGGAATTGAACTCAGCTCTACACCAAGCAGACCTAATAGACATCTGCAGAACTCTCCACCCCAAATCAACAGAATATACATTTTTTTTCAGCACCACACCACACCTATTCCAAAACTGACCACATAGTTGGAAGTAAAGCTCTCCTCAGCAAATGTAAAAGAACAGAAATTATAACAAACTGTCTCTCAGACCACAGTGCAATCAAACTAGAGCTCAGGATTAAGAAACTCACTCAAAACCTCTCAACTGCATGGAAACTGAACAACCTGCTCCTGAATGACTACTGGGTACCTAACGAAATGAAGGCAGAAATAAAGATGTTCTTTGAAACCAACGAGAACAAAGACACAACATACCAGAATCTCTGGGACACATTCAAAGCAGTGTGTAGAGGGAAATTTATAGCACTAAATGCCCACAAGAGAAAGGAGGAAAGATCCAAAATTGACACCCTAACATCACAATTAAAAGAACTAGAAAAGCAAGAGCAAACACATTCAAAAGCTAGCAGAAGGCAAGAAATAACGAAAGTCAGAGCAGAACTGAAGGAAATAGAGACACAAAGAACCCTTCAAAAGATCAATGAATCCAGGAGCTGGTTTTTTGAAAGGATCAACAAAATTGATAGACTGCTAGCAAGACTAATAAAGAAAAAAAGAGAGAAGAATCAAATAGACGCAATAAAAAATGATAAAGGGGATATCACCACCAATCCCACAGAAATACAAACTACCATCAGAGAATACTACAAACACCTCTACGCAAATACACTAGAAAATCTAGAAGAAATGGATAAATTCCTCGACACATACACTCTCCCAAGACTAAACCAGGAAGAAGTTGAATCTCTGAATAGACCAATAACAGGCTCTGAAATTGTGGCAATAATCAATAGCTTACCAACGAAAAAGAGTCCAGGACCAGATGGATTCACAGCCAAATTCTACCAGAGGTACAAGGAGGAACTGGTACCATTCCTTCTGAAACTAGTCCAATCAATAGAAAAAGAGGGAATCCTCCCTAACTCATTTTATGAGGCCAGCATCATCCTGATCCCAAAGCCGGGCAGAGACACAACCAAAAAAGAGAATTTTAGACCAATATCCTTGATGAACATTGATGCAAAAATCCTCAATAAAATACTGGCAAACCGAATCCAGCAGCACATCAAAAAGCTTATCCACCATGATCAAGTGGGCTTCATCCCTGGGATGCAAGGCTGGTTCAATATACACAAATCAATAAATGTAATGCAGCATATAAACAGAACCAAAGACAAAAACCACATGATTATCTCAATAGATGCAGAAAAGGCCTTTGACAAAATTCAACAACCCTTCATGCTAAAAACTGTCAATAAATTAGGTATTGATGGGACGTATCTCAAAATAATAAGAGCTATCTATGACAGACCCACAGCCAATATCATACTGAATGGGCAAAAACGGGAAGCATTCCCTTTGAAAACTGGCACAAGACAGGGATGCCCTCTCTCACCACTCCTATTCAACATAGTGTTGGAAGTTCTGGCCAGGGCAATTAGGCAGGAGAAGGAAATAAAGGGTATTCAATTAGGAAAAGAGGAAGTCAAATTGTCCCTGTTTGCAGGCAACATGATTGTATATCTAGAAAACCCCATGGCCTCAGCCCCAAATCTCCTTAAGCTGATAGGCAACTTCAGCAAAGTCTCAGGATACAAAATCAATGTACAAAAATCACAAGCATTCCTATACACCCATAACAGACAAACAGAGAGCCAAATCATGAGTGAACTCCCATTCACAGTTGCTTCCAAGAGAATAAAATACTTAGGAATCCAACTTACAAGGGACGTGAAGGACCTCTTCAAGGAGAAATACAAACCACTGCTCAATGAAATAAAAGAGGATACAAACAAATGGAAGAACATTCCATGCTCATGGGTAAGAAGAATCAATATCGTGAAAATGGCCATACTGCCCAAGATAATTTATAGATTCAGTGCCATCCCCATCAAGCTACCAATGACTTTCTTCACAGAATTGGAAAAAACTACTTTAAAGTTCATATGGAACCAAAAAAGAGCCCGCATCGCCAAGTCAATCCTAAGCCAAAAGAACAAAGCTGGAGGCATCAAGCTACCTGACTTCAAACTATACTACAAGGCTACAGTAACCAAAACAGCATGGTACTGGTACCAAAACAGAGATATAGATCAATGGAACAGAACAGAGCCCTCAGAAATAACACCGCGTATCTACAACTATCCGATCTTTGATAAACCTGACAAAAGCAATGGGGAAAGGATTCCCTATTTAATAAATGGTGCTGGGAAAACCAGCTAGCCATATGTAGAAAGCTGAAACTGGATCCCTTCCTTACACCTTATACAAAAATTAATTCAAGATGGATTAAATACTTAAATGTTAGACCTAAAACCATAAAAACCCTAGAAGAAAACCTAGGCATTACCATTCAGGACATAGGCATGGGCAAGGACTTCATGTCTAAAGCACCAAAAGCAATGGCAACAAAAGCCAAAATTGACAAATGGGATCTAATTAAACTAAAGAGCTTCTGCACAGCAAAAGAAACTACCATCAGAGTGAACAGGCAACCTACAAAATGGGAGAAAATTTTCGTAACCTACTCATCTGACAAGGGGCTAATATCCAGAATCTACAATGAACTCCAACAAATTTACGGGAAAAAAACAAACAACCCCATCAAAAAGTGGGCAAAGGATATGAACAGACACTTCTCAAAAGAAGACATTTATGCAGCCAAAAGACACATGAAAAAACGCTCATCATCACTGGCCATCAGAGAAATGCAAATCAAAACCACAATGAGATACCATCTCACACCAGTGAGAATGGCGATCATTAAAAAGTCAGGAAACAACAGGTGCTGGAGAGGCTGTGGAGAAATAGGAACACTTTTACACTGTTGGTGGGACTGTAAACTAGTTCAACCATTGTGGAAGTCAGTGTGGCAATTCCTCAGGGATCTAGAACTAGAAATACTATTTGACCCAGCCATCCCATTACTGGGTATATACCCAAAGGTCTGTAAATCATGCTGCTATAAAGACACATGCACCCATATGTTTATTGCAGCACTATTCACAATAGCAAAGACTTGGAACCAACCCAAATGTCCAACAATGATAGACTGGATTAAGAAAATGTGGCACATATACACCATGGAATACTATGCAGCCATAAAAAATGATGAGTTCATGTCCTTTGTAGGGACATGGATGAAATTGGAAATCATCATTCTCAGTAAACTATCACAAGGCCAAAAAACCAAACACCGCATGTTCTCACTCATAGGTGGGAATTGAACAATGAGAACACATGGACACAGGACGGGGATCATCACACTCTGGGGCCTGTTGTGGGGTGGGGGTAGGGGGGAGAGATAGCATTAGGAGATATACCTAATGCTAAATGACGAGTTAATGGGTGCAGCACACCAGCATGGCACATGTATACATATGTAACTAACCTGCACATTGTGCACACGTACCCTAAAACTTTAATAAAAAAAAAAAAGAAAAGAAATACTTGAGACTGGGTAATTTATAAAGAAAAGAAGTTTAGTTGGCTCACGATTCTACAGGGTCTACAAGCATGGCACTGACATCACTCAGCTTCTGGGGAAGCCTCAGGGAACTTTTACTCATGGTGCAAGGCAAAGCAGGAGCAGGCATGTGACATGGCAAAAGCAGAAGCAAGTGAGAGAGAGAGAGAGGGAGAGAGGTGGGGAGGTGGGGAAGTGCTACATACTTTTAAATGACCAGATCTTGCTAGAATTCACTCACTGTCGAGGACAGCACCAAGATGATGATGGTAAACCATTCATGAGAAATCATCTCCCACCAGGTTCTCCCTTGAACATTGAGGATTGCATTTCAATGTGAGATTTGGGCGGGGACAAATATCCAAACTATATCAGGGGTGATATGTGGTCAGATGTATATTTTAGGTAGAACACATTAGGAGCTATATTAGAGAAGTGATTGGAGGCAGGATCTAACACAGTTAGGATTCTTTTTTCAACAATCCAAGAGAGAGATTATCCTGGAATGATCCAGAAATATGGAGCAAAAGTTGACTTTTAAAAAATATTAAGCAGGTAAAATTGTTGATTGATTTGCACGTGTGGAAAAAAAAAGCTTTAAATGGTTGATTTGCATGTGGAAAATAAGCCTTAGGATGGAATCTAGGAGGAACTTCAGGTTGACTATTTGGGTAGTTAGATATACCCCAGGAGAAAGTATAGGTACAGAGAATGAGATGATGAGTTCAGATTCAGCTTTTTTGAGTTGGAGGTGACTGCATACATCCAGATGGAAATACTCAAGAGGCAGTTGGAAAGCTAGGCCCATGGCCAAGGATGAGTTCACATCTACAACTGGACATTGGGGGCTTTGAAATCCAAATGCAGGAGTAGAAGAGGAGCATGAGTTGCTTAAGATAAATTAAAGCTGGGAATAGGCCTGTGTGGCCAGGCAGCCCACTTTTGCAGAAATCTGTAAGAGCTGTTAGAAATGCAGGGTCAAACTTCTGGAAGACGTATCTATGGCTCCTGCTTCCACCTTTTTTTCCTCCTTCCCATTGTTGAGCCACATCTGTTCACTCAGAGATACGCGGGGACTGCTACTCATTAAATTCAAGGACTCATTAGTCTTTCAGTTTACATTATCCTTTCCGAAGCAGTTGACACTGTTAACCTTTTCCACTTCTCTCTTCCTTTAATCTTTGGGGACAGAGTTATTCTGGGCCCATTTCCACCCCATCAATTACATGTGTTCTTTTTTTTCTTCTCTCCCCATCACTTATATATAAATATTCTCCATGATTCTTTAGAATCTCCTTCTCTGGCATTCCTGTGCTTTCTTGTTTAGGAGTCACATTGTGTATCTTGACTTCCAATTCTCTATGTCTGTTTCCAGTTTGGGTTCCAACTCTCTTCCATTTCCAGTTTTTGCTGTTTCCTTCTGGAGGAGGGTCCCAAAAGCACTTTGAAATCATGAATTCCAAAACAGGCATTCCTTTACTCTTAGCTTGCTCTCACTTTTTTTTTTTTTTTTTTTTTTTTTAATAAATGCCACTAATTGGCTGGGAGCCTTGGCTCATTCCTGTAATCCCAGCACTTTGGACGGCCGAGGTGGGAGGATTGCTTGAGCCCAGGAGTTTGAGACCAGCCTGTGCAATGTGGCAAAACCCTGGCTCTACAAAAAATACAAAAAAATTAGCTGGGCATGGTGGCATGCACCTGTGGTTCTAGCTAATTGGGAGGCTCAGGTGGGAGGATCACCTGAGCTTGTGAGGTCAAGGCTTCAGTGAGCCAAGACTGTACCAGTGCACTCCAGCCTGGGCAACAGAGTGAGACGCTGCCCCCCCAACCAAAAAAAAAAAAAAAAAAGAAAAAGTAAATTCCGCTAATTACCTAGGCTCAAAATCTTTGGACACTTCTACTCTTGTCTCCTCTTGTCCTTTGTTCCTGCCCTCTCCAGCAGTGCTGTCTACTAGAACATTCTGTAATTATGAAATTTATTTTTTTAAATTTTTATTTATTTATTTATTTATTTATTTTAAGAAAGTAGGAATATCACTCTGTCACCCAGGCTGGAATTAACAGTAGCATGATCATAGCCCACTGCAGCCTCAAATTCCTGGGCTCATGCGGTCTTCCTGACTCAGCTCCTGAGTAATTGAGACTACAGGCACAGACTACCGTGCCCGGCTAATTTTTTAATTTTTTTTTGTAAAGACAAGGTCTCACTTTATTACCCAGGCTGGTCTTGAACTCCTGGCCTCAAGTGATCCTCCCAAGTTGGCCTCCCAAAAAGCGTTGGGATTACAAGTGAGCCACCGCACCAGCTGGAAATACTTTACTTATATTTTGCTCTGTTCAATTGGTAGCCACTAGCCACAGTGACTACTTAGCACTTGAAATGTGGCTACTGTAACCAAGGAATGGAATTTTTAATTGTTTAAAATTTCAATTAATTTAAATTTTAAAAGCTACCTGTAGTTGGTAGCTACCATAGTGGCAGCACAGCTTTGCATAGTGTTACCAAGTCCTTTGGACTCTTCCCAACTCTAACTAATTCCACCTTCTCAGTCCAAACAGACCGAACGGTGGAATTGTCTTCAGCCCTTGGCCTTCAGTAGTCCTCACTGCTTTGTTACTGCTGAAGTTGTCCCCAGCTGGTATCTCTCCTTTATTTCGTTTCCATTGGACTTTTCCCATGCAGTGCTACAAATTTAGCCTTCCTATAGGACAGCCCTGAGCATCTCAACCCCTTACCCAAAAGCCCTGCATAACTCCCCATTGCTATGGGATAAAATGTAAACTCCTTAGCCTGATGTTTGAAGCCTTTCCAGGCCTATTTCTATTTACTCACCCATAAGCATTGTCAAACTGGATGGGACTCTCCCCTTCTCCTGTGATTCTTCTGTCCTCATCTTTGTGTCTTCTGTTTGTTCTGCAGGGAGTGGTTCTCCCAAATCCACACTTTCTTAAGGAGCCATCTCAGTGTCATTACCATTGAGGTGGCCCTCATTTCCCTCCCATTTTTTTCCTGTTAACTTCCAGCAGCATTTTTTCAGACTCACCTGTGGCACTTACCACTTCCTGCCTCGAACCATAAAATCCCTGAAAGTAAGCTTTGTGTCTGTTTTTATTTTTGTATATTCACAAAATGTAGCAAGGCTTTTTGAATTTGTTAGATGTTCAGTAACTTTTATTGAATTAACAGAAATAAACATGACTCAGTATTGAGTCAGGATCTACTGATTTGGGCGAGCTTATTTATCTCCTTTCCTGGAGTCAGAAGTGGTCTCAAATTTTGGTTGTTGTTTGTTTTAGTAGTAGTTGGGGTATTGTACAAAGCCTAGAAGTAGGGGTTAAGGGTATAAAGTTAGAGGGTTGTATGATCAGGAACCAGGGAAATTATTATGAACATATGCTCAAAGGTTTATTTCAAAACTTAATTTGTGTTATCCAGACTGGCTGATGCTTTTGCTAATGCTGCTTTATAACTGGCCTTATTCGAAGAACTCTGGAGTAAGTTGATGATGAAAGTTGGTATGATGAAAAGTTTATTCTGTCCAATTTTACTTTATCTTATTAGAAATCATTTTTTCCACATTAGAAATCTATTATTTAGTCCTGCTGAGTATAATTGAAAAGCGTTTAATCCTACAGGCTTTGCAAGGACAGATATCAAGTCAGCAGGTTGCTGTAGAGAAACTGAAGAAAACGGCTGAAGTGCTTTTAGATGCCAGGGGATCTTTACTTCCAGCCAAGAATGATATCCAGAAAACACTTGGTAAGATATTCATGTCCTTGCTTCCTGTCTCACAGGTAAATTCTAAAGAAAGGTGTCCTAATAGATATGGAGAAAAATGTTCACTAGTTATAGATTGTGTTCTATGTGCTCTTTCTCTGTGAAATGGTGTTCCTGCATCTGGGAAAAGGCATGCCTTCTTTGGCAGGTATATTAGAATCTTAGAGGCGGGGGCTATGTGTCTTGAAAAGAGTATATTTAAATTTAAATTTGATATTTAGAAAACATAACAGGAACTCGCTATGTAATGTCCACCACAGGAAGTAGAACTTCACAAAATTCTCTTGGTTGATGGGATTGGGCAGAGTTAGGCCTTCAACTTAAGGCCAAAGTAGAATCTCTGAGGGTCTTTATCAATAGTGGGAACGTGGGTTTAAGAGGTTGAGAAATGTGCTTAATTGAATTGAATTGAATTTATTTTTAGAGACAGGGGTTACTTTATTGCCCAGGCTGAGTGCAGTGGCACAATCATGTCTCACTGCAGCCTTGACTTCCTGGGCTCAAGCAGTCTTCCTCATCTCAGCCTCCTGAGAAGTAAGGACTACAGGAATGCTCTGTCATGTGCAGCTAATTTTTTAAATTTTTTTTGTAGAGATGGGGTCTCACTGTATTGTCCAGGCTAGTCTCAAACTCTTGGGCTTAAATGATCCTCCCCAAATGTTTTGTGCACAAAAGTAGCACTACAGCTGTAATCAAGTTTCTAGTATCACTAAAGAATTGGTGTAACTGAGCTCTCAATTTGAGTGAGGCCACTAAAAAACTTCTAGAACACAGAGAAGTGGGAAGACTTCTCAAAGCACATCTCTCAGGCCGGGTGCAAAAGCTGACACCTGTAATCCCAACATTTGGGGAGGATCATTTAAGCCCAAGAGTTTGTGATTAATGTGTTTCTTGAGAAAAGAGCTATTGTATATTATCTTTCTATCTAACCACAGTATTTAGTTTATACCAAATGTGCAGTGGATTATCAATACATATTTTTTACTATCTTACATATGTATTTTTTGTTTTCACTGCCCTGCTTTTCACAATATTTAATGTTATTGTGTATTTCTGTGTGTGAATATGTGAAGTAAAAATATTCCACAACAGATGATTAGACATATGTTTTACCCTAAATAGAGCATGAATTAAAATCTGAGTCAAAATTTTATTTGAAGAGAAGAATGGAACTTAGCTCTTTTAAGATCACTGTGTAAAAGGGAAATCCTGTCTTTCATTCTTACATGTATCCAGATGTTTTTTATTATGTACCCCTGTCAAAAATGATCTTCAGCCTGCATCCCCATATATGCAGATGTATGTATAAGTCATGTGAACATATTACTGTATTATTCTATGTGTTATAATTATAAAACACAAAAATATAGAGTTTTAAAGTATAAAATGAAAATATGAATGGAAGTTCTAACATTTTGTTCCTCTGTCCCAATGCAGCATCTCATATATCCACATTAGATACCATTGCTGTGAGGACTTGGGTATAAGGATATGAAGGAGAAAGAAAGACTATCTTATTTGTATTTATGTTACTCGAAGAGGCATTTTGACATTTTTTTCTTATTGTTAAGTGTACATAGTTTCACTTTTAGTTGCTTAAAATTCATTTGTTACATTATTTTAAAACTAAAACTTCTGGCATAATTTTCTAGGAAATATGTGAAACTATTTAAGGTATAGAGGAGTTTCTCTAAGATCTTTCTGACTTCTAAGAAAACCAATGATTTAAAAAAATAACATTCTTACAGTAGATTTTTGTACCTTTTTCTAAAATATTTTTTAGTTTACTAAAATGAAGAATTTACTTCAGTGACAATATTTTATCACTAAGAAGTGCAAACTAAACAGTGTCTTCGTTTAGCCCACTATGACAAAAATAGCATCGGCTGGGTAGCTTAAACAACATACATTTATTTCCAATAGTTCTGGAGGCTGGAAATCAGAGAACAGGCTGCCAGTATGGTCGGGTTCTGGTGAGGGCCCTTTTCCTGGCTTACAGATGGCCACTATCTTGCTGGTAGAGAGTGGTGGAGAGACATCATTTCTCTCCTGTTTCTTCTTCTAAGGGCGCTAATCCCATTCACACGGGCTCTACCCTCATGACCTAATTACCTCCTCAGAGAGAGAGGAAACCTGATTCTTTTTGCTACTCACTCTCATACACCATTGAACATGACACAGAACACTTCTGTGACCAGATGTGTGTGTATTTCTCCCCATACACCAAACAATTCTCCAACAGATACCAGCTGGATGTCCTATAATTCAATTCAGTTCAATTCAATTCTGACACTGTCTACCTGGAATTAGCTTCAGACCCCACAGGTTAAGGGGTCAGTCTCATAATGCTGCCCCCCACTTCAGATACCAATCACAAGTCCCAAATTGTGATCCGTATTTCAGACTGATCAGCTATAAATTAGGATTCCCATGACCCTTCTCACGTTCAATTAATTGCTAGAGTGACTCACAGAACTCAGAGAAAGACTTTACTTACATTTACCCACTTACTATAAAGAATATTACAAAGGATACAGATGAACAGCCAGATGGAAGAGATACACAGGGTGAGGTATGGGAGAAGGGGAGCAGAATTTCTGTGCCCTCTATGGGCATGCCATGCTCAGGACTCCATGTGTTCAGCTATTCAGAAGCTCCCCAGACGAATCCTATTGGGTTTTTATGGCAGCTTCATTACATAAGCATGATTGATTACATCATTGGCCATTGGTAGCAGCTCAATCTTCAGCCCCTCTTCCCTCCTCAGAGGTTGACAGGGTGACAGTTCCAACTGTCTAATCACATGGTTGATTCCCTGGCAACATCTGCCACTGTCCCCTGCTCCCCCTACCCTAAGACTATCCAGGAGGCCACCAGGCGTCACCTCATTCAAACAAAAGATGCCCCTCATGAAGGAATTCCAAGGGACTTAGGAGCTCTGCCATACACTCCTGTCACTTAGGAAATCACAAAGGTCTTAGGAGCTCTATGTCAGGAACTGAGGTCAACGACCAAATATCA
Source organism: Homo sapiens (assembly GCF_000001405.40). Lineage (NCBI taxonomy): Eukaryota > Metazoa > Chordata > Mammalia > Primates > Hominidae > Homo > Homo sapiens. Next base: position 56,575,774 of record NC_000006.12, on the reverse strand, counting down.
GAACAAAAGATTCTCTTAGTGTCTGTATTACTGAGGAAATCAGAAGGGTTTTAGGAACTCTATGTCAAGAGCTATGGCCAGAGACCAAATATTTCTTATTATATGATAATATCACATCTTCCAAAGGCCCCAGCACCCAACACTATCACATTGGGACTTTGGCCCCAATATATGAATTTTGGGGGACACATTTAGTCTATAGCAAACTAACACTCAAATCTGTTAATTATATGAAAATAGCTGGCTTTCCTTCGAAAGTCACTTATTATGGCTGAACAGGTCACTCATTTTACTTACCCTGTTGATGCAGTTGCCCAATTAAGAAGTCGCTAACCTGCCAACTTCAAGCTGCCATTCAGAGCATGTGCTCTTGTGAGTTTCCAAATTAGAGCTCATTTTTTTTCTTCAACTTTTATTTTAGAATCAGAGGGTACATATGCAGGTTTGTTAGAAAGGTATATTGTATGATGCTGAGGTTTGGCATATGATCGAACCCATCACCCAAGTAATGAGCATAGTCTCCAACAGGTAGTTTTTCAGCCCTTACCTTCCCACCCCTCTCCCCCAACTAGTAGTTTCCAGCATCTATTGTTGAGAGCTTATTTTTGAACCCACTGCTTGTTTCCTCTGCCGATGGCATTTTCGTGCATATTAAATGCTGTCTCCCTCCCCACTCAGTATGCTGATGGGCTTCATTGAGTTTTAGTAAGAGGAGCATGATTTTCTCTTTAAATCATCCAAACTTAACCTCTCACTCCAGTGAAAATTTTCAAGATGTTTTCTCATGTTGTAGCATTAGAACAATTATATTATTTTGTTGTATAGATTATGTTTCATGGGCCAAATACAAGTCAGTAAGATGTTAGAGATGTTTCAGGACACAGCTTGTCCCTACTGAAGCGTTCTACAATGTATAAGACTAAAGCATTCAGAAATAATTAAAATATTTTTCAAATTCTCGGACAATAAGTGATAAATAAATTTAAAACATCATTTTCCAGAGAGAAAGAGATGAATACATTAAAAACCATTGTTCAAACTTTTCATTGGTCTACAATATAGAATGTAGGATGTTAACATGTAGGGCTTTAGTCAAGTGAAAACTGGACGAGAAAGGGTTTTTTTTTTTAGCATCTTGAATCTTTAGAATTGAAGATAAAGTTTATCCTCATATGAGATAGGTTAGCCTGTTTATTTTTCTCTTTTGTCTGCTGTTAAACTTTTAAATAAATTCAATTAGTGTATATTTTAGAAGCATAATCTTAACTTTAAATGGATTTTCATTGTTGCCTGTTTTCTTAATTACTTGCATCTGCCAGTTTCTGTGCATTTGAGTGATTTGCTTAAGTTGTGAAGTATGACAAAAGCTTAGCATGCGTGTGTATGAAGGAGGGAGATAGGGTGATAATTTTTATATGTAAAAGTTAATTCTTCAGAAATCTTTGTAACTGTGTATTGTCTTGAGAATGGCTGTGTGTGACTCACCTTTTTTTCCTCCGAAAGTAATTTTCAATAAGTATGGCTAATGTGAAATGTCAGATTGAGAACCAGTATTTATTTCAAAGATTTGCTGTTCGGACTACTCTTTTGTCTCTCTGTGACAATTCAAATGTTTATGCATCCAAAAAAATCTCTTTTCAAATGCAGATGGGATATATATTAACTTTTAAAAAAAGATTTCAATTTTCAGTATCCATTGGGCTCTTTTCTTTCTTTATATTTTAACATTTTAGGTGGTGTTCTGATTATGCATTAGGAATTTATCATTGAACTTTTTATTTTTTAAATTTTTTGTGTGGAAATTGTATGATTCACCTTCATGTGTTTTTGAAAAGGGATAGGGCAAAGAGAACTTTGTGGTTAATATTCCTGATCTGTTTGGAGTAGATGACATTGTTGGGAGATATGAGGATCTGTCCAAGTCTGTTAATGAACGAAATGAAAAACTCCAGATAACCTTGACCCGTTCACTGAGTGTGCAGGATGGCTTGGATGAAATGCTGGACTGGATGGGAAATGTGGAAAGTTCTCTGAAAGAACAAGGTCAAGTGCCTTTAAACTCTACTGCTCTTCAGGATATTATCAGTAAAAACATTGTAAGTGACTTTAAAAAAAAGTCCCATTTTCAGTTTTTTAAAAAAACAGTTTTATAAGCTCAAAGTGTAGTTAGATTTAAGATAAACTTAAGGACACAAAAAAGAGACATTTACTGAATATGAGTGTGGAAAGTAATGCTTGCACAAAATCAAGTGTGTAAAATGGTTTATCTGTGAAGAAGTGTAGGAAGGACTTTGTGTACTTTTTCTTGAATATTATTCATTATAGAGGGCTTATGCATACATTGAGTCTTATCTTGTTTATCATTGTTTCAGCCAGCTGCACATGAGGTTAATCAGATCAGTCTTGTCTAGTCTTTTAAGAATTAGGACCATGGCTAATCCCCAGGCTCCATTAGATTCTAGGGGTTGCTGAGTAGCAGCAGCCTCCTGCCTCTTTCGACCAACTAGCCAGCTGTTCTTCACTCTCTCAGAGAGATTTAAGATGGCATTCCTCAAGGGACAGACCAAACTTGTCATTCAGTTTCAACTGTTAACCTTCCTAGGCACAGGTTGTGCAAGCTTATGTTGTTAGGAATAGTCATTTAAAAAAATTCTGTCACATTATTTATAAGCATCATAATAAAAGATATGCAATATTTGGTTTATTTTAGATGTTGGAACAGGATATTGCAGGTCGTCAGAGCAGTATAAATGCCATGAATGAAAAAGTGAAGAAATTTATGGAAACAACAGATCCATCCACTGCATCCTCACTGCAAGCCAAAATGAAAGACTTGTCTGCTCGGTTTTCAGAAGCAAGTCATAAACACAAAGAAACTCTTGCCAAAATGGAGGAGCTAAAAACCAAAGTAGAACTGTTTGAGAACCTCTCAGAAAAGCTCCAGACATTTTTAGAAACAAAAACTCAGGCTCTTACTGAAGTAGATGTGCCAGGAAAAGATGTTACTGAATTGTCTCAGTATATGCAGGTATGCCTCCCTTACTACTCAGGAGGCTAATCAGATAGATTAATAGTTAGGGCAAACTCATATACTTAGTGCCAGAATTATAATTGGCAATCATTTTAATTGCTTATAGATTAGTAAAGATCTATGTTTTACTCCTTTAAGAATTTCAAACCTTATCTTTTCCTTGAAGCCTTTGCTGATTGATTGGAAATAAATATCATTTATCACATGTATCATAGGTAGTATAAGTATCATCTTACGTACCAGAAGCCACAAAGAGACAAAATATAGAATGCATTTTAAATTAAATAAGGTTTACTGTGTTCCCTTTCAAATAGCCTATATGCATGTTTATTATATTTAGAATACTGGCCATAGGCAGACTCATTCTTATGTGAAATTATGAATAGAGCCATTCTGATCCCGCACAGACCTCTGGATGGAATGCCATTTGAAGATCTAGCAACATTTATATTGACTGAATATCTTAATGCTTTGTAGGAATCAACTTCTGAATTTTTAGAACACAAGAAACATCTTGAAGTTTTGCATAGTCTCTTGAAGGAGATATCCAGCCATGGCTTACCAAGTGATAAGGCTTTGGTCCTTGAAAAAACAAATAATTTGTCAAAGAAATTCAAGGAAATGGAGGATACCATCAAAGAAAAGTAAGTACCACTTTAAAAATTATATTTTATTCTATTTATATTAATTAGAGTGAGATACTTGTATTTACTTATATAGATAACTGAAACAATTTTGAAAACTTGAGAATAAGCATAGGGCTACTTTATAGATGTTTTTATATTTTGATCATTTTTTGCTATTAAAGTTAACTGCATTATTTGGTTTAACATTTAGAAGGAAAATTCAATACTTCTTACATAAAAGTGGAAAATGTTGCATAAGAAAAACGATGGCGGTGGTATATTACTGAAAATGATCTAAACTTGCTGTAGTCTCTGAAGCCTAGGGCAAATATCACATTTTTATTTGCAAAGGCAGAAATAACCTTGAACAACAGCTCGTGGTTCTTTGCTTTCTGAGCTCAACTCAGAAACGATGTGCAATTTCAATATGGCCTTTTTAATATAATAGTTTACTTTTTAAAGAGCAGTAGATGAGATATGAACCTGTGAAAAAACACTATTAGAAACAAGTGAATGAACCTAAGTTGAGCTAAAAAGCTGTACAGGGCCTTGTGATTGAGCTTTTGTGTTTCTGATCTCACGTTAGTTTAGAATATACATCGGATTTTGCTAAAGTTTATGTAGAAAAGCCTCAGAACATAGAAAAGTCATTTCTCTTCCAACTACTGTTCTTTATTTCTTCAGAATTCTCTACCTAAAATGTTTGAGTGCTGCCTTTACTTCTCACAGAGCTATATGTTCCATCCTGTCATATGGTATTTAATTCACATTGCGTAGAAGAAATGTTCTTGGTTTTCTTAGGTGATCTCTAGGTTGTTTCTTCTTTCAAATGGGTCCAACTTTAAAATAATGTAGTTATCAGTATTAGTCCAGCTGCAGTGCATTCTTATCTGCCAGTATTCTGCACGCTTGCATATATGTACGTGTCATCCACATGCCAGATGTAACTGTCCTCACAGTTGTTCATGTGCTGGGCATGTGCACTGCCTCCGTGGTGCAGAGCATACAGAACGACCCATACAGTTCACCAGGGAGTTTCCTGAGTCTCTGTAGGGGAGGCACACATGAAAATTCTCTAGTCACTAGGTTTCAACTCATTTTGGGAGACTTGAATCTGGACTACCTGCAGCAGTTTATCCATCCATAAACGTGACTGTAGTATAGTGTAGAAACCAGTAGGTGGCATTATGTTTTCCTCATGTCAGTGATTGTCAACCTTTCCCTTCTGGTTCTGTGCCTGCCGGCATTCAGCATCACATAAAGGGGACAGATCAAAGCTCATTGAATGTAAATAATGTTCAAACTGTTTGTGTATTCTTAGAGTTTATGTAGCATTATAGAGAGTGCCATTACATATGGGCTACAGATTTCTTGAATACTCCTATCTTTATCAATGAACCTTGCCTGAAAAATAGACCAACAGTTATTTAGCTCAGGGGTCCCCTAACCCCTGAGGTATCTACTGGTCTATGGCCTATTATGAACTGGGCTGCACAGTAGGAGGTGAGTGGTGGCAGCAAAGCTTCATCTGTATTTACAGCTGCTCTCCATCTCTCACATTGCTGCCTGAGCTCTGCCTCCTGTCAGATCGTCAGAGGCATTAGATTCTCATAGGACCAGGAACCCTATTGTGAACTGCATGCAAGGGATCTAGGGTGCATGCTCCTTATGAGAATCTAATGCCTGATGATCTGCCACCATCTCCCATCACCCCCAGATGGGACTGCCTAGTTTCAGGAAAACAAGCTCAGGCTCCCATTGATTCTACATTATGGCGAGTTGCATAATTATTTTAATATATATTACAATGTAAATATAATAGAAATAAAGCACACAATAAATGTAATGCATTTAATCATCCCAAAACCATCCCCCCTCCCTGGCCTGTGGAAAAAATTATCTTCTACGAAACTGGTCCCTGGTACCTGAAAGGCTGGGGACTACTGATTTAGCTGATTTCAGTTGTCACCTATGAAACCTTTCCTCCTGTATCAAAGGGTTAGAGTACATGGAAGATGGTTTCTTAACATTGTGTGACATGAGAATAATAATTTATTTATTCTTCTTTCTGTGACTTAAATTCTTGTATGATTTTTGTTATGTAGAAAAGAAGCTGTAACTTCTTGTCAAGAACAGTTGGATGCTTTCCAAGTTCTTGTTAAATCATTGAAGTCATGGATAAAAGAAACAACAAAAAAAGTTCCCATTGTACAGCCTTCTTTTGGTGCAGAGGATTTAGGAAAATCTTTGGAAGACACTAAGGTGAATCATTGTTATCTAATACTAAATTTCCATTTGTGTCAATAATGAAAGATTAAAAGACTAATGGTAGTTTTCTTTGATCTAATATCATCTAAGTTTTATCCTCATATATGTACTGTATATTTTGTTGACCTTTGGAAATCATGGCATGGGGCTTAACTAATTCTTTTGGAAAAGGACATAAATTTTCAGTGGATTTGCTTTTTTAAAAAAAGGTGAATTAATGAGTTGCTGACTATTCTAGTAATCAAGTTTCCTTTCCTACCAAATCTCTACTTAGTTTCAGTAATTTTTTATACCACTTCTCATAATATTAAGCAAAACATCCTCTTCACTCAGCATTTTACTCTAGCTTGTATATATTACTATAAAGAGTATTTGGAAAGAGAAGTTATTTGAATCTCCTGCATAAATAGTGCACAAGTCTTTTGTCTTCTGACTCAAGGCTTATGCCTTGACCAATATGGCATTTTTTTTCCCCCATTCCAAATTTGTGGATGTGTGTGTGTGTTTTTGTTTTTTTTTTTTTTCGAGACAGAGTCTTGCTCTTTTGCCCAGGCTGGAGTGCAGTGGTGTGATCTTGGCTCACTGCAAGCTCTGCCTCCTGGGTTCACGCCATTCTCCTGCCTCAGCCTCCCTAGTAGCTGGGACTACAGGTGGCTGCCACCACGCCCAGCTAATTTTTTGTATTTTTTTTAGTAGAGACAGGGTTTCATCATGTTAGCCAGGATGGTCTCGATCTCCTGACCTCATGATCCACCTGCCTTGGCCTTCCAAAGTGCTAGGATTACAGGTGTGAGCCACCTCGCCCGACCGTGTGTGTGTTTTTAAAAGTAATTGAAATTTTTAGGATTAAAATATGCTGTAAAATGAAGTTCTGAATTCCTATTTATTTTTATTGTTCCTAGTACCTTTTATTTGTGACTGGTCTCTTACCTAGTACAGTTTTACAGACTTACAGTTGACAGTTATTTTGGAACCCATAGCAGCCAGGAATAGCCTGACTCCCACTTTGGCTAGGATTTTACTTGCCACTTCTGAAACCTTTGAAGGCAGAATGGGCCATACATACCCAACCGTTAACTGAGATAACAGTCACCTGGGCTGTGGGAACAAATAGGTGCCTTTTTCTTTCATCGACTCCCTCACAAATCAGGGTCTACAATTATTACTACTTTAAGATATGTTTAAGAAACTGAATTATAATGTGCAACTCTGAAAATATTAAGATGGAAAAATAATGTGTTTTTATATCTCAAGAAATTACAAGAAAAGTGGAGTTTAAAAACACCAGAGATTCAGAAAGTAAACAACAGTGGGATCTCACTATGTAACTTAATAAGTGCTGTGACCACCCCTGCAAAGGCAATAGCAGCAGTTAAATCAGGTATGAGCTTTATTTACATTTATGGCAAAAACTAAGAATCAGGTTTACTCATGTCAATTTTGTGTATGTTATTTTTTAAATTAATGCATAAAATAACCTCAGAAATACAAAGTGAAAGTGACAAGAAACATGGCATCTGTAAGCACACTGTGCTGGGAATGTATCTGTACTAATCAAATTTCAAATCCTTCTTATGTTTTATTTTATTAGACTGTATTTAAAATGTAGCTAAATTAATATGTAAGAATAAGGAATGTTATATTGGGGAAGGGAACAGATCATATTCAAATTTGTTTGCTTTTTACCTTAATTAAATGGAGATATTGAAATTCTATTTAAAATATTTAATTATAATATTTGATAAAGAAATGAGTCTGGGCAGCTGGGAAAGAAGTGAGGGAAGGAAATAGGCCCTTTTCTATAGCGTGGGCACTCTGTTATTTTATTCCTGCGTATTTTATTCTGTACATCATTCCCAAAGAAAACAATTATGCAGTATGTGAGCCGGCATATCTGTATCGCAATCTAAGTCATGGTTGAGCCACCTTTCTCAATAAAATGGGAGATTCATGTGTAAATATTGATTCTAAAATTAATTTAAGCAAGTTATGGGTATAGTTTTTAGTTTGAAACATACAGTAACAAGTTTTTTTAAAAAAATAATGGGCAGAAGGCAGCTCTGATATCTTTTTTCTGAGAGTTCTGAGTATCCTCTGTGGGGTATCTAGTCTGACCAGCCCCCAGCTGTCCCTATTGTGATACTGATGTTCCAGCTGGGCCCTTCTCAGCCAACCATTTATTCCACTCTATTAATCCTATTTCAGGGACTACCCATATTATAATGGTGTGATGATTTCTCCTTTTTCTTCTAATCAGATTTCCTGAAGTGTGAAGTTTTGTTGTTTTTTTTTTAAGAAGAGGAATTCTACTGTGCTTTATTTATTTTAGCTCTTCATGTCCCCTTTATATTTGCCATAAATATCAAGTGTTTTTTTTGTTGTTGTTGCTGTTGCTTTGGGATTTTTTTTTTTTTTTTTTTACTCTTGGTAACTACCAAGCATGGTAGGAATTAGTAGTGAGCATCTACAGGATATTTTCACTTCCATCTGAAATCCCATCATGTTTAATTTTTTTTAAAGGGACAAAGTTAAGATTCAGATATTTTAATGTTTCTGTTTAGACTTGTTATTATGTTTTTGATCTGAGAAATGTCTTTGTGTTTTGGATACATAGCCGATAGATACTAGTATGAGAAAGTCTAACTGATATTTTAATATTCTGATTATGAAAAAGTACCAATGCTAGATTGTTATGTAATAAAAGTGAACTGTTAGTTTACTGCTTACTGACTAGTTTCTACTTGCTAAGCAATGGACCTTTGGTTCCCACAGTGGTGTTTGGTTCCCACAGTTAGGTATTATTATTCCCATCAGTTTGGCTGATTGATTTGTCCAGTCACCTGGCTAGTAATTAGTGAGGCTGGGGCTTAAATTTAGGTAAGTTATACAGCAAGACCTAGGTACTCCTAACCACCATGCTCTCTCTTAGTGTTGACGTAATATGAGTTTAATAATCGATTTATTTTCTTTTTCACTTTCAACTTCTTTTTTATGTATTTAAAAAAATTATTCTGCCTCCATTAAGCCCATGATAACACCATGTAACTGCACCAGACAATTTTCAATCTTTAAGTAAGGCAGATGCTCTTTTGTCAGTCATGTATGCATTGTTCAACACACTTATATACTGAGCACCTTCTGAGCTTCAGGACCTTTATCATTAAGATAATTTTAACAGTAAAGTGAGAGGTGGCTGGCAAGATGGCTGAATAGGAACAGCTCCAGTCTGCAGCTCCCAGTGAAATCAATGCAGAAGGCGGGTGATTTCTGCATTTCCAACTGAGGTACCCAGCTCATCTCATTGGGACTGGTTAGACAGTGGGTGCAGCCCACGGAGGGCGAGCAGAAGCAGGGTGGGGTGTTGCCTCACCTCGGAAGCACAAGGGGTCGGAAAACTTCCCTGCCTAGCCAAGGGAAGCTGTGAGGGACTGTGCCATGAGGAATGGTGCATTCTGGCCCAGATACTACACTTTTCCTATGGTCTTCGCAACTCACAGACCAGGAGATTCCCTCGGGTGCCTGCACCACCAGGGCTCTGGGTTTCAAGCACAAAACTGGGTGGCCATTTGGGCGGACACCAAGCTAGCTGCAGGAGTTTTTTTTTCTATACTGCAGTGGCACCTGGAACACCAGTGAGACAGAACCATTCACTCCCCTGGAAAGGGGGCTGAAGCCATGGAGCTAAGTGGTCTAGCTCAGCAGATCCAACCCCTACGGAGCCCAGCAAGCTAGGATCCACTGGCTTGAAATTCTCACTGCCAGCACAGCAGTCTGCAGTCGACCTGGGATGCTTGAGCTTGGTGAGGGGAGGGGTGTCCACCATTACTGAGGCTTGAGTAGGTGGTTTTCCCCTCACAGTGTAAACAAACTGCCAGGGAAGTTCGAACTGGGCAGAGCCCACCGCAGCTCAGTAAAGCTGCTGTAGCCAGACTGCCTCTCTAGATTCCTCCTCTTTGGGCAGGACATCTCTGAAAAGGCAGCAGCACCAGTCAGGGTCTTATAGATAAAACCCCCATCTCCCTGGGACAGAGCACCTGGGGGAAGGGGTGGCTGTGGGAGCAGCTTCAGCAGACTTAAACATCCCTGCCTGCTGGCTCTGAAGAGAGCAGCGGATCTCCCAGCACAGTGCTCAAGCTCTGCTAAGGAACAGACTGCCATCTCAAGTGGGTTCCTGACGCCTGTGCCTCCTGACTGGAAGACACCTCCCAGCAGGGGTCGACAGACATCTCATACAGGAGAGCTCCAGCTGGCATCTAGCAGATGCCTGAGTAAACCAATAAGTTCTGAAATTGAGGTAGTAATTAATAGCCTATCAACCAAAAAAAGCCCAGGACCAGACAGATTCACAGCTGAATTCTAGCAGAGGTACAAAGAGGAGCTGGTATCATTCCTTCCGAAACTATTCCAAACAATAGAAAAAGAGGGACTCTTAGCCGGGCGTGGTGGCTGATGCCTGTAATCCCAGCACTTTTGGAGGCCAAGGCGAGCGGATCACAAGATCAGGAGATTGAGACCATCGTGGTTAACACGGTGAAACCCCATCTCTACTAAAAATACAAAAATTAACTGGGCTTGGTGGTGGGTGCCTGTAGTCCCAGCTACTCAGGAGGTTGATGTGGGAGAATGGCGTGAACCCAGGAGATGGAGCTTGCGGTGAGCCGAGATTGTGCCACTGCACTCCAGCCTGGGTGACAGAGCAATACTCCGTCACAAAAAAAAAAAAAGAAAAAAAAAAAAGAAAAGAGAAAGAGGGACTCCTCCCTAACTCATTTTATGAGGCCAGCATCATTCTGATACCAAAACCTGGCAGAGACACAAAAACAGAAAATTTCAGGCCAAGATCCCTGATGAACATCGATGCAAAAATCCTCAGTAAAATACTGGCAAACTGAATCCAGCAGCACATCAAAAAGCTTATCCACCACGATAAAATCGGCTTTATCCCTGGGAAGCAAGGCTGGTTCATACCCAATCAATAAACGTAATCCATCACATAAACAGAACCAACAACAAAACCCACATTATTATCTCAATAGATGCAGAAAAGGCCTTCGATAACATTCAACCCTCCATGCTAAAAACTCTTAATAAACTAGGTATCGATGGAATGTATCTCAAAACAATAAGAGTTATTTGTGACAAACCCACAGCCAATATCATAGTGAATGGGCAAAAGCTGGAAGCGTTCCCTTTGAAAACTGGCACAAGACAAGGATGCCCTCTCTCACCAGTCCTATTCAGCATAGTATTGGAAGTTCTGACCAGGCAATCAGGTAAGAGAAAGTAATAAAGGATATTCAGACAGGAAGAGAGGAAGTCAAATTGTCTCTATTTGAGGATGACATAATTATATATTTAGAAAACCCCATCATCTCAGCCCAAAATCTCCTTAAGCTGTTAAGCAACTTCAGCAAAGTCTCAGGATACAAAACCAATGTGCAAAAATCACAAGCATTCCTGTACACAAATAATAGACAAACAGCCAAACCATGAGTGAACTCCCATTCACAATCGCTACAAAGAGAATAAAATACCTAGGAATAGAACTTACAAGGGATGCGAAGGACCTCTTCAAGGAGAACTACAAACCACTGCTCAAGGAAATAAGAGAGGATACAAACAAATAGAAAAACATTCCATGCTCATGGGTAGGAAGAATCAATATCGTGAAAATGGTCACACTACCCAAAGTAATTTGTAGATTCAGTGCTATCGCCATCAAGCTACCATTGACTTTCTTCACAGAATTAGAAAAAACTACTTTAAATTTCATATGGAACCAAAAAAGAGCCCGTATAGCCGAGACAATCCTAAGCAAAAAGAACAAAGCTGGAGGCATCATGCTACCTGACTTCAAACTATACTACAAGGCTACAGTAACCAAAACAGCATGGTACTGGTACCAAAACAGACATATAGACCAACAGAACAGAACAGAGGCCTCAGAAATAACACCACACATCCGCAACTATCTGATCTTTGACAAATCTGACAAAAGCAATGGGGGAAGGATTCCCTATTTAATAAATGATGTTGGGAAAACTAGCTAGCCATATGCAGAAAACTGAAACTGGACCCCTTCCTTACACCTTATACAAAAACTAACTGAAAATGGATTAAAGACGTAAACGTAAGGCCTAAAACCATAAAAATCCTAGAAGAAAACCTAGGCAAATACCATTCAGGACATAGGCATGGGCAAAGACTTCATGACTAAAACACCAAAAGCAATGGCAACAAAAGCCAAAATTGACAAATGGGATCTAATTAAAGAGCTTCTGCACAGCATAAGAAACTATCATCAGAGTGAACAGGCAACCTACAGAATGGGAGACAAATTTTGCAACCTATCCACCTGACAAATGGCTGATACCAGAATCTACAAGGAACTTATACAAATTTACAAGAAAAAAAACAACCCCATCAAAAAGTGGGCGAAGGATATGAACAGACACTTCTCAAAAGAAGACATTTATGCAGCCAACAGACACATGAAAAAATGCTCATCATCACTGGTCATTAGAGAAACGCAGATCAAAACCACAATGAGGTACCATCTCACACTAGTTAGAATGGCAATCATTAAAAAGTCAGGAAACAACAGATGCCGGAGAGGATGTGGAGAAATAGGAACACTTTTACACTGTTGATGGGAGTGTAAATTAGTTCAACCATTGTGGAAGACAGTGTGGCAATTCCTCAAGGATCTAGAACCAGAAATACCATTTGACCCAGCAATCCTATTACTGGGTATATATCCAAAGGACTATAAATCATTCTAATAAAGACACACACACACCTATGTTTATCGCAGCACTATTCACAATAGCAAAGACTTGGAACCCACCCAAATGCCCATCAATGATAGACTGGATAAAGAAAATGTGGTACATATATACCATGGAATACTATGCAGCCATAAAAAAGGATATGTTCATGTCCTTTCCTGGGATATGGATGAAGCTGGAAACTATCATTCTCAGCAAACTAACACAGGAACAGAAAACCAAACACCGCATGTTCTCACTCATAAGTGGGAGTTAAACAATGAGAACACATGGATACGGGGATGGGAACATTACACACCGGGGCCTGTCAGGGGGTGGGGGGCCTGGGGGGTGGATAGCATTAGGAGAAATAATGTAGATAATGGGTTGACGGGTGCAGCAAACCTCCATGGCATGTGTATACCTATGTAACAAACCTGTACATTCTGCACATGTATCCCAGAACTTAAAATATAATAAAATAAATAAATAAAAATAAATACAAATTAAAAAAAAACTAAAGCTCCACTTACTGCTCTAAAATACAATTTAATAAATATGATTCTTCCTAGAATAAAGGAATTTATTGGATAAAACACAAAGCAACTTCACAAAAATTTTTATGAATTAATATTTAATGATTAATTTATATAATATAAACATACTGAAATGGTAGTGTTTAAGACAATACTTTAAGAATAAATTTTACATAGAAGAGAGGATATTGTTTGATATTTACATTTTGGACCTTCATTTGATTTTGAAGTTGAGTCAGTGTTTTATGTGTGATTACTGTTGATGGGGTTTGATTTAATGCCATCTACTGTTAATGTATAGAAATACTATGAAACTGTGATTATTTTAGTGTTACTATTTTTGCAGGTGGAGCAGTATTAAATGGTGAAGGAACAGCCACAAATACTGAGGAATTTTGGGCAAATAAAGGTGAGTATTAATTTTAATTTGTTACTGATTAATGTAATTTGATGTTTTTTTAATAAGAGAAAATCTTAGAGGCAAACAGTAGTTATATTGAAATTTCAAGCCTGAATTACAATGGTATTTAATCTAATAGTCACAATCTCCATAAAAATTATATTTATATAACATTTTTTGCAGTTTTGTGTATCTGAAATAAGTAAAATCAAGTTGTTCAGTTTGACACTTGGTTTTGTTGCTTTCTTTTTGGTTAATTTGAGATATTTTGTCACTTGGGATAACGTTATTTGACCTAATTTATTGAGTTTGGTGCTTGAGATATTGCTAAGTAACATTTTGTGGTTTGTTTTTTGTTACATTTAAAATGTCTTTTTTATTTCACTTGTTATGCAATTTTCTTGAATTATTTGTGACTAAATAGCATTATAAGATGATCCAAACTTTTATTTCTGAAAAGCTTATGACTTTATCTACTAGGCTTAATAATGACAAGCTAGAAGTGACAAAATACCATGTAAAACAAACTTTTATTTCTAGACCTCTGCTCCAAATGTCCTGAAAATGTGTCAGTATAGTTGTTTTTCTTACTCCTAGGTTTAACATCCATTAAAAAGGACATGACTGACATAAGTCATGGTTATGAAGATCTTGGCCTCTTACTCAAGGACAAAATAGCGGAACTGAACACTAAACTCTCCAAATTGCAAAAGGCTCAGGAAGAATCAAGTGCAATGATGCAGTGGTTACAGAAAATGAACAAAACTGCAACAAAATGGCAGCAGACACCTGCACCTACAGATACTGAAGCTGTGAAGACTCAAGTTGAGCAGAATAAGGTATATTCTGTGGGTGCACCTATGGAAGACATGAAAGAGAATGGATTAGCAGTTGGAACGGAGCTCTGGTAGTCAGAAGCTCTGCTCTGTTTTCTTTTCTAGCTCTGTAACCTTTAGCACATAATTGACAGTTTTGTTTAATGTGCCTTTCTATAAAGATTGATAATAATAGTTACTTTTTTTTAAATTTTTGGCACAGCCATGTCATAGGTTAGCAAACTGTTGGGTGTAAGCCACTTTGCCACCTTTAAATCAGTTTAAGTCTAGGATGTTAACCAGTCAACTACTGGAAAAGATTTATTTAAGGGCTAAATGTATGAAGGATCTGTTCTCTGTAGTATAAAAATAGGGTAGCTAATACCTTCCTTTTCTTTAATAGAGGGTATTTCTTTCTACAGCTGCCAAGGTTGGGAAAATGGCTTTATATGGTAGCAGTGATGGCAAGATTTCTACAAATTACCAACCTACATTTGAATTCTATAATGTGTTGCCCAAAAAAAGTGTTTATTCACATGTAGATTCTCCACTTCTGGCAGCCTTTATTAAGACTGATTTTCTTATTTATTATAATTTTACTGATATCATCTTGCTTTATTCCAGAGTGGCTTGTTTGAATATATGAAATTCTTTCTCACTAATGGGGACAAGAGTCATTATCTTCATAGTCATAGTGTTCCTCTGTGGGGATTCCTGTATCACACAATTGAACACTAGCTAAGAAGAGGAAAGGAAAATAATTGCAAAATCCAGGCCCTCACCCACCACAACATTTAACAGTAGATTTTTTCCTCTTTTCATTATTCTAGAGAAAAATAATGCTCTATCATTATTGTATTTTTGTCTTTTGCTGTACACATGATTTATTATTATTTTTCCCTTGTTAGTCGTTTGAGGCAGAACTGAAGCAGAATGTAAACAAAGTACAGGAGTTGAAAGACAAATTGACAGAGCTGTTGGAGGAGAACCCAGATACTCCTGAGGCCCCCAGATGGAAACAGATGTTGACAGAAATAGGTATGTTGCGTTACTTAGATGAATGCCTATGAAGAAAAGTGCAATCATTTTTCATGTTTATCATGATCTTTATCAGAAAACATTCAACAGTCACTTATTTTTGGATTTGCTTTAATGTTTCAGAATCTATTTTTTGCATAAAGTGTCATTTCAAATTATATTGTGCAGAAAATTGGCATATCTTATGTTTTTTATGGTAAACACAGTAATTAAATCTATTTTTATGAAGAAGGTAGATACTAGTTAATGAAGTGCTGTGCATGGAGTACCTGTTTTCATTAATGTTTCTTTTTCCTAGCTTTTGGTGCTTTATTATGCTTTATATATTTTTAAGCTGTATTATATTGTAAATATTTCTTTCATTCATCTGGAAAAGCTGTGCTCCCTTCTCCTTCATGGAGTTACTTCTGGGACCCCTCCTGCTCCATACTTTATGCTCTTATGCTCTTCCCCAATCAATTTTTTCATCCAAAGTTATCCTCCTACCCACATCCTGTCCCTGTGTAAACAGAGGAGTATACACTGCTCCTCGGAGGTACAGAATTTTCTTTACAAGCCCTATTGTCTTACCAATTTTTATTACTATAATGATGTAGAAAATGAGTGTAAAGGGGGTAGAAAAAAAGAAAATGAGTGTAAGAGAACGGTAATAATTTTCCCCACTTCATAGTTTCATTTGGAGAACCCAATAAGTTAATGTGTATATGGCTCAAACAAATAGTACCTGGCACATATCAAGTGCTATATAAGTATATACTATGATTATAATAATTATTTTACTTTCAATGGTTCCATTACTAAATATTGTCCTTCCTTTAGAGTCAGGTATGCTATGATAAATGTAGAAATCTCTAAGTATATTTTAGTTTGAAAAAGGTTACCCTAAGGGATCTTCATGTTCAAAGATATATTTAATCCAACTATAGAGATTCCTGTCAAGTTGTAATTAATTTGACACTCATTCAGTGACTCTCTTCTAGGATCTCAGAATTACTTGGGGAGAGTATTAGCAAGACATTTTAGAATAGGAGTGGGAATGAGGAATATGTAGTTCAAAAAACCTTCTGGATGAGTTTTTCTATTTTTCCTTCCTGATTTATTGCTTTAATGGCATTATTTTGTTGCCAGATTGTGTTTGACTGGAAAATGTCATGTAGAATGATGTTATTAGGTAAGGTTTCAGTGATTGTGTTCTATTAAAGTCATCCCTTTAGTGTGTTATGCTAAATGAAAACTCTCTCAAGTCAAGTGATCACACCATCAATGAATATTTATCGAGTGACTGTGTTGAAGTGCTGAAAGAAGTGCTCTGATCAGTAACCCTTGACTGCAGGGAGCATACTGTCTTGAGGATGGAGAAAACAGAAAAGGCTTCCTAGCAGAGGGTAAATCCAATGGAATGTAAAGGAAGGATAGGGTTGGGATATATAGAGAGGAGGTATAGCATCTCAGGCACAGGACCTGTGTGAGCAAAAGCCTGTTTGGATTATAAGGATGAAATCAGCAGGGATAGATTAGAGGATCGTCTCAGAGTACAAACCTTCAAAGATTGTGGGAGGCCTTGAATGTCAGGCAATGGTCTTCAGATTTTATCGTCTAGGTAACGAGGAGTTAGTTATTGAAGGATTTGAGCAGTGAAGTGACAGTTTTAAAAGTGACATTTTTTTTAGGGAAATTGTATTAGAAACAAGTGGCTTGCAGCTGAGAAACATTAATAGCAGGGATACTAGTTAGAAGACTGCTAGACTAGGTCATTAGTTCTCCAAGTGTGCTCCTGGGATCAGCAGCAACAGCATCATCTGGGAATTATTTAGAAATGCAGAATTTCAGATACTACTCCAGACCTACTGAATCAAAAACTCAGGGTAGAGCCCAGAAATCTCTGTTAAAGATGCCTCCAGGTGATTCTTAATGCAGCTGAAGTGTGAGAACTACTGGTCAAGGTAAAACATGATGATGTTAGCTCATCACCTGGATGGATTGTGTTAAATTATCACATGCACTCTAAAAATACATATCTACTATATATCAATGTAAAAAATACAAATAATTTTAAAAAACACATGATGAAGGCCAAAATGGAGTTATGGCATTGAGAATGTAAAGGAGGGCTTTAAGGTTTTATGATCGAGGGTATAATAGAGTTAGGAAGCTCATAAAAGAATTTTCTGAATTATTGCATCTTTATGACATGGGAGAAAAGATAACCTTTGAAAGAAATCTAAAAGTCTTAAAAGTCCACCAGTTTTGAGAGGAATATAATGAGTTTTATTTTTTAATGTTGAGTTTAATTGGTGAGACTTCCTACGGGAACTTTCCAGCAGCTGGTTGTTAATGTGTAATTTGAATGGGAAAGAATAATTGGGGATAGATATACAAATTTGGGAGCAATTTGCCTAGAACGGATAAGTGAAGATTTGATATTAAAAGGATTATTGTTCATTGTTCTAGTAAGTCATAGTTTAATAACACACTCTATAGGACTTATAGAAGGAATGAGAGATCCCAGAATGCTGTCTGCTTTAATGAATATTCGATATTCTACGATATCTTCTAAAGTCAGATTCAAAATTTTTTCCCTATACTTTAGTTGACATACAACCATCAGACCTATAAAATCGTAGGTTAGTCCTTTAAGTAACTATGTAACAAGAGTCATAAAAATGGGATTATAGCCATTATATATCATTTTAAATCATACCATACAGTCCTCATAGACATAGTCATGTTAAATGCAAAAAATGTCAAACACCAGTTTCATTTTTTTTCTTTTAGATTCTAAGTGGCAAGAACTCAATCAATTAACAATTGATAGACAACAAAAACTGGAAGAATCCTCCAATAATCTAACCCAGTTCCAGACTGTAGAGGCCCAATTGAAACAGTGGCTTGTGGAAAAAGAACTTATGGTCAGTGTTCTTGGGCCCTTGTCAATTGACCCAAATATGCTAAACACACAAAGGCAGCAGGTGCAGGTGAGTATTACCTAATAACCTGTCTCTCGTGCATAGCAATTTGACTTACTGAGACCAATGTTTTCATTATAAATATATTAACTTTGGTCAGTAGGTGTTTTATTTAACTGCTTTGAAGTATATATGTAATGTTTCAGATGCCCATAAGATACTGTCCTGATATTAGTGGGAATCCCCAAAGAACTAAAGCTATAAGGCATCTTAGAGGCCTCCTTTGAATCCCATGAATGGGCCAAGTCTCCTGATTATTTCAGTCATATTGTGGGTGGTACAGATCTGGTTAAAAGGGCCTTCTTTGAAGTATTAATGCAATTAAGTAATATCTTTATGAGAGGCTAGTCTATACTTTTTACTGTTTAGAAATTACTCCTTTGAGGTTTTATTTATTTTGATTGTGGTAGTAGATAATGAAACTTGTAAAACTCATGCATTTGAGTCCTGATGGAGGAGAGAGAGAATGAGAAGAGGACAAAGAATAAGGGAAGCAGAGAGGGAACCCTGAAACCCAGGGTGTTAGTTAGACTAGTCTAGTTACAAAGCAGATAAATCCACAAGGGAAAAAAATCCAAAAAAATGAGTTTTATTTTTAATGTTTAATGTTTTACAGTCAGGCATAATAGCAGAAGCTCTGTGGTGATTTCAGTTAGTTTTTTAATGTCTGAGTACTGGCTTTAGAGCAGGGAGGCTGTTTTATAAGCTGAAAATTCAAATAAGTTTTTGTAAAAGTCAGATGTTTGAATTCATATCTGTTCATAATCCAAAGACAATGAAAACAAAAGATAAAAGTAAATATCTGGGGAGAAATAATTGCCTCTAGTCTTGGTAGTCTCCCAGAGATAGATAGATAAATAAAATATAGATAAAAGTATAAAAGATAGATAAAATATGATACTAAAAGAATGAGATTTTTGGATCATTAATTTTATGAGTCAAGTTGAGCCTATACATTCTGAGCAGCATGATTTGTTGACTAAAACCTTTATAATAAAGACTGTAAACATCAATAAATTTTATGTTACAAAAACCTTTGCAACTCAATGCATCATGAGTTAATATATTCTAACACCTTTATCACTGTGCATTTTCTTTAATATAAAATTCTATAGGGTATTCCAAAAATCCTACGAAGACAAAAACATGAGTGGGTAAAAACAAATTTGGTGTAAGTGCAGTGTGAACTTGTTTAACAGCAGTGTTTCTCTTTTTATATGAAAATTTACACATGAATTTTTGTTCATTTTGTCCATATTTTTCCTTTAGGGGGATGGGATTAGTTTAGACAGGATATCTCTGTGAAGCACTGTGGCTCTTCGGATTTAAGAGAATTGTACTGCCCTTTAAGTAAAAAGTAGGAAAGTGATAACTAAAAAACAAAAACTGGAGAAATAATTACCATTTCTGTCTGTTTGGACACCAAATCTGTGTTTTCTACAATCAATTATATAATAATTTGCGTTTGTTTACCCTTGTTACCTTAGATTTTGCTGCAAGAATTCGCCACTCGGAAACCTCAATATGAACAGCTGACAGCAGCTGGTCAGGGCATTCTGAGCAGGCCTGGAGAAGACCCTTCTTTACGTGGGATTGTGAAAGAGCAACTGGCAGCTGTGACCCAAAAATGGGATAGCCTAACAGGGCAATTGAGTGACAGATGTGACTGGATTGACCAAGCCATTGTTAAAAGCACACAGTATCAAAGCCTGCTGAGAAGCCTTTCTGATAAACTGAGTGACTTGGATAATAAACTCAGCAGCAGTCTGGCTGTGAGCACGCACCCTGATGCTATGAACCAACAGTTGGAAACAGCCCAAAAAATGAAGCAGGAGATACAGCAGGAAAAGAAGCAGATAAAAGTGGCCCAGGCACTCTGTGAGGATTTGTCAGCACTGGTTAAAGAAGAGTACTTGAAAGCAGAACTTAGTAGGCAACTAGAAGGCATCTTAAAATCATTTAAGGATGTTGAACAGAAAGCAGGTTTGTCTACTTTTAATACATATATTTCCTGGTCAGAAATAAATGTCATATATTGCCTATTTCCAAGATGTTGCCAATAATCCAGGACCCCAAAGAGACTCTGCCCCACTGTTAACATCAGTGAAGAGGAGGATGAATACAGGAGCTCAGAGAGCAGTTTTGTGTTCATAGGCACATGGAATGTTAGGGTCATTCTACACACATAATCTGTTGGCAAAATTGGCTTCCTGAAGGCCTATTAAAATCTCAGGTACCCCAAACTGGTTTTTAAAAAATGTAAATGTTTTTTGCTGTATGAAAGTCTTATTTAGCCAGAAAAAAACATGAATAGTTAGTAAAAGGCTTTGCATCATCTTCTCATCTGCTGTTACTTTATCTATTCTGTCATAGAAAACTTTTCTAGAGAAATGTGCGAAAGAGAGGCATTTGTCACTATTTTCCTCTCTCACTGTGGCTATAATTCTGTGGCATATGTGATGATATTTGTCAGAGGTAGCAGTGAATTATTAGAATTCACTTCATCAGAAAGCCCTGATGAAGAAAGACACATTTTGTTGTTAAGTTTGTTCTGTTTGAAAAGTTTCTAGTTTCTTGCACCTAGTAGATACTCAAGTTATGCTTTTTAATTGATTGGATTTACTGATCACAGCAACTGTTTCAGACTTATTCCTTTATTTGACATGACATTAACAATAGTAAATATCAGCTATTATCATTATTATTCTTAATGGTATGAACAGTTATGTGATAGGTATTAAACTAAAAGCTTTACATGTACTGTAATTTAATCTGTATACCTACTATTAATATTGTCAATTTACAGTGGGAGAAATTAGGCTTAAAGGTTTAATCATTTGCCTGGGGTCTTCCAACTCTGAAGAGGTTAAACCAAGATACAAACTCATGTAGTTTTTATGTGCTACATTATGTTGCCTCCATAATATGTAAAAGTCATAGACGTGGCCAGGAGCGGTGGCTCACACCTGTAATCCCAGCACTTTGGGAGGCCGAGGCCGGCGGATCACGAGGTCAGGAGATCGAGACCATCCTGGCTAACACGGTGAAACCCTGTCTCTACTAAAAATACAAAAAATTAGCCGGGCGTGGTGGCGGGTGCCTGTAGTCCCAGCTACTCAGGAGGCTGAGGCAGGAGAATGGTGTGAACCCAGGAGGAGGAGCTTGCAGTGAGCTGAGATAGCGCCTCAACACTCCAGTCTGGGTGACAGAGCGAGACTCTGCCTCAAAAAAAAAAAAAAAAAAAAAAAAAAAAAGTCATAGACGCGAAAAAGTCATATTTAATAAGAGATGGATTATTTATCAACATAATTAAGAACTTTGCCATCATCACTTCTCCATACTGGAATAGAGAAGACACCAGCACAGCAGGCGATGTGTGGCATGGCCACTCCCTGCACCTTGATGCATTTTTACTTATTTCCTTATTCTTTGTTTTCCCCTCTCATCTGTATCCTGCATCTTTTCTTGATTGTGTATTTTCTTCTGCCTACTTCTTGCTTCTTTTCCCCTTTGTCAATAACTTAAGTTCACTTGTAGTTCTTATAGTCAATGCTAAAAGCCCTTGCTTTTCAACAATTCTATATATTCATTCAGAGATTTTTATTTTGGCTTTTCATAGATTAAATTAACATTTTGATGTAAAATAAACATATCTTGTAATTTTATTTCTAGAGAATCATGTCCAGCACCTTCAGTCGGCCTGTGCAAGCTCTCATCAATTTCAGCAAATGTCTAGAGATTTTCAGGCTTGGCTGGATACAAAGAAAGAAGAGCAAAACAAATCTCATCCAATATCTGCCAAACTCGATGTCTTGGAGTCATTAATTAAAGATCATAAAGACTTTAGTAAAACTTTGACCGCTCAGTCTCATATGTATGAAAAAACCATTGCAGAAGGTGAAAATCTGTTATTAAAAACACAAGGGTCTGAGAAGGCAGCCTTACAGTTACAGCTTAATACAATTAAAACCAATTGGGATACATTTAATAAGCAGGTGAAAGAAAGAGAAAACAAGTTAAAAGAGTCATTGGAAAAAGCCCTTAAGTATAAAGAGCAAGTAGAGACTCTCTGGCCATGGATAGACAAATGCCAAAACAACCTGGAGGAAATAAAATTTTGCTTGGATCCTGCTGAAGGAGAGAATTCTATTGCCAAGTTAAAGTCTCTGCAGAAGGAAATGGACCAACACTTTGGTATGGTAGAATTACTGAACAACACAGCCAATAGCTTGCTCAGTGTCTGTGAGATAGATAAAGAAGTTGTTACAGATGAGAATAAGTCACTGATCCAGAAGGTGGACATGGTCACTGAACAACTTCACAGTAAGAAATTCTGTCTGGAGAACATGACTCAGAAGTTTAAAGAATTTCAAGAAGTTTCCAAAGAATCTAAAAGGCAGCTTCAGTGTGCAAAGGAGCAGCTAGATATCCATGATTCGCTGGGATCCCAGGCTTACAGTAACAAATACCTGACCATGTTGCAAACTCAGCAGAAATCACTTCAGGCCTTGAAGCATCAGGTAGATTTGGCTAAAAGACTTGCACAGGACCTTGTGGTAGAGGCCTCAGACTCAAAGGGAACCTCTGATGTTTTATTACAAGTGGAAACCATAGCTCAAGAGCATAGTACACTAAGTCAGCAGGTTGATGAAAAGTGTTCTTTCTTAGAAACCAAGCTTCAGGGCATTGGGCATTTCCAGAATACCATTCGAGAAATGTTTTCTCAGTTCGCAGAGTTTGATGATGAACTGGATAGCATGGCTCCAGTGGGGAGAGATGCAGAAACATTGCAAAAGCAAAAGGAAACTATAAAAGCCTTTCTAAAGAAACTAGAAGCCCTCATGGCAAGCAATGACAATGCCAATAAAACCTGCAAGATGATGTTAGCCACAGAAGAAACCTCTCCTGACCTTGTTGGAATCAAAAGGGACTTGGAGGCCTTAAGCAAACAATGCAACAAGTTACTGGACCGAGCCCAAGCCAGAGAAGAGCAGGTTGAAGGGACAATTAAGCGCCTTGAAGAATTTTACAGCAAATTGAAAGAATTTTCTATTCTGCTCCAGAAAGCCGAAGAACATGAAGAGTCACAAGGTCCTGTTGGTATGGAAACGGAGACAATTAATCAGCAGCTTAACATGTTCAAGGTAGGGAACTCTTCATTTTTACCCAGTGTTTTTATTGTCAATGAAGTTTCTAATTTGCTTAGAAAGGAGATTGCCTATTTTGTAGAACTTTTTAATAATGATTGTCATACAATATTTGAGCCAGAATGAGCATATATGGGGGTAACACCCAGGCAGGTGGGGCAGTTACAAGGCCACTGGGGATTTGGGCCTTTGTGGGATAAGGTCTGAGATAAAATCAGACCAAAGGGTGCTTGGCAAAGTTCCAGGCAAGCCAGAAACTGACATCATAGGGTCCATTTCTGGAATTATTCACAATTGCCATCTGTGGTGACCGTGGCTGTGTTTTGAACTCTATTGCAGATGTTTATCTTCCAGCAATTTCTTCAATGGTGAATTACCGTCTTTTCTGCCCTTTCTTTTTATAATTATCTTCTCATCCTTCTTAATTTCTTCCACAGACATTTTTCTTCTAAAAGCTCATATTTTTAAAGGCAATATGGAGTTCCATGTTGTAATCTGTTTCATTAAACAAAGGTCTTAGGCTCATGCCCCAGAGGATTAGAGGTGAATTTTTTTTTTATTGCATGACATAAGCTCCTCAGTGCCAAGAAATGACTGCCACTCAACAGTGATCAATGACACTTAATGAATGAAACATTTGATAAAAATGGTGGGCCAGTTTCCGTGTCATTGGATTTGGCCTTATTTATGATAGTGAGAACAGAAGTCACATCTGTATAGGGGACAAAGATAGGTTTATCCCTGGAAACAAAGGGTCCTAAATAGCAAGCAATTTTCTATATGGGGCTGATATAAACCTTTAGGGTTTCACAGCTCCTGTTATATTTATGAGGTGTGTTTTACTGGCAAAGATATATTGCACCATTAGTGCATAAAGAATAAACTAAGACCAAATAAAAACAGTTTATAAAACCACAAATTATTTTCTTTGAGAGATGAATATGAATCAAATGGACTTCCAAATTCTGTGCAGTTATAGTTGATAAACTCTTTCATTTGCTTGTCTTTAATAACATTATTTAGGTGACTGAATCTTGAAAAATACCTTCTTTTTCTTTGTATTGTTATTAGTTATGATTATTTGCAGTTTATTAAACGCCTTTGAAGCCCAGTTCCTTCAAGGCTCACAAAGCTGTGATTCTGTATTTAGTTCTTGATTCTTGAAGGTGAAGGAAACGTCCTTATTGTTGACTTGACCTCCTTCATTGCTCTGTCAAATTTTTGTATTTCTGATTTGCAAAATAAAGATTTCACGTGAGAGAATCCTCTATTAGAAAAACATAGTTCTGTGGCAATTGCTGCATCAAAGACTGGGAGAGATCTTGGGAGCAACTCTTCCTTCGTCAGTAAAGTTTGGAATTCTCTCTAGAACCCTGTCAGCACCTTAAAGATTAAATGACAGTAACCAAGCACTGTTTATACTAATGAAATTTAACCACATTAAATGGTTAAATTGTGAAACATTATGATTTCTTTCGGTTTCCTGTGCATTTGTTTAGAAAAAAGACCTTCATTTCTCTTTGCTGTTTCTAACTACTTGTAAGACAATGGACAAAGTAATAATACTGGTGCTGCTATTTGCGGGTGTCTCCCCTTTGGTGTTCCCAAGTACAGTGAAAAATGTGGCTGTTCATGTGGAGAACTGAAAGTAAGAAAAAGCAAGAGATAGGAGGAGCTTTCTCACCATTGCACTGAAAGTGTTTTGCAAACTGCAAAGTCCCAAATAAGTAACATTACCATTAATAGCTACAGAGATTGTTTTATTTGATTGTGAAGAAATATAGAGTGATAATTTCTCCTAAAATAAACCATTTAGCATGCTGTGTTTGTTTGCTTTCAGATTATTTGGAAAGAGTTGATTGATTTTATTGAAATTCAGCAATAAAGAACATCATGGCATACTTTCAGTATCTTGAAACCCAGTGACTTGAAAAAAAAGTTTTCAAGTAGACAAATACTCTGCATTTAGTATATTCCAGTGCCATAGGTAAAAAAAGGACAAGAATATGATTATGGTAGCTCACACAACCACTAATTCCATTTATCTGTGTATGTGTGTGTGTGTATTCCTTAAAAATAGTAATTACAATAATCAACAAATCAATTTATTATGGGCTTACTATGTGTCAAGCACTATTTTAATTTATCTTTAATCCTGTTAACAGTCATGAGAGGTAGATGCTATTACTATTCTGCATCTTATTATAAAGAAGCCTAGGCTCAAGGAGGTTAAGTGACTTGTCCAAGGTCACACGGATAGTGTCAGAACCTGATTCTTTTGATGAAAATGATGCACTGCTTCGTGTAAACTTTATTTGTCATCCATGTTTCACATCTGGTATTTTCTCTGGGGGATTTTCTAATCATCTTTGCTGTAGCCTAATTTAGACAGCCCGAATACCCAGCCATTGTTCATTTTAATCCAAAATACCAAGAACACCCACTTAAGGAACATGTTCTATAAAACTAGCAGCTATGAGAAATATGAGATGAACATGTAAAACAGTCTTAGAAACTGATGTTATGTAGGTGCCGTGATATGATAAGGGTGATGATGATAATGATGATGTTGATGGTGGAGATTCCAGTGATCACCACTACTGCTGCTACTGAGATGGAGCCAAACATTTCATTGTTTTAGTGATTATATCTTTCTTGGTTAAAGTAGTAAATTGACTTGTTTACAGTTCAGTATTTAATTTAGTTTCTGTTGGGCCTTAGACTTTTGTTAAACATTAGTTTTAACATAATTTTTGGAAAGTTTTTTAAATTTTTTAAATGGAATGATTTGTATTGAGTGAAAAGCTAGTTATAATTCCTAAAAGTGAAACAGAAAAGTAGTGAAGGACTGAGTCTGTCTTCCTTATTGACTTTGAAATATAATCTAGTTTGACATTAATCTATCTGGTAGCTTTAGTTTAACCTAATGTCACAGATAAAATCCTATAATAGTTTTTCTTAATACAAAATAAACTGCCTTCTGAGCAGAACTGAGAATAATAGCTATTACCCAGTTACTCAGCAGGGGGTGCCTTCTATTCACTGGACCCGTAATAGAGGATTTAAAGCAGGTTTGATAGACTTCCCCGATTCTGTTTTTCTTTCTATAGTTCAAGAAATAGCTGTTAATAGTTACTTGAGGTTTTCTTGTAAAGACAAGGACAAAATTCATTCGTTCATGTTTAAGATACCAATTCAAACATAATACTTAAAGCAAATGCTATTCTAAACCAAATGTCCTAACTCACTCAGTGAAAACTATCCTGAGATTTTGAAAGTAGATTGGTGTTATCTTTTGTGTTAGTTAGCTTGACGTTTTAAAACTATTTTGATTATATATAAGTTCTGTTGTACATAAGTTTTTCTACTTCTGAATACTAGTCATTGGACTAACATGTCTGAAGGGTGAAGTGTTTTCTATACTGTTGGTAAGTTAGAGTACCATTTTCCACTTACACTTATTTATGATTACGGTTAAATTCTATGCACACTGTTATAAATTGGTGGAATGAATAGCAGGGCGATTCTGTTTGTCTCTAGGCAGGAAGAAAGAAACTCCTTTGGTGTTCCCTCTATCCCTACTCCTATCTGAAGACTCCTAGCTCAAGATTATCTTCAAATCTAAACCACATTATTAAGTAACATTAATATTAACACATTATTATTTATCAAAGACATATGTAACTGACTGTATACAAGGAATGCCTCCCAGTAATTCCTATTATGTGATTAACAGCCAATCAGGTCTTCTGATCATTATGAAGTAACCATTATCACCATATTGCATGATTTAATTTCAATGAAAATCAAAGAGACTTGATGCTTTAATGAGTCCTAGCTAAATCTGTACCTTCCCCACCTCTATCTAGGCCAAGCTTGTCCCACCCATGGCCCACGGCCCACCTGTGGCCCAGGATGGCTTTGAATGTGGCCCAACACAAATTCATAAACTTTCTTAAATAACATGACAAGATTTTTTTTGCCATTTTTTTAAGCTCATCAGCTGTCATTGCTGTTAGTGTATTTTATGGGTGGCCTAAGACAACTCTTCTTCTTCCAGTGTGGCCCAGGGAAGCCAAAAGATTGGACACCCCTGATCTAGACCATTGTGAAAAAATGCCTTACCTCAGAACCTGCTTACAGTTTATTTCTGGCCACTCTGTTGCTGCCCCAATTGTAATTCATTTTGTCCCCACAAATGAGTACATCTCCAGTACATTCTCTCTGAGGATTTCTTTTTATTTTCAAATGGACATAGAATTACATTGAGCAGAGGATTTTTAAGCCAAGTTGAAACCAGAGACAAAGAGCAGAACATATGCCTAATTATACTGTAATAAATTTTCTCTGGTCCAGGTGAAGGCATTGTTTAACCCAGGCATCATTATTTTAATATTCGGTAAACCAAAATGCCAAGTAGCATGAGGCTAAGGAAGACAGGCAGTTTGAGCACAAATTCTTATTATGGTGTTTATCAAATGATCCAGAAACAACCTCTGATGTCACCATATTGAAAATCAAACTGTCCAAAAACTGCTTTAATAGTACTTTTAAAGTGTTCATATTGTTATATAGAGGTCAATGACAAATTATTTTCCATTTTATTAAGAATGGGGAAATTAGATAAAACTGTTGCAGAAGAGGTTTTTGTTAGGGAAAATTCCTTAATAGATTGGATTTTTGTTAATGAAGCTACCTTAGCAAAGGGGTTGCATGTTCCCTTCCTCTGGTATTTTTAATGGTGAAAATATTTCCACTATAGACACTGTAACTAGATGCATGGCTTTTATAGGAAGATCACATTATTTAATAAACCCAGAGCAAAGTGGCATTTAACAACTTTAGGAAGAAAGAATACTCCATATGCTGGTCAAGAGAGAAGCCCTACTGAAGCAGAGACCACACCTAGCTATGAAGAGGTGGAGCTGATCTGCTGTGTGGTATTATTAACACCTCATATTCTTATCCACACAAACTAGGCATAACAGGTGGATACCCTCTTTTTCACATGATACAAGGAATATACCATACTTCTCGGAAAGGGCTGTCAAAAGGGAACTTTGCAACATGTTCTCTTTTCAGTTTTGCTGCTAACTAATGCTACGGCCCTTTATGTCACAGAGCTCCTCTTAACTTTTATTCCTTCATTTGAGATTGAGGAATTAAAGTTGGTTGTTCTGAAGGCAGTTCCAGCCAGAGATTTTATAATGTAGGATTTTTTGGTAGTTGTTATTTTGTTTTGCTTTTACCTTGATAAACCTATATCACCATTTTAGAGTGATCCAATAAAACAGCCAAACTGCGGTATCTACTGTCATTATTATAGGCCCACCTTTGATCAAAGGAAACCTTCATAATGTATTTTATTAATATGGAAAGTTGCTTAAAGTTGTGTGTGAGAGAGAGACAGAGAAGAATTTGCCTTGTTATGAAATTAGACATTGGTTTCTTGAAAAGAACATTTGAGTGGTAAATGTTTATCTAGGTCTCTAATCATTCATTAATAACAATGTAGGATAAGGAAATGCTACGATTTTAAGTGAAAAGTGTCTGGAGCTGCTCAAGAACTGGATACAACAAGAAAATGTCTGTGCTCACAGATCCTATTCTCACATATCTCCAGTTGTCTTCATTTCAAGCTTTATTTCTTTTGTCAGTATTTTAATATGAAAAGTATTTCCAGATTTTGTTTGTTTTTTTTTTTCTCTGAAGAAAATTGAATAGGGCCATTAACATGTGAGTTGCTTCTGCTTGCTGGATAGCTTTTCTTTAAATGAACTTTTTGACATTTATATATATATATATATATATATATATATATATATATATATATGAAATATGTATATATTTCAATTAATAAGATTTATATATAGAATCATCTTCTGTTACATAGAATTTTTTTTCACTGTCACCAGAAAACCTCATTGAAGATGTGGGAAAGGCATAGTCTTAGTATTGTAGTAACTTACAGGAAGAAGAGCAAGTGCTCATTAAAGATATTAACTAAGGTTCACATCAAGATAAACTCCTGTCAAGATCAGTTGGTGAATCTCTTGTTTCTAAATCGGTTTAGGGCTTTAGGATGAGAATATTCTACTTTCTTCTAAATATAAACTGTATTCCCATGAAATAAATAGTTATTGCATATTCATATGATGCATATTCATATCTTTGGAAACGTTTAGCCATTTATGTGAATAAATTTAATAGTTTGAAAACTAAAAATATAGCATGCCTTCAGTTTTCATTAGCTAATGGCTTATTTGTTTTAGAAAGAACAATTTTTGCTCTTAATGCCTGTTTATGTACTTGCAGCACAAAACGCATATCCCTTGTTTGACTTCTCATCCTGATTTCAAGAGCTATCAGGCCAAGAGTTATTCATTGATAATAGTGCGTTTACTTACATAGACATTTTTCACTTACTGCACATTGAACTTAATACCTCCAATCCTTCAACCCTAAAACCTCCATGTTTCAGCTGATAAAATTGCTCTTTTCTATGAGTAAATAATGTGTAAATAATAATCATAAATGTGAATGATAAAACTTTTCTATGATGTACATTGTTGCACTTAGTGGGAAGACTTTTCAGGGACTTTCCTTTTAAAAGATTTAATTAAACTTTAGGAATATAAAATGAGAAAATATTACTGTTTTGCTTATAATTCAATTAGTAGTTGTGTACTTTTCTGAAATCATCTGCTTTAGTAGATAGTTTAGCTGGATTATATCTAGTAGGCTACAAAAAGTAAGTAAAGCTACATTTTGAAAACAGCATTATGATTTCTGTATTATGAAATAATAGTGTTGGCTATTTTTCAGGAAAACTTTACGTACCTTATTATGTATTTCTCTCATTGTGAAAATGTGAGGGGGCTGGGCACAGTGGGTCATGCCTGTAATCCCAGCACTTTGGGAGACTGAGGCAGGAGGACTGCTTGAGCCCAGGTGTTCAAAACCATCCTGGGCAACAGAGTGAGACCCCATCTCCACAAAAAATTTTTAAAATTAGCCAGGTGTAGTGGTGCGCATCTGTACTTGGGAGGCTGAGACAGGAGGATCACATGAGCCCGAGAGGTCAAGGCTGCAGTGAGCTGTGATCATGCCACTGCATTTCAGCCTGGGTGACAGAGCAAGACCCTGTCTCAGAAAAAAAGAAAATGTGATGGATCTAGATATCATGATTAATATTTAACATGGTTTAATATATCTTGATTTTATTAACATTAGAGGCTATAACATTTATAGTAGCTGTCTAAACCAAATTTTTGGGGAAAAATAAACCAGTCCGGTTCTGCTCTATATATGAGCTCTTACATGTCATCCAGGTAAGACTTTGGAATGTGATTTCAAGTAACAAAGATATATGTAAATTATTGTGACAAATTTTAATAGCACAAATCTTAATGTGAATCAATATAAAAATCAGTTCAATAAAAAAGGAATTTAGTTATTAAATAAGTGGTGTATACTTGAACTCAATTAACTAGGGAATATTTTCCCATAGCACTGTTTACTTCCGAACTGTGTCATGGCCATTTTCTCATTCACATTCCCATTCTAGTGTAAGTGGTGTAAGGACAGTGGTGGCTATGTCTTTACAACATCATTTTTCCAGTGCTTACATGTTGTTTGGCAGACAGTGAGTGCTATTTTTTTGAATCATTTAATTTATGAATGAATTATTTGTGCAGTTTTAAAAATGTACTACCCACCTCAAATGTGAGGTTATATGTTGCTCCTCTTAGCTTTTCATAAGCCTAGAATAATATTGTGCTAATGATTCAGAGTTAGAGTCTAAGGTGAACTGAATTAGAGCCATTCTTTATTATGAAAAGTTCTGTAAGGATCTTAGAGTGTTTAGAGAAAGGCACTCAGAGATCTCAAGGAAACTTTATTATTCATATTGCCATGAATAAGTAGTTTTCTAAGCTTACATATCAAGAGAGCGGCAGCTGGGAGTAAGACTCTTGGCCTCTACTATTT
Source organism: Homo sapiens (assembly GCF_000001405.40). Lineage (NCBI taxonomy): Eukaryota > Metazoa > Chordata > Mammalia > Primates > Hominidae > Homo > Homo sapiens. The sequence continues at coordinate 56,544,191 of NC_000006.12, read as the reverse complement.
CCCAGTCTAGTGCCCAATCCACTGTTCAAGCGTGGTAAGTATGAGACCATTTTTCTTTCTCTTATCAGTGCCTTATTACAGCCTGTGTGCTTGAACACCACAGAATCAGGTGCTTGTTGAAATATTTCACGTCTTGAACATGAAAAATTGGCATTGATATTGTGATGTGGATGGATATTTTTAAATCTCTTTTTCTTTATAGATAGTCATATATCTAGTCAACTTAATGATGGCCACATACTGAGTTGCATCTAATAATCTAATAATTGTTGAATGGATGAGTTACCGATAGAGTTTTCATTATGAAAAGATTTTTTTAAAAAAGATTCAACTCTTAGATTTATCGAATGAATATTGAGATAACGTTTTCTCATTAAAGGCACAAAAGTTTCCTCCCACATCTTTTCTGTAAAATTAACAAAGAAAGTATAAAGTTGTTTTTACTAGAACTGCCTTCTTCATTTGGAGTTAGCACAGTTTTGTTCATGTTCAAATGATTATTTTATGAGATTGAAGAAAGACCGCTTCATTTGTAACTGACACTCTGACGATGTTTCTTATTTTGTAAAATAGAGAATGTTTAGATTTTATTTAAATAAAACTATTAAATTTCCTACAAAGACTAAGAGTTGGCTTGCTGAATTTATTTTCAAACAGTATTTTTAGAAGGGTGTTCAGTAGATAAAAATCTGTGGAGGTGATTTTGTTTATTAAATATCTGGAGTCAGTGAGTACCACTCTTGGGCCTTGTGTTAACCTCAAGAGTACTGTATGGTTATTAGTAACTACTAATATTCATGTCAGCAGTGCTGAGAGCCCCTCACTGGTAGGAATACTTTACTCTGGAGAACAGTTAGATTTGAACTTGGGCTTCAAAAGGGAACGGCAAAACACTCTCGACTTCAAAGTGATCTGCACTTTGCATCGCAGATACTGCTGAAGCATCAGATTCTTCAGTGTAAAAGTGCGGTTTCAACTGAAGGATAGGGACCTATGTAGCCCCCCTTTTCCCATTTAGTATTCAAATGAGTGCGGTCTCTGGACCTTCACAAAATAATTTCTTCGCGGATCTCCCGGTGCCAGGTTCTGCCTCCGCAAGCCCTACGGATCCCCTCCCATTTTGAAGTAGTCGGCGGGGTTTCCGCGGTGTTTGAACCTGAGCTGTCCCTCTCCCCAGTGGCCGGACTCGGCCTGCTTTGCGCTGATGTCACCACAAGCTGTTACATTGCAGCCTCTCGGCTTCGAGGTACCTCCCACTGAAACCGCTCGCCGACTCCCGGGAAGAAGCGAAAGATGACTGCGAAGTTAAGTCACGGGAGGGCGTAGCACCGAAGTGGTAGAGAGCTGCGGCTCCGGAACGCCCGGCAGGCCCAGAGACGCAGCAGATGGTGCCTGAAGAGAGAGGGCGTTGCTGCAAGCGCCCTGGCTGGAGAGCATGCCTGCCCGGCACCGTGCTGCCCTGAGGAGCCGCGGACAGCCCCGGAGCTCCCTTCCGGAGTTCTTTCTGCTGCCTCCACCGCCACCGTCTCTCTCTAGCCCCAGCTGAAATGAAGGCCATACCGCGGCCACAGAACTTGGTTCAGTTTCAAAGGCTAATGTAGTCCCTGGGTTTTCTGCTCAATGTGAATTACGCTGCCTGTGCCTTAGAGGAAGCCGCGGAGCTCTTCGTTGCTGCAATTGCCTCAGGTGGAATAAGCCTTCCTAAGGAGGACCAGATAAGAATCTTTGGAAATGGCTTTTTTTTTTTTTTTTTTTTTTTTTTTAAAGAAGCTTAGTAGTACACCATGCTTTCTGTTTACTTTAAACGGTTGCTGGATTGTACTGCCCTGGGTGTCTAAAAGTCTGGTGTTTTTTTCTTTCTTCCTTTGAGTAGTTCTGAATAGCATTGAAGAAGCTTAAAACAGGAAGAAAACCTGCCTTTTCAATCAAGTTTATTTATAGCTACTCCCCCCTCCAAAAAAAAAAAGTAAAAGAAAAATGTAACTTTCTCATAACGTTAGACTTAACTTATTTTTCTCTGAAGATTTGTTCTGTGCCTTGATGTGAACAATACCAGGTCCCTGTGTTTGTCTTTTAAATTTCTGGAGCATGGTTTATTTACCAGAATGGTGGAGTTCTGCAAGCCATCTTTAAGTGGATTACAGTTAACCAGAGCTCTGCCGAAATTAACATTCAGGCTGTTAAAATGCTTGCTCATTTGGAAATTTTAATCTGGAAATATCAGACTAAAAAGGGAAATGGACTGACAATGGAATGTTCTGAGTGTTTGAGCCACTGTTAAGTGTGTGTTTGTTTATTTTCTGTGTTTTGGAGTGTGTGAACGGGGACTTTGGGAGCTGGGAAAGGTGGACAAAGGAGATTTTTGTTCTCTGTTATTGATGCACTTTATTGTTTAGAATCATCCTAAAATCAACCAGGTAAAAGGATAGTTGCATTTATACTGATGCACTGCTGATGACCTTAAACACCTCATGTATTATGAAATATATTATTTGAGCATGTGTCTTTATGCTAAAGACACTCCATAGCTCTGTTCAGAAGTATACTTTTTTGGAAGATGCTTTATCTTATTTCTTATCTGTGTCAAGAGCTGCAATATTTGTTTTAACTATCTGCAAAATGGGGAAGCCACTCAGCAGACCAGACTGTTTACGTCAGAATCCCCCATGTGTAGGGAAGGGTGAAGAAGAGGAGGACCTAAATATCGAAGACTGTTACGTCCCACAGCGGTCAATCTATGATACTGTTAGACTAAATGAACAGATAGACTCTGGTTCAAAAGGTAGTCTATCTTCCAGGCATTTTACAGATCGAACTTTACCCTACAGTCACAGAACACTGGATGTTAGTTCTTTATGCTCTAATGGTGCCCTTACTTCTTCCAGTGTATTTGAGCTGAGAGGTCGGGAAGCTAACAAACTAGATGAAAAGATGATCTTTGATGCACTCAAACTAAATAGTGATATCATTCGAACCACAGGATTACCTAAAGCCAAATCTCATGCGGAAAAGAAAGAGCATAGACGGTCATGGCGAATGTTTGTCCCGGCCAATTTTATGGATTATGCAAACAAAAGTGAAAGCTCTTTTGTTGAACCTGCTGATATGTCAGATGCTGTTACCAAGGCCAGCAAGTGCAGATGGGGTACTAATTCTCTCACTTCGGAGGAGGATGACTCTGGTTTATGTAGCCCTCCAGCAGAGAGGGAAGAAAAACAGGGCATTTTAACTGGAGACCAGTCACGAATTAAAAGTTTGTCTTCTACTGAAGATATTCTTGTAACAGACCAATACAGACCATTTTTTTCTGTTAATTCCATTAGCGAACAGAAAATCCCACTGCTTTCATGTCAAAGTGCCCACCCTGATGAAAATTTCAAAATGATTTTACATGATGTTTCTCCACTAGAGGAAGCAAAACATGTAAATGGTCAAAGGGAAATCCACGATGAAAATTGTTGCCTGCAGAATAATTTGAAAGAGAGCCCTGTGAAGTGTGACCCATTAATTATGCCAAGAAATAGAGAAAATGAGCATATTTTTAACCTTGGAGAAGAGGACGAAACATACGGACCTGGAGAATCCCAAATCACAGCACAAAGTAGGGAACTCTTGAAGGATTCCCCTCAAGATTTAGATCTCTCTCACACAGATCTAGGGGAGAGTGATGTAGATTGTGGTAGCACCAGCTTAGTAGAAAATGTGACACTTTTGACACAATATGATTCAGGAGAATGCAACATTGCATCTAAAGAGGAAGTGGAGGCTCCTCTTTCTGCCCAGGAGAGCGAAATGCTCTATAAGAAGTTCTCCCTGAAATTCGTATCAGCAAGAAAGAAAGCAGCACCCAGAAAAACAGGGGCCCAGGCAGGAATATTGGACACAGTCTGCAATGGCTTTCAGTTGGTTCAGGTAATTCATGGAAATATGAAACTCTGCAGTGTCAAAAGTTTGCGGTTCTGCTAAAAGTTTGTGGTTCTGTTTCAGAGTGGTCACTAGTGTTTCTAATAATAATGAAATCCACACTTTTGTTTTGGAGGTTTGACTAGCACCCTGCAAGATGCCACATATTGATAAATGGATAATTATAACAAATTAATAGGGACTGTTTTGGAGAAGAATTGATATTCCCAGCTGTTCAGGGTCCTGTTATTGATTGTGCAGATGGTGGCCATTCCCCTTCATTTAGAAGGCCTCCACTGTGAATATATGTTAATGTTAGGCTTTTACACAAATTGTGGTAAAGACACTGCCATTTAAGAGCCATTATATTGGATTTATTAAGCTTGAACAGGCTTAGTCATGAAGGTACAAACAGTATTATATTGTTATGGCCTGCAAAGTACTCTATCCACATTAAGGACTTTTTTTAATAGGTTGAAAAATTTCTCTCAGGAGCTCTGCATGTGAGAGTAGAGTTATTATGCTGTACTTTGCAGGCATTATAGCTCCCAACTTTTTGTGAGTGGTGAATGAGGTAAGAAAGTAAAGGGTGCAGCCTTGTAATAAGTAGAGATTGCTTGTCAAGCCTGTAATTTTTTTCTTCCCACTCAGATTGAAGTTCAGCTGTTTTGGTACTTTTACTAAACTCTTCTGGTAAACTTGGCCTCAAAGGTAGTTTTATTTTATTTTAAACTTCTCTTCATGCTTGTGTGCTGTGGGTTAGATTAGGGGGAAAGGCTCTCTTCATAGGTATTTTGTTAACATTGAGAGATAAGGAACTTAGACAATATCAGAACCGTTCCTCTTCTCAGTCTGTGAAATAATTGTTCTTGTTAGTTATGCCTTTTTCTTAGACATGCAGTAAATGGCATGCTAATTTAAAAGCTTAGCAAATTAATTTTTTTCTGTAAAGGATATTTCAGTTTATTTGTAGAAAACAATTAAATCTTAGGGGAGTATATACTCTTTAGTAGTTATCTTTTTAAATCCTTAGTATATTTTTGGGGGCACTTTAGAAAACTATCAGATTTACCTAGATCTACTCCAATATAAACCCCTGAAATTAATTTAAAACCAAGACCAGAGGTTAAGGCAATTTAATAGAACATTATTGTTATCCTTTTGTCCTGAAAACTATATAAGAGGGAAAATAAAACGTTTCCTTGAATGTTTATTTACAAGTTCCTGGAATTTAAAAGGTAGCAGTTTTTGTACACCCCCACCCTCCGCCCCCACTTTTTGATAAGTAGTAAAACATATCCAAAGCTATTAGTCCTGGAAGTTATAACTTAGAAAGTGGTATAGAAATGAAATTGAATTATAATGCCAAATTCTATCTTTAACATTTTGTTGCCAAGTTTCTGTTTACATATTTGATAAATTTTACCTTTTTGCAAAATTACGGAGACTTCCTAAGTTTTTCCTCAATGATTTGGGTGAATCTCATAATTTATTTGATTATGTGTAATTGATTTTTAAATATTTATTATTGTTATATATAAACTGCCAGTATGGAAATTGTCTATATACATTTTCTGTGGAAAAGGTAGTTTGAGTTTTTAGCTAGGAGGAGATTTTAGAGAAAATGATCATTAATTTGTTTGCTGTTCTCTAATTTACTCATGTATACAGTAACACAGGAGTATCCTGTATGCTAGGCCTTAGACCAGAGTCTGGAGGATTTGTCTCCTGCAGCCTCTACATCTTTCAAAGTTATTTTTCATACTGTGTCTGCAATTTTTTTCCTGAAGTGCTATTTTAATATGTGCCTTTATTATGTTTCTATGTATTATGATTAACTGTCCAATCATTGGTATATTTATATAGTGCCCTTCAGGATAATGACTCAGAATCTCAAACTATGTTTTACCTTAATATCGATGTAAAACTTTCCTTCCTTAGTTCCAATAATTTATTTTCCTCATGGCATCCTCCAAGCCCTATATTAAAAACATATTATCTATGAAAGAGTTGGCTCATACCTGTAATCCCAGCACTTTGCAAGGCTGAGGTAAGAAGGTTGCTTGAGCCCAGGAGTTTGAGACCAGCCTGGACAACATAGTGGGACCCAGTCTCTACCAAAAAAAAATTTTCTTTTAATTAGCTGGGCGTGGTGACATGCAGCTGTGGTCCCAGCTACTGGGGAGGCTAAGGTGGGAGGATGGCTTGAGCCTGGGAGACAGAGGTTGCAGTGAGCTGTGACTGCACTACTGCCCTCCAGCATGGGTGACAGAGTGAGGCCATGTCTCAAAAAAATAATCATAATATTGATGTATCTACTCCCAGTATTATCTGTTAAGGGGTTGAAGTCATCCACCTAAGATAGAAATATAAATTTCTATACTGATATTAATTTGGCAAATAAATATTGGCAAATATTACATGCTAGGTACCATGGTAGGCCCAGGTCATAGAACTACTGTAAGGAAAACAAATTTCTGCTTTCATGGCACTTGTATTTTAATCTAGCACATTAAATCCTTTGCCAGTCACAGGCAACTGGGGAACTGTAAATTGGATGGGATAGACAGTAAGGGAGAGATTGCTAGGAATCCACTGTCAGTGCAGGTATGGGTGACAATGACTACAGAGTAACCAGAGTTGCTGTGCTGGTAAGGTATGTGATCAGATCCATGGGGTGAGGTCATTGTATTTCTTGAGAGTCCATTGGCATCTCTGTAGACATTGAGGAGGCTATTTGTGTAGGGATCCATACTATTGCAGCACATGCCTATGTATTTTTCATTTTCCTATCTCTGTATTTTGGCCCTCCTGCCAAGCCATGTTTTGGCCACTTGGCTCACCTCATCCTGTCCCTGATTTTCCATTTCCAATGTGAGTCTCAAGCTTCAGTTGCCAGCTAGCAGCAGCCATTCTTAGGAGAGCCTATTAGGATTGCCTTGCCCATGAAGGCTCATTTTGTACTTATTTTATATTTTTGCTCTTTAGCATTTTCTGTAAATCTTTTGCTACAGTTAAACTGGGACAACAGAAACATTTTCATCCTATGATAATGAAGCAATAAAGAGAGGAGACATGTACTGTCTTCTTGGTTTTATAAGTAACTTAAGTGTACTCAGAATATCATTCTTTAGTATTCTCAAATGTTTTTGATGTGCTACTAATTTATATTTAGTTTCTTTCTGTTCTTCAGAAGGTAGCTATGACCTATGGCTAGACAATAAAAATTATCTTTACCTCTGTAATAATTGATGGTTTCCACAACCTGATGCCTAAAGAAATGCTTATTATATATTTGGCGGTTGATAGGTAATATAACTCATATAATTATTACTCTTTTAACTGCAGGTATTCCAGAAAGAAGAGATTGAACCCTTGCAAGGTAAACAGCAAGATGTAAACTGGTTAGGTCAAGGCCTTATTCAGAGTGCTGCCAAAAGCACTAGCACTCAGGGCTTGGAGCATGACCTGGATGATGTCAATGCACGGTGGAAGACTCTCAATAAGAAGGTAATTTTCTCACCCCCTTCATTGCTATTTTGCTGATTATTATTCATGAGCATTTGTGGTGACCATGAATCATATTTGTGGTAGCCAAACTTTTCTAAATATGTCTACTGTTTTATATTACTGTAAACTGGATGGCTCAAACTCAGATGCCTACTGGAGCTAGGTAGGGAATCTAAATGAAAGGAAGCAAACTGGGTAAGACAGAGCCTCTTCCTGCTGTTATCTCGCCTTTAATCAAGACAGGGTCACAGATACAACAGTGCAGGTATGATGGGCACATGCATCTGTAAAGGTACAGGTCACTACTTAGTTCCAGAAGATCATTGACATGTAGGCATGTAGGCCCACTGTTGCCAGATATTCTGTTTACTTTCAAAATAACCTGGAAATCTCACTTTCTATGTGAAACCTTCCTATTTTCAAATATTAGCAACTAAGTTCACACCATACAAACAAAGTTATGTCTTTATGTCATTCCTGGACTAAGTCCTGCTACCCTCACTGTAGACCATCAGCCCTCAATTACTTGTAAGATGTAGGTCCAACCTTTTTCTAAATTCCCATGAGAGAAAACACTAGAAATAATGCTCTGATGTCTTAGGGAGATAATGCTGACATACGATGGCAGGCAGCTCTTACGAGACATAAATTATCAGAAAATTATTATGGGATGGCAGTGCATATCTGGTTGTGGCAGTGGTGGTTACTCTTGTTGTTTTCTTTCGATTGACATCTTCAGCAGGTACCAGGTCTTGAAACTATATTATTCATTCTTTAAAGTCTGATACATATGTGTAGTGCACCTTAAACACAGTTGGAATGCTGTATCAGGTGTAAATATAATCCATAGCACTTACAATATCTTGCCAGCTACTTTATTCAGTCCAAAAGGAAAATATCTGTTGAGACAAGCAATAAGATATCTCTATGTAGGACACAGAGACTCCATTTACTGGTAGACAAAGGGCCTGGTTTGTTGAAAAAAGACTCCAGAGCTTGGAGCTAGCAGAACTTAATTGGATACTTTTGTTATTCTTGCCTAGCAAAATATAATTCTGATTCTCTCTGCTATAATAGTTCTGTTTATTCTTAATCTTTTAAAAATCATTATCTCTGATATTTATTAGAAGGAAATAAAATGCAATATTGATAAAAATGACTAATGTGCTGTTTTTTACGATAACTCTAAAATATTTGAATCATTCATTGCTAATCATAAAACGTATTAGACAATCCAAAAACCTCCAAGATTGAGTGCTCTATGTTGACTGTGATGGTAACCTTATTTTCATGCCTACTTGCTTAAAGTTTGTCTCCTTTTCACTGCTATCCTGCCTACTATCGATACTTTGGGTAAATTTTAAGTGAAAAGTAAAAGAAAATTTGTGACCACACGGGAAAATAAGCATGTAAAATAGTGATTTGTGCTCAGATTGCATTATTTTGTGAAACAAATAAATAAGTGGAAACAATTGGCACTTTGCAGGTGGCTCAGCGAGCAGCCCAGCTGCAGGAGGCCTTGCTGCACTGTGGGAGGTTCCAGGATGCCCTGGAGTCCCTGCTCAGCTGGATGGTGGACACTGAGGAGCTTGTGGCCAATCAGAAGCCCCCGTCGGCTGAGTTCAAAGTGGTAAAGGCCCAGATACAAGAACAAAAGGTAAGTTAGTCATGCTTTTGTATTGCGTTTCATATTAAATCTTAATAACAAGAGAAAAAATGCAAATTGTGACTCTTTTAATTAATAGGATAACCTAGTTAACCGGTTGTTGCTGCTGTAGACATTATTTTGTTAGTCATTCGACAAATATTTATTGAACATCTACCATGGGCCAGGCCTTGTTCCAGTTGCTGGGAATATATCCTTGAATAAAAAAGATGAACATTTCTCATTGAGTTCAAAGCCAAGTGGGAAGGGTGTGCCAGGATTGAAAGACAATAAGTAAAGTAAATAAATGAATGGTGATAAGTTAGCAAGTGATGAATAAAGCAGGGATCGGGGAGAGGCATCAGGAAGCAATAGAGCAAAGATGAGGGACCTAAAGTGCTGGAATGGAGGGAGGGAGGGGGTGTGTGTAATTTTAAATAGGGTCATGAAGGGAGGTCACTGACAAGATGGCATTTGTATGGAAATAACATTGTTCCCTTATATATTAGGTTGATCCCTATGAAATTGTCTTTTTATATATTAAATATTGACAGCTTCTTTTGGTTCCACCTATTACTAAAGAGACAAATATTTGATTCATATATGCTGAGGAATGTGCCATTGTGTCTTTTGACACTACTAAAGTGGGGCCAATTTGGGAAAATAGTGTCTTCAGAGGGTTGATATGTACCTGAGACTGACCACATGATAGTTTTTGTGCCCCTGATAGCAATGGTCGGGTATGAAGTATTTAATACCACTTTGAGTAGTAATCAGCCAGCCATGACTTGAGATGACATGTGGGAAGGATCCTAGAGCATGGCGTACTGTTAAGGTTTCTCCCCTCTGGAACTTTAAAAAGAAGAGGATGGATTATGTTAATTACGTTATTTTAAAACTCAAAGAAATTTTTTAAAATTTTACATTAATTTTTTTTAATTTATAAAAAAGACAACATTTTAAATTTCTCTTTCTGTACCTGGCTTATTTCACTTAGCATGGCTGCTAATAATGTACTGTATATTTCAAAGTTGCTAAAAGAATAGATTTTAAAGGTCCTCACCACAAAAAAATGATGAGTAGGTGAGGTGATGGATATGTCAATCAGATTGATTTAATCATTCCACAATGTATACATACATCAAAGCATTGAATTGCACCCCATAAATTCAATTATTATTCATCAATTAAAAATGGAAAAAAACAAAAAATTCCACATTTACCCTCAATTTTTTTTTTGTATTTAAGACTTACTGCTTACTTTAATTTCTACATTTAATACTATCTCCCTAGAAGTTTTTGAAAACTTCAGCATATTGGGAAATTATACCAATTAGAAATAGATTTAGAGGTAAGGATTAAGGACACATAACTGGAAACACATTGCATTTGTGCGATTTTTGCATAATACAGTGTCTACCATTCACAATTTAAAGTTAACTCCCAGAGTCATGATGCTTAGCCAACAAAACCTATTAATTGATTTTGCTTTTTTAATTGCTAGAAGCTTTATTATTAAAATGTATCAAAGTAATTAGTTCTCCTTGCTGCCAAAGCACCTGTTGTACTTTGATTATATCATGACTTTAGTATATAAAAACCTGTGCCAACACAGTTTGTATGTCTTACCCTTCTCTTTAAACAAGTTCCTCTTACCTTCTGCCTTGGTGGTCCTGATCTCAAAATACTCTTTTAGCTTTTTACTTCTGGGTAACTGTCAAATCTTTACTCCTTAATTAGCAGTCAGGATCATTAAGGAAGCAGTGAAGCATAGTGTTTCATACACTTACGCCTTCCTCATTGCTGGTAGCACAGTGCCTGTGCACAGCAGTTGCTCATGAGCCATTTGTTTGATTAGATTAGAGCAAGGTAAAAGGCTAATTATAGCAAACATTTCATTTCAGGTGCTTTGAAATGTTTAATTAGAATCAAATTGAATTTTGTTTCTGGTGCTAAATCCTGAAATATTAGTCTTATTTAGCCAGCTTTGGAGATTTCTGACATCTTCTACCCTCTCTTCCTGTTGCCAATGATGTGTAAAAGCTGTTTTAGTTTGCAGCCTCACACAGATTTTAGGAGCCAGTTCCACCTAGTAAAAGGAGCCAAGAGCCTCTCGTTTTAGCCTTGTTAACTTGTGAACTTGGGCTGAGTCTTAACTTCCTTGTCTATAATGGATTGTTTAACGTGGGAAAGGGTTTTGAAAACAGTAATGATTTATAGGAACCTTTTGTATCTTGACAGGACAGATAGTTGTTGAATGTTTAAGGCAGTCTTATTTCATTCCGATAATGGAGATTTTGCACTTTTTTCATGATTCATTGGAGTTATCCTAAGTGGCACCTTCTACCGTATTATTCTATATTAAAAAATTAGTAATGAGTTTAGTGGCCTTACCAATATTAGTTTTGTCTACTGTGAAAAGCCCCTGCCACAGTGTCTGACCCAATAGTAATAAATCATTAAACAAATGAGTTACCTTTAAAATCTCGCTTTTCAGATCCTTTCATATGTGCATACATACAAAATACATTTTTGTCATACTTCAAATGTACTTAGAATACATTGTACTTTATATTCATACAATTATTCCCTTGCTTTTTTATATTTAATGTTTTGTCTCAAGCTTCTCCAGAGATTGTTGGATGACCGAAAATCTACGGTGGAGGTAATCAAACGAGAAGGAGAAAAAATTGCTACAACAGCAGAGCCCGCAGATAAAGTGAAGATTTTGAAACAGCTCAGTCTCTTGGATAGCAGATGGGAGGCATTGCTTAATAAAGCTGAAACAAGGTAACTTATATACTTCCAGTTCTTTTGAAAGAGTAGCAGTGGCCTCTGTCTACAAAACTGACATTTTGTATTTTGTTAATACTTCAAATCATGATTTTCCTATGTTTATCATGTATGTGAACAGAGATAGCAAAGATTGTAGTGCCTCTTTCCTCATTCCTCTAATGGTAATGGCTTGTCACCGCTATATCCCAACTTTTTAAGACAAGCATTTCCCTTGGGAGTGATTACTTCATTTGTTTATTACATAGTTACTGCCTGCTTACCATGCATCAGGCACAGAGTTAGGTCTTGTGTTATAGGGGTGAGCTGGGCAGATCATCTCTGTCATCAGATAGGGTACAGTCTAAGAGGGTTTATAGCCATTGAGAAGTAATGATAAATGTGATGTCTCAAAGTTGAAATACAGGTTGCTGTGGGAGCATATCACAGGAAGAACCTAGCCTAGGGGCAGGGAAATGACAGTTAAGCTAAGTTTTAGAGGGGAATGGGAGCTAGGAAACAAAGAAGGTGGAAGGGTGCTCTAACTTCATGAAGGCTAGGAAGCCTAGAGCCTGGCTCCACTGGGTGTTTGTTCTCAACAATTTTATTACAAAACCCCAACCCATATTTCAGTATCTGCATTGATGCCGCCATTGACTAGCCATAGTAGTAGCTACATTGAAGAGTAGTCACCTAGGCTGGTTGGGTTGAAATAGATGAAAATAGAAGAATCACTGACCTGAGTGAGTATGTTATATAAATTCCCACCTTCTTTGGAACCAGAATAGTGAAGAGAAGGATTTGTCTAAACTTCAAATACAGAGTATAATTAATTATAGCTTTAGGGCCATAGAATAAAGTGCTCCCAAAGAGGTGAAAAATCTCATGTTGTCCTCTGATATGTGTCAACAGATTAACCGTTCTGTGTAATGCCCTGGGAGCTGTGCCCTGGCTGCCATGGGAGATACTCTCAGTAATTTTAAAATAATAAATGAGTGAATGTCTAGATCTCTGCTTTACTACCATAACTAGTCTTCTTTTCCTAAAACTTTCTTCACAGAGATATTAAATTGAGGGATATTGGTAATGGTTATGATTCATGCCCAGATTTATTGTGGACAGTTTAAATCATAGTAAGTGAAATCCCATCACAGAATAGTTATTTCCACTGATTTTAGATGATTGGATATTTGAATTTAGAAGAAAAGGTCACAGATAGTGATAATCCAGAGGTAATTACGAATATAGTAATTTTATTCATTTTTAGGATCAAATATATCAACTGAAAGTTTTTAAAAATGTGTGTGCATTGTGATATGTTATAGAAATTATGTTTAATAGCTTATGCCAATTTTCTGTAATTCCCTTCTTCTTCATAGAAAGCTAATTTTTCAAAACATGTAATTCCCTGAAAATTAAACATGATAAGAAGTTAAGGCAGCAATATCTCTTGATCCCAGCAGAAATTATGTATACAGGATTTGATACTGAATCAGGTACTCCGTATGCAGACCAGAACAATAGCTTGCTCTAGATAAATACTGAGGACAGCGGAAACAGGTTTTAGCTTTAGTCCTCTGCAACTGAGGAAACGTATTTCCAAAGATATTTTAAAGTACCAGTAAAAGTCCAATGAATACTTCTCCCCTGTTCATGATATTTTAATCCATAAAATATTAATATTGCTTTTGGGAAGTAAACCTAACCCTGCGCTTTTATAAAATAGGAATCACTATTAATTCCACTAAGGAGAGGAGGAAGAAGCTATGTATGCTCTTCAAAATTTGAAACCAGTTTTGACCATTTGATTAAGAGCAATCTCAGTAACTGTTGCTCCAATTGAAATTAATATATAAAGCACTTAAAATGGGGCCTGGCACAGAATATGTGTTCAATAAATTTTACCTGTTGTCGTTACTATTACTGCTGTTATTATTATAACATTGCTGTCATTATTATAACTGTAACTATTGGAAGTATTGTTACAGAAGATTACTTCAGACTTTCATGAGATTCAGGAACTTGAGGATGATCTGTTGTTCAACTTTAATTTTTTTTAACAGAAGAATTGTTTTAATATGTTCTTTAAATGTTAAGAGATTTAAATTGTAACCTTAGATAGTTTCTACAGAAAATGTTTAGAATAGATTGCAAGAGCATGACTGAAGATTTTTGTTGAATATTTCACACATTCTTCATCCCTAAATGACCTTTTGGCACATTTGTAGGAATCGTCAGTTGGAAGGTATCTCGGTGGTAGCACAGCAATTTCATGAAACCTTAGAACCACTGAACGAGTGGCTTACAACCATAGAAAAGAGGCTGGTGAATTGTGAACCCATAGGAACCCAAGCATCTAAACTTGAGGAACAAATTGCACAGCACAAAGTAAGATATAAATCACACATTAGCGAGGTTCAGTTTTTATTGTGTGGTTTTGTGACATAAATTTGAGTTATGTACTATTGTTTTGTTTAATTGCAAACTAAATCCATTTAACATGTCATGCTTTAGTTTTATTTATGTTTTCATTTTTATTTGTCCATTCTTTTTGTTTTTCTTCTTTATTTTTTTAAACTTTGCTTAGGCCTTAGAAGATGACATCATCAATCACAATAAACATTTACACCAGGCTGTTAGCATTGGCCAGTCCTTAAAGGTTTTGAGCTCCAGGGAGGATAAAGATATGGTGCAGAGTAAATTAGACTTCTCTCAAGTATGGTACATTGAGATTCAAGAGAAAAGTCACAGCAGGTCTGAGCTCCTCCAGCAGGCCTTATGTAATGCTAAGATTTTTGGGGAAGATGAAGTTGAACTGATGAACTGGCTGAATGAAGTGCATGACAAACTGAGCAAGCTCTCAGTCCAGGATTACAGCACTGAGGGGCTATGGAAGCAGCAGTCTGAACTTCGGGTATTTTGATTTATTTTATTTTATCTTATTTTTTCATTTCAATTGTCATTATTTCTTAGTCCTTATTTCTGTACAATTTTATGTTTATGATGATTTCGATGAATTGCTGTACTTAAAAAAAGACTGTTTATACAGATTACTTTTAATGAAGTCATTTTAAAGAAAAGAGTGACTCTATCCAATTAGCTGGATATTTCACTTTTCATTTTGTTATTTTATTGTTGTATACAAAGACCTGTATTAACCAGTACTTCAGTATGTCCACAAAGCCCATTTTCATAGGGCCCTAAGTATTTTCTGAAAAGGAATATGCTGTGAATTATGGTAGATGAACATGGGACATGGGCCACAGAGGTGAAAAGAAGAGGTCTAAACATGGGAACAATAAGAACATTTGAAAATGTGAGATATTTACTCAAATATGTCTCTGTGAAATCTAATTAAAGTTCTCTGAGATTAACTAATGTTAATGCTAACTTAAATGTTTTTCCCCCCACATAAAAATGGTACCTGTGTTTTCAGGTTCTGCAAGAGGACATCTTACTCAGGAAACAAAATGTAGATCAGGCTTTACTAAATGGTTTAGAACTACTTAAACAAACCACAGGTGAGATATCTTTCAAATCAAATCATCATGTGGTCAGCATTTTATATTGTTTTCAAAATATTTTAGGGATGGGAAAAAACCAAAACACTTTATAATTTTTGGTCCATTCCAAGACTTTTATTCTGGAGAATGCTTTGAAGACCAATCAAGGGGGTGGTTAGGATATGATCTCACTTTTTTCTCATGATCTCACTTGAGTTCTTGATGGAAGTTGTGTGTATTACTCATAACATAAAGCACTTTGGCACAGGAGCTCATCAGAGAAGCCCAGGACAGAGTCACATTACTTTTCCACTTGTGGAAGGCAGATGAACACGTAGGTTGTAGACAATTTCTTTTTAAGATAGATCGCATTGCAGTGACACACAGTATGGCTACGTGCATAGCTATACATGGGCTTCATTTCTTCATGTCTGAATCACCAAGAAAACTGATACATAGTTTAGTATCTAGATGAGATTTTTAGGACAACTCAGGGAAACTAGTTTTAGTGATTCCTTTGGCCATAGGAATTTCACTATACCTATATTCAGTTCAGCAATATGTGTATGTTGGGGGCAAGTACCATTCATTATGCATTGAAGAAATTAAATGTAGAATCAAGAGCCTTTAGTTAGAAGTCTGAAGCCCAGGACACAGTTTTTCTGTGTGTCAAAAAATGAGGTAGAGGCAAATAAAGATCTGTTGGAATAGTGCAGATGAGTAATGATGAATAACTAAGAGCAGAGAGGCTAAGTATCTTGCCCAAAGTAACCCAGCTTTTAAGCCATGCATGAAGTCAGTATTTGAACTCAAGCAGTTTTTAACCTCTCTTCTTTGAAAACAAAGTCTCATACAGATAGATACAAAAGTACTGCTTTCCACATAGCTAAAGACATTTAGCCTTTTCCAGTTCCTACATTTGTATTTTCAGAGTGATTTAGATTTGCTGGAAATCTTGGGAAAGATTAAAATTTAGAAAAGGGCTTCTCTTGAGTAAGATTATCTTTAGAAAAATGTCTCCTTTTGTTCTGTGGAAATTTCATCAGTGTTCCATAATATCTGAAGAAACCCTCTCCCTGCCTTTTTTTTCCTTCATAAGAAATAACGTGACTTTGAAATTTTAGGTGATGAAGTTTTAATAATTCAAGATAAATTGGAAGCCATTAAAGCAAGGTACAAAGACATTACTAAACTGAGCACTGATGTGGCCAAGACTCTGGAACAGGCGCTGCAGCTTGCAAGGCGGCTGCACTCCACACACGAAGAGCTGTGTACCTGGCTGGACAAAGTGGAGGTGGAATTACTTTCATATGAAACTCAGGTTCTGAAAGGAGAAGAAGCAAGTCAAGCACAAATGAGACCAAAGGTAAGCTCTGATTTCTGCATTTTGGATTAGTCTTTTATCTTTTAGGCAGTCTTATTCACACAAAAATAAAATTATATTTGTCTTATGTCATTACATATGCTGAAGGATGCCTTGGTGGGTGGAGACCCAATAGAAATTGGCAGCAGATCAACTGTTTAAAGTTTTAGGAGCCCAGAGATGAAAACAGTATGTTATAATTGTTGCAAGAGTCTTATATTTGGGAGTATAGTTTATTACCCAAGGGACAGAATGATGAAAACAGAAAAAAAAAAGGAAAATGATCATTGTTTCAGAGACACACATAATTTGGTTGGAATACCAATATTTCTATAAGATAACATGGGGTGGGTTTTCTAATTATATCACAAACGTAATACACTGCATGGTAATCATTCCTCTTTTCCAAGATATCAGCCTCTGTTTTTATCATCCTTGAAGTATGATCACATGTGGGTGAAAGGGAGTTGGTGAGGTCAGGCTCACTGAGCCTGTAATGATTCTACTGTCATGATATAAAGCCAGTTTGTCATCATTTTGAGGGTCACTTAATTCTGGCTTGGAATATCCTCTTCATTTTACTTTTCTGTTACCTGATTACTTAGAGGTTCCCAGAAAGCAAAGAATAATACAAGTTAACTTGCTTGTTTTTGCTTCTGAAATTTTAAATATTTATATTAAATTTCAAAGATAAAATCTTGCCGTGTCGACAAATGAATTGTTCTTTGAACTTCTCAGGAAACATTTTTCTTTTTGCAAAATAGCTTTAGATAAAAAAGGTTTATTTAACTCGACTGAAACTAAGGGAGGGGGGGAGTGGGGCAAAGCATCACATTATTCGCCTGCAAAGGACTTGAGCTCCAAGAACAGTTAAAGGAAAAGTCTGTTGAAGCTCTTAAGTGTTACTAACTTATTTGTATGTTTTCAGGAACTGAAAAAGGAAGCTAAGAACAACAAAGCCTTACTGGACTCCCTTAATGAAGTGAGCAGTGCTTTGCTGGAACTGGTACCATGGAGGGCAAGAGAAGGACTTGAGAAAATGGTAGCTGAGGACAATGAGCGCTACCGATTAGTGAGCGACACCATCACTCAGAAGGTGGAGGAGATCGATGCAGCCATTCTGCGATCACAGCAGGTAGGGAAAAATGGTTTGTTGTTTAGGCAATAAATTTTCTCCAGCTGTTCTTGGAGCTTTTACCTGAACAAAGATGACTGTTAATACTGTTTCCATTCATTTGCTGTGCTTCCAAAATGAAAGAGTGGATTTGAAAAGAAGTTGACTGGGCTTCTTCGACGTCTGAGCACCAGGGCAAGGCTAATCTGCACATTGTTCACAGCCATCTGCCTCATTGTTTCACAGATTTATCCTTACCAAGTCAGACACTGCGAAGATCAGCCCAGCTTTCCAAACAAAATGCTTTTGTCTACACATATGCATATTGCTGATATTAATTTTTATGTATTGACTAAGTCTAATCTGTATGTGAGTAAATACTGTGAATTGTTATGTAAGTCAGTATTAACTGTTCATTTACAGAAAGCTGGGGCAAAGAGAATGTTTTCTTTTTAAAAAGGAAGCAGTTTTGTTGGTAATGTGAAGTTTTTTTCTGAAGATGACAGAAGGGGGGAAAAGATGATAGGTTCCAATTTGTCTATAACTCCTGCAGAATGTATACTCCAAGAGTTTTATAGGCATTCAGCCCTTAGCCACAGCTCCCTGGGAAGACTGTGGGCAATGAGTGGGGTCCTGGAGATAGAAGTTCGTAATATAATACATGTGTTGATTAACTTTAGTTGAAATTTCTGTGAATATTTATATTAAGTCATCACAGTTACTACAAAGTTTATGTGTGGGGGTAGTATGATATTGCACTGTACTTTAGAGCAGAGCTTGTGATGGTGTGTGACTAAGCTTTTACTAGTATGAGCCAAAAGCAAGAGGCATAAATCAAGCTGATTCTGTGGGAGCATCCAGAATTAATTTTCTAATGTTGCCATAGAAATGGAATTTATAGTTAGTTCTAAAGCATAATGTTCTGCTCCTCATTTTAGTGCTGTGCTCTGGGATCACAACAGCTGATGAAATGCAGTGATAGCAAAAGCCCTGGCTAAGAAATTTTTGTGAAGGAGGGCATTCATGCTTGAGGAATGTATTTGTGTGACTCTGTTTAAACAGAGGAGTTTGTATGCCTCATTTTTATAGGAAAATGAGGGTGTTTATTTGTGAAGTTTATTTAACTATTGAAAAATATATTTTTTTCACTGAAATGTATTTGAACGTTTCCCAACTGGCACTGAAGGCTTCTCTAAACAGCAAGAAAATTATTCTGTACTCTTGGGAGTAAGAATTTCTTGAGAAGTTGACTGTGGTTGGCTGGTTCAGTAAAGTGAGGAAGTAATAAGGGCACAGTCACAGATTGAGTTTTCGTTGGTTAGTAATCTCTGATATATGCCAAGGTCATTAACTGTGGCCAGGTTCTTCAAGGTTTTGCGTATGTTTTCCAAAGGCATGGGGGAAAGTAAGTCAGTGTAAGTCTTCCGGAATCCTTTAGGAAAATAATGATTTTTTTTTTCTGATAGAATTAGTCCTTATTTAAAATTTCAAGATTTTCTCAAAGAATATAGAAAAATTCATGAAAGAAAGCATATGTAAGCAATTTGGTCTGTATCCTTCCAGTCTTCGTCTTGAAAGAGGAGGAGAATTTATATAGTAAAATCCTTTTGAAAGTGAAAGACAATGTATATAGTAAAAGTCTTACTACCAACAGATTACACATCTTAATGCCACTGATATCTTCTGGTTGTTCATGTGTGTATTTTTATCTTCATTTCTTTGAAATACCTGCAAGTCTGTCCAATGAAAATACCTCCAATAAGGCTACATAGACACACAGATGTTTAGAGCTGGGAGGAACATGCCCAGCATGCATGGGATAAAGTGACTTGCATGTGGTCTCACAAGCAGTAAGTGGCAGAGTAGCAACTAAAATTTAATCCCTATCTCATTCTCCCTCACTGCTGTGCCTCCTCATAAATTATATATAGAGAAAAACCCTTGAGGGTGGTAAACCATTTTTTTTCTAAAATTCTTCAATAATCCGAAGGTTCCATTATTACAACAAAGTGGAGGTATCTAATGAAAATATTTCCAGCTGTAAAGACTGTGGAGGATGAGGATACAACACTAAAAGGATCATAAAACATTACCGTGTAGGGAAACGTAAGAATAGAGTAGTAGGTACCTGTCTTCCTGGTGTGGCAGAGATTTTGCACTTAAAAGATAAGTTTCCAAACTCATAATTTTCAAGTTTATAAAGAAGCTAATATATCCCTGAAATATTTTATAAGGTTGCCTACTTATAGATGTTTGGAATTAGGACCAGAGTACAGTTTGATAAAAATGTTTGTTTTCTGTTTTACCCAATAACTACATCCATGAAATATAAAAAGGAGTGATTAAAAAAAGCATATCTTTAGACCTGGACATTAGCCACGTATTTTGGACTATCTGTTTTGCATTGTTTAAACAAATTACCATTCTGAGTCTCTTCTCTGTATGAAATAGGGACACGATATGACCTGAGCTCATCTTTTTAGACACACCTTTAGTCATATGCAATTTGTTTTATTAACAGTGACTCTTTCCCCAGACCCCTGCCCCCAGCCTACCAACAGCCACACATGATGGGGTAAGGACATGTGTCTTGAATAATACTTAACAATTTTAAAATTTATAGATTTAATGATTTGTCCCAGTTAAATCAGGGAGAGTTAAATTAGATTTTCAATGACTAGGTGTTCTGTTTTCTGAGCAGAAATATCTCTTAAGATACTTCATATTTTTTCCCAGTTTTAAGGTTGCATATATACAGATATACCTCTTTTATAATGTCAACCTGCTTTTTGAAATTTAACAAAAGCATAAGCACTTTGTGAACTGTCAAGCCACAATCGCAGAATGTATTGACTTCTAATCATCAGCATGGAAGATGTCAAGAAAAACATGGAAAAGACTTAAAAGTTTGAAGGGAGAACAGAAGGGAACATACAGATACCTTCTCATTAGCACATACTTTGTAACCACTTTGTATAAATTTAGGTTTTTAAAAAGTTTTGATTTGACAGGGTTAGATTTTCTTGTTAATCCTATATCACAATAACAGTTTTGAAAAGATACGCTATTGAACTTTCATAACATAGGTGTGAAGGCCGTATTTGTTATTATTTGAGAAATAATTGAAAAACCTCAGTAATGGGTGAATGAGTAAGAACTTGTACATTCACTGATACCACCCACCAGTCCCCCAAATCTGACTCTAGATTTGCGGGCATTGATATTCTAAAAAGGGTATTATTTTTTAAAGTAGTTGGGCCCATTCATTACTTTTAGGAAGAATCTGAATGGGACAAGGCAGCTTAGTAAATAATGATGTTGAGCTGAACTGCCTCCCTTTTACAATACATGCCATTATCTGAGTTATAAACTGTACATATTTTTGCATTTTAAACCTACGCAGAGTAGCATATCTTTGTTGCTTTCTTTCTACAAGCTTTGTGGAAATGGAGAAAGGCACTTTTACTTGAAAAATGTACAGACTTGGGTTCTGAATTCAGACTACCTTGATTCTTTAAGCCTCAGAGCAATTCATCATCCTTTGCTTCTTATAATGTACAACTGTCAGTAGTTGCTAAAATATGTATATCTTACTGGGTCTGGGAATCCCAAGCTTTCTTCAGCAGTTCTAATTGCTTGGCTTATGTAAGTGGGCCCCATAATAACCCTGTTAGAAAGGCCCTTGGATTGGTGGTTTGGGTGCAGTTAATGCAAACAACTCATTGGGTCATTAGGAATCAGCCTGGAGAAAAATATCACCTGTTTATTTCTTTTAAAGGACCAGAAGGAAACATCTCCTACGGAAATGAGATTTGTTCAGACCCTCCAGGTGTTGTGGATGGGAAAATATGTCTTGTGTTATAAATAAAGACAAGCAAAGTGGAAGGAAATGCTAATCAAAAGAAAGTGATAAGATCCCCAGTAAGGGGAAGGGAGTGAAAAGGATGTCCTTGAGGTTAAGGTTTGCTTATCACTTTGCCTTAAACCTCTATTAAAACCTATTGTGTATTGACTGTTGTGATATTTGGCAGTCTAGAAGTCAGACCACCTTCGTTAGAATCTCAGGCTCAGCATTTACTACCTGAGTAGTCTTTGGTAAGTTAGTTAACTTCCCTTTACCTCATTTTTCTAAGCTGGAAATGGAGTTAATGGTAATACATGATACAGCTGTCAGGATTAAAGGAGGTATTGCATGTTAAGCACTTAGAACAATGTGCTCAGTAGGATGCTGGCTGTTACTGTTTTAGAGAGTGTTTTTCAGGCATATTTAGATGTAGCTACTTAAAATGTCTTGCACTAACTTTTAGAAAATTCCTGAAAGGCTAATTCAACTATAAACAGAAGTTACAGTAGCTAGAGTTGGTGGTTCGGCTCCTCTGATGCTATTAAAGTATTTCCCCAAATACAATTATGGATGCCAAGATTATCAACATTTTATGTTAAGTCAAATTTTACTTACTTGTATGAGTAGTAAACAAATTTACTAAAATTTGACCTAGTGTATTTCTCTCCATGTTGCTTACATATAAAGTGAGCCATGTTTATGGTCCATTAGAAATATGTTTATGGACCATGTTTATGTTCCATTAGAAATGTTAACCAGTCATTTGAGTGAGTCATAGACCTAAAATGCCTCGCCTTACTATAAATTACTTAATGTAGATCCTGTAGCTACTCCCTTTGTTGCTTAACAATATTTGATAATTTAATTTTAAAAGTTTCTCAGATGACAGGCGGGAAATATCTGTTTGAAGTCTTTTTTTTTTTTTTTTTTTTTTTTCCTTAGCAGAGCAAATGTTTGACTTGATCAAAGAAACATTGTTTGGATTTCAGCTTTCCTTTTTTGGCAACTTAGATGGTATCACCATACTGTTTATTGCTGGAAAGTTTTTTTTTTTTTTTAAATAGGGAAGACATAGTGTTAAACTAATATTAATATTTCACAGCCTGACTGTCTTTATGAGGACACTCATTTAAATACTGTCAGGCTGAACACAAACAAGAGGGTTGGGGTATTACTTTATTTTTTTTTTCAGGAACCAGTGGAAGAAAAAAATTTATAACTGTTAAATTTTATTCAGATATCTTGCAGTATTTACACTCAGGTAGAAAGGCCTGAACTGTTTTTCTCAGTCTTATATTCTTTAAATGAATCACATAATCAATTTTTACCTGTAGCTTTACATGCCTTGAAAAGTAAGAATCCACAGAAGACTAACTTTCACTTCTTTTTCATGGGGATTCTTTCTCCACACCTGAAGCTGCTGAATTAGTTGATGAAATGTTTTTCTTTTGTTTTCATATTGATCAATAATTGCTCATGAATAACTTCATTTGAAATTAAATAATATCACAGAAATTATTGAACCAGCTTAAGATAGATTATTTTAAGTGGTTTCTTGGTTTCCTTATAATTACAGAAAGTCTACCTATAAACTTGACGATATTAAATTTTCAATATCAAAAAATAAATTATACCCCACGTTTATGAAGTTATAGCAAAACACTGCTTGTGGGAGTGTACATTAGCACATTCTACCTGAAGGGCAATTGGGCAGTATTATATCGAAGAGAGAAAACACAAATAGGAACTGATAGGTGAGACGTTACCCACAGAGTTGGTTTTCTTTCTTTTAAAATTTTTTTTATTTAATATATTTTCTTTTAATTTTTAATTTTTATGGACACATAGTAGATGTGTATATTTATGAGGTACATAAGTTATTTTGATACACGTATACAATGTCTTATTAAAATTAAACTTGTTTTAAGATAATTCTAAGTTCACCTGCAGCTGTAGAAACAATACAGAGAGATCCCATTGTATCCTCTACTCAGTTTTCCCCAGTGGTAACATCTTTATAGTAAAATATCACAAGCAGCATATTGACATTGATACAGTCAAGATACAGAATATTCCCCTCACCACAAGAATTCTTCATGCTGCTCTGTGAGCCATACCCATTCCATCCCACCCTACCCTCCGTAACTTTTGTCAACCACAAAGCTATTCTCCATTTCTATAATGTTATTTCAAGAATGTTCAAGTATTTTTTCAGTCACAATCTCTTTCTCTTCTCCTTCTGGGACTCTGATAACATGAATATTAGGACTTTTGTTGTAGTTCCACAGGTACCTGCAGTTCTGATTATTTTTTAAGTTATTTTCTATTATTCAGTTTGGGTAATTTCCATTTCTATTTCTAAGTGGTAATTTCTTTTCCTTCACTGATTCTTTCTTCTGTCCCCTTCATTGAGCTCATCCACTGAGATTTTTATTTCAGTTACATTTTTCAGTTCTACATTTTCATTTGGTTCTTCTTTATACTGTATATTCTTTTTCTTTGCTGAGATGTTCTGTGTTGTTGATGAAGCCTTCTAATTTCTCATTTGTTTCAACTGTGAACATTCAGAAGTACTCATTGAAGCATTTTTATCATGGCTGCTTTAAAATCATTGTCAGGTAATTCTAACATGTCTGCCATCTGGGTATTGGCATCTATTTGATTATCTTCTTTAATTCAGTTTGAGATTTTCCTGGCTCTTATATGATCTTATGAGTGTTAGAGCTTAAGCTTTCTGTTTTAGCTGCCTTCCTCTTACCACTCTGGCAGAAGGTGGGGGTGCTACCAGGTGAAGATAGAAGTCCAGGTTCCCAATTCCACCTCTGTTGACACCTAGGAGATGGCTCGTCATTTCTGCTGAGTGGGAGTGGGAGTTCCAGCTCCCTATGTGGTCTCTACTGGTACCACAGTGCAGGTGGCTGTGATGGTGACACACTGAGTGATGATGAAGATCCTGACTCTCCACTAGGCCTTCTCTGATATCACCCCAGAGGAGTGGAGGGAGGGGCAGTTCGTTATTGCTTAGTGGGGGTGGAAGCCCAGCCTCCCCACATGGTCTCAACTGACAGGATGATCTGGGGATGAAAATTCTGGCTCCCTACTTGGCATTCTCTAACATCTCCCGGCAAGAGTGTTGGGGACCTTGTCATGGCATTGCAAGGATAGAAGTGTAGGCCCCCCATTTGTCCTTTCTTGGCATGAGTGTGAGTGGAGCAACCATTTTTTCTGTAGTGTTTGGTTGGAATAGAGTGGTTATTGTTTAAAAGTTGTCTGTTTTGCTAAACTACTCCTTTCCTGGTTCTTTGGCTAGAGAGAGCAGGCTTGTTTTGGGACTTTGTACCCGTTTAGTGTTGTGTGGTTGCTAGTTTTTCCAGTATTTAGTCTTAGATACGTGAGGCAAAAAGAAAATCCCAGAGAACTCACCACTGTGTTCTTCCTTGTGGCCCAAGGTCCATGGTAGTTCTGTCCTCTTCTCTCCCCTTTGTGGAATCTTCTTATGTATGTTTTATATATAATGCCTGGGATTTGTAGGTGTACTTACCACGAAGAACAGAGAAAAGCTAATGTACTCCATCTTCCCATGAGTTGGCATAGTGTTGCAGAGTTTTTAAAGTATGAATTTTTAAAAATCTAGTTTCTTATCTCCACCCATCTTTCTCCCCACCTACCTGTTCTCCCACCTCATCTGGATTTCCAGATTCCTTTGAAAAGTTAGAAGATCTG
This sequence comes from Homo sapiens, assembly GCF_000001405.40. Classification (NCBI taxonomy): domain Eukaryota; kingdom Metazoa; phylum Chordata; class Mammalia; order Primates; family Hominidae; genus Homo; species Homo sapiens. The sequence goes on along the minus strand of NC_000006.12, from coordinate 56,518,814 downwards.
GCAGTACTGGACTTGAATAGCCAAAATGTTCATTCCTCATTAATTCTTCCAACTGAGGTCATTTCAGTGATCATTTATGGTTGGTACTGTGGTGTCACAGGCCCATTTTATTCATGGGAGGCACTGGGGTTTATCCGATGGAAGACATTGAAAATGTTCGTGCTCTTTGACTTGATAGTCACTTCTAGGAATCTACACTAAGGAACTAACTAGAGATGCCAACAGAAATTTATATACAAATATATTCATTATAGGGTTGTTTGTATAATAACAAAAATGCAGAAAGCTTAAACGAAAATCCAGGTATGCTAGAATATAATGGTATTATTTGAAAATCACATTTAAAGGAGTATGACATGGGAAATGTTCATACTAAATGAAAAAGCAGGATATGAAGCTGTTTATACAGTGTCATCCCAGACATTTTTTTTACAAATCTTTCTCTCTTGATTTGTGGAAGAAAATTCACTACAATACCAGCAGTGTTAAATCTAGGTTTTAATTTTCTTCTGTATGTTTTTCTCTGCTTTATGAATTTGTACTGTGCTTATAAATTACTGTTTTAATTACTGTTATGATCAGGAAAATAACATTTATTAAAATATTTAAGAATGCTCTTAAAAATGTTTTCTGCCATTATTAAATGAGATGCTTAAAAATTATACATGAATCATTTAGGGGTATACTCTGCATATATAGAGATGTATATTTACACATGCATTTATAAACATAATAGTATAATAAATAAATGGGGATATTCTATTCTTTTTGCTTGGAACTATGTACTTTGATAGCAGAATGTTAGTTGCATATCATAGGAGTTGAAGTGATGGGTGAAATGATTAAAAGATGGTACCTGGCTGTTGGCTTTCATAACTGTTAGATTTGGACAGTACTCCTAAGGTGCAAATTATTAAGACTGCCTGAAAAGAAGGCAATAGTGCTAGCTGTCCTAAAATCATTAATGCAGTGCTATAAATCCAGCATGTTTTAAGAGCTTGTGTTTAATTACTCTGTGGAAAGTTCTCCTTTCTTTAAAATTTAGTCATTATCACGAATTATTTTAGGATGCCATGAGGAGACAAGCTCGGATTTTCCACTTGTGTAATAAGGATATTTCAAAGAACTGTAGATAGGTATTTTCTGGCATCAGGAACGGGAACGTGCTGACCTAATTATTTATCTTTTGTTTAGTTTGACCAAGCAGCTGATGCTGAGTTATCCTGGATTACTGAAACAGAAAAAAAATTGATGTCTCTGGGTGACATCAGGCTTGAGCAAGACCAGACTTCTGCTCAGCTTCAAGTTCAAAAGGTGAAGAAATACATTTCCAATTGCCATATGAATTATTTGCTGGTGTGCTCCAACTCTATAAAATGTGCTTGTATGATTTACTTTTTAAGACCCCTCTAGTGTAACGTGATATTTTTAACTACTTAGCCTAATTGTTTTCATTTTAGTCATACAATTTCTTGTTTTATTTTTTGTCTTTATTTTGGTAAATCACAGACATTCACCATGGAGATTTTGAGACACAAGGATATTATTGATGACCTTGTTAAATCTGGGCATAAAATCATGACCGCATGCAGTGAAGAGGAAAAGCAATCAATGAAGGTATAATCTTGTCTGTGGACTGGTAGTGGGACTCTTGAAAAAACAGCAGGTGTTGAGCTTTCAGTCCTAGAAAAACACTTCTCCGTTATCCACAGCTGCCATTTAAGCAGCAAAAATAATTAGTTTAAATAAGGCATTTTTCAAGTTTATAGAATAACAGTGAAAGGAATATTTCTTAAGAGAATCACTATGAGGACAATCTTTTTGAATAGGCACAAAGGCTATTAAGGTTTGAGACCTTGGTTAACTGGCACGCATTAAGCATTCAGTTAATGTTAGCTGTATTATTACCATTATTATCAGTATAAATTATTGTTTTTTATATGTATCAACTATTGTTTATGTGCTTCAGAGACATTTG